>NC_000011.10:13810000-14435000 GCF_000001405.40 Homo sapiens | reverse complement strand
TTGGTGTACTGCACCCAAGAACTTGTCATTTACATTAGGTATATCTCCTAATGCTATCCCTTCCCCCCTCCCCCCAACCTCATGGCAGGCCCTGGTGTGTGATGTTCCCCACCCTGTGTCCAAGTGTTCTCATTGTTCAATTCCCACCTATGAGTGAGAACATGTGGTGTTTGATTTTCTGTCCTTGTGATAGTTTGCTCAGAATGATGGTTTCCAGCTTCATCCATGTCCCTACAAAGGACATGAACTCATCCATTTTTGTGGCTGCATAGTATTCCATGGTGTATATGTGCCACATTTTCTTAATCCAGTCTATCATTGATGGCATTTGGGTTGGTTCCAAGTCTTTGCTATTGGGAATAGGGCCGCAATAAACATACGTGTGCATGTGTCTTTATAGCAGCATGATTTATAATCCTTTGGGTATATACCCAGTAATGAGATGGCTGGGTCAAATGGTATTTCTAGTTCTAGATCCTTGAGGAATCACCACACTGACTTCCACAATGGTTGAAATAGTTTACAGTCCGACCAACAGTGTGAAAGTGTTCCTATTTCTCCAAATCCTCTCCAGCACCTGTTGTTTCCTGAATTTTTAATGATCGCCATTCTAACTGGTGTGAGATGGTATCTCATTGTGGTTTTGATTTACATTTCTCTGATGGCCAGTGATGATGAGCATTTTTTCATGTATCTGTTGGCTGCACAAATGTCTTCTTTTGAGAAGTGTCTGTTCATATCCTTTGCCCACTTTTTGATAGGGTTGTTTTATTTTTTCTTGTACATTTGTTTAAGTTCTTTGTAGATGCTGGATATTAGCCCTTTGTCAGATGGGTAGATTGTAAAAATATTCTCTCATTCTATAGGTTGCCTGTTCACTCTGATGGTAGTTTCTTTTGCTGTGTAGAAGCTCTTTAGTTTAATTAGTCCCATTTGTCAATTTTGGCTTTTGTTACCATTGCTTTTGGTGTTTTAGTCATGAAGTCCTTGCCCATGCCTGTGTCCTGAATGGTATTGCCTAGGTTTTCTTGTAGGGTTTTTATGATTTTAGGTCTAACATTTAAGTCTTTAATCCATCTTGAATTAATTTTTGTATAAGGCATAAGGAAGGGATCCAGTTTCAGCTTTCTACATATGGCTAGCCAGTTTTCCCAGCACCATCTATTAAATAGGGAATCCTTTCCCGATTGCTTGTTTTTGTCAGGTTTGTCAAAGATCATATGGTTGTAGATGTGTGGTATTATTTCTGAAGGCTCTGTTCTGTTCCATTGATCTATATCTCTGTTTTGGTACGAGTACCATGCTGTTTTGGTTACTGTAGCCTTGTAGTATAGTTTGAAGTCAGGTAGCGTGATGCCTCCAGCTTTGTTCTTTTGGCTTAGGATTGTGTTGGCAATGTGGGCTCTTTTTTGGTTCCATATGAACTTTAAAGTAGTTTTTTCCAATTCTGTGAAGAAAGTCATTGGTAGCTTGATGGGGATGGCATTGAATCTATAAATTACCTTGGGCAGCATGGCCATTTTCATGATATTGATTCTTCCTATCCATGAGCATGGAATGTTCTTCCATTTGTTTGTGTCCTCTTTTATTTCATTCAGCAGTGGTTTGTAGTTCTCCTTGAAGAGGTCCTTCACATCCCTTGTAAGTTGGATTGCTAGGTATTTTATTCTCTTTGAAGCAATTGTGAATGGGAGTTCACTCATGATTTGGCTCTCTGTCTGTTAATGGTGTATAGGAATGCTTGTGATGTTTGCACATTGATTTTGTATCCTGAGACTTTGCTGAAGTTGCTTATCAGCTTAAGGAGATTTGGGGCTGAGACGATGGGGTTTTCTAGATAGACAATCATGTCATCTGCAAACAGGGACAATTTGACTTCCTCTTTTCTTAGTTGAATGCCCTTTATTTCCTTCTCCTGCCTGATTGCCCTGGCCAGAACTTCCAACACTATGTTGAATAGGAGTGGTGAGAGAGGGCATCCCTGTCTTGTGCCAGTTTTCCAAGGGAATGCATCCAGTTTTTTGCCCATTCAGTATGATATTGGCTGTGGGTTTGTCATAAATAGCTCTTATTATTTTGAGATACGTCCCATCAATACCTAGCTTATTGAGAGTTTTTAGCATGAAGGGCTGTTGAATTTTGTTGAAGGCCTTTTCTGCATCTATTGAGATAATCGTGGTTTTTGTCAGTGGTTCTGCTTATATGATGGATTACGTAGATTGATTTGCATATGTTGAACCACCCTTGCATCCCAGGGATGAAGCCAACTTGATCGTGGTGGATAAGCTTTTTGATGTGCTGCTGGATTCGGTTTGCCAGTATTTTATTGAGGATTTTTGCATCGATGTTCATCAGGGATATTGATCTAAAATTCTCTTTTTTTGTTGTTTCTCTGCCAGACTTTGGTATCAGGATGATGCTGGCCTCATAAAATGAGTTAGGGAGGATTCCCTCTTTTTCTATTGATTGGAATAGTTTCAGAAGGAACGGTACCAGCTCCTCTTTGTACCTGTGGTAGAATTTGGCTATGAATCCGTCTGGTCCTGGACTTTTTTTGGTTGGTAGGCTATTAATTATTGCCTCAATTTCAGAGCCTGTTATTGGTCTATTCAGGGATTCAACTTCTTCCTGTTTTAGTCTTGGGAGGGTGTATGTGTCCAGGAATTTATCCATTTCTTCTAGAATTTCTAGTTTATTTGCATAAAGGTGTTTATAGTATTCTCTGATGGTAGTTTGTATTTCCGTGGGATCGGTGGTGATATCCCCTTTATCATTTTTTATTGCATCTATTCGCGTCTTCTCTCTTTTCTTCTTTGTTAGTCTTGCTAGCGGTCTATCAGTTTTGTTGATCTTTTCAAAACACCAGCTCCTGGATTCATTGATTTTTTGAAAGGTTTTTTATGTCTCTATCTCCTTCAGTTCTGCTCTGATCTTAGTTATTTCTTGCTTTCTGCTAGCTTTTGAATGTGTTTGCTCTTGCTTCTCTAGTTCTTTTAATTGTGATGTTAGGGTGTCAATTTTGGATCTTTCCTTCTTTGTCTTGTGGGCATTTAGTGCTATATATTTCCCTCTACACACTGCTTTAAAGGTGTCCCAGAGATTCTGGTATGTGTGTCTTTGTTCTCATTGGTTTCAAAGAACATCTTTATTTTTGCCTTCGTTGCATTATGTACCCAGTAGTCATTCAGGAGCAGGTTGCTCAGTTTCCATGTAGTTGAGCAGTTTTGAGTGAGTTTCTTAATCCTGAGTTCTAGTTTGATTGCACTGTGGTCTGAGAGACAGTTTGTTATAATTTCTATTCTTTCACATTTGCTGAGAAGTGCTTTACTTCCAACTATGTGGTCAATTTTGGAATAAGTGTGATGTGGTGCTGAGAAGAATGTATATTCTGTGGATTTGGGGTGGAGAGTTCTTTAGATGTCTACTAGGTCCACTTGGTGCAGAGCTGAGTTCAATTCCTGGATATCCTTGTTAACTTTCTATCTTGTTGATCTGTCTAATGTTGACAGTGGAATGTTAAAGTCTCCCATTTTTATGTGTGGGAGTCTAAGTCTCTTTGTAGGTCTCTAAGGACTTGCTTTCTGAATCTGGGTGCTCCTGTATTGGGTGCATATATATTTAGGATAGTTAGCTCTTCTTGTTGAATTGATCCCTTTACCATTATGTAATGGCCTTCTTTGTCTCTTTTGATCTTTGTTGGTTTAAAGTCTGTTTTATCAGAGACTAGGATTGCAACCCCTGCTTTTTTTGTTGCTTTCCATTTGCTTGGTAGATCTTCCTCCATCCCTTTATTTTGAGCCTATGTGTGTCTCTGCATGTGAGATGGGTCTCCTGAATACAGCATACTGCTGGGTCTTGACTCTTTATCCAATTTGCCAGTCTGTATCTTTTAATTGGAACATTTAGCCCATTTACATTTAAGGTTAATATTGTTATGTATGAATTTGATCCTGTCATTATGATGTTAGCTGGTTATTTTGCTCGTTAGTTGATGCAGTTTCTTCCTAGCATCGATGGTCTTCACAATTTGGCATATTTTTGCAGTGGCTGGTACCGGTTGTTCCTTTCCATGTTTAGTGCTTCCTTCAGGAGCTCTTGTAAGGCAGGCCTGGTGGTGACAAAATCTCTCAGCATTTGTTTGTCTGTAAAGGATTTTATTTCTCCTTCACTTATGAAGCTTAGTTTGGCTGGATATGAAATTCTGGGTTGAAAATTATTTTCTTTAAGAATGTTGAATATTGGCCCCCACTCTCTTCTGGCTTGTAGAGTTTCTGCCAAGAGATCCACTGTTAGTTTGATGGGCTTCCCTTTGTGGTTAACCCGACCTTTCTCTCTGGCTGCCCTTAACATTTTTTCCTTCATTTCAACTTTGATGAATCTGACAATTATATGTCTTGGAGTTGCTCTTCTCAAGGAGTATCTTTGTGGCATTCTCTGCATTTCCTGCATTTGAATGTTAGCCTGCCTTGCTAGGTTGGGGAAGTTCTCCTGGATAATATGCTGAAGAGTGTTTTCAACTTGGTTCCATTCTCCCTGTCACTTTCAGGTACACCAATAACACGTGGATTTGGTCTTTTCACATAGTCCCATATTTCTTGGAGGCTTTGTTCGTTTCTTTTTACTCTTTTTCCTCTAAACTTCTCTTCTCGCTTCATTTCATTCACTTGATCTTCAGTCACTGATACCCTTTCTTCCACTCGTTCGAATCGGCTACTGAAGCTTGTGCATGTGTCACGCAGTTCTCGTGCCATGGTGTTCAGCTCCATCAGGTCATCTAAGGTCTTCTCTGTGCTGTTTATTCTAGTTAGACATTCGTCTAATCTTTTTTCAAGGTTTTTAGCTTCTTTGCGATGGGTTCGAACATACTCCTTTAGCTCGGAGAAGTTTGTTATTACCAATCGTCTGAAGCCTTCTTCTCTCAACTCATCAGTCATTCTCTGTCCAGCTTTGTTCCATTGCTGGCAAGGAGCTGCATTCCTTTGGAGGAGAAGAGGCGCTCTGATTTTTAGAATTTTCAGCTTTTCTGCTCTGGTTTCTCCCCATCTTTGTGGTTTTATCTACCTTTGGTCTTTGATGATGGTGATGTACAGATGGGGTTTTGGTGTGGATGTCCTTTCTGTTTGTTAGTTTTCCTTCTAACAATCAGGACCCTCAGCTGCAGGTCTGTTGGAGTTTGCTGGAGGTGCACTCCAGACCGTACAAATATCCTTTAAAAGATAGCTTAGACTGGGTGCAGTGGCTCATGCCTGTAATCCCAGCACTTTGGGAGGCTGAGTGGGCAAATCACGAGGTCAGGAGTTCGAGACTAGCCTAGCCAACATGGTGAAACCCCATCTCTACTAAAAATACAAAGAATTAGCTGGGTATGATTGCGGGCACCTGTAATCCAAGCTACTCAGGAAGCTGAGGCAGGAGAATTGCTTGAACCTGGGAGGTGGAGGTTGCAGTGAGCCAAGATCGTGCCACTGCACTCCAGACCAGGTGACAATGCAAGACTTCATCAAAAAAAAAAAAAAAAGATAGTTTAGAACAAAGATGATACAAGATATGCAGAAATTCCATGGAGAATTGTCTCCCAAGACTGACCCATATGAGATAATACATTTGTCATTTTAAGCCATCAAAGTTTAGAATAATTTATTATACAGCAATAGATAGTACACCCATATATTTTTATCTCTAGTGCTTTGCTCCTTTGCATAGATCTAGATTTCTATTTGGCATGATTTTCCTTTTGATTGGAGTATTTCCTTGAACTTTTCTTGCAGTGGTGTTTTGCTGGTGATAAATTTTTTCTGTTTTAAAAATATGTCTCAAAGTCTTTATTTCTTCTTTGTTTTCTGTTAAGCAGCTGCATTGCGGTATAATTTACATACTGTAAAATTTACCAATTATAAATTTATAAATTCAGTCATTTAGTAAATTAATAGAGTTGTGTGACTATCATCACAATCCACCCAACAAGTTTTCCACCACCCAAAAAGTTTCCCGATGTGCATATAATAATTAATCTTCACTTCTACCCCAACCCAAGCAACCAGTTAACCTGCTTTCTGTCTCTTTAAATTTGTTTTTGCCTATGGATTTTATATAAATAGAATCATACATGTAATTTTTTTGCTTCTAGCTTCTTTCACTCAGCATCATGTTTCAAGGTTCACCAATATTGTGGTATGTATCAGTAGTTTATTCCTTTTAATTACTGAATAATATTCCATTTATAGATATACTACATTAGGTTTATCCATTCACCACCTGATGAACATTTAGTTTGTTTCTGTTTTTGTGAGGGGCTATTATGAATAATACTGCTATGAACATTTGCATATATGCCATAAGGTAGATATATGTTTTCATTTATTTTGGTTAGGTTTATAGAAATTGAATTGCTGGGTTGTACTGCTGAGTTTGTGCCTACTTTTTTTTTTTTTTTAAATAGAGACAAGGTCTCAGTATGTTGCCCAGCCTGGTCTCAAACTCCTGGCCTCAAGTGATCCTCCTGCCATGGCCTCCCAAAGTGCTGGGATTATAGGACTGAGCCACTGTGTCAGGCCTGTGCTTGTCTTTTTGAGGAACTGACAAACTGTTTTCCAAATCAGTTATACTGGTTTACATTCTCACGAGCAATGCATGGGGGTTCCAATTTCTCCACATTCTCACAAACATTTGGTATTGGATATTTTAGGTTTTTTTTTAAGGTATATCTTTTTTTTTTTTTTTAAGAGGTGGAGTCTCACAGCGTTGCTCAGATTGGCCTTGAATTTCTAAGTTCATGCAATCCTCCTGCCTCAGCCTCCTGAGTAGCTAGGACTGCAGGTGCATGCCTGGATTATCTTTTTTATTATTGCCCTTCTGGTATGGTGGCATTGCATTGTGATTTTAATTTGCATGTTATTGACAAAGATGTTGAGCATCTCTTCACATGCTCATTAGCCATCTGTTTTCCTTCTTTGGTAAAGCGTCTCCTCAAAATTTTTGACCATTTAAAAATTGAGTTATTTTTCTTTTTTGTTATTGAGTTGTAAAAGATTTTTATAAATTCTGGGTACAAGTTCTTTATCCCAACCTATGGCTTCTGTTTTCATCTTCTTAATGGTATCTTTTGAATGCAAAAGTTTTTTATTTTGATAAAGTCCAATTTATCAAAATTTTATTTTATGGCTTGTACGTTTAGTGTCATGTCTAAAAGTTCTTTGCTCAACCAAAGGTCATGATTTTTTTTCTCCTATGTTTTCTTATAGATGTCTTATAGTGTTAGCTCCAATGTCTAAGTCTATAATCCATTTTGAATTAATTTTTGTATATGGTGTAAGGTAAGGGTTTGAGTTCACTTTTTTGTGCATGGATATTTAATTTTCCCAGCACCATTAGTTGAAAAGACTATTCTTTCCCTCATTGAGTTGTCCTTGCTCCTTTGTTTAAATCAAGTGACCATAAATGTAAGGTTTTATATCTGGACTATTAATTATGTTCCATTAACCTATATGCATATCTTTCTGCCACTACCACTCTCTTGATTACTGTGACTTCATAGTAAGTTTGATTGCCTTTATTTATTTATTTATTTACTTACTTATTTTTCCAAAATGGAGTCTCACTCTGTCACCCAGACTGGAGTGCAGTGGCATGATCTCGGCTTACTGCAACCTCCACCTCCCAGGTTCAAGTGATTCTCCTGCCTCAGCCTCCCAAGTAGCTGGGATTACAGGTGCACGCCACCATGCCCGGCTAATTTTTGTATTTTTAGTAGAGACGGGGTTTCACCATGTTCGGCAGGCTGGTCTCGAACTCCTGACCTCAAGTGATCTACACACCTTGGCCTCCCAAAGTGCTGGAATTACAGGTGTGAGTCACAGCACCTGGCCAATTCCCTTTATTTTTGAAAGACATTTTTTGTTAGGTATGGAATTCTAGGTTGGCGTTTTTTTCTTTCAGCACATTAAAAATGTTACATTACTCTTTTTGGGCTTGCATAATTTCAGATGGGAAGTCTGATATCTTTTTTGTTTTTTCAGAGATGGGGTCTTAGTTGCCCAGGCTAGAATACAGTGGCTATTCACAGGTGTGATCATAGCACACTGCAGCCCCAAACCCCTGAACTCAAGTGATCCTCCTGCCCCAGCATCCCATGTCATTTTGCTCCTCTCTGCAACATCTTTTTTTCTCTAGCTGTTTGAAGATTTTCTCTTTATCACTGGTTCTAAGTAAATTGATTATGGTGTGCCTTAGTGTGTTGTCTACATGTTTCTTCTGCTTGGGATTCATGGAGCTTTTTGGATCTGTGGGTTTCCAATTTTTATTAAATTTGGAAATTTGGGGCTATTGTTTCTTCAGGTATTTCTTCTGTCTTCTCCCTGTCCTTTCCTTTAGGATTTCCAATTACATATATATTAAGGACTATTTAGTTCACTGATGCTCATTCCTTGTTTTACATCTTTTTTCCTATGTTTTATTTTGGATAGTTTCTATTGCTATGTCTTCGAATTACTAATATTTCTTCTGCAACATCTAATCTATTAGTTCCATCTTCTATATTTTTTATCTTAATATTGCAATTTTCATCTATTTAAGTTTGATTTAGGCCTTTTGTGCATCTTCCTTCTCTCTCCTCGACATGCTTATGCTTTCCTCTGTCTTCTTAAACGTCTGAAATGTATTTATAAAATCTGTTCTATTGTTCTTATCTTCTATCATCTGTGTCATTATGGGCCTGCTTCTATTGATTGATTTTCTCCTCATTATGGACCATAATTTCCTGCTTCTTTGCATGTCTGGTAAGTTTGAGTCAATGCCAATATTGTAAGCTTTACATTGTTGGGTGCTAGGCTTTTTTATTCCTTAATTGTTTTGAGCTTTGTTTCAGGATGCAGTTAACTTGCTTGGAAACAGTTTGATGCCTCTGAGGTTGCTTTGAAACTTTGGGAGCACAGTATATTCTAGGAGTAATTTGGCTCCTTTATGAGGCAATATCCTTGTGGGTATTTTTCCCATGCTCAATGTATTATGAGATTTATTCACCCTGGTTGTTAGGAATATGAACTATTTCCAACCTTGTGTGAACACCAAGAATTATTCCACCTGTTTCTGTGAAGTGTGCTTTCTCCAGCCTCTAGTAGCTTCCTCATATGCATACAGTCTTTAGTACTCAGATGAAGACTTAATGGGAACCCTTTGCAGATCTCTAGAGTTCTCTCTATGCAAATTTCTCCCCCTGATACTCTGCCCTGTGAATTCTAGCCATCTTGGCCTCCCTGAATAATCAGCTGTCTCCTCAACTCAGAGAATCTTCCAGCTCTGCCTAGGTTACTCTTTTATGCACTACAGCCTGGAAACTGCAGACAGTAAGCTTGTGCAGTATTAGGACTCATTTTTTTCTCTCTCTCTCTTTCAAGGATCAGTGTCCTGCACTATCAGAAACAGTTATGTATAATTTTGTCTGCTTTATAATTGTTTTTTTTCTTCTTTTTCTTTTTCTTTTTTTTTTTTTTGAGACAGAGACTCACTCTGTCACCCAGGCTGGAGTGCAGTGGCGCTATCTTGCTCACCTCAACCTCTGCCTCCCGGGTTCAAGTGATTCCCCTGCCTCAGCCTCCCTAGTTGCTGGGATTACAGGCATGTGCCAACACGCCTGGCTAATTTTGTATTTTTAGTAGAGGGGGGTTTCTCCACGTTGGCCAGGCTGGTCTCAAACTCCTGACCTCAGGTGATCCACCTGCCTTGGCCTCCCAAGTGCTGGATTACAGGTGTGAGCCACTGCACCTGGCCTATTGCTTTATAATTGTTTTAGGCAGGAGGTTAAATCCAGTGCCTGTTATTCTTTCTTGGCTGGAAGAAAGTCTTCTAATAGCCTTCTAAATTTTCTCCAGGTATTCTTTCTCATTGTTCAAATTTGGTCCACATGCACTGGAGTGGACTGGGAACATTGAGATAAACAACTGTAAAATAGAATATAAAAGCACTTATAATCTCCAATAGTAATAACTCTGATAAATGTAAAAACTCCTATAATTCCTCATGCTGATAACTCTGATTAATGTTTTGTGTATTTTATATTTCCTTCCAGTCTTCTTTCTGTCTTTTGATTATGTATGGTTTTTACATCAGTCCTCTGCTTACTTGGCCTCTTTTTAGCCTTTGACACTAATGATTACTCCCTCATTCTTAAAATTTTGTACACTAGGCCGGGCACGGTGGCTCATGCCTCAAATCCCAGCACTTCGGGAGGGCGAGCTGGGCGGATCACCTGAGGTCAGGAGTTTGAGACCAGCCTGACCAACATGGAGAAACCCCATCTCTACTAAAAATACAAAATTACCCGTGTGTGGTGGTGCATGCCTGTAATCCCAGCTACTCAGGAGGCTGAGGCAGGAGAATTGCTTGAACCCAGGAGGCAGAGGTTGCCGTGAGCCAAGATCGTGCCATTGCACTCCAGCCTGGGCAACAAGAGTGAAACTCCATTTCAAGACAAAACAAAACAAAACAAAACATTGTGTACTATTAGCTTCTAGGAGATACCTCTCCTGATTTTATTTCAATCCTTTCAACCCCTAAGAATTCCCTCTCACAGTCTTCTTTACAAAAATTCCTCTTCCTCCATGTCCCCTTAAATATTGACTTCTTTCTTGCTTCTCTTCTCACTGGATATCTAAATTCTCCCTTAGTGATCTCATCTGTTACCCATGACTTCAGTTGTCTGCTTGTGACTCACAAATTGACATTTCTAAATCTCTCTCCCCAGTGCTCCAGACCTATATAGTCAATTGCTTGATGTATATTTCTACTTGGACATCTCACATTGTGTCTCAAACACAACTCATCTTCCTCCAAGAACCTAAACTGCATCATGGTTCCATCTCAGTGCATGGCACTATCATCTACCTTACTTCTCAAGCTAGAATCACAGAAACTATGCTCAACTCTTCCTTCTTTCTTCTTTTTAACCCCCACACATTTAATGAGGGCATCTAATTTTTTACTAGTTTATCTCCTAAATATCTCTTTTCTTTAAGCCTATATACTAGTTTCCCATACATTCCTGTTGTTCACATTTTTTTCTGTCAATTGAACTGTTGCAACAGCCACTTATTTGACCTCTGGATAAGTGCCGGATGCATTGTGGTCTTTGCAAAACATCAGTTAAATCATGTCACTCTCTTGTTTAAAGAGCTCCAATAGTTCCCCTTTACTTATAGGATAAAAGCCAAAACCTTTAGCTTAGTGTGAACAAGGCCCTTCACAGTCCACCTCTAAACTCTCTTTCAGCCTTGCTCCCGGCTGATCTCATGTGTATCATTCCCCAAATACAGCATCCCCTCTGCCTTTGTGCTGTTCTTTCTGCCTGGCAAGTCTTTCTGCATCTTCTCTGTTTGATAAATTCCTTCTCATCTTTCAATATATATCTTAAGTGTCCCCTTCTTCAGTGAGTTCCTCCCTGAACCCGTCAAGAAGTGCTTCCCCTCATTCCTCTCATGCTCTGCCAGTTCTTTCCTCCAGCCACTACTGCACTTGTTACAGTGCCCTGTAGTTATGCATTTACATCTATTCCTCCTGCTAGACTGTGTACTCTTTAAACAGTGGCCATCTTCTTCCTCTATGTACTTATCTCTCTAACAAGGGCTCAGTATCATAGCCATTCAATAAGTGTTTATATAATACTTGGTTTCCTAACCTGAGGTCCATGGATAGGCTTTGGAGGGCCCCTAGAACTCCATAATATTGCATATAAAATTATGTGTTTTGAGGGCATTTTCCTGGAAGATTCATTCTGGTCACCAGATTTTTCAGGGGGACCCTAGATTAACAAACAGTTAAGTACCCCTACCTTAGGAGAAAACTGTAGCCAAGGAGTTGGTTTGGGAAACCTAAATCATAGCCAGAGCCTAAACTTCACATTGGGCTTGATATGACCTTTTGCTGCTGCTGATGTCAGTCAGTCCTGTGAAGAGGAGAGAGAGCTGGAGGGAGGGGCATACAGCAACTCTCCACTGCAGGTGGGAACATTCAACATTCTCAACTCTCAAAGCCCACGACCGTTCTCCCCCTACTTCCCACCCCCAGCTTTCTCTTTCATGCTCATGAGCACACATCCTACATGAATGCAAATTTGAAACTCAAACACACACACATACACTTCTGCATGCACACAAATACACACACAAACACACAGCTAGACATGCACACATGCATTCATCCACACGCATACAGACAAACATGTGCAAACCGGCCACATACACATGGGCACTCTGGATAATACACAGCTTCACTCCTGCATGGTCCATGTGAAACACACACACACACACACACACACACATCCATGCATGTGAAACTCGTACGACCTCCCTCCTGCTGAGAACGAGTGCTGCCCCTGGCATCAGGCCCGTGGAGACAGCCGAGTGGAGCCATCTGTCAGGCTGAGGTTCCTGAGCGCCTCCCATCCTGCCTGAGCTCAGCTGGTCGGCATGCCGGGCATGCAGCCTTGCTATTCTCTCCGGCTGAATCATGCTGAGTGAGCTGGCCCAGCTAGGGTTTATCAAATCGGAACAGAATTTTGGCAAAACAGATGACTTGTGAGTTTGGCATTTGTGGACTTGGGAGGTGGAGACCTGTGGGGTGGGGGAGGAGGGGGGAAAGGAAAAAGGGAGAAAAATTGCTTCTGGATACACTGAGATATGCTGGAGAACTGAGTTCAAGAATGTGGCAGAGGAGCTTAGGTGCCAGATGTAAAGTCAAAAAAACCCTATTCAAGTTCCAGCTCTACCACTTAATAGCCACGTGACTTTGAACATGTTAATTTACCTCTTTGAGCCTCGGTTTCTTTTGTTTGTTTTTGTTTTTTTGAGACTGAGTCTCGCTCTGTTGCCCAGGCTGAAGTACAATGGCACAGTCTTGGCTCACTGCAACCTCCACCTCCTGAGTTCAAGCAATTCTCCCTGCCTCAGCCTCCCCAGTAGCTGCGATTACAGGCATGCACCACCACGCCTAGCTAATTTTTGTATTTTAGTAGAGACAGGGTTTCGCCATGTTGGTCAGGCTGGTCTTGAACTCCTGACCTCAGGTGATCCACCTGCCTCAGCTTCCCAAGGTGCTGGGATTACAGGTGTGAGCCACCACGCCCGGCCTGAACCTTCTTGGTTGCTTTTATAAAATTGATCTAATAAAATCACCTAACTCATATGATTGATAACAGATTTCTGTGAGACAGTACTTATCAATTAGTACAGTGCCCTGGCATGTAGTAAAGACTTAATAGACAGTAGTTATTACAGTCAGAGAACATGCAATTTCAAAGAGAACATATAGACCAACTAGCCCAACCTGGCTATCCCTTTTAACCCACCAACCCATCCCCGCTGGGCAACCAGGCTTGGTACCCTAACATGGTTCCCAGTCTTCACCTGAAAACCATATGCCCTCATCAACCTTGTGCTGCATTGGACACTTGTCTGGCTTCCTGGCTACTGTTCATCACACTCCCCTTTTGACCTGAGAACCAGCATTGCCCCTCCCATACCAGCCTTCCCCTCTTCTGCTTCTAGCTGCTCAGCTCATGCAGGTCCCACCACACCCATTACCTGGTTTGAAATGATAATAATAAAAACAATACCAATACATGGAATTTATTAAGCCCTTATTGTGTGCCAGAAATTTCCAAAGCAAGTCTAATTTAGTCTTCACAACTTTATAAGTAGACACTATTATTATCCCTATTTTACAACTGAAGAAACTGAGGTACCAAGAGATTAAGTAATTTGCCCAACATAAGAGATCAAGTGTAAAGACAGGCTATTATCTCATATATTCTAAGAGATAATAACTGACAATTAAACCATGTTACAATGCTGAGGTGCATTCTGATTTCAGAGATGTTTAAAATGTGGGGGAACGGGGGGGGAGGTGTGGAAAGTACATTATAGAACAATTAAAATGGGACCAGGATTTGACCTTGGGAAGTCAATCTGACTCAAGGGTCTGTACCACACTGTAATGCCCTCAATATCCCACTTATTGCACACCCTATGTAACAGACATTGTGCTAACTTCCTTTTTTTTTTTTTTTTTTTTTTGAGACAGAGCCTTACTCTGTTGCCCAGGCTGGAGTGGAGTGGCATGATCTTGGCTTACTGCAACCTCTTCCTCCTGGGTTCAAGCAATTCTCCTGCTTCAGCCTCCCAAGTAGCTGGGATTACAGGCATGCACCACCATGTCCAGCTAATTTTTGTATTTCAGTAGAGACGGGGTTTCACCATGTTGCCTAGGCTCCTGACCTTAAGTGATCCTCCTAACCGCAAGTGATCCTCCTGCCTCAGCCTCCCAAAGTGGTGGGATTATAGGCGTGAGCCACGAGGCCCCGCCACATTGTGCTAACTTCTTAATATGCATTACCTCATTCAGATCTTATTAACCATCCTTGTTCTACAGATGAGGGAACTAAGGCTCAGAAAAGTCATGATTTGTCCAAGGTAACATCGTGTCATGAAACTGGTGATAAATGCCCGGCCTGTCTGACTCTGGAGTCTGCTCTTAGCCATTATGCAACTCAGATACCTGCTCTCTGCCTAGGTGGTAGTTCCCACAGCTTCCTCCAGAGGATCCTTCAGGCTGGCCATGGGGCTGAGCCACAGCTGCTGTCCTGGTGACTTCCAACCCCAGACTTCATTTTCTCTCTATGTGGAGGAGAGGGAGTTTGTTGGGAGGAGGGGCACAGTCCTGGACTGAAAGGCAGAACACTGGGGTACTCGTGCTGTTCTGTCTGGGCACTGTGATCTCTCTCTCAGCAGGTGTCTCTTGTACTGGGTAACACGCAATCGGTAACATGGGAAGAATTGTCCTATTCTTGGTCCCCACCAAAATTAGTATACTCTTTCTGAGATTATATGTGAAAGACATCTGAATAAAGGGTTAGTACATTACTAGATTATGGGTCTAGCCCCTGACCAATGTTCCAGCCTTAATTCCCAAAATTTCCCACCAAACTTGGAAAATCTCCAAAGTATCCCTGCCTCTCTGCCTCTGTTCATGCCTTTCCACATTATCTGAAAGGCTTTTTCATCTTCACCTACCATAATTCTACTATCCAGAAGACCAAGTTCATAGACTTTCTCCTAAGAGGCGTTCATGGACAGCTGTCCTTGAAATGATCCATTTATTCTATCTAATCTTTGACTGTAAGCTCTCAAGAAAGGCATCACTCCTGGCCTTGCCATAATTATTAGTGTATAAGACATCTCCTGTATGGAGGACATGTTGGTTTTTGCCTGCCCAGCATCATCTCCCACTTTGGTAACAGCAACTTGATTTTCCTCTGGGGGACCACGTTCCCTCACTTTTAGTCGATATGATTTGGATGGGGTTAACCCCACCTCAAAATCCAGAGGCAGGCATGTGACTTAGGACTTTTAAATCAGAGTCACTGTGAAGGGTTCTGTGAAGGGCAGATGAACCATTGGGAATTACTTTTGCTGGAAAGATTGGAACAAGCAGCTCTAATTGCTGTGATTGGATGCAAACATGGAGCTGTGAAGTACTTTCACATGGAAAAAAAATCCTGAGAATGCAGCTACACAAGAGCAAGTTATAGAAAGAGATGTAATTTTGAGAATAATATTGTTGGAAATCCTTGGATCTTAGATTCAGTGATTCCTGAAGCTGGAGGTAATCTTAAGCCCGGCTTCCTGACACACTCACTGGTAAGTGGAGTTGGATAGCCATAACTGACTTAGACTAATTGGGATCTAAGAGGATCCACCTCTGGAATTAGAGATTGAGCCCAGCTTTCTCCTGATCACATGCCTGGGGCAAATTAATTCTGCCCCCTACCCACATTCTTTTTTTACTTCTTAAACTAGTTTGAGTTGGGTTTCTGTAATATATAATTGAAAGATACAAACGCATCCTCAATTTGTTTATAAACTTCCAGAGGACAGAAGCCTGATCTTTTTAACCATATAACTCCTTAGGGTGTAGCACAGTTCCTGATAAGACAGAGGGTGCTCAAGGTGTGATGTTTGATGGATGGATGCTCACTTCATTCAATCCCACTTTTCCTGAGCACCTACGATGAGCTAAGCTGAGCACGGGAACCACAAGGAATAACCGATCGAAGTGCTTGCCCTCAAGGAGTTCTGAGTTTAGTAAAAGGAGAAGGTATGAAAACAAACATATTATAAAATAACCTGGGCTATAATAGAAATCTGAACACATTTCTGTGGGATCCCAGAAGGTTGGAGATCTGGGGAGCTGGGAATGTGGGGAAGCTTCTTAGAGGAGAAGATAGATCTGAGTCGAGTTCTTAACAAAAAGAAGCTCCTAGGCAGAGAATGGCCGGGCGCGGTGGCTCACGCCTGTAATCCCAGCACTTTGGGAGGCCAAGGCAGGAGGATCATGAAGTCAGGAGATCAAGACCATCCTGGCTAACACAGTGAAACCCGTCTTTACTAAACATACAAAAAAAATTAGCCAGGCGTGGTGGCAGGCACCTGCAGTCCCAGCTACTCGGGAGGCTGAGGCAGGAAAATGGTGTGAACCTGGGAGGCAGAGCTTGCAGTGAGCCGAGATCGCACCATTGCACTCCAGCCTGGGTGACAGAGCGAGACTCCGTCTCAAAAAAAAAAAAAAAAAAGTTCCTAGGCAGAGAAAAACTGTCCCAGGGATGAGGTTCCAGGCGGAGATAGCAATATTATATAATTATATTAATATAATTAATAATATCTCTATCTCCTCTTCTTCCTGGGACTTCTTCACAATCTCCTTCCTGTTTTCCTCTGCCTCACATATGGATGGAATCACTACAGTGATTAAGAGCACAGGCTCTGAGTTCTGACAGATTTTCATTCTGCAACTTAACCACCCAAATGACCTTTAGCAGAATCACTTGTGTCTTACAAATAAGCACAGTAGTTGCATTTGCCTTGTAAGGTTGTTTAGAACATTTTTAAAAATTACCAGTATAAAGTGTGAGCCTCCACAAGCCAATTCTCAAGAAATGTTAGCTGCTATTATTTTTATTGTCAGTTAAGAACCTTTAAGGACCAGGGAACAGAAAACCTAACTCGAACTGGCTTAAACAGTAAGGAGATTCTTCACAGTACATAATGGGGAGTGTTGAAGTAGAGCAGGCCCCAGGCATGGAATAATCGGGGCTCTGACTCCATTTCTCTGTAGTGCTCCCAGCTCTGCCCTCTTCTTTGTATTGGCTCTGTCTACAGGCTAGCTTCCCTCATTGTCCAGAGACGGCTGTGTCACTGTGTCCTGAGCAACTGTGACAACATGCTTCCTTGTTCACATTCATCTAACAGAGAAAAAAATCTCCTCCCCAAACAGAAATATAAACCCTTCCTTTCAATATGCTTAGGCTAGTTTAGGGTATGTGCCTGCTTCTGGACCAATGACAGTGATCAGGGGGATTCCCTATGTTGATTGGCTTAAGCCTGGCTTCCTAACACACTCACTGGTAAGTGGAGTTGGATAGCCATAATTGACCTAGACTAATTGGGATCTAACAGGATCCACCTCTGGGATTAGAGATTGAGCCCAGCTTTCTCCTCATCACACGGCAGCATCTTGGCAAAGGGAGAAGGGTTCTGTGAGAGAGAAGGAAGGAATAACTGGATGTTGGCTGGACAATCAACTGCATCTTTTGTGATGATTCCTATTGCATTTTTTTGCATGTGAGTTCACATGGGTCTTTTAAGGCCATGGCTCAAATGGTTCCTTCCTGGTGAGGCTGACAATGGAATCAGCTACAGAGAATAGCACATGGCTCCCACCTCTCTCCCTCATTCCTCTCCTCTGCGCTTCCTGTCGCCCTCGCTCAGCATTAGTTTTATCTAAAGTTTTATCACCACCTGACATGTCATACTTTTAGCTTTACTTGTTTATTATGTCTTCTCCCTCTAAAATATAAATTACATGAGAGTAGAGGTTTGGAGTTGTTCAGTTTTGTACTTCTAATGTCTAGAAGAGTCCTGGCCCACAGTATGCACAACATAACAATTTGTTGAGTGAATAAAGTCTTCTAATCAGAGCCAGACTCCTTGGATCATCTCAGAGGTTGTCACCCAGCTATGGGGCCTGGGAATGGTCTCTGCTTTCACAGCTTCGTTTCTCCTCTTTCTGCTCTGTCTCTCTATCTATTTGCCCCTTGTCTATTCCTCAGTCTCTCTAATATCCATCTGCTGAGTAGGCTCATATTTGTCATTTTGCTTTCTTCCTACACAGCATTGATTGCAAATCTTTTTCTTCTCCCTTTTCATGCTGACTACCTCTTATTCTCTACATGCAAAATATTAAATATTTTGTGTTCAAATAAAGCTAAAAGAGCTGAGTGACCCTTATATCCTGCAAATATTTAAGACAGGACATCTCATTTTTTTGAGAACTTCATTTATGTTTTTACATACGTGTTTGAGAAATCCATACGGAGTGTATTACTGTAGGTGCTTCCATGTCTACCATTCCATGGCTTCCCGGATTTGTATCCTCTTTTTTTTTTTTTTTTTGAAACAGGGTCTCACTCTGTCACCCAGGCTGAGTGCAGATGTGTGATCATGGCTCACTGCAGCCTCGACCTCCCTGGCTCAAGTGATCCTCCCACCTCAGCCTCCTGAGTAGCTGGGACTACAGGCCCACACCACCACACCCGGCTAATTTTTTATTTTTTGTAGAGATGGAGTCTTGCTGTGTTGCCAAGGCTAGTCTAAAACTCCTGGGCATAAGTGACCCTTCCACCTTGGCCTCCCAAAGAGCTGAGATTATAGATGTGAGCCACTGTGCCTGGCCCTGGGTTTGTAACCTCTTTGAAGTCCTCTTTAGTATGAATATTTTTAAATTTTAAGAGAAAAGCCTCTGCTTTCTCCCATACCACTCCCACCCTAAAATCTGTCTGCCTCTAGTAAGGGACATGTAAGAAGGCATTGTTTTCTTATGTGATATTTTCTGACTGTAGGACTGGACAAAGGAACAATGATAAAAATAACAATAGAAAATATGTATTTGTCTAGCACTTTACAATAAACTGTTACCATTGTTCTTTTCTTAATTATAAAATTCATATGAGCTTACAAAATATTACTTTTTTTTTTTTTTTTTTTTTTTTTTTTAGCAAGGCTCTGTCTCCCAGGCCAGAGTGCAGTGGCACAGTTTGGGATCACTGCAACCTCTGCCTCATTGGTTCAAGCGATTCTCCTGCCTCAGCCTTCCAAGTAGCTGGAACTGTAGGAGTACGCCACTACGCCCGGCTAATTTTTGTATTTTTAGTAGAGATGGGGTTTCACCACGTTGCCCAGGCTTGTCTCAAACTCCTGACCTTAAGTGATCCTCCTGCCTCAGGTTCCCAAAGTGCTGGGATTACAGGTGTGAGCCACTGCACCTAGCCTACAATTTTTTTTAGTGGGATCGCATTGCACCATGGTGTTATTGGGCTTTCAGAGACTGAGAGAGGTTATCTAATAGATATGGCTAGGAGGTGGAAGAGCCAGAACTAGAACCTGGGCCCTGTCATCCCAAAGCCTTTGCTCTTCTCAGTGCCCCCGTTCCAGGCATTCAACTTGGCCTTCGCCTCCCTCTCTGATGATGTGAACGTGTAAGTGGGTGTTAGTTGTTAGGCTTACTTGATGACTCAGAACAGCTGCCTTCCCCTCTGAGGTCGGGGGTAACCCCAGGTAGGTACTGCCCACCCAGGAGCCTGTGGCTTCCTGCCTTCTTCAGTTCAAGGGTTTATCAGATAAGGCGGAGCCTTAAAATGCTCATATTTCCCAGAACACATAGTTTGATTTGACAAGCACAGGCTGCAAAGACTGACCAGAGGACAGGGAGTGTGTGGTCATGGGTAAATAGCAGTGGAGACTGGAAGAGTCCAGGGCTAACAGCCTCTTCCTCCAGTCCAGCATCTGTACCCCCAGGGCCTCAGTATCTATAACTAGTGAGCCTATGTCCCCAGATAGGGGTCCCTCCTCCACCAGAAAGTGAACTTTAGAAAGCCAGATGGTCTCAGCCCTCACAGGCTTCCAGGAAACCTCAACAATTCTAAGAAGACCCCATTTCCTGCTTCACACCCAGAGCCTGAGTCTTTGGTGGGGAAAGGGAGGGAAGCCTGTGCCACCCCCTGCTCCCTCCACCTCCGATCCTTGCCCTAGGCAACCCCTCTGTTTGAACAACTTCTCATAGAGACAGCACATCTCTATGGGGTGTTGAGAGGGGGCCTCCCAGCTTATCCAGACTCTAGGATCCCCCTCTTCTCTGGGATACCTTTCACACCCATGTCTCCTAACCCAGATCCTTCTGTTACTCCCGAGCTAAAGACAGGCCCTAGAGGTGAGCCAAAGCAACTGACAGCCCTAAAGGCATTTCAATGTGGTTATGACATTTAATAAATCAATGTTTCCCCGTATGGAAGTCATATAGCATTGGTAGGACAGAAAATAATTTTAAGTTTCCACATGAATATCAGCATTAAAGAATATTTAATTACCCCCTTTTTCATTCCTTTTCAATACTTTTGATTATATCAAGAAGAATGTCTCCATTAGGTGCTAGTAGTTCTTTAACATCCCTCTGATACCAGTAAGACTCACCATGAAGAAAAGAAGAGAGGGCATAAATAAATAATATTAAAAATAAAAACAGGATTATAGCAAGCACTTTCTATATAATGTTTTAAAAGATAACCTTTCAAAAGCAACAACATTGTTTACGTGTAGAAATAAATCTCATAAAAGATGTACGCCTAGTCTTTATCAAGAAAATTATATAATTTTAATGAAAACTATAAAGTAAAACCTAAACAAATAAGATCCAGCATGGATGGGAAGAAAACTCAATATGATAAAGATGTCAGTTCTTCCAAATTATTCTAGAAATTTAATGCAATCCCAATCAATATTCTGAATGTGTGTGTGTGTGTGTGTGTGTGTGTGTGTGTGTGTGTGTTTAATTTTTCTAGCTGATTCTAAAACTTATTTGGAAGACCAAACAGAGCTGCTATTTTATATTTTATATAGGGTGGCCTGGGAAGGCCCTTCTGAGGAATGATGTGTGAGGAATGAAGCATTCTAGGTAGGTTGAGCCAAGGCTTTGAGGTAGCAGCTTGCTTGGAATGTTCCAAGAATACGAGGTCAGTGTGGCTGACTGAATGAATGGCAGAAATGAGGTCAGAGAAGTAGCCAGGGGCCAGATGACATGGGGCCTTGTGGACTGCGGTAAGAGCTCCGAAATTTACTCTGTAATGGGAGGCTGTTTGATTTTTTGAGCAAAGAGTGATCCAATTTAATTTGAACATTAAAAATGTTTGAAAGAGCTGAAAATATTAAGTAAGCCTCTGTGTGGGCGGTATGGAAATGCAGTTAAAACTGTGAAGGAGGCACATGAATGACTGAAATTTTGAAAATTCTGCATGAAGTAATTCCTTAAGTCACAGATTTGGTCTTTCTAATTTAGCTGAGCCCAAACAGAATGGGAAAGGAATCTGAGTTCTTGGAGCCAATGCTGACAAATGTGTGGGAGGGGCAGGCCAGGCCCAAATCTTCTTCCTGCTGCTTTGGCTCATGGTGGATGTCCCAGGGAATCCCCCCAGTGGCTGGACCTCCAATTACAGCCTCCCAGAGAGTGAGTCCAAAAAGCAGCTACTCTGAAAAACATCACAGACCTCAAAACTAGTGAGATTTAAAGAAGGTTAGAGCTGAATGGGACTCCAGAGAGAATAATAAAAATGAGAAATTATAATAACACGTGCATGTCCCTAAAGACAATCATTATCTTCTCTCAAAAACTGTTCCTTCTCTGGCATTCCCTAGTCCAGTAAATGGCACATTATTCACTCAGTCAGCCAACAAAGTTTTATTAAGCCTATACTATATGTCAGTATTGGATTCTCTCTAACAAGCAAAATTGACATAGGCTCTGCCCTCATGGAGCTACCAGTCTGATATGGGGAGAGAGACAGTAAACAAGTTATTACAAAACACTTAGCACTGTGAAAGAAATAAATAGAGTAGTGTGGTAGAGCAAGGATCAGCAAACTAAACAGAGGTCATATATGGCTTACTGTCCTTTTTTTGTAAATAAAATTTTATTGGAACACAGACATACTCATTTGTTTATATATTGTCTATGCTTGCTTTCATGCTACAATGGCAAGTTTGAGTAGCTTGTAACAGAGACTTATAGCCTTCAAAGCCTAAAATAGTTACTATCTGGCCATTTACAGGATAAGTTTGCCTACCACTATTATAGAAGATAATGGGATTATTGGTGAATGACAAACAAAATTAAAACAAACAAAAACAAAACAAAAGAAGATAATGGGGGAGCCGGTCTCCCAGTAATGTCCAATAGAACTTTCTGAAATGATGGCAGTGTCCTGTATCTGTGCTGTTCATTATGGTAACCACCAACCACATGTAACTATTGGATTTGTCGCACTTGGGTTTAGCTTCCCACTTCCACTTCTCCAGTCAGTTTTGGCCAAAGGGTGATAGGGTCACATGGTAAAAACAGGGCTTCCCTTAGCTGCCTTTTGCAGAGACAAGGAGCGGAGTATTTACCCTTAGGAAGGGCTGTGGGTGTAACAGTGGAGTTAGTTGATGTGTTAACTACCATCCTGTAATGTCTGCATTAGCTAGGTGCCCGAATCTGTGATGCTATGATTCTCCCTGAGGCTTTGGCTCTTGGGGGGCCTGGATCTGTGACCTAAATTAACTCCCTCTATAGCCAGAAGTTCCCAGATGGTTATGATTGCTTGGTTGGGGCAAACACATTCTTTTCCCTCCATGCCCCCAACCAGACCTCCTCTATTCCTTCCCCCATTTAGAGACACTTCAGCAAGGGAGGGAAGGACAAAGCCTCCCACATGTGGGTCTCAGAGCCACAAAGAATAGTGCAGTCCCTTGGGAGGAAGCCTGCTGCAGAGGCTGCTGGAGAATTTCTGATTTTCTGCTTTGGGTCTTAATAACTCAGGGATGATGTGGTCAGGGCCTAAGGGGATCATTTTGTAATTTCACCCCTGACAGCATTGGCTTGGGCTCTGATGCTTGGGCCATCTCTGACTCAGAGCTGAGTTAAATAATTAAATCTGCTGCCTCCCAAATTTGGCAGGGATGGGGGTGGGTGGTGGCTGCACAGGTCCTGTGAATCTCCTAGGCAGGCAGAATGGGTTTTACTTAGCCATGTGGCAGGGGAGGGAGGCCTGGAAATTTTCCATTTCCAGTACACCTTCCCTAACTGCTCCGAATGCCTAAAAATAAGCCAGTGGACCCTTACCTTACCTGGAGGCTTTGTTTCCAATGAAAAGCAACTCCCTATACTGCCCAAGACTGTCCTTGGAGTTAGCATCAGTCCTATGGGCTTTAGAGAGGACTGAGTTTCATGTCCTTTCCTCCTATTGGGTATGGAAAGGGAGATAGCAGGGAACCATGAGAGCCCTAGAGTAATGTGTGCATGTGAGTGTGTGTGTGAGTGTGTGAGAGCATATGTGTGTGAGCGCACGCATGTGTGTGTGTGTGTGTGTGTTGGGGATAGATGTGGGAGGTGGGATTGAAAGAAGAAACATGTTCAGAATTGGGGCTGAGTAGCACTCAATGCAGATGTTCGCAGGGCTATACCTCTAATAAAAACCCATGTCTTATCCTGGCTGTGCCACTCATTCTCTATATCCTTGATTGAGCAAGTCTCTTAATCTCCCTGGGCTTCAGTTTCCTCATTTGTAAAATGAAGTGATTGGGTGAGGAAGTATCCAAGGGTCCTTCCAGTTCTGCGTCACTGGACCGGAAACACATCCCTTCTGGAGGAGGGCTGGTGAGGGGAGGCAAGTTCCAGTGGAATCTCTCCTTTCAGGCTTTCAAATAGCAAGAACAGTACAGCAGCACACGCCCAGGAGGAAAGGTGTGGGCGGTCTCACAGGGAAGCACAGACTGCCCTGAATCTGGCCCCTGCAAGTCTCACCTCCAGTCCAATTAGAAAACGGTGTCCCTTCTTCAAGACATGTTACTTCGGTTTACCAGAAAATTGTCTTAATAACTCTACAGATCTACAATGCCTGAAATGTGAAGAGCACTCCTCAGAGCTCTGCAAAGCACAGTGGCCTGCCATGCTATCACATGCTCTGCCATGGGCAGGTTGCAGGCTTAGGAGGTACTGGGTGCCATAAAGACCTTGCCATAGAGCAATGGTTTGCAAACTGCTGGGCCCCACCCCAGCGTTTCTGATTCAGTAGTTCAAGGGTGGACCCTGAAAATATGCATCTCTAACAAGTTCCCAGGTAAATCTGATGCTACTTGACTGGGGACCACACACTGAGAACCACCACTGTAGAGTGTGAGAAGCCATCTAGTCCCCTTCCTCCACTCTGCATCCTTTCTTATGGATTAGTAAACTGAGGGAAAGTGAGTTGTCAGCATCACAGGGCTGTGATCAGATTTCTCATCCAGTCCTCTTTCATTTATTTATTTATTTATTAGAGACTAGGCCTTTCTCTGTTGCCCAGGCTGGTGTGCAGTGGTATGATCCTAGCTTATTGCAGCCTCGAACTCCCAGGCTCCAGCAATCCTCCTGTCTCAGTCTCCCAATTAGCTTGGATTGCAGATTCAACTCACTGCACCTTGCCAGTCCTCTTTCTACTCCATCATCTTGCTATTTCTTGAATAGTGATATTAATGGAAAATCCAGCATCTTCCTCAGCCTTCCTGGA
This sequence comes from Homo sapiens, assembly GCF_000001405.40. Lineage (NCBI taxonomy): Eukaryota > Metazoa > Chordata > Mammalia > Primates > Hominidae > Homo > Homo sapiens. The sequence continues at coordinate 14,410,321 of NC_000011.10, read as the reverse complement.
GGTCTTTGAGGAAAGGGGAGGCTAAGTCAGGGCTCTCTGGAGGCAGGAGAAGGACCTTTCTAGCCTCTGGCAAGCCATGGGAAGTTCTTTCTCAAACTCAGGCCATACCAGCACAGGTGAAGCCTGAACTCATTATGGGACTCTGGCAGGGCATGTGGCGGCAGTTCCCTCCTCACCCCAGAAAGGGGAGGCTAATTCAGAAGGAAACGTGCCAAGCTGTGGTTTCCTGCTCCAGCTCTGCCCCACCTTGCTAACCTTGAGTGAATTGTTTGGCTTCAAGGTCCCAAACCTTTGTTCCATACACACAAAAATTCCAAATCCAGTTTGACTAATCCTGCTTGTGCTTGAATGCCTCCAGTGAGCAGAAACTCATGCCTTCCCAGGCATCATCGTAACTTCAGCTAAATATCCAATCTCAGAGGAGAATTTCTCCTGGAGAAATATGTGCATAGATGCCTAAGGTTTTCTTAAGGCCCAGCACTTTGTCTTCCCGAGATGAGAAGGGCTTCCTTATGCTGTCAGCTAAGTAGGTGATCTACAAATATTTGTTAAAGGAATGAAATGAGGTGAGGTTGGGTGGGCGGAGTGAAGCTATCAAGAAGACCATTTTATCAGCAGCTACTTAGAGGTGCAGATCTTGCAGTGTTCACATGGCTGCTACCGCCTTGTGTGATCTGGACACTGCCTGCCTCTCCTATCCCATCTCACACAACCTTCCCTCACACTCACTCCTTTCGTGACTACATATTTATTTGTGTGACTGTTTGAATAATGTCTGTCTCCTTCCCTAGACTGGATGAGGGCGGGGACAGTGATGGTTTTGCTCACCAATGTATCCCTAGCACTTAGCAATGTACCTATCACATAGTATATGCTCAACACATACTGTTTTTGAGACAGGGTCTCACTCTGTCACCCAGGCTGGAGTGCAGTTGCACCATCTTGGCTCACTGCAGCCTTAACCTCTGGGCTCAAGCAATCCTCCCACCTCAGCCTCCTGAGGAGCTAGGAATACAGGTGGATGCCACCACACCAGCTAATTTTTGTATTTTTTGTAGAGACAGGGTTTTGCCATGTTGCTTAGACTGCTCTTGAACTCTTGGGCTCAAGCAATCTGCCTGCCTCAGCCTCCCAAAGTGCTGGGATTACAGGCGTGAGCCACTGCGCCTGGCTTCAACACATATTGTGAAAGGAAGGAATGACTTGCCTGTTCTGTGGCAGAGCAGTGCTTAGCCCCCTTAAATTCCTGTTTAAATAGACAGAAAATATATGCATATGTAAATTATTTTGCTCAAACACTGAGGGTAGTGCTCTAAGAGATAGCCTATTTCCAAAAAAATATTGAATGGATGTTAGGGTAAAGGCTAAGTTGCTTTTAGCACCTTTAAAAAGGTTCCAGAATACAATGACTTAAGAAAATGCAAGTTTATTTCTCTCTAACAAAAGCACCCCAAGGTAAGCAGGCCAGAACGGAAAAGCCTCTCTGACCCACACAGTCATTAAGGATCCCAAGTTCCTTCCATCTTACTGTTTTGTCATCCTCAATGCCATTGTCTTCATCTGTGTATTAGGGTTCTCTAAAGGGACAGAACTAGTAGGATATATATATATATATATGAATTTATTAAGTATTAATCTACACAATCACAAGTTCCCACAATAGGCTGTCTGCAAGCTTGAGGAGCAAGGAGAGCCAGTCCGAGTCTCAAAACTGAAGATCTTGGAGTCTGATGTTCAAGGGCAGGAAGAATCCAGCATGGAAGAAATATGTAGTCTGGGAGGCTAGGCCAGTCTCGCCTTTTCACGTTTTTCTGCCTGCTTTATATTTGCTGGCAGCTGATTAAATGGTGCCCACCAGATTAAGGGTGGATCTGCCTTTCCCAGCCCACTGACTCGAATGTTAATATCCTTTGGCAACACCCTCACAGACATACCCAGGATCAATACTTTGCATCCTTCAATCCAATCAAGTTGACACTCAGTATTAACCATCAAAATCTGCATGGTCAAAGATGGGTCATAGACCCAAACACATTTCAGCTTGTAAGAAGGGTAGAGAGTAGAAGTCCAGGGTGAGTGATTTAAAAAAAAAAACAATAAACAAAAAAAAAAGTGAGGGAAAGTTGCATCCTCCACTTCCACTCATAGTCCATTGGTCATACATTAATTCCAAGGTCACATCTAGCTGCAAACTGACCAGGAAATGAATGGCCATTTGCCCAACTTAACCTCTATTACTATGAAAGAAGAGGTGAATGGATTTAGGGAGACAATTGGGAGTGTCTGTCATGAGAAGTCTTATAATAAATAACCATCACTCAGGAGATCTAAATGTAACCCGAATTATTATGCCCAAACCACTAAGTTCCACCAATTAATTCCCAGAAAAAAGTTGTCCTCATGGATTCTCCCAGCTATTTCTGAAACTGTTTCAGGGTGCTATTCCATATGTATTCAAGAACAGGTCCCTCCTCAATATAGCAAGATATACCCAAATTACAGATGCTCATACCTATCAGGGAACCTGCCCCGATATTCACGTAGGTTCTTTTCTATTTTTGCTAAGCATTGGCCAGCTTGAGAAATAAAGGGACAGAGTACAAAAGAGAAAAATTTTAAAGCTGGGCATCCAGGGGAGATATCACATGTTGGTAGGTTCCGTGATGCCCCACAAGCCGCAAAAACCAGCAAGTTGTTATTAGAGATTTTCAAAAGGGGAGGGAGTGTGCGAATAGGTTGTGGGTGACAGACATCAAGTACTTAACAGGGTAATAGAATATCACAAGGCAAGTGGAGGCAGGGCGAGATCACAGGACCACAGGACCGAGGCGAAATTAAAATTGCTAATGAAGTTTAAGGCACCATTGTCATTGATAACATCTTATCAGGAGACAGGTTTTTGAGATCAACTGGTCTGACCAAAATTTATTAGGCGGGAATTTCCTCTTCCTAATAAGCCTGGGAGCGCTATGGGAGACTGTGGTCTATTTCACCCCTGCAGCCTCAACCATAAGAGGCAGGTGCACCTGAGGGGGCTGTTTATAAGCCTATACCTCCAGGCGCGTATCCTCTTTCCCAGGGATGTTCCATGCTGAGAAAAAGAATTTAGTGATATTTCTCCCATTTGCTTTTGAAAGAAGAGAAATATGGCTCTGTTCTGCCTGGCTCACCAGTGGTCAGAGTTTAAGGTTATCTCTCTTATTCCCTGAACAATTGCTGTTATCCTGTTCTTTTTTCAAGGTGCCCACATTTCATATTGTTTAAACACACATGCTCTACAATTTGTGCAGTTAATGCAATTATCACGTGGTCCTGAGGTGACATACATCCTCCTCGGCTGACAGGATTAAGAGATTAAAGTAAAGACAGGCATAGGAAATCACAAGGGTATTGATTGGGGAAGTGATAAGTGTCCATGAAATCTTTACAATTTATGTTTAGAGATTGAAGTAAAGACAGGCATAAGAAATTATAAAAGTATTAATTTGGGGAACTAATAAATGTCCATGAAATCTTCAGAATCCACGTTCTTCTGCCATGGCTTTAGCCAGTCCCTCCATTTGGGGTCCCTGACTTCCCGCAACACATACCCTTTGACCCAGCAAGTCTACCTGTAGGAATTTCTCCAGTAGATATATTTACCCACATGGGAAATTAAATACGCATTGTTCATAAAAGGAAAATATTTAAAAATATATAATGTCCCAGTCTGGGTGTGGTGGCTTACACATGCAATCCCAGCACTTTGAGAGGCCAAGGCGGGTGGCTCGCTTGGGCAACATGGCAAAACTCCAAAACTCCATCTCTACAAAACTGTACAGCATGTTACTGTACTGATTACTGTAGTCAATTGTAACACAATGGTATTTGTGCATCTACACATAGAAAATATACAGTAAAAATATGGTATAAAAGATTTAAAATGGTACGCCTGTATTGGGCACTTATGAATGGAATTTGCAGGACTAGAAATTGCTCTGGGTGAGTCAGTGAGTGAGTGGTGAGGTAATATGAAGGCCTAGGACATTACTGTACACTACTGTAGACTTTATAAACACTGTACACTTAGGCTACACTAAATTTAAAAATGCAGCCCAGCGTGGTGGTATGTGCCTGTAGTCCCAGCTACTTGGGAGGCCAAGGAGGGAGAATCACTTGAGGCCAGGAGTTTGAGATCAGCCTGGGAAACACAGTGAGACCCCATCTCTACCAAAAATTTAAAAATTAGCCAGGTGTGGTGGTGTGTACCTGTAGTCCTAGCTACTTGGGAGGCCAATGTAGAAGGATCACTTGAGCCCAGGAGTTTGAGGCAGCAGTGAGCTATGATTGTGCCACTGCACTCCAGTCTGAATGACAGAGTGAGATCCTTCTAAAATAAATAAATAAATAAATAAATAAATAAAATTTAAAAATGAGTTTTTAAATAGAAATTTTTTTCTTTCTTTATATCTTTATTTTGTAAGCTGTTTGCTTTTTTCTTAATTTTTATTTTGAGATTGGAGGTACATGTTAAGGTTTGTTACGTAGGTGAACTTGTGTCATGGGAGTTTGTTTTACTTTTTATTTTTTAGATTTTTTCGAAAAATAAAACTAAGGCACAAACACACACATTAGCCTAGGCCTACACAGGGTCAGCATCATCAATATCACCTCCACATCTTGTCCCACTGGAAGGCCTTCAGGGTCAATAACACAAATGGAGCTGTCATCTTATGACACCAATGCCTTCTTCTGAAATATCTCCTGAAAGATCTGCCTTAGGCTAATTTACAGTTAACTTTTTTTTTTTTGAGATGGAGTCTCACTCTGTCACCCAGGCTGGAATGCAATGGTGCTATCTCGGCTCACTGCAAATTCTGTCTCCCAGGTTCAAGCAGTTCTCCTGCCTCAGCCTCCTGAGTAGCTGGGATTACAGGCGCCTGTCACCACACCCAACTAATTTTTGTATTTTTAGTAGAGATGGGGTTTCACCATGTTAGCCAGGCTGGTCTCGAACTCCTGACCTCAAGTTATCCACTCACCTCGGCCTCCCAAAGTGCTGGGATTACAGGCCTGAACCACCGTGCCCAGCCCTTTTTTTTTTTTTTTTTTTTTTGAGACAGGATCTTGCTCTGTCACCCAAGCTGGAGTGCAGTGGTCCAGTCATGGATCACTGCAGCCTCAATCTCCCAGGCTCAAGAGATCCTCCCACCTCAGCCTTCTGAGTAGCTGTGACTACAGGCACACACCATCACACCTGGCTGATTTTTGTATTTTTTATGGAGACAGGGTTTCTTCCATGTTTCCCAGGCTGGTCTCAAACTCATGGCCTCAAGTGATCCTCCTGCCTCAGCCTCCCAAAGTGCTGGGATTACAGGCATTAGCCACTGTGCCTGACTTATTTATTTTTTTTTTTTAGTAAGTAGGCGTACACACTAAAATAACACTTAAAAAGTATAGTATAGTCGGCTGGGCACAGTGGCTCACACCTGTAATCCTAGCACTTTGGGAGGCCGAGGCGGGCAGATCACTTGAGGTCAGGAGTTCGAGACCAGCCTGCCAACATAGTGAAACCCCGTCTCTACTGAAAACAGAAAAATTAGCCAGGCATGGTAGCACACGCCTGTAATCCCAGCTACTCGGGAGGCTGAGGCAGGAGAACTGCTTGAATCCAGGAGGCAGAGGTTGCAGTGAGCCAAGATCACGCCACTGCACTCCAGCCTGAGTGACAGAGTGAGACTCCTCAAAATAAAAATAAAAAAGTATAGTATAGTCAACACATAAGCCAGTCCCCTAGTCATTTATTATCATTATCAAATATTATATACTGTACATAATTGTATGTGCTATACTTTTTGTACGACTGGCAGCACAGTAGGTTGTTTACATCAGCATCACCACAAACACGTGAGTGGTGCTTTGCGCTATGACGTTAAGATGGCCACAACATCACGAGACATAGAAATTTTTCAGCTCTCTTAAAATATGGGACCACCATCCTATATGTAGTCCATCATTGACTGAAATGTTATGCAGCACATGAATAAATATAAATATAAGTATATTTTGATAAATATCTTTTAAATAAACATATATTTATATAAATATATATACTGGTTTGTATATTCATAAGTTTCCCTGCAAGAATTCAAAGGAAACTAGTAGCAGGGGTGAGAAGGGGAAGGGACTGGGTGACTGGATGTCTGGGGTATATGCTTTTTGTACTTTTTCATTTAGGACCATGTGAATATGTTACCTATTTAAAAAGAAGAGGGCAGGGCAAGGTGGCTTACACCTGTAATCCCAGTACTTTGGGAGGCTGAGGCGGGTGAATAGCCTGAGGTCAGGAGTTTGAGACCAGGCTGATCAGCATGGTGAAACCCCAACACTGTCTCTACTAAAAAATATAAAATTAGCCTGGCGTGGTGGCAGGTGCGTGTAATCCCAGCTACTTGGGAGGCTGAGGCAGGAAAATCACTTGAACCTGGGAGGTGGAGGTTGCAGTGAGCCAAGATCACGCTGTTGCACTCCAGCCTGGGCAACAAGAGAGAAACGCTGTCTCAAAATAAATAAATAAATAAATAAATAAATAAATAAATAAACAAACAAACAAACAAAATAAAAAGAAGGGCCAAGTGTGGTGGCTCATCCCGGTAATATTCCAGAGCTTTGGGAGGCCAAGGCAGGAGGATCACTTGAAGCCTGGAGTTTGAGACGAGCCTGGGCAACATAGCAAGACCCCATCTCTAAAAAAAATAAAAAAATTAGCCAGATATGGTGGCATGTGCCTGTAGTTCCAGCTACTTGGGAGGCAGAGGCAGGGGGAATCACTTGAGCCCAGGAGTTCACGGTTACAGTGAGCTATGATTGTGCCACTGCACTCAGCCTATTTGACAGAGTAAGACCTAGTCTCTAAAAAAAAAAAAAGAAAAAAGGTGGCCTGGGTGCAGTGACTCATGCCCATAATCCCAGCACTTTGGGATGCCAAAGTGGGCGGATGACCTGAGGTCAGGAGTTTGAGAGTTTGAGACCAGCCTGGCCAACATAGCAAAACCCTGTCTTTACTAAAAATACAAAAATTAGCTGGGCATGGTGGCAGATGCCTGTAATCCCAGCTACTCTGGAGGCTGAGGCAGGAGAATCGCTCAAACCTGGGAGATGGAGGTTGCAGTGAGCTGAGACCAAGCCACTGCACTCCAGCCTGGGTGACAGAGGGAGACTGTCAAAAAAAGAAGAAGAAGAAGGAGAAGGAGGAGGAGAAAAGGAAATGACAGGAGAGAAGAAAGAGAAAAAGGAAGGAGAGGAAAGGAGAGAAGGGAAGGAATGAAAAAAAGAAAGGAAGAAGGGAGGGAGAATCTTTCCTATACTTTCTCTCTGGCCTCCTCACCATGTATCGACACTGCTACCTCTGCCACAGTGACCCCTGAGGTCTCTGCTCCACAGACCCGGCTATCCTCTGCTGACAACTACTGCCGACACCGTTTGGGGTTCAAGTAGACAGAACTTGGTTTCTATGGCCGATGTGTGAGACAAGACCTTCCCTTCAATTTCACATATCCTAGCAGAGACCAGCCCATAATATTTCAAGGGAAGTGACTGATGATTCAAGAAAAAGGAAAGGCACATTAACAAAAGATGAGAATTTCCAATGACTGCAAAAACTCAGATCCTTCCTTGGGACCCCCACTATCCATCTTCCTGCTATGTTCCAGGCCTGGGCTCATGACAGCAGGAGTCAGTATTTATGACCACCAGGAGTTCTCCCGGAATATTCTGATCTTAGAGTCCAGGCCAAACTGGCCCTAGGCATCAGAGAAAGGAGGAAGTCTTGCCTTACCCCATTCTACGGGGTGGCTCCCCAGACCTCATTTCTAGCCACCGGATTGAACTCTAGCCAGGATGAATAACTATGGTAATAACCATTCCCTTCAGAACGTATTTCCTAAAAGACCACCAGAGTATATTTTGGCCTTACAGTCCTCAAAAGACAATTGCAATAATCTGATATAAATACCTTTCCAATGTCTGGTCAGTCAGCTTTTAGATATCAAATTAAACTCAAATTAAGATATATAATCTGGGAAATCAATTTCTGGCCCATGGGGGAATTGTGCCAAACTAAGTCTAGTTTCTTGTATTGTTGGTCTCTCCCCATTAGCAGCTCAAAATCCTGGGGTCCAGTCTTTCCCAACATCAACTTATTACATGAAGAAAAAACAACAACCAGATATTTGACACAATATTAGAGAAAGGAGAAACGTAATGGTACCAAGAGCCTGGGATGAGATCATGACAGCTATTGAGCACTATAGATAGCTCTAAGTTCACTGTTGCAAGGAAGAATGATTATGGATTGTGTAATTGTCCTCATTTGGTGAGAGGATATTTGTCTATAGATACAAACATGTAATTGAAAGAGACATTCATCACACATTCTTATATAAAGGATATTGAACAAGAGCATAAACAGCGTCTTCAGTGGTAATGTAGCAAAAACCTCAAGGTAAAACACAGCCGTGCCTGGGAGTGGCTAATTCCAGAACTCGACGGGGAGCTGGGTAACAAGAAAGAAAGAGGGGAAATGTTTTGGGGAGGTGTCCACATCGGAATGGAGGGTAGTGAGGACAGCCAGTGGCTTTCATAGAGATTGTCGTCCAGCCCGGGCTAGCAGATTTGAATAGCCGTGTGCTGTGCGGAGAGTTAGTGGACACTCTGTGTTGCCTCCAGCTTCCATTTTAACAGAATCTTGATTTTGTTCAGCTATCCATTTCTCTCTCATGTAGCCATGAGTATCAAGGGAAGAAGACTCCAGGCCCAATTCCAAGAGCTAGGCCTGACTGATTGGTCTAAAGGCAATCTTATCCCCTTGCCCAGATTAGTCTAGGAATATGCATATGACTCAATTCTGACCAATGGGTGTTGAGAACTATGTAAGAGGATTCCAAGAAAAGTTTCTTTGTTTCAAAAAAAGAGCCAGGAGAGGTGTTCTCTCTTCTTCCTCCAAAGTTTATGCCTTGATTTTGTATGATGAGGATTCCAAGAAAAGTTTCTTTGTTTCAAAAAAAGAGCGAGGAGAGGTGTTCTCTCTTCTTCCTCCGAAGTTTATGCCTTGATTTTGTATGATGACTGGAACTCTTATAGCCATCTTGCAGCTTGAGGGTGAAGTCAACACCAAAGATGGCATGTAGGGAGGTGGAAAGAACCCGTATTTTTAGTTTTATTTTATTTTACTTTAAGTTCTGGGATACATGCCCAGAACATGCAGATTTGTTACATAGGTATACATGTACCATGGTGATTTGCTGCATCTACCAACCCGTCATCTAGGTTTTAAGCCACACGTGCATTAGGTATTTGTCCTAATGCTCTCCCTCCTCTTGTCCCCCACTCCCTGACAGGCCCCAGTGTGTGATGTTCCCCTCCCTGTGTCCATGTGTTCTCATTGGAACCCATATTCCTTTTTTTTTTTTTTTTTTTTTTGATACGGAGTTTTGCTCTTGTTGCCCAGGCTGGAGTGCAATGGCACGATCTTGGCTCACCGCAACCTCTGCCTCCCAGTTTCAAGCAATTCTCCTGCCTCAGCCTCCTGAGTAGCTGGGATTACAGGCATGCGCCAAAATGCCTGGCTAATTTTGTATTTTTAGTAGAGATGGGATTTCTCCATGTTGATCAGGCTGGTCTCAAACTCCCAACCTCAGGTGATTTGCCCGCCTCGGCCTCCCAAAGCACTGGGATTACAGGCGTGAGCCACCACGCCCAACCAGAATCCATATTCTTGATGACGTTGAGCTGCTGAATCAACCAACCTGGGAACCTACCCTACCTCTAAACTTCTTATGTACAATAACATATTTTCTAATTTTAAAGCAAATTTCAGTTGGAGGTTCTGTCACTTGTATGCAAAAACATACACTGCATGAATTTTATTTATTTATTTATTTTTAAAGACAGGGTCTCACTCTGTCATCCAGGCTGAAGTGCAGTGGCACAGTCTTGGCTCACTGCAGGCTCAAGTGATCCTCCTACCTCAGCCTCCCAAGTAGCTGGGACTACAGGCACATGCCACTATGTCTGGCTAATTTTTTGTATTTTTGGTAGAGACGGGGTTTCACCATGTTGCCCAGGCTGGTCTCGAACTCCTGAGTTCAGATGATCCACCCTCCTAGGCCTCCCAAAGTGCTGAGATTATAGGTGTGAGCCACCATGCCCGGCCAGAAGATATTTTAAATAACACATATCTACTCCCATGGAACTTATCTTGTAGTGGAGGAGGGCTAGACATTAAACAATTGATTTCACAATTAATTATTTAATTATAATAGTATAAAGTGCTAAAAGAATACAGTGCATAAGAGAGAATCTGATCTTGTCTGAAAGTGGCATATTCCCTTCTCAGTCCCTTTCTAACTGGACTTTTAAATTTCAACTGTGCTTCTTATAAGAAGGTAGTTTACACTTTAAGTCTGAGTTTTGCTTCTTGACAAGGGCTTCTGGCATCTATTTGGTGACCACAGATAGGCTTTAACTATAAGACAAGGGCCAGGTGAAGTGGCCCACATTCGTAATCCCAGCTCTTTGAGATGCTGAGGTGGGACAATCACTTGAGGCCAGGAGTTCAACACCAGTCTGGCCAACATAGTGAGACCCCATCTGAAAAAGAGAGAGAGAGAGAAAAAAAACAACAACCATAAGACCAATAGGTGCTAGAAAGAGGGAGAGAAAGAGAAAAAACTGTATAAGACCAATAGATACTCAAGCTGATAAGCTTCTGTGAAAACTGTGGAGCATGAATTGCATTCCCTCTTGGATGGGAGCAGTCCAACCTGTGGTTTGCCTAGGATGAGCAAATCTCACTTCACTAACCAGCAATGCCAAAGAAATCCTGAAAAATGAGACAACTACAAAAGGTGGGGACAGGGTTTGGGAATCACTCACAGTAGTGTAATCACATATTGGATACATTAAAAGCAAGTGTTATATTAGTTATCAATTGGTTGACTTCTAATGACAAGATAGCAAAATCAAAGTCCTTTCCCTGTACTTTACTCAGACATCAGCCCATTGCCAACAACGAGACTAGCAAACAAAAACACAAACTCCATCCTTGGCAACAGAGGGAGAAATCTGAAATAGAGAAAGCAGGTGGAGAAATTGTCTTAAGAAATTGGAGGAAGGCAAAGCTGCTACAGTAGATTTGCCTGGTACCTCATTCATATCTTCTCAGCCTGCCTGTGACTTCAGCCACAGCTCAAACTCACCTGTGCTGATAGCGTTGTGCCTCATACATGAAACCCGAATTTTTTCTCTTTGCCCTGAAGTTTCTTCGATATTATGAAAGCTGCTTGGCTCATGTGCAGGAAAAAAAGCACTTGGGGAGTGGGACTCCCCAAATTAATGCCAGTGGGGGGCAGTCCTCAACAAAAGGGGGGCCCACAGAAAGAAAGGATGAATGCTTCAATGTCCAGTGCCTTGGGCAGACAGTTGGGAGAGGCACTCTCTACCTTTCTCAGCCCCCAGCTTCCTCAAAGATGACCTTAATAATGTACCCTTCTATTGGCTTTTCCTTCTTCCTTTGATTAGCTTTTCTCTACTTCTTCATACTTGCTTCCTGGGATCATCTCTCAAATAATCTACCTCCACCCAAGTTCTTATCTCAGACTTTACTTTCAGGGAAAACCAAACGAGGGCAGAGGGTACTTGCAAAGGAGACACTGACAAGAAGCAAATCAGTGTCCCTGCAGTACCCTAGAAAGATTCAGGAATTAGTGGCACCAGATGCCTTGGAAAGCAAGAGTGAAGTGTCCAGGGAAAAAGCCAGCCCTCTGCCTTAGCAAGGTACAAAGAAGCCCTCTGGGCAACAAATCCTGCCCAAACATGATTGCAATCAGCCTTCCAGTGCATTCTCTTGTCTTCCCCCAGAACATTAATTTTTCAAAACAGTCTCAAACCCAGGAAAAGTTGCAAGATTAGTACAAAGAATTTTCTTCCCCCTATTTGAGAGTAAGTCACTGACATGATAACCCATCACCACTGAGTACTTCAGTGTATATTTCCTAAACACAAGGACATTCTCCTATATAGCCACAATACAGCCATCAAAATCAGGAAATTGATATTAACACATTACAACCATCCAATTTTCAGACCCCATGCAAATTTCATCAGTTATTCCAAGATCTTTTTCAGCAAAGGAGCCGTTTAGCATTACACGTTGCATTTGGTTGTCATGTCTCTTTATTCTCCTTTTTAATCAGACACAGTACTTCAGTCTTTTCTTCACATTCATAAACTTAACATATTTGAAGATTACAGTTCTAGTTATTTTGTAGAGTGTCCCTGAAATTAGTTATGTCTGATGTTTTCTCAGTGATTAGATTCAGGTTACATATCACAGGAATAATATTATGCTCTTATTGCATCTTACCAGGGGGTATATTGTTTCCGTTTGTCCCATTACTAATGATGTTCACTTTGATAATTTGATGAAGGTGGTGTCTTCCAGCTTTCTTCCCTGAAAACATACTCTTTCCCTTTGTAATAAGCATTTTGTGGGCAGAATATGTTGTTTTTGTTTTTGCTCTCCCTAATTAGAAGAAATGTGGGTAGATGTTTTGAAACCATGCAAATATACTGTTCTTCATCAAACTTTAACTTATTTATCTAGTTATATCACTATGTGCTCATGGTCCTATTTTATTCAGTGGTATATGTCTGGGTTCTCCGGAGAAGCAGAACCAATAAGACATATATATCATATATATATTCACATAATATATGTAAAAAATATTATAATGTATATAACATATTAAAATGTATAACATGAAAATAGCAAACCTATATATGTAAAATAATCATAATATGTATGATTTATTTTTATTTTATTTTTTGAGACAGGGTCTCACTCTGTTGCCCAGGCTGGAGTACAGTGGTGCTATCTCCACTCACTGCAACCTCCACTTCCTGGGCTCAAGTGATCCTCCCACCTCAGCCTTCTGAATAGCTGGCACCACAGGGGCTCACCACCATGTCTGGCTAATTTTTTTTTTTTTTTGAGACGGAGCCTCACTATGTTGCTCAGGCTAGAGTGCAGTGGCATAATCTTGGCTCACTGCAACCTCCACCTCCCAGTTCAAGTGATTCTGGTGCCTCAGCCTCCTGAGTAGCTGGGATTACAGGTGCCTTCCACCACGCCCGGCTAAGTTTTGAATTTTTAGTAGAGATGGGGTTTCACCATGTTGACTAGGCTGGTCTTGAACTCCCGACCTCTAGTGATCTGCCTGCCTTGGCCTCCCAAAGTTCTGGGATTACAGGCATGAGCCACCACATCTGGTCATATATGATTTATTTTATTTTATTTTTTTGAGATGGAGTTTCACTTCTTGTTGCCCAAGCTGGAGTGCAATGGCGCAATCTTGGCTCACTGCAACCTCCATCTCCTGGGTTGAAGTGATTCTCCTGCCTCAGCCTCCTGAGTAGCTGGGATTACAGGTGTGTGCCACCATGCCCCGGCTAATTTTTTGTATTTTTAGTAGAAACGGGGCTTCACCATGTTAGCCAGGCTAGTCTTGAACTCCTGACCTCAGATGATCTGCCCGCCTTGGCCTCCCAAAGTGCTGGGATTACAGGCATGAGCCACTGCACCTGGCCCATATATGACTTATTATAAAAATTTTTCTCACATAGTTTTGGAGGCTGAGAAGTCCCAAGATATGCAGTTGGCAAGCTGAAAATCTAGGAAAGCTGGAGGTGTAAGTTCTAGCCTGAGTCTGAGTCTGAAGGCAGGAGAGACTGATGTCCCAACTGGAAGAGGGCCAGAGAGTGAATTCTCCCTTACTAAGCTTTTTGTTCTGTTCAGGTCTTCAACAGATTGAATGAGGTCCACCCACACTGGGGAAAGGCAATCTGTTTTACTCAGCCTACCAATTCAAATGTTAATCTTATCCAGAAACACTCTCATAGACACACCCAGAATAATGTTAACCAAATATCTGGGTATGCTGTAACCCAGTCAAGTTGACACATAAAATTAATCATCACAAGTGGATTATAATCCATTATTATCATTATTAATTTTGATATGCAAATCATTCTGGATTTGGCCAGTGAACATCTCTGCAAGCTGGCTTCTATGTCCTTTTGACATGTCCCCATCAACTTTTTGGCATTTCTTTACATTCTGGCACAAAAAGATGTTAAACCAGACTCATCTTGCACTTTCTGTGATTGAGCCCTGGAATCAGCCATTTCTCTAAGGAGCCCTGGTTCCTTTTAGTGAAGGATGTTTTTATTATTTATTTATATTTTTATTTATTTATTTATTTATCGAGATGGGGTCTGGCTCTGTCAACCCAGGCCAGAGTGCAGTGGTGTGATCTTGGCTCACTGCAACCTCTGCCTGCCTCCCGGGCTCAAGTGATTCTCCCACCTCAGCCTCTCAGGTAGCTGGGACTATAGGCATGAGCCACCAAGCCCAGCTAATTGTGTGTGTGTGTGTGTGTGTGTGTGTGTGTGTATGTATATGTATGTGTGTGTGTATATATATCACACATATATATACTTATATATATATATACACACATATATATACACTATATATACAACTATATATACACTATATATACTATATATACACACACATATATAGTGTATATGTGTATATATATATATACACAATATATAGTTTATATATATACACTATATATTGCGTATATATATATATATATACACATGTTGTGTGTGTGTTTATATATATATATATATTTTTTTTTTTAGAGACAGGGTTTCACCATGTTACCCAGGCTGCTCTTGAACTCCTGGGCTCAAGTGATCCGTATGCCTCAGCCTCCCAAAATGCTGGGATTACAGCGCCCGGCTGAAGGATTGTTTTTAAAAATCAAGAACTGAGTGCTAGGTATGCTCACTGTGTTTGTGATATCACTGTTTCTGGACTCTAAGAATGGGCAAAGCTAGGAAATATATCTATGTATATCCATGTGGAGTGTGTGTGTTGTGTGTATATACTCTCACATATAGATATTTATATGTATATTTCTTTTTATTTAGCACACTTGGAAGAGGGCCAAGCAGGCGACTTGAGAGATTCAAGTGCATATATGTATATTTATTTCCAAATCTATCCATATATATTGAAGAAAATGTTTCCACCAATACTCAATTTGGAATCCAACTCCAGAAGGTTCATCCTCGTTATCTTCCTTTCCATATTTTTATCTCCATTCTCTGATAACAAAAATCTTATGGATGCCTAGGATATTTTTTATTGAAAAAAGGAAGTTACACAATTGCATGTACATTATGAGCTCATCCTTTTTTTTTTTTTTTTTTTTCCGAGACGGAGTCTTACTCTGCCACCCAGGCTGGAGTGCAGTGGTGCGATCTCAGCTCACTGCAAGCTCTGCCTCCCAGGTTCACGCCATTCTCCTGCCTCAGCCTCCCGAGTAGCTGGGACTACAGGTGCCTGCCACCACACCCAGATAATTTTTTGTATTTTTAGTAGAGACGGGGTTTCATCGTGTTAGCCAGGATGGTCTTGATCTCCTGACGTCGTGATCCGCCCGCCTCAGCCTCCCAAAATGCTGAAATTACAGGCGTGAGCCACCGCACCCAGCCAAGCTCATCCTTTTCTTAAAGTTAATACATGCATTGAAAAAAAAAGTCTGGAGGAATATATATCCAACTGCTAACACTGTTCCCTTCTATCCAGGGAAGTGGGGTTATGGGGGCTTTGCAATTCCTGTATTACATCTATATTTATAATATTTTTAAATTTTTGGCCAAGAGCAGGGGTAACCTTTTTTTTTTTTTTTTTTTGAGACAGGGTCTCACTTTGTCACCAAGGCTAGAGTGCAGTGGAATGATCAGGGTTCACTACAGCCTTAACCTCCTGGGCTCAAGCGATTCTCTTGCCTCACCCCGCTGAGTAGCTGGGACTACAGGCATGCACTACCACGCCTGGCTAATTTTTGTATTTTTAGTAGAGATGAGGTTTTGCCATGTTGGCCAAGCTGGTCTCGAACTCCTGGATTCAAGCAACCCACCCACCTCAGCCTCCCAAAGTGCTAGGATTACAGGCATGAGCCACCGCGCCCAGCATGGGGCGTTACTTTTTAACAGGATGTTGGTGGCTCTTTTCCTGTTGCCCTACAATTGACACTAAAGCCCATGGCCAAAAAAAACAAAAACAAAAACAAAATATCTCACCTTCTAAAGAGAACAGCTTACACTTGAAGTGTAGAACCCTTCTACCCTTTAATCTTCCCCTGGGCTTACAAACAGGATGTACAATGGGTTCTGCTGCCATCAACCACCACCCCTCCACTGTCACCCCCCACCTTCTGAATTATATTAAGATATAGAAAAGGGAAGGCAGGGGCGACTTCTTGAGGGTAGTTGGACTTGTGGAGACTGCAGCGTTTGTTCATGGTAAGCGGGTGTTTTCTTCTCTAACTGAAGCCTTGTATAGGGAAAGGAGGGAGGGGGCTCCAAAGGAATTGCTATTACTAGTATTATTTATTTATTTATTTATTTTTTGAGATGGAGTCTCGCTCTGTCACCCAGGCTGGAGTGCAGTGGTGTGATCTTGGCTCACTGTAACATCCGCCTCCTGGGTTCAAGTGATTCTCCTGCCTCAGCCTCCTGAGTAGCTGGGGTTACAGGTGCATGCCACCACGCCCAGCTAATTTTTGTATTTTGAATAGAGACAGGGTTTCACCATGTTGGTCAGGCTGGTCTCAAACTCCTGACCTCATGATCCACCCGCCTTGGCCTCCCAAAGTGCTGGGATTACAGGCGTGAGCCACCACGTCCAGTCGTATTTTTTTGTTTTTTAAGAGACAGGATCTCTCTCTGTTGTCCAGGCTGAAGCGCAGTGGTGTGATCATAATAACCTCAAACTCCCGGGCTCTGGCAATTCTCCCACCTGTCTCTCAAGTGGCTAGGACTATAGGCATATGCCGCAATGCTTGGCTGATTACTTATTTATTTATTTATTTATTTATTTATTTATTTATTTATTTATTTTGTAGAGACAGGTTCTCACTATGTTGGACCAGGCTGGTGTTGAACTCCTGGCCTCAAGTAATTCTCCCATCTCAGCCTCCCAAACCACCTGGATTAACAGGTGTGAGCCACCACACTGGGCCCCAAAGGAAGCATTTGTAGGGATTAGAGTTGCCTGCAAGAAGATGAGACTGCAATTCTATTTCCCATGTGGACATCTGCTTAGGCAGTAGATTACTGAACTATCTCCAGGGTCTAACTGAGCAAGAGAGAAGAAAATTTGAGGGAGATGGCCCTTTTCTTCTTCCCCACCCCCATATACTAGAGAAACTAGGAATTGTTCTTTTCCTTTAAGGCAGGAAAGAGGGTGTTAGAGTCTCTGATGTGGCCCAATCAGAGTGTTCTAAACAAATTGAGAAACCAGATAGAGATGGTGACAAAATCAGATAGATAGATGGTGACAAAAACTCACCTTTTTGGTAATAAAGGCCAAATTGACGCATATAGTTTAGAGGGGAGCCAAATAAGCGAGCTAATGAACCCCTGAATTAGGCAGACTCACCATCCAGTGGAAGTAGCATGGTCCCCAGCAGCATCCAGACATGGGGCCCTGCCCAGATGAGACTTAAGGAGCAGAAGAGAACTCCTTCTCCCTGCAGGCAGGCTCTAGCCTAAGAACACAAAAGAAAAGAAATTTATTTACTATTATTATAATTTTTTGAGACAGAGTCTCACTCTGTTGCCCAGTCTGGAGTGCAGTGGCACAGACTCTGCTCACTGTAGCCTCCACCTTCCAGGTTCAAGCAATTCTCCTGCCTCAGCCTCCCCAGTAGCTGGGATTACAGGCACGCGCCACCATGCCTGGCTAATTTTTGTATTTTTAGTAGAGACGGGGTTTCACCATGTTGGCCAGGCTGGTCTCGAATTCCTGGCCTCAAGTGGTCTACCCACCTCAGCCTCCCAAAGTGCTGGGATTACAGGTATAAGCCACTGTGCTGGGCTAGAAAATAAATTTAAAAGGAGGCACTGAATCAACCATGCCCAGCCTACTCCCACATTTTTGAATCAAGTAAATACTCTACTTTTCGTGGACAGGGTAAATTAATGGAGAGTGTCACAATAATTGAGCTCTCTTATTTGAAAGGAAACGTAATTGTGAGGCAGAAGACTTCCCCCTATTAAGGAGAGGGGATGGCTTACTGCTACATTTTATTCCTCTACTTCTGCTCTAAGCAATCAGGGTGAAACCTAAGCCTGGGATGAGGAGTAGGTGTGTATGTGATGAGGGTCAGATTTATACTGAATTTAAGTTTTAACTCCAAGTGGATCATCAGTGAAGTGTAAGAGTTGCAACTAAAAAGCGCTTGGAAAAGAACACGGGTGTAAAGCTTCAAGACTTTGGGTTAGGGCGAGGCACAGTGGCTCACCCCTGTAATCTCAGCACCTTGGGAGGCCGAGGCAGGTGGATCACTTGAGGCCAGGAGTTCCAGACCAGCCTGCTAACACGGTGAAACCCCGTCTCTACTAAAAATACAAAAATTAGCCAGGTGTGATGGCACGCACCTGTAATCCCAGCTACTTGGGAGGCTGAGACAGGATAATTGATTGAACCTGGGAGGCGGAATTTGCAGTGAGCCAAGATCACACCACTGCACTCCAGCCTGAGTGACAGAGCAAGACTCCATCTCAAACAAAACAAAACAAAACAAAAACAAAAACAAAAACAAAACAACTTTGGGTTAGACAAAGCCTACTTGGATACAAAAAAAGTATGAGGCTGGGCGCAGTGGCTTACGCCTGTAATCCCAGCACTTTGGGAGGCAGAGGCAGGCAGATCACTTGAGACCAGGAGTTCGAGACCAGTCTGGCCAACATGGTGAAACCCCCATCTCTACTAAAAATACAAAAATTAGCTGGGCGTGGTGTCGCACGCCTGTAGTCCCAGTTATTCAGGAGGCTGAGGCACAGGAATTAGTTGAACCTAGGAGGTGGAGGTTGCAGTGAGCTGAGATCATACCACTGCACTCTAGCCTGGATGACAAAGTGAGAGCCTGTGTCAAAAAAAAAAAAAAAGCATGAGTGAAAGAAAAAATAGACTGGATTTTATCAAAACTTAAAACTTTTGTGCTTCAAAGGCTATCATCAGGGACATGAAAAGACAACCCACAGAATGAGAAGTAGTTTTGCAAATCATGTATCTGATAAGGGACTTGTACCCAAAATATATAAAGAACTCTTAGAAATCAGTAATTAAAAGACAATCTAATTTAAAAATGAGCTAAGGATACAAATAGACATTTCCCCAATGAAGTTATACAAATGGCCGGTAAACACACAAACAAATGCTCAACATCATTAGCCATTAGAAAAATGCAAATCAAAACCACAATGAGATTTCACTTCATACCCCCCAGGATGGTTATAATGAAAAAGACAAACAATAAGTGTTGGCAAGGATGTAGAGAAACTCCCATACACTGCTGGTGGGAAAGTAAACTGGTGCTGCTGCTTTGGAAAACAGTCTGGCAGTTAACAATTAAATGTCATGTTTAATTTTTAACATTTACACAATTTTTAAACAATTACACAATATACATACTTATATAACCTAGCAATTCCATCCCCCCAAAAATGAAAACATACATTCACAAAAAAACTTGTACACAAATATTCATAGCAACATTATTGACAAAAGCCAAAATATTGAAACAATCCAAATGTCCATGAACTGATGTGGCACATCCACACATAAGAATGTTATTTGTCAATCAAAAGAAATGAAGTGTGAATACATACTGCAACATGAATGAATCTTAAAACATTATGCTAAGTGATTGAAGCCACAGAATGTCTACCCTGGACCTCATAGCCCAAGATGGGGATAAGGAATAGGAAGATGCAGCAGAAACATGGCTTCTGGGAGTAAACTTTGGGGGTGAGGCAGGCAGTTTCTGTAAAGAAGATTTCCCTTAGAAAACATATATCGCAGCCAGGCACGGTGGCTCATGCCTATAATCCCAGCACTTTGGGAGGCTGAGGTGGGTGGATCACAAGGTCAGAAGTTTGAGACCAGCCTGGCCAATATGGTGAAACCCTGTCTCTACTAAAAATACAAAAATTAGCCAGGTGCAGTGGCACACACCTGTAATCCCAGCTACTAGGGAGGCTGAGGCAGAAGAATCGCTTGAACCTGGGAGGTGGAGGTTGCAGTGAGCTGAGATCATGCTACTGTACTCCAGCCTTGGTGACAGAGTGAGACTCCATCTCAAAAAAAGAAAAAAAGGGAAAACATATACCGCGGCCAGGCGCGGTGGTTCACGCCTGTAATCTCAGCACTTTGGGAGACTAAGGCAGGTGGATCACTTGAGGTCAGGAGTTCAAGACCAGCCTGGCCAACATCGTGAACCCCTGTCCCTAACAAAAAAATACAAAAATTAGCTGGGCATGGTGGCAAGCACCTGTAGTCCCAGCTACTCAAGAGGCTGAGGTGGGAGAATTGCTTGAACCTGGGAAGTGGAGGTTGCAGTGTGCTGAGATCATGCCACTGCACTCCATCCTGAGAGACAAAGTGAGACCCTGTCTCAAAAAAAAAAATACACACACACACATATATATATATCTATATATCTATATATAGATATATATAGATATATATATATATATATCTCAATATGTGTCCTACCAGGGCTCTGTGGGTAAGGGCTGCCTGTCCCAGGGCTGCATGTTGGTATCTGTGCCGTGTTGACAGCTTTTCCTGGATCTCCTTCGAGTTACACATCCCTGATCTTACCGAGGTCCATACTCTACTATTTGCTTCTGGTTACAATTATGCCACCAAGAGATGGACAGTGAGTGACTGGCTGGGCAAAGGAAGCTCTGAGTCTGAAGGAAGTAGAGAAGGTGAGGGTACAGCTCCCTGAGAGCCTGGCCTGGGGACAGTGGGACCAGCCCCAAAGGGGATAGGGAAGTTATAGAAGACAGACCCCTGGAATGTAAATGGCTGTCTGCTAGACAGCTTAACTGTGCCTCAAAGTCATTTCCATGAAATTACCACCCCAAGGCACTAATAAGTGATCTGGGAGACAGCCAGTATTTTGCATAATTTCCAGAAAGCCAGTACTAAATGGAGACTAGGATTGATTCCCTTATATTTTCTAAGAATAATAAGGGCATGTGGGTGAATGTGTCATCATAGCAGCAGAGGCTGAGGGACACCTGGTGACCCCCTGTTGAGGAGCCAGCTCAAGGGATCCTCTGGAGTAGCGCACAGGGAGGAGAGAACTCAACTTCTGGGGTTTTGCTTCAAAACTGGCCTATGTCTATAAGTCAGGCAGGACTATGACATCTCCCAGGCCCTGGGCTCCTTCCTTCAGCCTGCAAACATGTCCAAGCTTCATTCTACATTATAAAATTCTCCCTCACCCGCCCCGGTTATCATATCATCTCTCTACTCCCCATCACAGTCAGACTTCTAGAAAGAGTTGTCTACATCTGCTGCCTTTACTGCTCACTTCAATGGTTCTCATCAAAGTCATTAAAGCTGAAGTCAATCCCTGCCTCCCTTGCCCTTCTGTGGTATTTAACACTCTTTGGAAATCTTTGTCCTTTAGCTTCTGTAATACCACCCACTCCTGGTTCTCTTTCTATCTTTCTGATTCGTCTGAGTTCATCTTTTTCACGGAATTCTCATCCACAGCCCATTCCTTAAATGCTGTGCACCCAGGGTTCTCTTCTTGGCACTCTTCCCTTCTTGCTTTGGGTGACCTCATCCATTCCTTTGGCTTTAACCAATCCCTGCCGTGCAGAAAACTCCCAGCTCCATATCCCTTTCCCAAGATTCCAGCCTTTATCTTGTCCTACCACCTGGAAACACCATGGTCTCCAAATTCAATATTTACACAATTGAGCTAATCATCAGCTCCTTCAAATTCGATCCTGTGATGTTCTTCAGTTCAGTTGGTGGCAAGACTTGTAGACAATCTCTGCATCTACTGCCAATGAAAATTTACCATCTCCGATTAGCTCTGTCTTTTCTAATTCCTACCCCAAATTCCCATCATCATTACTTTGGTTCAGGTCTCATAATTTCTCACATGGATTTTGCAACAGTTTGCTAACAGGTTTTCCTGCTTCTCATCTTTGCCTCCCTCTAGTCCATCTTCCATATTACTCTCTAAGTGATCTATCAAAAACAGAAATCTAAGTTGGGTAAGGTGGCTCACACCTGTAAATCCCAGAACTTTGGGAGGCCAAGAACAGAATTGTTTGAACCCAGGAGTTTGAGACCAGCCAGGGCAACCTAGTGAGACATTGTCTCTATAAAACAGACAAACAACCACTAGAAAAGTCTGACTCTATCACCTGGTTGAAAATCCTCTAATGACTCTCCATTTCCCTTAGAAGAAAACACAAATGCTTGATCCTGAATCCACTATGAAGGCATTACCCTGGGCCCTCACTGTGATCAGTGGGACCTGATAGAAAGTCTGCAGGTGGGTAGTTGGGAGAGGTTTTCCTCACTACTAAAAAGCAATGCACAGGAGCAGATGCCTTTCTTCTTTGGAGATGAAATGTCTGCTTGTAACACCTGGAAATGCTTTGACCATCTCTTAATCATGAGGAAAGACACTGCAGACATAACAAGGACAGAAGAGCAGAAAGATAGAAAATGTTTGGGTCCTGCTGCTATCCCTAAGCCACTGAATTAGCAAGCCCCAGAATGGCTCACCTCCAGATTTTCTGGAGCATGAGATATTCACTGTCCTAATTATTTAAGCTGCTTTAGTTAGGTTTCGTGTTACTTGGAGCTGAAAGTACCCTAATTAACACATTTATAGGATATTTCTCTTTAAAATAGAGAAAATACCAAAGATTTTGTAAAGATGAAGTCTTCTATGACTCCCTTAGGAAGAATTAGGTCCAAATCCTCCTATTGTTCACATAGCAATAAGTACCTTCCTTTGTTATGACACTTAGAATGGAATTTTTGTTTTGTTTTTAGGTTTCTCTTAACTTATTACAGCCAATACAGTTAACTGCTACAATGAACAGCCAACTGCATTCCCAAATTCAATCTCCTACTCTTGCAAACACAAACTTCCCCACCCCTCAGAGCCACATCCAGCCTGCTTTAGTCCTTAGGTCAGTGCAAGGAAGATAACAATAGCTAGTCAGCTACATTCTGCGGAGAGCTGGGTGTCACAGCTCCTCTCTGCTGAAATATCTAGTTGTGCCGGGCTTGTCGTCATGGAAACACAGCTGATGCTGTGAGCATGTGGCCTAGAGCCTCTGTCTCTTACATTCCCAGCGAGGGAGAGGAGCTGGTACTTGCTAACAACATGATACAATGTCCTATATTATCTGTTGGGTTTGTTGAATGAAGGGGGAGAACAGATTGCTGTGGAGAGGGCTGAGCTGAAAGCATTGTGAGGAATTAGAATTTAGAGAGCTCTACTCTAGTTCCTTTATGAACTAGAGTAAGGCCTGTGCACCTAAAAATGTGTGCAGATGAACCTGGGGAGGCTTGAGGAGTGGTGAGGAGGAGGTAGGGCAACAAACACGTAATGAATGCTCACTGTGTGCCTGACGCTGTATTTTGTACAATAACAATAACTAGCATTTTTGAAACTTTTAAGTCAAGGTACTTTACATATTTTATTTAATCCATTTAACCATCCCATGGGGTGAATTCTATTATTCTCTCAATTTTTCAGAAAAGGAAACTCAGTACATAATTTTCCAAAGTCATGCGGCCAGGAAGTGATAAGCCCAGGCTTGAACCCAGGGTTGTCTATGTCTAAAATGTCTGCATAAACCTATGCTATACTGTCTCTTTGCTATGATAAGTGCTTTGGATTTATTTTGTTCAGATAAATTATATTGATATTAGACTTCTGTCTTAGTCTGTTCAGGCTGCTATAATAAAATACTATAGACTGAGTGGCTATAAACAGCAGAACTATATTGCTCACAGTTCTGGAGGCTGGGAAGTCTAAGATCAGGGTGCCAGCATGGTTGGGTTCTGGTGAGGGCCAGTTTCCTCACAGTTGGCTGCCCTCTCACTGCAACCTCACATGTGGAAGGGGAGAGGGATCCCTCTGGGGTTTCTTTTATAAGGGCACTAATCCCATTCATAAGGGCTTTGCCATCATGACTTAATCATCTCCCAAAGGCCCCACCTCCCAATACCATCATTACCTCTGGGGTTAGGATTTCAGCATATAAATTTTAAGGGGACACAAACATTCAGATCATAGCAATTTCACACCAAGTTTATAAGATACAGTGTTTGTCTGAAATATCCTTACATATAGTAAGTAGGTGAGAGTCTTTTGAATTGTGAATTGTAATATAGTATAATTCTCATGATAATTCAGTGAGGTAGGAATCATTATTTCCATGTTATAAATGAGGAGTCTTATGCTCAGATTGATTAAGCAAATTGACCAGGGTCACATGGCCGCTGGTTAAAAGGGAACAAAAAACCAATGAGTGCCATTCCAAAGCCTGTGTACCATCTATTCTCCGCTATGCTTTAGGGATAGGCAGGTTGCCTGTCTCTGTCCACTGTGCCTTCAGTTGCCAGTGGGTTGATTCCAAAACCCAATCCTCTCATTGATCAAGGGACCTCCATACCCAACTACTTTCTCAATTTCATAGGCAAACTCGGCATTCTCAGACCAAACCAAATTAAAACACAACCACCACAACTAGAAAACCCAATGTCCCTAAAGTTGAACTAAAGATCACCCTAAAACGTGCTCCCCCCTAGTACCCTGATCTCAGTAAATGGCACCATCATTCACCCTATTTTTCATTCCAGTAATGTTGTAGAACTTTATTCCTTAGTTCAGCTAAACTTGGGTTCTTGCCACAGGACCAAGAAAATTAGGCATGTGGATGCATTGAAGGGCAAGTAAAGCAGAACTTTATTGAACAAAAAGGAAAAAAAGAAAAAAACAACTCAGCAAGTGAGATGGAGTCATGCTAACAGGCCCTCCACTTCACAGATTCATTCCCACCCAGGTCACCACTCAGCTGAAGAGAACAGGCTCCTCCGCTGCCTAGGGCACAAACTTCCTGAGGCTCCACCCCTTTCCCCCAGTGTGCAGGTGGACATTATTCAGAGAGAATCAGCTGGGAAAGGGTGGGCTTCATCTGGGACCAGCAGTCTGGTTTTTCAATCTTCAGGCTTTTTTAGGCTTGAAGCTGGGATTTTGCTGGGGACCCTTGGCTGTCTTCTGTCTCTATCAGTAACGTGAGTGTTGCCTTTAACATGGCCTTCTCCCTTTCTCTTTTCACATGGAATCAGTCATTGAGTCCTGATAGTTTTATGCCTCATTGGTCTAGTCACCCCACTTCCCTAACCCATGTCATTAACATCTCTTGTCTGAATTATTGCAAGAGTCACCTAACAGGCCTCCATGCCTCCACTCTTGCATCCTTCCAATCTGGTCTTCATTGCAGCAGCCTCTTACTATCACCATTTTGCTTAGATGATTTCCTATTACTCTTTGGGGAACATCCAGAATCTTTACCACAGCGTATACATCATGTTACGATCTGTTGTGTGTTCGCATAGCATCCTCTACCTTTCCTTTGTGGCAACTGTCACATTTATGATTAGCCACTTCATTAATCATTTATATGATTATTATGTCTCTACATCAAGGTCTGGGCCCTGTATTCTAGTCCTCACTCTGCCACTCACTGTGCTGCCTTGAGCAAGAAGCAAGATCATTGCTTTTGTGCCAGTCTCTTTTGTAAATCCTGTTTATGTATCTGTGTCCTTAGCTGACCTCTGAGTTCCTTTGGGAAGAACTGGGCTAAAAACCAAGTCTGTCTGACTTCAGAACCTAAATTTCCTAATCTTTTTTTTTTTTTTGAGATGGAGTTTCACTCTGTTGCTGAGGCTGGAGTGCAGTGCCATGATCTTGGCTCAGTGCAACCTCTGCCTCCCGGGTTCAAGTGTTTCTCCTGCCTCAGCCTCCCAAGTAGCTGGGATTACAGGTGCACACCACCACGCCCAGCTAATTTGTGTATTTTTAGTAGACACGGGGTTTCACCATGTTAGCCAGGCTGGTCTCGAACTCCTGACCTCAAGTGATCCGCCCGCCTCCACCTCCCAAAGAGCTGGGATCATAGGTGTGAGCCACTGCACTTGGCCAATTTCCTAATTTTTACAGCAGAACAAGAATTAGGAAAATGTGTAGATGAGGAAACTGAAGCCCAGAGTGGCAAAGAAACTTGCCCAACATCACACAGAGCCAGAGTGAGAACTCTAGCCTTCTGGCTCCTAATCCAGGGCTTGTTCCTTCAGCCCACAGCCTTCCCAATAGCAACACCTGGCAGAGGCTAAGCAGAGCTGAAAAGATTGTTCTTCTGTCTACCTTGAGTGTTGGCAGCATTATTGCTAGACTTTGTGGGGTCTCTGTACTCCACCCTCCCAACCTGAATCTTATTGGTGCTTAGCTCTGATGAGCTCTGCAGGTTATCCTCACTGGTCCAAGGCAGCACTGCTCATCAGCTCTGCAGGGGCCTTTAGGTGAGGAAGACATATCCCTGTTGGGCCCCAGAGGACCCATTTGAGTTTCAGATTATTACCTCATAGTCCTTGACTGCCATAATTTTCTTTGGGATCCATGTAGGCTCTGCTAGCTCATATGGCACCTTAGAGCATATTACAAGCAGGTACCCCTCAGGTGAACAAATTGTGAAAGGCAGCTCCTCTGGGAGCCCAGTTAAAACAGCCTCCTCTCTGCCTGCTGCCTCAGCCTCAGGTAGGAGATCCTGAGTTGCCTCCTCTGCAGGTGTCTTCCTTCAGAGTACAACCCGCCCCACCAGAAGCTGTGGCCTGATAGTAGTTCTGAGCCCTGGAAATTCTACAATTCTTCTGGCTACTTCTCTTTATCCTGTGCAATTTGTCCAAAGCCTATTCAGTACCTACTTGGGAAGATGAGCTCTATATAACTCTGCCTCTTCACCTGCTATCTCACACCAACCTCCTAATCATGGCTCTTCCCCTCCTGGAGTTCATAATCTAAGGAAAGAGACCAGGAGAGAATCCAAGGTGGTTCTGGGGTGCCGCCCAAATTGTATCAACTTACCTTCTCTTAGACTCAGACAGGGGCATATTATTAGGCTCTCATGGGCACAAGCCCTGACTGAGGGGTCAACAGGATGGTGGGAGGTAGGGGGAGTGGAGGGACCTAGGGAGAGGTAGTGTGTAAAGGGAGCCAAAGACATAGGACTGGAGGTTAGGAGGCATCAGCCTGTCCCTCCCATAATGGGTTATCCTGGGCAAGTCTGGTCCTTTTGCTGGGCCTCTGTCTGCTAGTAGAGTCTGCAAAGGGAATTGGCCCTGGTGATATCTAGGATCTCTGTCAGTGTGGACATGCCATGATGGGCTCTGTAAGGGGCTCATCAAACAAGAAGAAGAGAGTTTCCCAAAGTGTGCTATACATAGCCTGCACACATTATGCACTCGGACATCTTACGTGGTGATATTATTTGGATCTGTGTCCCCACCCAAATCTCATTTAGAATTGTAAGCCCCACGTGTTGAGGGAGGGAACTGGTGGGAGGTGATCGGATCATGGGGGTTGTTCCCCCATGCTGTTCTTGTGATAGTGAGTGAGTTCTCATAAGAGCTGATGGTTTTGAAGTATGGCACTTTCCCCCTGCCTCCTCCTGTCACAAATGTGAAGAAGGTCCTTGCTTCCCCTTCCTCTTCTGCCATGATTGTAAATTTCCTGAGGCCTCCCCAGCCATTCGGAATGGTGAGTCAATGAAACCTCTATTCTTTATAACTTACCCAGTCTCCGGTATTCTTTATAACAGTGTGAAAACGGACTAATACACGTGGCATATAAGATGACATTAGGTGGTTAGAGAATGAACATTTTAAATTTAATGGTTATGTATTTCTTAATAAAGTAAATTATATCAGGGAAAATATAGAACAAACACTTAAGGGAGTAATATATATTTTTTATTAGGAAATATTTTTTGTTAGACTGTTTTAAAGAAAAAATATTCGTTAACTAAATGTACATGTGGCATATAAATACAGCAAAACACATGAAGATGGTATGTAAACGACTGATACTTGGGGAATGCGGATTTAGAGAACATCCCATTTTTTCCTGAGGGCACTTGTCTTGCTTAACCTTCTCCTCTGTACTAATCTTTTCTGATAATGAGTACAACATCTGATCGTGGTTCCTTTTACACTTTGACTGCTGTGAAACTCAGAACTCAACTCCAAACCCAGTGTCAGAAATGTTATTGATCTTTATATTGGCAGGTGTGTGCTCTCCTTTGCTTTGGACCTGATTTCCTTCCCAGTTCTAAGCTATCACTGCACTATAGTCTTCCATTTTAAACTGTGGAAAGTGGAAAGTGATGATTTACCAATACACACAAATAACATTCAAAATTAAAGAACTACGAAGTCCTGAAATGTATACATCTAGCGAACAGGGACTGGCATCAGCTTATCCTTCATAATTTGCAAAGCAGTTTTCATTACTCTTATATCATTTGTATCTTCATTAATAAGACTCACGGCTACCTCTTGGGACAAATAGGATCATTATATCCATGTCACAGATAGGGAAGCAGAGGCATGAATGTGACCTGCTCATGGTCACATGGGTTGACAATCAAATCTAGGTCCTCTGACTCCTGTTTTTATATTTCTTTTGCGTCACCGTAATTTGTGTTTTTGTCTTTTTAAAGTAAGACCGATAGCCCCCCTGGGTGGAAATGGAGGGGAGAGCTGCCGCCCCGCGAGGAATGCCAAGGGCTCCTGAGCGCGCAGCACATGATCCCCGCCTGCCTTCGTTCCCCGGGCACTGCTCCGCAGCGGGCGGGGCGGGCGGGCTGCCAGGACGGCCTGGCCAGGGAGCCGCTTCATGATGGCTCCGCTGCAGCGGCACGCGGGCTCCGGCGGTCAACGCAGCGCTGGGCAGGCCCCGGCCGGGGCTAGCTGTTGCGGAGCCGCTCTGCCTGGTTGGCTTGGCTTTTCACAGGCTTACAGCTTCCTAGCTCCTCGAGCACAGCCTGCTAGCACCCCTCGTCAGCGGCGCCAGCGGCACCTGGGTGCCCGCGCGGTGCCCCAGCATGTTCTAGCTCAGTGCCCTTCCGGAGCCACGCATCCGAGCGCGTCGCCCCGGGCCTTCTGGGCAGAGGCTGGGGCGAGCGCTCCGCTAGGGAGAGGGCTGTCTGCTGGCGACCGTCGGCACGCCAGCCTGCCCGTTCTCGGATCGGTCCAACCCATTTCTTTCCTCTGCCCTTCTCTCCTGTCACCTGCGCACTTTGCTCTCAGAGAGAAAGTCTTTCACTTAGTTCTGGTTTCCCCAAGCACCGGGCTGTGGGAGATGTTGGAAATTCTGGCAATAGTTTCCTAGGCACACAGTCAGCGTGATTTTCTTTAAAAAAAAAAAAAAATTAAAAGCGGGAGAGGAAATCTCCTCCTCTCCCCACCTCTTTAATTAGGCAAACAAGGTACTCAAGGTAGGAAAACACGAAAAAAGCAAAATAGTATAAAGGAAAAATACAAACATTTCTTCTAACTACCCCTGCCTCGCAACCCAAGAGCAACTGTTGTTAACATGTTAGTATCTGTCCCTTCAGTATTTTATGCCTGTGATAGCATGCTTTATTCTCTGTACAAAAGAAAGGGTGTCACGTTGTAGTTATTATTTTGTAAGTTTTTTTTTGTTGTTGTTGTATTTTGCTTAGCAGTAAATCATGAACATTTTCTGTACCAACCAATATTCTTTTACAATACGATTTTTTTTGTTTGTTTGTTTGAGACGGAGCCTTGCTCTGTCGCCCAGGCTGGAGTGCACTGGTGTGATCTCGGCTCACTGCAACCTCTGCCTCCCAGGTTCAAGCGACTCTCCTGCCTCAGCCTCCTGAGTTGCTGGGATTACAGGTGCGTGCCATGAAGCCCAGCTAATTTTTGTATTTTTAGGAGAGACGGGTTTTCACCAAGTTGACCAGGCTGGTCTTGAACTCCTAGCCTCAAGTGATCTGCCCGCCTCGGCCTCTCAAAGTGCTAGGATTACAGGCATGTGCTACTGTGCCCAGCCTACAATATGATTTTTTAATGGTTGTGCAGCATCCCATTCTATGGATATATCATAATTTATTTAACCAATACTCTGTTGTTTGACATTTAAGTAGTTTCCATTTTTTTCTACTACAACAATGCTATAATAAGGATTCAAGAATTTACATTTTCATGCCTTATCTCTGATTATATTCTTAAAATAAATTCTTGGAAACCAGTATTGCAAAGTCAGTAATACACACATACTTAAGGCTTTATCCCAGGAGCTCCACAGTGGTTTTAAAACAAAATTGTTATTTAATGTAAAAACAACATTAGAGCAACAATAATGAATTCTTCAAAAGAAATATCCACAAAAATCCTTCTCTAACAAATGGATGGTTTTTATTTGTTCATGTTCCTGTCCCTCTCTATATGCAAAGATAATTTTTACAGCTATGCTAAACTATTATGGTTCCCAGGAATGCATACTCACACTGGCTACAGGGTCTCATTGAAACCATTTAGCCAAAAGAGGCTGGAGTCCAGCTAAGCCTGTAGGACTGGACCTAGAAAGCTGTTCTGAATCTAAGGCATCTCTCTAGAATTCTTGATCCTCAGTCTAACACTGCTGTTTACCTAAGTTAGCTACTCTTTGGGCTTTCCTTTTTTTCTGTGTCTACCTCTGTCTCTCTGTTCACCTGGCTGACTTCTTCACACTGTACTCTATCTTTTCTTAGCCTAATATTTTCTGGTTCCTTATAACACATGAGTTCATAGCCTCTCATGGCCCTTGCTTGATGACATAGTCTATATTTTGTTTTCGTTTTTTGTTTTAAGACACAGGGTCTCACTCTGTTGCCCAGGCTGCTGGTGAGCAGTGACATGATTATAGCTAATTTTTATTTTGTTTTATTTTATTTATTTTTTTGAGATGGAGTCTCACTCTGTCACCCAGGCTGGAGTGCAGTGGCGCGATCTCAGCTCACTGCAACCTCCACTTCCCGGGTTCAAGTGATTCTCATTCCTCAGCCTCCCGAGTAGCTGGGATTACAGGCGCCCACCACCATGCCTGGGTAATTTTTGTATTTTTAGTAGAGACGGGGTTTCACCATGTTGGCCAGGCTGGTCTCAAACTCCTGACATCAGGTGATCCACCTACCTTGGCCTCCAAGAATGCTGGGATTACAGGTGTGAGCCACCGTACCCAGCCTAATTTTTATATTTTATTTTATAGAGATGGGGTCTCATTATATTGCCCAGGCTGGTCTGGAACTCCTGGCCTCAAACAATCCTCCCATCTCAACCTCCCAAAGTGCTGGAATTAAAGATGTGAGCCACTGTGCCAAATAATTCTCTAAGTATTTTTTTTTTTGAGACGTTTTGCTGTCTCCCAAGCTGAAGTGCAGTGGCACAATCATACCATGCTGCAGCCTCAAACTTGGGCTCAAGTGATCCTCCTGCCTCAACCTTCAGAGTAGCTGGGACTACAGGTGCATGCCACCATGCCCAGCTAATTTATTTATTTATTGTAAAGACGGGGTCTCATTATGTTGCCCAGGCTGGTCTCCAACTCCTGGCCTCAAATGATCCTCCTGCCACAGCCTCCTAAAGTGCTGGGATTACAGGGATAAGCCACTATGCCTGACCATTCTGTGTATTCTTTAAACTTCAGCTCCTGATTCGATTTGCCTGATTCTCTTGGTATTCTACCAATTTTGATTCCAAAGGATGAGAATCTTACTGGACCAATTCACCCCTGTTTGAGCAGAGAGTTTTGCAATAAGCATCTCAAAGGATGTTGGGTACTCTGGATCAGATGTCCACCCCTGAGCCAATCAGCTGTGTGGAGTGGAGGGTGGTCAGTGAGCCACACAGCACAGAACATGTTTATAGCTGCTCTGCTCATCAGGTGCAGTGGATGATTCAGTTCCTTTAAAGGTGACAGTGGCCACTGCAGATAGCTGGGTTTGTATGTATAGTACATAACATAGATACAATTACTCATTCTAGGGTTTTAATTACTATTATGTCATAAACATATAATAGCTTCAAAATTATTTATCTCACTACAGGCATAGTGGCATAGTATTTCATCTAGTGGATAGACTGTAATTTATTTAAGCAATCTCCTATAGATAGACATTTAGATTTAGTTATTTTTTTAAACCAGTTTGGAAAATTCTGTAATGAACAACTTTCTCTCTCTCTCTCTCTCTCTATATATATATATATACACACACACACAAATATATGCATATATATGTATATATTTTTACTTCTTCTAGATTTTTCCCTTAGGGATATATCAATAAATAATTATATGAGCTGCAAGGAAAGAAAACTTCTTAAAATTGCTTTTAAAGTAAGAGGCTATGTTTCTCATATAACAAGAGATTCAGAGGTGGGTGGATGTTGGCTTTGGTTCTCTTGGCCATTTTCTCATGTTTATGTTCTCAAAGTGGCTGCTGAAGTTGCAGTTGTAACATCAGCATTCATGGCAGAAAGAGGTAGAGATAATGCCAGTCAGGTCTACATTTTTGTCTTTATCATCCCCAGATAACCTCCAGTGGATACAGACTTAATGTCTCATTTGATTAGAATTGTGTTACATGGCCACCTCCACCTGTAAGGGAGACTAGAAAAATAAGCATTGTTCCAGTCTTGTCACTGGAAGACAGCAAAGGAGAAAACAGTTGGTAAGGTATATTAAGCCAGCCTTCTTGGCGATCCACAAGGGCTTCTTAAATGTGTTGAAGCTGCAGAAACCTTTCAGCAGACAAAATCTTGCCTGGAAGCCTATTTGGAAAAGGTGATGAAAGTGGAGTTGCTCTGGTTGAAGTGGGGGTAGGAAGCTGAGAGCTTTATGTGGTCGGCATCTCTGAATATCACCCAGTAGTTGATAAATATTTCCTGCTTTTCAGCTGTCCAGCATCCATATCATCCTGCAATTAGTACCCAAGTCTTCTGCTTGAGGGTTCCCCATATGTGTGTAGATTTGAGAGGTAGTTCCCATCACCCATTAGGAAACCAGAGACCTAGAGTCTTCACCCTCACCTCCTGCTTCCTTGAAAAGCCTGAGGCATGTGATTTAGGTTCAGTCAATCAGACATCCTTTCTTATGAATCACGGGCATATGACAGTTTGGGGGTAATTAGAGGTCATTTTCCTCTCAGCAGCAGTGCCACATGCACCTAACTGTTCTTGCTCCGTGACCTGTAGTGTAGTTCCAGCTGCCTAGCCCTCTGGAATTCTCTTGTTTCCTGCCTATTTTCAGAACATGGTTTTGTAGCTTCTCATTGATTCTGTTGTGTCCAAGTTTTCCCTGTGGATTGCCCTTTTGCTTAAGGTAATCAGGGTTAGTTTTTCTTGCTTATAGCCCCAAACCTTGGTTAATGTATATCCCTACTATCAGTTCCACAGACAATTCTGTAGCACTTCTTGGCTTGCCAGAAGCATAGTTTAAAATCTGCTGCCTTGGGATAAATCTCTTGGAATGGAATTAAGGAACAAAGGTACAAATAGTTTAAAGTTTCTTGATAATTATTGCCAAATACCAGTCCAAAAGTGTTGTACAAATTTACCTAACCACAAGCATTGTGTATTATCATTGTTTTGCTTTTTGCTAGAATAATGGCAGGGAAAAGGTTCTCATTAATGTTTTAATTGCATATGCCTGAAAATAAGAAGCTAAGCATTTTTACTTATGTTGACATTTTTCAACTTATGGATAATATGTTTACTCAGGCTTTAATTGTTCTTTTTATGATATGAACTTTATATAATTTAAATATTTATTATTTGCTTTACTGAAAACTTTTTATTTTTATCTTGTTACTTTTCTTTGTTCAGAAGCTTCACTTTTTTTTTTTAAGACCAGGTTGGGCGCGGTGGCTCACACCTGTAATCCCAGCACTTTGGGAGGCCAAGGTGGGCGGATCACCTAAGGTCAAGAGTTCGAGACCAGCCTGGCCAACATGGTGAAACCCCATCTCTATTAAAAATACAAAAATTAGCCAGGCATGGTGGCGGGCGCCTGTAATCCCAGCTACTTGGGAGACTGAGACAGGAAAATCACTTGAACCTGGGAGGCGGAGGTTGCAGTGAGCAGAGACTGTGCCACTGCACTCCAGCCTGGGCAACAAGAGCAAAACTCCATCTCAAGAAAAAAAAAAAAAAGAGAGATGAGGTCTCACTAAGTTGCCCAGGCTGGTCTCGAAATTCTAGGCTCAAGCAATCCTCCCATCTCACCACTGCCCCCCACTAACCTCCTGTACCTGCCACCCAGTAGTTGGGATTACAAGCATGTACCACTGTAATAAAAATCTTTTCCTTCATGATTTCTTCTTTGCTTTAATGCTTTGAAAGTTACCATTCCTTCAAAGATCTGATAAATAGTAAATTCAATTTCCTGCAGTTTTTCCGTGATTTGGCTTTTCTATGTTTAACTCTTTAATAGTCTAAGATATATTTTTGTTTATGGTATAGAGGTATGAATCTAAATTATTACTGGCTTTTAGATTCATATGCTTTTGTGAATACCAAAACACCCGGGCTTATTGGGTGTCTTTGTTTTGCTTTGTTTTGGGTTTTTGTAACGCAAAGAAAATTTCCCAGGGAGCCATGCCTTGTTATTCAGAGAAATGTGAGTAAAATGGAAAAAGAAACTTTTAGATAGAAACAAAGACAGAAGGAGAGAACAATTGGAACAGAGACAGAAAAGCTGAGATAGAGACTAAAACAGAAACAAAGATAAGTGAAGGAGCAAAGAGCAACAAGCCAAGGGAGGGAGACTAAGATCTAGAGGAGGAGAGGGCTTTGTGTCTAGGCTTGGAGCTTGGATTGCTCACTGAGGCTGTGGGGCTAAGGTGATGTTCAGGGGCAGCAGTGGAGGATCTCCCTTGGCCCCACTACCCGAATCCAGTTTTAGACTGTCCCTGGATCTGGGGAGGCCCCACATACTATTGGGGGACTTCAGTTCCCCATTATTCTCCAGCTGGCTCAAGGTCTGGAGGATCTCAGGGCTTGGAGAAAAGTATCTTTCCTCTGCCCTCTCCTTAGTCCTCCTTCTTGCCAGTTTGTCTTCAGCCTAGCATTCTAGGAAGGACAAGATCCTTAATACCAGCCATCTAAAATGGCCACAGGTGGGGCTGTAGAGTCCAACTATCTCAGTCTGGCTCTGAAGTCCCATTCTCCCACCCCACATTACTTCCATCCCAGTCTGTTTCCTGGAGCTTAGCCCCCTAAATCTCTCCCAGTGTTCCAGCCAGCACCCTTTCTTCACTGTTACCTGTAGCCATTGGCTGAAGACTTTTGGGTTCCATGTACGAAGGTGAAAAATCATTTATCGAACACCTACCATGAGTGAGTCACTGGACTAGGTTCTCAATATAATTAGCTTAATTCTCACAATGGTCTTGTGAGATAGTATCCTTATCAGAGGGGTTAAGTAATTGTGCCCATCAATAAAGGGTAGATCTGGGATTCAAACCTTGGGCCTAATTCCAAATCTTATAGTTTTTTTCCCCTGTGTCAAGCTTTTGGGCTTATAAAACATCTCCACTAGAAATTGTCTTCCCTAGAATGCCTTCCTCTTGATCTCTGCCTATCTAGATGACATATTCCCATCACTGTACTGTACAGGGCTATTCTTCTACTTCTGATTGCATGTAGCTCAGGCTTCATTTGACACGGGGGCCTTATTTATAGCCTGTCTCCTATGCTTACCTAAGTATTGTGATATTTTTGTCTTGTCTCCTCAACTGAGTTATAACCTAGCACTGTGTATTTTACTTCTTTGGACTTCCTGCATTGCCTCACACTGTGCTGCCAACTGTTGGCTCATTCATTCACTCACCAAATATTTTCTGAGAAACCTCTATGTGCCAGGCACTGAGCCAGGGGCTACAAAGGCAAAATGATCTGTACTTTCAAGAACTTTCAGCTTAGTGCACAAAAAATGTGTTTACTAGATGTTTGTCAAAAATATTTTCCAAACCAGTTTTGATAGATTCCCTCCCTGTAGTATGGCATTGTCATGCTGTAGTCACAGAAAGATGTGGACTCTATGCTCTGGCTCTGGCATGAAAATCTGTACAAAGGGGCCAAAGACCAAATGGCTATCCTTCCTGCTTACTAGAGTACTTTCAGGCCTGGACCTTGGGCGATGACCCCTTATTCAATGCTCTTATCACCTCTTATCAAGGTCTGAATCTTTAATAGATAGCACTGAGGGGATGTTGGCACATATCTTGCCTTGGGGTCAGATAGACCTGGAATTCAAGTTCTGCTTAAGTGACCTTCAGCCAGTCCCTTCAGCTCTCTAGCCTTAGTCTCCTCACCTATAACATGTACATTCTAATCTCATAGCAGGTTCACAGGATAGGTGAGATGTTATTTATAATGAGAGCTTCCAAGTCCCCCAACTGTGACTTTGGGATCTTCAACAACTTAACCTGTCTTTTATTCTTTCTACCTCTCTGATTAATTAACACATTATCTAAACCTTTAAAGCTCTAGGTGGCTGTTGGTACACATTTGTTGGACATATTGCAATTTGTAGTTTTGTGGTTTGTAGTTACATCTAACTTTACACAAATAAATGTGTTTCTGAAATGACTCAAAATAACTTTCTGAATATAAAATCTTTTTCCACATTCATTTTTTAAAGGTTTCAATTAAGTCATTTTTTTCTGAATAGGTAATTCACTCACATAGCTCACAATTCAAAAGGCACCAAAGGGTTTATATAAGAAAAGTTTCCTGGCCAGGCACAGTGGCTCACGCCTGTATTCCCAGCACTTTGGGAGTCCGAGGCGGGTGGATCACAAGGTCAGGAGATCGAGACCATCCTGGCTAACACGGTGAAACCCCGTCTCTACTAAAAATATAAAAAATTAGCTGGGCGTGGTGGCACATGCCTGTAGTCCCAGCTACTCGGGAGGCTGAGGCAGGAGAATGGCATGAACCCGGGAGGCGGAGCTTGCAGTGAGCTGAGATTATGCCATTGCACTCCAGGCTGGGCGCCAGAGCAAGACTCCATCTCAAAAAAAAAAAAAAAAAAAGGAAAAAATCCAAAGTACTTCAAAATGTGAAAAAAATTCCACATCAAAATGCAGTCAAATGCAGTCAAAATGCAGTAAAAACTCTACTAAAAATACAAAAATTAGCCAGGTGTGGTGGTGGGCACCTGTAATCCCAGCTACTCGGGAGGCTGAGCCAGGAAATTGCTTGAACCCAGGAAGCAGAGGTTGCGGTGAGCCAAGATTGCACCACTGCACTCCAGCCTGGGCAACAAGAGGAAACTCCAAAGAAAAAGAAAAAAAAGAGAAAAGTTTCCCAGTTTCTTATTCTTCCAGAAAGAAAATCTGTGATTACAATCAAATACATGTTTGTTTATGCTCCCCCCTTTCCACAAATGGTAGTGTATCACACATGCTGTTTGGTATCTTGTTTTTTCATTTAAATAAATCTTGAAGATTGTTCCAAGTTAGCAGGCATTTTTTTTTTTTTTTTTTTTTTTGCTGCATAGTATCTCATTGTATCAATGAACTTTGATTTATTTAACCAGTTCCCTATTAATGGGCATTTAAATTGTGTCAGTCTCTTGCTATCACAAATAGTGGTTCAGTGAATAACATTATATAAGTTATTTTGCACATGTGTGAATATACTTGTTAAAATTGTTATTAGAATTAGATTTGCCAGGTCAAAGGACATGTAAATTTGTAACGTTGCTAGACATTGCCCACTCCCGGGGACTATTTATATCTTGATTGAGGTTCCTCCAGAACAACCTATCTTTGTGACAATGATTCTAGTGCATTTGTATATTTGGGAGGTGCAGGGAACACCAGAAAGCTGGGGGAGAGGGAATGACGCAGGGATGGGAAGGCAGCCATTAAAGGGATGTGTTATTAAGCCAGATACTACAGTGAATAATTCTGAGAAATGGTGCAAAATACTTACTTCTGGAATTTCCTTATCAAAGGTGAAGAAGGTGAAACTCCCAGGAGTCATAGGAGGAAAGCTGCTCTGGGATGTGGAGGTGTGAATTGGGATAATACCCTGGCCTGGCCTGCTGGTGGCCAGCACGGACTTCCACAGTTCAGAAAAAAAATCCCTCAGGTAAAGAGATAAAATTCCATGAGGCACTGGGCCACTGAGGAAAATGGAAGGTCCTAGGATATGGGCTGAGCTCAATCAGCAATAAATTAAAGTGTCTTTCCTCAGACTTTCACTCAATAGTGTTACCAAATATTTCATCTTGCCTATTTTGTAGGGGGAAAATAGTACTTATAAAACAAAAAGTAGTAACTCTAGGTAGTTTCAATTTTCATACATTATAATTCACATCAACTTTTAAAATAATTTAAGCCGGGCACAGTGGCTCACGCCTGTAATCCTAGCAGTTTGGTAGGCCAAGGTGGGCAGATCACCTGAGGTCAGGAGTTCAAAACCAGCCTAGCCAACATGGTGAAACCCCGTCTCTACTAAAAATACAAAAATTAACTGGACTTCATGGCATGCACCTGTAATCCCAGCTGCTTGGGAGGCTAAGGCAGGAGAATTGCTTGAACCTGCAAGATGGAGGTTGCATTGAGCTGAGAGTACGCCACTGCACTCCAGCATGGGCAACAAAGCAACACTCTGTCTCAAAAAAAAAAATTAAACTCATATTTAATACTTTCCTAATAAAGAAGTGTTACATGTTCTAGAAAATCATCACACTCTCATCCCACCCTGTGAGTAGGTGTTATTACTTTCATTTTAAAAAACTAAAGAGAGGAATGAAACACTAAAGGGGCTTAGTGATCTGCCCCAAACCAGTCAATTTGTCTGTGGTGAGGATGGGTTTTCTTAGTTTAAAACCCATGCATGCTCTGTCTGTTATGCCAAGCTGCCCTTTCAAAAAACTTTTATCTTCCAAGTGGGATAAAACAGAACAGCCACTTAACCTCTCTGTTTCTTAATCTATGAAACAAAGGGTAGAGAACCTCTGTTGTTAGTGCCCACCAGCATTCATTTGTCATTTTCTAAAAGCACCTTTATGTAGCTCTATCCCTCACCCATTTTCAGTCTGGATAGCTCATGTGGAGTTAACCTCACTTGCATCTCCAGGTACCTCTGGAGTACTTAAGGAAACTTCTGACCCAAGCCTGGCTGATGAGAACATCAGAACAGTTGTTGGCTCAGGGACACGGGCATTCAGCTCAAATCCGTCCAGTTGGAGCTAATGAGAATCAATTCCAGGTCTTATTTTATTTGTTTTTTGAATGGTTTGGAAAAGAACAGTCAGGAGAGATAAAACCTCTTTCTTTTCTTCAGAAACTGCTTAGAGAAGTGGTTCTCAAAATGTGGCTCCTGGGAATTTGCTAGAAATGAAAATTCTCAGTTGTTACCCAAGTCCTGCTGAATTAGGGACTCCAGGGGTGGGGCCCAGCAATCTGTGCTTTAACAAGGCCTCCAGGTGATTCTGAATAGTGCTCACGTTTGAGAAACACTGGCTTAGGGAAAATATAAGTGGAGTCATCTTGCCAACACCAGAGGAAACCCCCCTTATGACTAGAGCCATGCAGAACAGAGCTGAGAGATACAGAGTTCTGAAGGCATCATTTGAGTCTATGAGTCTAGTAGTGCTTGAACTTAAATTGACTGTTATATCATTTAGCTATATGAACCAATAACCTTTTCTTTTTTTAACAGGTTGGGTATCCCTTATCTAAAATGATTGGAACCAGAAGTGTTTCAGATTTCAGATTTTTTTGGTTTCTGGAGTATTTGCTTTCTTTTTACCGGCTGAGCATCCCTAATTGGAAAATCTGAAATCTGAAATGCTCCAATGAGCATTTCCTTTGAACATCATGTTGGTGTTCAAAAAATTTCAGATTTTGAAGCATTTCAGATTTTGGATTTTCAGATTAGGAATACTCAGCCTGCATTTCAGTTTGAGTTGGCTTTGTCACTAGCAACCAAACAAGATCTGGCTGTCAAGAGCAACACTTATTCTCCTAATGTTTCCAAGTGGAGAGATTTCCTTTGAGAAGCGGTTCTCAAAGTGTGGTCCCTAGATAACCGTCTCATGTGGGAATCTGTTTAAAAACACAGTTTATCAGGCCCTACTGCAGGGTTCTGGGAGTGGACGCCAGCAATCTGTGGTATAACAAGCTCGCCAGGTGACTCTGATGCTTACTAAAATTTGAAAATCACTAGAGCAGAATTCCTGGCCTCTCTTTCCACCCCTTATTCATTCTTCTCCATGAAGAAGATATGAATTATCTAATTAGTAAGTTTGGCATGGTTAGTTTAATGCCTTCTCTTTCTTCTCTTTGGGAGCCAGCTTGATTAAAGGGGACAGTTATTCTGTTCCTCTATGTGCCACAACAGAGGCAGATCCCCATAAGATAAGGCCAGCAGTCTTTCCAGCACTGCCTGTAACTAGGTGGGAAGTTTATTCTGGGAACAGTGTAAGCAAGCCCATTTGACCTCACTTCTAAACCATATCTCCCAGTCTAGCTCTTATCAGTCATAAAGCTGACATATTGATCCCCATCTGTTGGTTTTCTGTGCCCTATTTCTCAGTTGGTTCAGAATGTGGGTGAAAAGAGAGTTGTTATTTAGTGAGCCCCTAGTGCCTGACTAATATAGGCAATCTCTCAGTCCCTTACCCTTCTAATATTCTAGGATGCCATGTTCCACACTCTCTCCAGGGATCCTGAGTGCTCTGGGGAAGAAAACCTTGTTTGTTCTCACCAGATCACTGATGTTGCATCTGTGGGAGTCAGAAGTATCCCTTGCCCCATGGGCACAGAAGGGAAGATTGCAATCATAAAGCATTTCCTTTCTGTTCTCTCCTGAAACAGTATAATTCTGTGAGGCAGGAATGGGGCCTAAAAACCACTGCATTTTAAAAAGCTTCCTAAGAGCTCTCTACCTTGTTTAATTATCAGGTTCTGCCAGCTGTCTAACCTAAATCTATATGGCTACTCTTGAAGCTATGCCCACTGTTCTGGAGGTTA
Source organism: Homo sapiens (assembly GCF_000001405.40). Classification (NCBI taxonomy): domain Eukaryota; kingdom Metazoa; phylum Chordata; class Mammalia; order Primates; family Hominidae; genus Homo; species Homo sapiens. The sequence continues at coordinate 14,369,248 of NC_000011.10, read as the reverse complement.
GAAATGTCTTAGTCTGTGTTTGAAAAAAGATAGGACTTCCCTCTTCCCCTTTCCACTGTGTTGTTCTTTTCTGAGTTCTTCATGAATCTTTTTTTTTTTTTTTTTGAGACCGCGTCTCCCTCTGTTGCCCAGGCTGCAACGTAGTGGCGCAATCTTGGCTCACTGCAACTTCTGCCTCCCAGGTTCAAGCGATTCTCCTGCCTTAGCCTCCTGAGTAGCTGGGATTACAGGCGCCCGCCACCACGCCCAGCTAATTATTGTAGTTTTAGTAAAGACGGGGTTTCACTATGTTGGCTAGGCTGGTCTCGAACTCCTGACCTCAAGTGATCCACCCGCCTCGGCCTCCCAAATTGCTGGGATTACAGGCGTGAGCCACTGCGCCCCGCCCTTCATGAATCTTTAAAACAACAATTGTCATGGTCCTGGTGAGAAGTGTGGATTAAAGAAAGACCTGTTTGGAGCTCCAAAAATTGGGCCTGGGTGCTACAGAGAGCTCGATTTTCAGGGCTTAGTCCCCTCAGAGCAGTAGGTATGCCTCTCTTTGGAAAGCTGCTGTAGAGAAGAAAGAGAAAAAGTCGCCATCACAATTCCCCTGAGTGACAGAAGGCTACATAAATGTTTTTTTGTATATTAACACTCATTCTCAGTTTTCCTAGAATAGTTAATTCTCCTCGATGATTTAACTCCCATACCTTTTTACATAAATAGATCATATGTGTATAATCTGGCTCCCACTTTGTCCATATCATTAACAAATATTTGCAAATAAAATTTTATATTTTTCGCATTAAAAAGAAATAGTGGGCCAGGCATGGTGGCTCATGACTATAATCCCAGTACTTTAGTGGGCCAAGGCGGGAGGATCACTTGAGGAGTTTGAGCAGCCTGGGCAACATAGCAAGACATCGTCTCTACAAAAAAATTTAAAAATTAGCCAGATATGGTGTCACATGCCTGCAGTTCCAGCTATTTGGGAGGCTGGGGTGGGAGGATGGCTTAAACCCAGGAGTTCAATGCAGTGAGCCATGATTACGCCACTACACTCCAGCCTGGGCAACAGAGTGAGACTCTGTTAAAAAGAGAAAGAAAGAGACAGAGAGAGAAAGAGAGATGAGATTGCATTTCATTAAAATTAAAAAGATGCACATCCAAGAACATTATCAAGAGAGTAAAAAGACAAGCCATAGGATGGGAGAATATGTTTGCAAATCACATATCTGATAAAGGTTTAATATCTAGAATATATAAATAACTCCTACAACTCAACAACAAAAAGACAATCTGATTAAAAACTAGGCAAAGGACTTGAATAGACATTTTTCCAAAGAAGACATGCAAATGGCAAATAAACCTGTGAAAAGATGTTCCACATCATTAGTCATTAGGGAACTGCAAGCCAAAACTACAGTGATATATCATTTCAAACCTACTAGGATGGCTATAATAAAAAAATGAAAAATAACAAGTGTTGACAAGGATGTGAAGAAATTAAAACCTTCATACGTTGCTAGTGGGAATGTAAAATGATGCAGCTGCTGTGGAAAACAGTGTGTCAGTTCCTCAAAAAATTAAACGTAGAATTACCATATGATTTAGCAATTCCATGATTAGGCATATCCTTGACAACAAGAATTCAAACAGGTACTTGTACACAAATGTTCATAGCGGCATTTATTCTTAAGAGCCAAAAAGTAGAAACAACCCAAATGTTCTTCAATAGGTGAATGAATAAATAGTGTTATATCCATACAAAGGAATATTATCCAGCCATAACAAGGAATGAAGTATGAATATGTGCTACAACATGGATAAACTTTGAAACACTATGCTAAACAAAATAAACCAGACACCAAAAGACAAATATTGTATGATTCTAGTTATATGTAATGTCTAGAATAGGAAAACTCATAGAGAGAAAGTAAATTAGAGCTTTCCAGGGGCTGGAGGTGGAAGAGAATGGGGAATTACTTTAAAAAAAGATAGAGAATACAAAAGGTAGAAAATAAAACTCATCTGTGATTTCACTCTCTAGGATAACTGAGTATCCTGCCAGTCTTCATCTTTTTAAAAAAAATCTATGCATAGTGACTAAGTACAAGCTTGGACTTCCTGGGTTCAAGGAAGTGCACTTTGGGTTCAAGGAAATGCACTCTGTCATTTAGTAGCTATAGGACATGTCTGTGCTGCAGCTTTTTTGTATAATACAAAAAATAATAGAACCCACTCAGATGGTTGATGGATTAAACTGGATAATGTTTTGTTTTTTTTTTTTTGAGATGGAGTTTTGCTCTGTCACCCAGGCTGGAGTGCAGTGGCACAATCTTGGCTTACTGCAAGCTCCGCCTCCCGGGTTCACACCATTCTCCTGCCTCAGCCTCCCGAGTAGCTGGGACTACAGGTGCCTGCGACCACACCTGGCTAATTTTTTGTGTTTTTAGTAGAGACGGGGTTTCACCATGTTAGCCAGGATGGTCTCGATCTCCTGACCTTGTAATCCACCTGCCTTGGCCTCCCAAAATGCTGGTATTACAGGTGTGAGCCACCATGCCCAGCCTTTAAACTGGATAATGTTTTGAATGGTAAGCACAGTGCCGGGTTCCTGGTAAGTGCTCAATAAATGACAGCTTATGTATTAATATATATCGGTATCTATCTATCTTGGTAATTGTAATTACACTGGATATACTGCTTTTTCTTTCTTTTTTTTTTTTTTCTTTTTTTGAGACAGAGTTTCACTCTTGTTGCCCAGGCTGGAGTGCAATGGTGCGATCTCGGCTCACTGCAACCTCCAACCCCCAAGTTCAAGGGATTCTCCTGCCTCAGCCTCCCAAGTAGCTGGGATTATAGGCATGCGCCACCACACCCTGCTAATTTTGTATTTTTAGTAGAGATGGGGTTTCTCCATGTTGGCCAGGCTGGTCTTGAACTCCCGACCTCAGGTGATCTGCCCGCCTCGGCCTCCCAAAGTGCTGGAATTACAGGCATGAGACACCATGCCCGGCCCAAAATATCTTATTTCTAGTAACTGGCCAGTGGATAAAAATAAATATGTCTTAGACTGAGTAATGGATAAGCAACATAAATGTATTTCTCACAGTTCTGGAGGCTGGGAAGTCCAGATCAAAATGCTAGCAGATTTCACGTCTGGTGAGGGCTCTCTGCTTTACAGATGGTGCCTTTTATGGGTCCCCATGTGGCAGAAGAGGCAAACAGTCTTCCTCAAGCCTCTTTTATAAGGGCATTGTGATGGTTAATACTGACTGTCAGCTTGATTGGATTGAAGGATACAAAGTATTGATCCTGGGTGTGTCTGTGAGGGTGTTGCCAAAGGAGATTAACATTCTGAGTCAGTGGGCTGGGAAAGGCACACCCACCCTTAAACTAGATGGGCACAATCGAATCAGCTGCCAGGGAGGCTAGAATATAAGCAGGCAGAAAAATGTGAAAAGAAAGACTGGCCTAGCCTCCCAGCCTACATCTTTCTCTCTTGCTGGATGGTTCCTGCCCTTGAACATTGGACTCCCAAGTTCTTCAATTTTGGAACTCGGACTGGCTCTCCTTGCTCCTCAGCCTGCAGGTGGCCTATTGTGGGACCTTGTGATCGTGTGAGTTAATAGTTAATAAACTCTCCTTTATGTATTTCTATTTCATTAATTATAGATTAATAAATATCTATATATCTATTTCATTAATTCTGTCCCTCTAGAGAAGCTTGAGTAATAGAGGCACTAATCCCATTCATGGGGGCAGAGCCCTAATAACCTCCTAAAGGCCCCACCTTTTAATGTTATTACATTTAGTATTGAGTTTTAACATATGAATTTTGGTAGGGGGGATTAGACCATAGCACTTATCCTTCTCATTTTCCCATATAAGTAAAAATTATTTTTAATGGCCACATAGTGGCCATTGCATCATTGATTTAACCAAGTCCCCGTTGTTGAATATTTAGGGATTTTTCAATTTTTCATTATTTAAAAAATTCTATGGTAAGACCAGGTGTGGTGGCTCACACCTGTAATACCAGCAGTTTGGGAGGTCAAGGCGGGTGGATAACCTGAGGTCAGGAGTTTGAGACTAGCCTGGCCAACATGGCAAAACCCTGTCTCTACTAAAAATACAAAAATTAGCTGGGCATGGTGTGGTGCACCTGTAGTCCCAGCTGCTCTGGAGGCTGAGGCACGAGAATTGCTTCAACCCAGGAGGCAGAAGTTGCAGTGAGCCAAGATCACGCCACTGCACCCCAGCCTGGGTGACAGAGTGAGACTCTGTCTCAAAAAAATAAAAAAAAAATGCAATGGTGGATACCTCCGTTTGATTCTTTCTGGTAGCCATGCAGAAGAAGAGAGGTATGATTTTTGGCCCTGCTCAGCCTTCTGGGCTCTTGGGTTCCTAAGACAGTGTGCTACATTGAGATGGATCTCAAGGTGGGAGACAGAAATCCGAGTTCCAGTCATGCTTCTGCTCTATTTCCAGGTGATGCTGGGGATTGCTCTTCTCTCTGTGGGCCTTTGTTTCCCCATCTGTGAAAGGAGAGCTTTAGAGGGAATGAACTCAAGATGGCTTTTCTGTTCTAAGGCTCAATGATTCTCAGATCATCCTCTACTAAGCTGCGGATTTCTCCAGCACCATTACGGCCTTCCTCAGGGTTGTGTGTGTGTGCACACGCTTGAGCGTGTGTTTCAATTTCTATTCTTAGCAATGTGATCTTTAAACAAGGAATAGATTTGTGCTTATGTCTCATCTCAGATGCATGCAGCTCCTGCTGGGCGGTTTCATTCTCTGCCAGCCATTCATTCACATTAAAAGCAATGGCCCATTAAGGAAATAAGTGGATGATGCTCCTCCATCACCCATGGTAAGTATTGCAGGCTCTGATCTGGGGGCTTGGCCTTCTTTGGCCAACAGGTCTTGGCTCTGTCTGTTGTAGCTACAGATGAGGTTAGAGGAATCTTGATTCTAGCATCTCCCTCTCCACTCTACCCTCAGATCCTGTCTCTGGGATGGGCCAGGGATGCTGTTTGGTCAATATTGGTTTGTAAAGATTATGAATAACCAACAGTCCAGATGAGATGGTCATTGTTTGTCCTGAAATAAAGAGTGGACAGGGATGAGCACCCTCCTCTAAGAGTTCTTGCTGTGGTGGTGTCTCAGGGTCACTTTATTTTATTTTATTTTTAGACAGAGTTTCGCTCTTGTTGCCCAGGCTGGAGTGCAATGGTGTGATTTCGGCTCACTGCAACCTCCGCCTCCCGGGTTCAAGCGATTCTACTGCCTTAGCCTCCCGAGTAGCTGGGATTACAGGCATGTGCCACCATGCCCAGCTAATTTTGTATTTTTAGTAGAGATGGGGTTTCTCCATGTTGGTCAGGCTGGTCTCAAACTCCCAACCGCAGGTGATCCACCTGCCTCGGCCTCCCAAAGTTCTGGGATTACAGGCATGAGCCACCATGCCTGGCCTATTTTATTTTATTTTTTGAGACGGAGTCCTGCTCTGTTGCCCAGACTGGAGTGCAGTGGCACGATCTCTGCTCACTGCAACCTCCGCCTCCCCGGTTCGAGTGATTCTCCTGCCTCAGCCTCCCAGGTAGCTAGGATTACAGGCACACACCACCATGCCCAGCTAATTTTTTTGTACTTTTAGTAGAGACAGGGTTTCGCCATGTTGGCCAGGCTGGTCTTGAACTCCTGACCTCAGGTGATCCACCTGCCTCGGCCTCCCAAAGTGCTGGGATTACAAGCGTGAGCCACTGCGCCCGGCCATCACTTTAGATATTTAATATACAAATTCAGATTCTAAGTCCGTGTCCTCAGAGGTTCTCATTTAGCAGGTCTGGGGAGGAGCCCAGTTTCTTCATTTTAAAAGACACTACAGGCTGCCTTTTATGTTTGAATAGGAAAAAAATAAATAAATAAAATACACTACAGGGGATTTGGAAGCACATCCTTCGTGGAGAACATTGTCATAGTAGGATTTGCAAGCTCTTAAAGCCCACTAAAGCCAGGCAGGTAACAAATGGGTGGTGTGTGATAGAAGAGTGCTGGTGACCCTGATGAACAGGAGGATCTTAAGTTTTCTAAAACGCAGTCAGTATTTAGCTTTAGCTAGTTGTTGCCAGATAACGCCAGTCCAGTGTTGCTAGATATTCCACTTAATTTTTCCAAGAAGAGTTAGAAATACTGATTTATTTGTGACATACCCTATTTTTAAATATCGGCAACCAATTCAAAATTTACACAAAAAATTTGAATTGTAGGCCAAAACATATGCGCTGGCTAGATCTGGCTCTGAATCTGCCTGTTGAAATCTCTTGACAACACTTTAGCCAAACAAAAGCTTGATTTAAGTCAAAATGATGCAGTCAACAGCTCTCTTGACTGGCAGCATCACACTGCTTCTGCGATGTGAGGCTCTCCGGGGTTCTGGATAACACCCAGCTTGGCATGGAGCAAAGTGCTCTGAGCAGGGGAGTCAGGAGACCTGTTTCCTAATCCCTGCTAACAACTTGCTAGGTGACATTGGGAAAGAAATTCTCTCCCTTGTCACAGGATTTCTTTCTATAAAGTAAGGGGGATGATCTCTATTGTTCTTTCCAAGGTTCTAGATCATTCTTTTTCATGAAAATGTATGTACTTATTATCTGTCAGCTACTTGAAAAGGAAACTTTTCAGATTAAGTTGAAAATTCACCTTTAATTGGCTTGAGTGACAACTAGTTCTTCCTCTCCCATATTCTCCTGTGTCTTCAGTGATTTGTGTTTGCATGGAAGTTTCTTTCTGCTGTATGCTTTTGGGGGTATTTTCTAAGGGAAAGAGCTCATTTTGGCATAGAAAGTCTGGGCGGGGTTGAGCATATGGACTTCTCATTTGCTGAATACTACGTTTGAGTCAAATAAAAAAAATAAAGGAATAGAGTTAATATAGGGAACATTCTGAAGTATAAAGCCACTTCCTTGAACTTCACAGTTCAAATGAAACCTTGCAATTGAATCTTTTTTCCTTGTAGCTTCACTGAGACATAATACAGACACAATAAAATTCACCCATATAAAGCATACAATCCAATGTTTTTAGTATATTTACAGAGTTGTGCAATCAACACCACTATCTAATTTCAAAACATTTTCAACTCCTCAAAAAGAAACTCAATACCTACTATTGGTTGCTGTAATCCTGCAACCACAAATCTGCTTCCTGTATCTATAGATTTGCCTATTCTGGACCTTTTATATAAATGGAATTATATAATATGTGGTCTTTTGTGTCTGTCTTCTTTCATTTAGCATAATGTTTTCAAGGTTTATCCATGCTGTAGCATGTATCAGGACTTCATTCCTTTTTATTGCCAAATAATATTCTATTGCGTGGCTATACGACATTTTTTTGTTTATCCACTCATCAGCTGAGGGACAACTGAGTTGTTTCCACTTTTTGGCTATTATATATAACATTCACAAACAAGTTTTCATGTGAATATATGTCTTCATTTCTCTCAGGTACAGATAAGTAGGGGTGTAATTGTCAGGTTGTTGGTAACTCTACATTTAATCTTTTGAGGAACTGACACATACAGTTTTCCAAAGCAGTGGCATCATTTAACACACCTACCAGCAGTGTATGAGGGCTCCAGTTTCTTCACATCTTTGTCAACACTTACCTGTCTTTTTAATTTTAGTCATCCTCGTGTGTGTGAAGCAGTATTTCGATGTACTTTTTTTTGAGACAGGGTCTCGCTCTGTTGCCCAGGCTGGAGTGCGGTGGCCCCGAGCTCGGCTCACTGAAACCTCCGCCTCCCAGGTTCCAGCGATCCTCCTGCCTTGGCCTCCCAAAGTGCAGGGAATACAGACATGAGCCACAACAATTTTGTTTTGCTTATGATTTTGTGGGTCAAGTATTCAATAAGGGTCGGGAGTGATGGCTCATGCCTGTAATCCCAGTACATTTTTTTTTTTTGAGACGGCTCTGTCGCCCAGGCGGGAGTGCAGTGGTGTGATCTCGTGATCTCACGATCTTGGCTCACTGTAACTTCCGCTTCCAGCGTTCAAGCAATTCTCCCACCTCAGCCTCCGGAGTGGCTGGGACTATAGGCGTGTACCACGCCCAGCTAATTTTTGTAATTTTTTGTAGAGACGGGTTTTGGCATGTTGGCCAGGCTGGTCTGGAACTCCTGGGCTCAAGCGAGCAATCCGCCTCCCTCGGCCTCCCGAAGTGTTGGGATTACAGGCGTGAGCCACTACAATTTTATTTTGCTCATGATTTTGTGGGTCAAATATTCAAGAAGGGCCGGGAGTGATGGTTCATGCCTGTAATCCCAGCACTTTTTTTTTTTTTTTTTGAGCCCGCATTGTCGCCCAGGCGTGGGTGCAGTGGCGTGAACTTGGCTCACTGTCACTTCCGCGTCCCAGGCTCAAGTGATCCTCCCACCTCAGCCTCCGGAGTAGCGGAGAGTACAAGTGCACGCCACCACTCCGGACTAATTTTTGTATTTTTAGTAGAGATGCGTTTAGCCATGTTGGCCAGGTTGGTCTGGAACTCCTGGGCTCAAGCGATCCGCCCGCCTTGGCCTTCCAAAGTGCTGGGATTACAGGCATGAGCCATTGCGCCCAGCCATCCCAGCACTTTGGGAGTTCGAGACTAGCCTGGGTAACATAGAGAGACCTTGTCTCTTAAAAAAAAAAAAATTACCTGATCTTGATGGCATGTGCCTGTAGTCCCAGCTGCTAGGGAGGCTGAGGTGGAAGGATCACTTGAGTCCAGAAGTTGGAGGTTGCAGTGGGCCATGATTGTGCCACTACACTTCAGCCTGGGTGACAGAGGGATCTTGTCTCAAAAAAGAAAAAAAAAAGATTTTTAAAAAAGGAATTCAGGATGGGCTGGCCTGGATGGGTATTTTTGCTTGGGGTCTCTCACGCAGTTGCATTCAGATGCTAACAGGGGATGCCGTCATTGGAAGGCTCGATTAGGCTGAGTGTCCAAGATGTCTCACTTAGATGGCTGGCAGGTGATGCTGGTGATCTGGTGGGAGCTCAGTGGGACTTTTTTTTTTTTTTTTTAAATGGCATGTTGCTCCTGGCCATCAATCAGACTTCGACTGGCATGCCTACATGTAGCCTCTTTAGCATGGCAGTCTTATGATAGTCAAACTTCTGACTTTGTTCCTCCCGGAGTGAGAATACCAAGAGAACAGCTGCATGGCCTCTTCTGATCTAGCCTGGGAAATTAGGCAGCATCTCTTCTGCTGCATTCTACTGGTTCCAAATGAGTTACCAAGTGAAGTCCAAGAACTTGCAGTCATGTTCCAAGATTGCTGTAAATGCTTCCTGTGTAGCAGCACTGTTTTATGTGCTCATTTAATTCTTATTAAAAACCCCATGAGGCCGGGTGCAGTGACTCACACCTGTAATTCCAGCACTTTGGGAGGCCGAGGCGGGAGGATTGCTTGAGGCCAGGAGTTCAACCCCTCGCACTCACACTCCTCATATCCAATTACTGCACATTTGTCACACATAAACATAGCCACTATGACACTGTACTGACACATACAAAATCTGTCACATTCCGTCTTGCCCATGCAAGCTCAATCACTGACTTATTCTCCATGCTCAGCCACTGTCCCATTCTTCACACTGTCACAACCACCAGCCCATCACACACTCAATTACTGTGACACAGCTCTAATCCTCAATCACTGTCACATACTGTTTTTCACACAAATATGGTCACCATCTGTACTCTTAAAGCAGGGTATGTACTCTCCTATAAAATTGAGTTAATATGCCAACAGCCCTATTTTTCGCACACGCCGTCACATATTGTATTTTTCATCCACACAATCCCTTACATAGACAATTAGGGTGACACACTCTTTCTGCCTTCGTCCCACTCCCAACTGACACCCACTCCCACACTCTCACGCACTCGCTCACTGGCTAGGGATTAGAGCGGTGTGTCCGTGGGGGTCTGAAGCCCGGGTTACCTCCCGAACCTCAGCCCCAAGCGGCGCGGCCCCGCCCCTCCCCGCCCCCTCATGCATATGCAGCACCTCAGCCTGGCAGCCCGGCCCCCAGACGGCCATTTGTGGCGGCGCTGGAGGCTGCGTTCGGCAGGCGCTGCGGAGACGCGTAGAGGAGCGCGCCCCCCGGCCGCTGCCGCCCCTGGCCCGTGCCGTCACCCCGCTTCTCCGCGCCTCGGGCGGTACCCAGCCAGTCCCCAGCGCCGCGCTACCGCGCTGACCGGCCCTCCAGACGCCTCCCGGTACCCGGGACCCCAGCCCGGCCGCTCGCCCGCAGCCCGCCGGCCGCACACGTCCCCGGAGCCGGGCCTAGGGCGGGCGGCAGCGGCGGCTCGGCGCAGTCAGGCTGGGCTCTGTAGCGTCCCCATGGCCGCGGCCGGCTGGCGGGACGGCTCCGGCCAGGAGAAGTACCGGCTCGTGGTGGTCGGCGGGGGCGGCGTGGGCAAGTCGGCGCTCACCATCCAGTTCATCCAGGTACCTGGAGCGGGCCTGCCCGGGGCGCCGGAGCGGCGGCGGGCGGGGGCTGGCGCTACCTGTGGCGGGGCGGCCGCCGCGACCTCGCCCCAGAGGCGCCTCGCGGGCCCGGGCCGGGGCCAGGGGGCGGGAGGGCGCGGGGCCGACTACGCTCCTGCCCTGCGGCCGCAGCGTCGCGCTCCTGCCTCCTCCCGGGCGCGGCGTCGCGGGAGTAGGGCTTCTCAGGAATGTGGTCGGGAGGGCGGAGCTGGAAGGGTGGGAAGCACCGATCCACCTTATTGCTCTGGCCGAGGCCAGAGACCTCCGGGAGAGGCTGGGCCACCGAGCCGGGCTTTACTGCTCCGAGGGTCCGGGCGTGGGGCTGGAGCTGGAGCCCCGCGCGCTGCTTTTCCAGCCGCCTGCGGCCGCGCCTTCACCGTCGGGGCGATAGCGGTGGCAACTTGGCCGCGGCTCCGCGTGGTCTCCGGGCTTCCCCGCGCCGCCTGAGCCGGAGCTGCCCGCTTCAAGTACTGTGTATTTCTTTGTGTGTGTGTTACGCTCTTTTTATAAGTACTCTCTTAGGTAATATGTCCGGGTGGGAGTGTGTGATAATGCCCCGGGGAAATGGTGGCTTCTAGGAAGTTAAAAATGTTCTCTGATGGGGTGAGACCATTTCCTAGGAATTCCTGATGCCGTCCTGCTTCTCGCCGTGCCTAGGTGAAGTTTGGGATGGGCCGGGCTAGGATATGACCGAGTCGTGCGTTCTGTTTTCTAACCACCCTCTCCCCTACCCCCAGCCCTCTCTGGTTGCTAGAGACGGTAAGTCAGGGGTTTGTGGTAAAGAAAAGGGAGGTGGTATTCTTCCTTCTTAGAATTTGCTCTTGGGGAGAGGTTTGAGTAGTCTTTTTTGGGATTTTTAAAACACAAAGCCCCGATGTCTTTCTGCTTTTGTCAACCTAAAAGGTGTGGCATATGCTGGGAGAGAACGAAGGTACCCTGTTATAACAGGAAACAAGGATATTTTTCACAGTATCTAGAGTATGAACGGTGAAATATTTTTGTCTGGTTTCCTTTTCACCCATTTGTCATTAATTGGGATACCTGAATAGCTTATTTCACTTAGTGTTTATAGTGACATTAAAATATTGAGTACTGTAACAAATGTGATTGTCACCTTTCACATTGAGTAAATGAGCAATAATTGCTGCTATAATATTCCCTGGATTACTGCTGCTAAAACCTTTGAATCCAGGAAGAAAGGATGTTTTATGTAATGAGCATTTACAGTATGCTTATTAGTGGGTTAAAAAAATCACTGAGTAAGGGGTGAGATTGGTTTAAGTTTAGCAGGCTACAGAATCAGGGATGCTGTCAGGTTGCTATTTCCCTAGGGCGCAGAGAGATTGTACGTATCTAATGGCAAAGCAAAACAATTTATAGCTAACCCTTTGGGGACTAGTCTGATGGCTGAGGGAGGGTGGGGGTGAGGGGATAAGTGGAGGAGAAGTCTAGGAGTGGGAGAATAATCTTGGGTTACAATATTGGTAGTGTTATTTAAAAGATTTGAACCACAAATATTTACGTTTTTTTGAGGAAGGGGCCATCTGAATTATTTGAGCCCATGTTAATTAATTAAGGTGTTGGGCCTTTTTGTTTTGGGGAAGTAATGGTATTAAACCATTAAGAAAGCGGTAATTGGGCCTGGCGTCGTGGCTCACACCTGTAATCCCAGCACTTTGGGAGGCCGAGGCGGGTGAATCACGAGGTCAGGAGTTCCAGACCAGCCTGGCCAATATAGTGAAACCCCGTCTCTACTAAAAATACAAAAATTAGCCGGGCATGGTGGCGCGCGCCTGTAGTCCCAGCTACTCTGGAGGCTGAGGCAGTAGAATCGCTTGAACCCGGGAGGCGGAGATTGTAGTGAGCCGAGATTGTGCCTGGGCAACAGAGCGAGACTCTGCCTCAAAAAAAAAAAAAAAAAAGCATTAATTGCCGTTTTCCTAATAATTTATAGAATCATTTGTTGAAGAAATACCTCCACTGTGAATAGTATAGTACCTGGATGCTCTAGATGATATTAAAGAAGTAAAGGAAGCAGGTATGTATGAGGAAGACATATGTGTACATAAAGAGTATGAACCTTGAGTCTTACAGACTTGAGCATGTGTGTCTTTTAAAGCTCTGTCATTTATCGGCTGTGAGAACATGGCCAAAATACTCAGCCTCTCTGAGCCTCAGTTTTCTCGCCAGTAAAATGGGTCTGATTACACATTCTTTATAACTTTTATGACAAAGATGGTAGCATTGTATCCAGCATGTTGTATGTGCTCAGTAATGGTAGGTGTTATCAGTGTTTATGCCTACAGTTCTGTAACATGTTTAAATGCAAAGGGAATTCAGACTCAGAGAAGTCTGTGGAAAAAATTGATGAAAGCATTATGTAGGCTTGGTGGTGGGGAGAATGGAAATGTCATATGTGGGAGTCATATGCTAGTTTGGAGAGAGGAGGTGGCAAGTGGGGAAGTGGGATTGATAGTTGATTTGGGACCTGTGATCTGGTCTCTGCAAAAAGGAGCCTTTTTGGAGAGACAGGAACCCGACCACCTGGATGCAGTCTCAGCTCTACCACTTGCTGCATGTGTAATTTTAGGCAGGTTACTTAACTTCTCTGTACCTTAGTTTTCCCCATCTGTAAACTGGGGAAATATGGTGGACCACATATAGCTGTGAAATTAAATGAGTTAACATGTCAAGGGCTTAGAACAGTGTCTAGTACAGTCTGTAGTAAAGCTGCATACATTTTTATATTAATTTTAGATTATGGAGCTAAAGCGATTTTTTTATATTTACACTTAATAGGGTAGCTATTCATTGCCTGACTCCTGGAATGTTAAAATTCATTCCACCATGATTGTTTAGCAGTAGTAACTGGAGGGAGAGAACACAGCAGACTAATCATTTTAATAAGCAGAAGTCAGTTCTCTTGGTAGGAGATTAGAATGGCACAAATTGGACTTACTTTTTTAAGACTCCTGAAACACCAGACTGTTTTTACAATTTTCAGTATATATATTTTCTACTATGTGATTTTGAGCAGAAAAAAATATAAAATTGGGAACGGAGAATTTAAAAACAATGCCTTTTACCCTAACTTTCTTTGACTTAGATTTAGTTGTTACCTTCTGTTCATATGAAGAGTTGCAAAATTAGGGAACTAAGATAATTAAATTGAGATACCTTTTCCTTTTTAAAAATAAATATAACAAATCATAAAGTAGCCATGATAAAATGTAAAGTATTATGTTATTTAATGAATATGTGTGTGTACATTACCTCCTCCTTTCTGTTGCTCATATTTCTTTGAAAAATGTGTAAAGTTCTGTTGGTAGGTAGAACACCTAAATGTTAAGTAAACTCTAGGTAGGAAATGACTTCAGGATGGTACAGAGTGGTTAGGAGAGACTGCTGGGTGTGTGGGGTCTATGTCTCTCTACCCAGGTGACTTTGAGTAGTTTCTTAATCTGCCTTTATCTCGACTGAGCTTCTCTTTCTTCCCCATGAAATGTTGGGTTTGGTTGAACAAATTTCTGCACTTTTGAAATTCTAGGAGTGTTTTTTTTTTTTTATTCATTTAACTAGCTGTGTGTTTAGTCAAGTTTCTTAGGTTCTCTAAACCCAAGTTTCACCATTTGAGAAGGGAGAATAACATTAAATAATAGTACCCTTAGGGTTTTTGGAGTAAATAAAATAATGCAGGTAAATCATCCAGCACCGTGCCATCTACAGAGTAAGCAAATAAGAATTGTTGGCTGGGCGTGGTGGCTCACACCTGTAATCCCAGCATTTTGGGAGGCCAAGGTGGGTGGATCACTTGAGGTCAGGAGTTTGAGACCAGTCTGGCCAACATGGTGAAACCCCACCTCTACTAAAAATACAAAAATTAGCCGGGCGTGTTGGTGCGTGCTTGTAATCCCAGTTACTCGGGAGGCTGAGTCAAGAGAATCACTTGAACCTGGGAGGTGGAGGTCGCAGTGAGTCAAGGTTGCGCCACTGCACTCCAGCCTGGGCAGCAGAGTGAGACTCTTGTCTCAAAAAAAAAAAAAAAAAAAAAGAAATTGTTACTTGGTTTTATTTGCTGCTGTTAGTTCTGTATCTTGGTGTTCCTCCAAAACAAAATTTGTAATTTTTTCATTTTTCTTTGACACATAATCTGGTCTATTACTTTAAGTCTTCATTGCCCTCTCCTTCCTGGCTCAACCCTATACTCCCCTCCTTACTTCTGTGTGGTATTCAGGTGATGAATGTGGATTCCGTTTTGAGTTGGAGAAATTTCTTTTTGTCAGTTTGGATTTAATTTTAAGAAATAATGAGGTAAGCATTTAATTTTGGGGTTAGTGCTTTATCTGGTAACTCTGAGAAAAGGCCATATATGTTTTAAAAATTTACAGGGAGGTTTATATATTTTTTTTAGCATATTAACTTTTTATTCAACAATTTGCCAGATTTTGAGGTAGGTAGGGGTTAGCTGATTTCTCACGTCTTGAATTTCAGTCAGTCCTATGACCTGTTAGTCTGGACCCAGCATTGCTTTTTAAAAGTTTGTCTTTTGCTGAGTACTTTTTCATTGCTTTTTCCTGGGGCAGAGAGCCGAGAAGAGATTTCAGGAGATTTGTGTTAATAGTTAATTGATCCACATGTGAAGGTTGTGAGTTTAAATTCCCAATTTGCTGTTCCATTGCTACATCTCGAAGATTTTTCCTGCAATTAGAAACTACTTAAACTGTTAACTTTTATCTATTATTTTGAAACTAGACATTTTTAGTGTTTAAACTTTTTTAACATTAATGTACAAATGAATTGTTAGCATTGAGAAATAAGACACCTGCCCCCAAAGTGGTACCATACTAAAGGTTTTCTTGTTTGGGGAACAGTTGAAATGGTCCTGCAGGCAATTCCTAGATAAAATTTCTGTACACCCAAGGAAGAACATTTTCTTATAGAGGATGACTGCCTTTGGAGAAGAAGGAAATTTTAACCTGCAGTTTCTTAACTTACGTCTTATTCTTGTTTTGTTCATTCTCTTTCTCTTTGTGTCTGTCTCTGTGTGTGTGTGTTTGTGTGCATGCGTACCCCTGTTTTGGGATAAGGAAGTTGTAGGAATTGAGTGGGGACACTTTTTTTTTTTTTTTGAGACGAAGTTTCGCTCTTGTTCAGGCTAGAGTGCAGTGGTGCAATGGCGTGATCTTGGCTATCTGCAGCCTCCACATCCTAGGTTCAAGCGATTCTCCAGCCTCAGCCTCCCAAGTAGCTGGGATTATAGACAGGCATGTGCCACAACACTCAGCTAATTTTGTATTTTTAGTAGAGGTGGAGTTTCACCATGTTGGCCAGGGTGGTCATGAACTCCTGACCTCAGGTGATCCACCCGCCTGGGCCTGCACCATGCCTG
Organism: Homo sapiens; assembly: GCF_000001405.40. NCBI lineage: Eukaryota > Metazoa > Chordata > Mammalia > Primates > Hominidae > Homo > Homo sapiens. The sequence continues at coordinate 14,353,334 of NC_000011.10, read as the reverse complement.
GCCGAGTGGGAGCACTTTTGTTGAGTAGGTCAAGAATACTGCTTTCCCTTGGTAGATAACAGGCTACTGCTTACCGGGATGGGATTTTAATTCATCTGATTGCTGAAATATCATGGTCTTTCCTAAGCTTTGAATAAAAATAGTCTGCTCCATTCAGTTAGGAAAATAAATTGATAACTTTAAATTGGGGGAGTAGAGTGGGAAGAGACTTTCTTAAAGCTATTAAAAAAAATTTTAGCTGGGCACGGTGGCTCATGCCTGTAATCCCAGCACTTTGAGAGGCTGAGGCGGGCGGATCACTTGAAGTCAGGAGTTTGAGACCAGCGTGGCCAACATGGTGAAACCCTGTCTCTACTAAAAATACAAAAATTAGCTGGGTGTGGTGGCGGGCGCCTGCAATCCCAGCTACTACTCAGGAGCTGAGGCAGGAGAACTGCTTGAACCTGGGAGTCGGAGGGTTGTAGTGGGCGGAGATCATGCCACTGCACTCCAGCCTGGGCAACACAGCAAGACTATATCTCAAAAAAAAAAAATGTCTCTCTCTCTCTCTCTCCCTCTCTCTCTCTCTCTCTCTCTCTATATATATATATTTTAAAAGTTTCTTTTTCAAATTAAAGTTGGTCTTTAAAATTGAAACAGATTTTGTGATGCCACTTGACACGCCTTTTTTTCTGGTTGGGGAAAATGGTCTTTAGGATATTAATTCCACCGTGCCTTCCTTAATGAAAAGTGATAATGAGTAAAGGATTTTCACTTTGCGTGTAGACAGTATGGAGTTAATAGTCATGAATTTTGTTGAAAGGCCTTGATCTTGAATTACTTTGGGCAGAGCTGCTGAGTCTGTTTGAGATTGAAACTTAAACTTGTAGTTGGTAGGCCTTAGATTTATTTCTTTTGCAAAGAAAAATGTGTTTCAAAGATGCAAAGAAATATAAATTGTCTTAAATTGTACTTGAGAATAATTGGACTGAGCTCCTTGATGTCTTATAAATTATATTTTATTTTTAGTGTTTTATAAAGGCCATGTGATTATTTGTTGCATAGCACTGAACAGCTTTAACTTATAGTTTAATTAAAAATGCAGTCAGTTTATTGTCGGTATATACTAACAGTTTAATATTGCCGTCTTTAACTTACTGTCACCTTATACAATGATTCTTTTTTCTGGGAGAAAGCTCTTTATCCATGTAAGTAAAATTCAGCAGTAGAAATAAGAATATAAGTGTTAAAAAGACATCCGATGTTGCTTTCTTTTTTGACTTTAACCAGATTTCCCAAATGGTAACATTTTACTATATTTGCTTATTCCCTGCAATATATGGTTTTTAAAATCATTTGAATGTAAGTTGAAGACATGATGCCACCCTTATCCTTAAATATCTCTTTGTGTATTTCCGAAAAACCAGGGCATTTGCTGTCTTCTTTTTTTTTTTTTTTTTTGAGACGGAGTCTCACTCTGTCACCCAGGCTGGAGTGCAGTGGCACAATCTCGGCTCATTGCAACCTCCGCCTCCTGGGTTCAAGGCATTCTCCTGCCTCAGCCTCCCGAGTAGCTGAGATTACAGGCGCCCACCACCACACCTGGCTAATTTTTTTTTTTTTTTGAGATGGAGTTTCACTTTTGTTGCCCAGGCTGGAGTTCAGTGGTGCGATCTTGGCTCACTGCAACCTCCACCTCCCGGGCTCAAGCCATTCTCCTGCCTCAGCCTCCCGAGTAGCTGGGATTACAGGCGCTTGCCACCATGCCCGGCTACTAATTTTTGTATTTTTAGTAGAGACGGAGTTTCACCGTGTTGGCCAGGCTATTCTTGAACTCCTGACCTTATGTGATCCACCTGCCTTGGCCTCCCAAAATGCTAGGATTACAGGTGTGAGCCACTGTGCCTGGCTGCATTTGCTTTCATGAATAAAATATACTAACCTAACTCAGAAATTAACATTGATTTGTTATTATACTATTACCTGATGTGTAGAATTTGTTTGAAATTTGCCAGTTGTTCCAGTTACGCCTTTTATAGCAAAAGAAAATCTCAGATTATCCAATTCATTATTTCCATGTCTTACTTTGGAACAGTTCTTTAGTCTCTGTGTTTTATGACATTGATATTTTTAAAGAGTACAAATTAGTTACTTATAGAGTCCCCTCAGTTTGGGTTTGGCTGATGTTTCTTCATGATTAGATTCAGGTTATGCATTTTTTGGGGGGCAGAAATAATACAGAAATTATGTGTTATTAGGCAACATAAGATGTGTTTATTTGACCACATACATGCCTTTTGACTCAGCAGTCCCAAATCTCAGAATTTACCCAGAAGATGCACTTCCCACAGTATGAAAATACACATGTACAAGGTTGCAGCATTTCTTAATTACAAAAATTAACAAGCAGTCTACGTGGTAGGAATATCCAATGGAGCATTATGCACCTGTGAAAAAGACTGAGGGCATGATTAACTGATATGGAGTGCTTTCTTGGATATGTTGTTCACTTGTCTTGGTTTGTCTTGCTTTCAAACAAGCTTGTCCAACACTCAGCCTGCGAGTGGCATGCGGCTCAGGACACCTTTGAATGTGGCCCAAGACAAATTCATAAAATTTCTTAAAACATGAGATTTTTTTTTTGCAATTTTTTTTTTAACCTCGTCAGCTATCGTTAGTTTAGCGTATTTTATGTGTGGCCCAAGACAGTTCTTCCAGTGTGGCTCAGGGAAATCGAAAGATTGGACACCCCTGCCCTAAAGGAATACCTGAGGCTGGGTAATTTATAAAGAAAAGAGGTTTTGTTGGCTTAGAGTTTTTGCAGGCTGTACAAGAAGCACAGTACTAGCATCTGCTTCTGGTGAGGGTGTAAGGAAGCTTCCATTCATGACAGAAGATGAAGGGGAGTGGCATGTGCAGAGATCACATGGTGAGAGGAAGCAAGCCAGTGGGGGAGGCGCCAGGCTCTTTTTAACAACCTGCTGTGGTGGAACTAATAAGTAAGAGCTCACTCACACCCCAGTCCCAGGGAGGGCATTAATCTATTCATGAGGGATTCATCCCCATGACCCAAACACCTCCCATTAAGCCCCACCTCCAACTTTGGGGATCAGATTTCAATATGAGATTTGGAGGAATCGCACAAACCAAACTTACAGTCAGTGAAAAAAAAGTGCAAAAGTATCTACTACTGTGTGTATACTACCTTTTGTGTAAGAAAGAAGGAGAAATAAGAAAATACGTATGTATTTGTTCATTGGGGCAAAAACAAAACACAAAGATAAATTGGAGGTTGATAAGATTGATTTCCTAGAGGATGGGTAAAAAGGTATATGGTGGAAAGGATAGAGGGAATGGGGGCAGGGACCCTTCTGAGGATACCTTTCTGACTTTTGAAACCATGTTAATGTTTCACATACTGAGTATATAAGCAGCAAACACACCAACCAAATCAACTGATGACAAATAAAAACACCTTAACAGGGAGTACAAATAGAAACAAATGAACTGAACCGTATTTCAAATGAGTAACTTAACTACACTGAAGGAGTGAAAAACAACTAATTTAGGTAACTTTTGATCCTAGTATTTGAACTCTGTCCTCAGGATAAAGACAAAAAGATTGAAAGAAACATTGAACTCTAGTTAATAGAGTTAACTAGAATTTTTGGTTTTTGTTGTTGTCATAAAGGCATGGGTTTGCAATTTTGAAGCAATTGTCTATACTGTTATAAGCAAATAAGTAAATATATTGTGGAAAATGGGAGCCAGTTTCTCACTGTTGGAGAAGGGAGTTACAAAGGTGAAAAATGTGAAGGTTAAAATGAACTCTGATGTTTGATTGGAATTGCAGATAGTGGCATAAATTCATAGTTTTAGAAGTATGTAGATATAGGCCGGGTGTGGTGGCTGACACCTGTAATCCCAGCACTTTGGGAGGCTGAGGCGGGTGTATCACGAGGTCAGCAGATCGAGACCATCCTGGCTAACACAGTGAAACCCCCCTCTTTACTAAAAATACAAAAAAAAAAAAAAAATTAGCCGGGTGTGGTGGCGGGTGCCTATAGTCCTAGCTACTCAGAAGGCTGAGGCAGGAGAATGGTGTGAACCTGGGAGGTGGAGGTTGCAGTGAGCCAAGTCGCGCCACTGCAGTCCAGCTTGGGTGACAGAGCAAGACTCTGTCTCTAAAAAAAATAATAAAAATAAAAAATGAATACAAAAAATTAGCCGGGCGTGGTCGCGGGTGCCTATAGTCCCAGCTACTTGGGAGGCTGAGGCAGGAGAATGGCGTGAACCTGGGAGGCGGAGCTTGCAGTGAGCCGAGATCGCGCCACTGCACTCCAGCCTGGGCAACAGAGCGAGACTCTATCTCAAAAACAAGAAACAAAAAAAGAAGTATGTAGATATAGAAATAGATCTCATTATGGATACACATGCGTACATCTGTACATCTTTTTCCACTTCTGTCTGCTAAGATGGCCAGGAAGCAGTGATACCCCTTTAGCAATGAGATCACCTAGCACTAGATCTTGGTTTCTAAATACCATTAATACTATTCTCTACTGGAAGGAACCTTAGAGAAATGGAGGATTCCAGAATAGGGGAAGGAAAAAATACAAAATATGCTTGGAGCATCTTGTAGTCTCATAAGGGAGTGCTCAAAAAGGTAAAATGATGGGGATATTTGAAAGAGACACAGGAGCCAGCCTGGCAAAACTCCCATTGACTGACTATAGGGCAATTTAATCATTGAAATAAATAAGGCAGTACTTGTTTATTACCCATAAATAGAGTAAGGATCTATGATAAATAAATGATCTAGAAGTCCTTAATGTAGAATTCTGACTAATGAATGAACATAAAGGAAAAGGTGGAATTAGTAAGTTGCCTTTTGGCAATTATAACAGTTGATTTAAGTAAGAACCATAAATGGATCTTAAAACTAAGTGGGTAAAAATGGATGTTAAAACTAGTATGTGAAAGTTTGAGAGTAGTAGATGTTAATATAGTCTCAAAGTATGTTCTCATAAGTTATTGTTAATTTTACAGGGGGAAAATAACAACTTTACAGGGGGAAATCTGACACCAACTTGCCCATGTGATGAAAGTCAACATCTTTGATGTTACTCTACATAATAATAATGAGCAGAGTTTGTTTTACTTTGTTATGCTAATGAGATCTTGTCTTTATAATTTGTTCAGCGAGGCATTGAATGAAATTAAGCCTAAAGGAACCAAGCAGAGCATAAAGGGGACCAGGTTTTTTTCTGTTTAAAAAATATATCTTCTTAATTTTGTAGCCAGATGTCTTGGGAGGGAAAGGTTGATAAATTTAGGTTAGGCCAGTAAGGTTTTGTCCATAAACTCTAATCTTTATTTAGCATAATAACTTCCTCCCTTTGCACCAAGTGTGTCTTTTGCTGTACAACTGTTTTTGTTTTTTTCTGTGTTCTGTGGTGGTTTTTGGAAAGTAGATTTTTTTTTTTCTACTGGAATTTATCTTAAAAATTATTTATATTCTTTTAAAAATTTTAAAGACAGGGTCTTGCTCTGGTGCCCAGGTCAGGCTGTAGTGTAGTGGTGTGATGACAGGTCACTGCACCCTCGGAACTCCTGGGCTGAAATGATCTTCCTGCCTCTGCCTGCCAAAGCGCGGGCACTACAGGTGTGAGCCACTGTACCTAAGTTTTTGATTTTTTGTAGCGACGAGGTCTCGCTATGTTGCCCAGGCTGGTCTTGAACTTCTGGCCTCAAGTGATCCTCCTGTCTTGGCCTCCCAAAGCGCTGGGATTACAGGTGTGAGCCATCTGTCCCTGTATAAAATGATTTATATTTTTAAACATACATAATTAGGGAATCAGAAAATAGTGTCTTATTCCCAGTTACAGAAAATGAGAATTAAGCACTTTTGTTAACCCTGTTTCTACCCACTCCTTTCGTACATTTTTTGTCCTTATTTACAACAACCAAAATTGTGTCAGATTCAGTATTTTTAAAAGATTTCAAAAATCTTCTGCATTCTGTTTTGTTATTACAATTACAATAGTTAATACCCATTGGCATTAATCCGTTTGTCATTAAGGGTTATTGCTTTTATTTGCCATTTCTATCATTCTACCTGGTTTTAGTGTTTACAAACAATCCTCATGAACAGCTAGTTTTAATTAATTATTTTTAAAATTGTCTTTATTTAGAGACAGGGTCTTGCTCTGTTGTCCAAGCGGGAGTGCAGTGGCATGATCATAGCTTACTGCAACATTGAAACTCCTAGGCTTTAGTAACCCTCCTCCTGTCTTAGCCCTCTGAGTAGCTAGGACTACAGGCATATGCCACCATGCCCGTCTAACTTTTTTATTTTTATTTTTTAGAGATGGGGTCTCATTTTGTTGCCCAAGCTAGTCTTAAACTCCTGGCCTCAAGCAATCCTCCCACCTTGGCCTCCCACAGGGCTGGTATTATAGGCGTGAACCACTGTGCCTGGCCTTTTTATTTTTAAATTGACAGATAAAATTGTATGTATTTATTATGTACAACAGGGTGTTTTGAAGTATATATACATTGTGGAATGACTAAATATAGCTAACATACGTACTATGTCACATAGTTGTCATTTTTGTGGTGAGAACATGTAACATCCACTCAGCTTTTTACAAGAGTACAATATATTGTTATTAACTATAGTTACTATGCTTTACAGCTACTTTTTATTTTGAATTGTGATTTAAAGAACATTTCCAAGTACTTTTTACTGAAAACATATCTAAGATTAAATTTACTTTTGCATGATAAATGATGATTTGGCTGGGTATAAAATTATTGGGTCCCAACATTTTTGTGTTATAACAGTAGAGGTCCTGCTTTATTTGTTATCTTTGTCTGGCCTCAAGTTTCTGTAGAAATAACTTCACTAGGTGTATGCTTGCAGCATTCTCTTATCATTGGAAATGGACACATTTATCAGGATATGACTAGAAGTTTTTCTCTGTCACTAGTATTCTCAGGGAAATGATGAAACACTCTCAGGTCTGGGAAGACTTCTCCATTTTTGTATTCATTTTTTTCAGTTATCTTCTTAAGTACCTATTATTTACACATTGATTTTCTGTAACTTTATAGTACATTGTTTTAAGTTAGCTAATGAAAAGGATAAGATCCTCTCTATTCTAGGAAGATTTATCAAATTTGTCTTCTCCATCCTTGATGAAATTTTCTGGATGTCACACATAATTACTGTCTCCAAAACATATTTAGTGCCCTTGATTTCTCGGTCTGATATTAAACAACGGTAATGTTCTCTTGTCTTTTCAGAAGGCCACAAAACTGGTATTTTTGTAAAGCTTGATACTATTTAATGAAACAACTTACAGGGAAGTGATTTTTCTTTGTGTGGAAGAATATATTTGTTTTTCTTGTTTATTCATGAAGAGTTGCTCATAGCTATTTTTGGTTTAGGAAGTTAAGAGCTGGTCATCTCTCAGAATTGCCTTGGGGTACTGAGATTTCTGCTTTGTTTTGGTGCTAAACAGCAAGTTGACGTTGGAGAGCTTCAGTTTCTTGGAGATTATCAGTAGCAGAATTTCAACAAATACAAAATTTTACTACACCCTCTAAATCTTAATCTCCAAATATGGGCTTTTGGCTGAGAGGTATACTTTTGTAGAATTAGAGATGTTTAAAAGGGATAGTTTTCAAGTTTTTAAATCCTTCATACCACAGCTTTCTGCAGTGAGGCAAGTGGAAGAGTGTGTGTATTCTTAAAAGAAGGTTATGGATTAGAAAACGATCCCTTTTTCCTTCTTTTGTTCTTCTGTAGCTCAGACCTTGAACAACGATCTGTGTCTGGTTCACCTTGACATTATCTTAAACCCTGTAAGCACTAGACTATAAGTATTTTAGTAGAGGACTTTATATATTTGGTGTGCTTTGTCTGTATCTATGTCTCTTAGTTATATTTGTACATTTTATTCATATTTGCATTTTCAGAATCGTAGACTAGGAATACCTTTGTTACACAGAACTAAGCACAACAAAATATTTGTTGCTATTTGCTAGTATCAAGTTTTGAGTGGAGGCCAGGTGCGGTGGCTCACTCCTGTAATCCCAGCACTTTGGGAGGCTGAGTAGGGCAGATCACTTGAGGTCAGGAGTTCCAGACCAGCCTGGCTGACATGGTGAAACCTCGTCTCTACTAAAAATACAAAATTAGCTGGGCATAGTGACACGCGCCAATAATCCCAGCTACTTGAGAAGCTAAGGCAGAAGAATCTCTTGAACCCAGGAGTGGAGGTTGCAGTGAGCTGAGATCACACCACTGCACTCCAGTCTGGGTGACAGAGTGAGACTGTCTCAAAAAAAAAAAAAAAAAAAATAAAGTCTTGAGTAGGGCACAGGAAATAAATAGTGGAAAAAAGAGGCTTTTGGAAAGATGAGTTGTATCTATTATGGTTCCATAGCATCTAGTTACTGAAGAAGAGAAAGAGCTGGCTATCATTTTGGATTTCAGAAATCATGTGTGGCATATACACGTTGAATCTTGAGTTTTAGAAGTTGATCCGTAGCATTCGGTTTTAGCCAAAATAGTCTTTGGAGAAGATAGTCCTTTCTTAATTTCTGTCTGGCAATTCTGACTTGGGAAGTATACAACAGTCTGAGAGTAAGGTCTTAAAAGTTGTAACTTTTGTTTTATTTCCTGATGAATTTTCTCTTAATGCCTGTTTTTGGTTAATGACGATGTGGTTGACGTTTCAGTAGTCAAAAGATGCGAGCTGAAAGGAAAGCTAAGCAGGTAGTCAAGTCAAACTGCAGAGGAAGATTTGTGGTAGATTTAATGTTTAAGTTTCAGAAATCACATGGAAAAGATATGTGGCTATTAAATTTGTAATTTTGTCCTTTTTGCCTCTAAAATTAAGGTGTGTCAACTAAGGGAAATTTGCCCCATGCAAGTAGGCTTGTGTGCAGGTACACAGAGGCATACATTTTACTTGAGGAAGGAGTGAATTTAAGGTTAGAGAGAGGTTTGTGGGTTTTTGGAATAAAAAAGTGGAAATGTGAAACAAAAGTTAAGTCTGATAATTTAATGACGAGTTGCAGATGTTTAAATTAATGATTGTAGTAGCTTGAGTACTACATGAATTATTATTTTCAGATAATGGCATGGAATTTCCATGCCAACAAGTTGGTTTAAGTGAACTACTTAAAATTTTTTTTTTAAATTATTTTGTTTGAGACAGGGTCTCCCAGGCTTGAGTGCAATGGCACAATCATGGCTCACTGCAGCCTTGATGTCCCCGGCTTAAGTGATTCTTCTACCTCAGCCTCTCCAGTAACTGGGAGTACAGGCGTGCGCCACCATGCCCGGCTGATTTTTGTATTTTTTTGTAAAGATGGGGGTTTCGCCTTGTTGCCCAGGCTGCTCTCGAACTCCTGGACTCAAGTGATCTGCCCACCTTGGCCTCCCGAAGTGCTGGGATTACAGGGGACTACTTTATTTTTGTTTTATTTTATTTTATTTTATTTATTTTTGAGACAGGGTCTCACTCTGTCACCCAGGCTGGAGTGCATTGGCGCGATCTCGGCTCACTGCTACCTCCTTCTGCCGGGTAGAGGCGATCCTTCCACCTCAGCCCCGGAAGTAGCTGGGACTACAGGCGTGCACCATCATGCCCCGCTAATTTTTGTATTTTTTTTGGTAGAGACGGGGTTTCGCCGTGCTGCCCAGGCTGTTGTCAAACTCAGGCTGAGCTCAAGCGATCTGCCTGCGTGCCTTGGCCTCCCAAAGTGATGGGATTACAGGCGTGAGCCACCACGCCTGGCCTACAGGGAACTACTTTAAAATTATCAAGTGACTTAATGTGAAAAATTTCTGATAACCACTGCGAAGATGTTTTATGACGAAGCACTTTGATTCATTTGAAAGTTAATTAAGAATGGAGTAGGAATGGTGAGGTTGCATATTAGTAATTCAAATTTAAGTTTTGAGTCTTTGGGTTATTTCCTTACTATTATGAAGCCTAAGAGGTGTGAAAATAGTATGGAAAACTTTGTCTTCTGTTTCACTATTAGTCTGTAATTTTTAGTTTTTAATTTTATATTTAGAGACAATTGTTTATTTTGTCTCCTTCCTCAAATCATTGCAAAGTATATATTTAGTGTCTATTTCTTTGTAGTGAGAGTTTCAGAAAGAAGCCATTGGCTGAGCTGATTATCCAATGAAGTTGTCTGACATGAGTTACTTTAGTTTGTGGTTTTAGATGAACAGTACATGGTGCACAGCTGTTGCTCAAACAGCTTTGTTCCAGCTGTCTTACTGGCCTGTCACAAAATACCCCACATTCCTTTTCTTTTAAAAACAGAACCTCTTGTAATATTCTATACATTATTACTTAAAATGGATCTAGTAATTAGTGACTTTTCTTCGTTTTTACTCCTATCAATAGCTGTTTACTTAGAGTAGTGCCAAAATGAATTATGTGACATAGATTTCAGCCTTGTCATATTTTTAATTCTTTGAAAATTAAAGTTGCAGTTGTGAAATATGTATATGAGACAAGTTAAGTGATTAACATTGAAAAAGGCACCATACATTAATTATGTCCCCCAAATAAGTAGCTAGTATCTAGATAATGAAACTAGGCATCTTCTATTTTCTTAATATTAACCTTGAGTTTGCATTAATTTCAATAGAATTATGAAATGAAAAGGTATAATATCATGTTCTATAGCTTGTATAGAACCTGTATTGATGAACTTTGGTTTGTATTTTTGATAAGCTGGTTGGTTGGTTGGACTTCATTTTCCTATACAATGCGGTAACTGAATTATATTACTAAGGGTTTCAAGTTTTGTTTTTTAATTAGGAGCAGGTACCTATGAAAAATACATTGAAGTAATTATGACTATTTCATTTTCTACCAGTTACAACCCTTTATGATTGGAAGGCAGCATGGCATCGTCATGGTCATTATTTCCATCCTACAGATGAGGAAATGCAGGCTTGGGAAGAAGGGATTTGCCCAAGGTCCTGTAGCAAGTAAAAAGCGAAGCTGGGATTTAAGTTGGTTTTTGTATTTCTAAATATGATCCTCTTCTCACTACAGAACTATTAACGTTAAGTTGGAATAAAAGTGCCAACACTTACTAGAGGGGAGCTGAAAAGAGTGATAGATACTCTTTCTGAAGTTCTTGGTCATGTGACTGTGTTAACAATTTGAATCTGGGAGGAGCAGTGGGGTAGGAGGAGAGGGAAGGGTGAGGTTTCACCCAAAAGCACACTTGATGTATTTGTATTTCTATTAAAACTGCAATTGATGGCTACTGATAAAAGCTAGTATAGAGCTGAAGATTTGCAGTGGTGTCCTCTCCAAAACGTAGTTTAGGAATACTATCATATGATTACTAATGTTGTATAAATGCATGAGAATGACAGATACCAAATTCAGGATATTGATTACCTCTTGGTGTTGGGGGAGGAGAGAGGGGAATATTATTGAGGAGGCATGCAAGAGTCTTCAATCATATTACAAATGTTTTGTTTCCTAAGTCGGGAGGTGAGTATGCGTATTTATATTTTTTCATAACATTTTCTGAGGTATTTTATAGTTAATTAAGAACAGAGAATGTACTCTGACTTAACTGTGTAGTCAAATGGAAATTTTTAGCTGTTAATTTGGTGTTAAAGGTATCATGACTTGTTTGACGAGACACAAGTGTTTTCTTCAGGGGTTTTCCTTCAGAGTAGGAAACTATTTTTATTTTTATTTTTTTTTTGGTCCTTCTCAAACAACAAATAAAACTTGAGTACATTCTTATTACAGTAAGAAATTCATATTTCAATTTGTGGATAAAACTTGTACGTGAATGTGTGTGTTATGATTTGCTTTAAGAATTACTATACATGGTTTCTGAAGATTTCTCCAAAGCACAGTATCTAATTTTTGTCTTGGTAGTTACAGGAACTGATGATTAATTTTGCCTTTAGTTTCCTATATACAGAAATGCCTTTAACTTTTCTCAGCACCGAATTCATAACACTATTTGTAGGTATACAAAACAAATGCCCACATAATGTAGTTTGAGGTAGGTTTACCGATTGAAAGAAAACCTGGAGTATCATACTAGACCTGTGCTCTGTGCTATGCTGTTGACTTTTTTTGCTCATGAAATTTATTCCTTTAGAAAATGGATTACTTTTGGACCGAGAAGATTTTCATCAAGTGTTGAATTTTCAGGGGGAGGGATAGGATTATTTATGTAAAAAATGTGCTGCCACTCTTTTGGTGGCTTTGCGTATGACAGGAATCTTATTTTCATCATGGGATTAGAAAAAATGCCGTGGTCATTGTTCATCTTAAAGGCTTTGCCTGATTTGGGTACTTATGCCTTTGAGAGAGGTGGGATGGGGGAGAGAAAAGGAATTCTGTGTTCTTGGAACAAGAATGTGAAAGTATATACATTTGAATGTTGCTAATTTCCTCAAGAAAGGAACTCTCCATCTTTAGATTTACAGATTATAATGTTCAAGAGGAAATGGGTAGGGGTAGGTAAGAGGTGGAAGGTTGGGGAAGGTGGAAAAAGTGCTCTTGTTCTTGAGTTTAGAGGTTTGGATTATATCCTTTTTGGGAATTACCTAGGAATTAACTCATGGTGTAAATTGGGGATCCTTTGATGATTGTGGATAGATTTTTACTGAACTAAGGGTCTAACTCTTACGGTATTGATTTTTGAGAACTTGAAAAAGCATTTGCTTCTAGCATGGTTTAGTTTTGTAGGTATTTTTCTTTCGGTGTCTTCTAGCAGAGCCATTCTTCTCATTCCAGTGACAAGTAGAAGCTGTGGTCTGTTAAGACTTTTTAATAAATTGGAAATGGTTCTTAATGTAGGGATTCTTAAACTTTTTTGTGTAAAGGGCTCTTGGTAGTTTGGTAAAGCCTGTGGGATTCTCAGAATACTTTTTTTTGGCTGAGTGCGGTGGCTCACTCCTGTAATTCCAGCACTTTGGGAGGCCGAGGCAGCTGGATCACTTGAGGTCAGGAGTTTGGGACCATCCTGGCCTATGTGGCAAAACCCCATTTCTGCTTAAAAAAATACAAAAAATTAGCTGGGCATGGTGGGGTGCGCCTGTAATCCCAGCTACTTGGGAGGCTGAGGCAGAAATCGCTTGAACCTTGGAGGCGAAGGTTGCAGTGAGCCGAGGTCGCGCCACTACACTCCAGCCTGGGAGACAGAGGGACAGACTCTGTTGCCCTGTCTCCCAGGCTGGAGTGTAGTGGCGCGACCTCGGCTCACTGCAACCTCCCCCACAACCCCCAAACCCTGGCTCAAGCAAACCTCCCACCTCAGCCTCCTGAATAGCTGGGACCACTGGCCTGCACCACCACACCCGGCTATTTTTTTGTGTGTGTTCTTAGTAGGGACGGGGTCTCTCCATATTGCCCAGGCTGGTCTCGAACTCCTGAGCTCAAGCCATCTGCCCACCTCAGCCTCCCAAGGTGGTGGGATTACAGGCATGAGCCACTGCTCCCAGCCAGAATACTATTTTTAAATGTATAAAATAAAATGTATATGATTATAAGGGGAACCAGTACATTTAAATTCAAATATCAAAATGTTAGAAGCAAAATTATTTAACTTTTTAAAAAAATTCTTTTTAACTTTAATAACTTTCTTTTTTAACTTTAACTTTCTATTTTCTTTCTTTCTTTTTAACTTTAGTAGTGTAAATGCTATTCTGACTTACCTGCAGTAGCTATTACATGAAAATATCTGACGTCTGTTGTTGACAATCAGCAGGTATTGCTAGAGTGCTTTATAGAGGAAGTGCTAAGTTTCAGTTGGAGGTATCAGAAAACAAAATTACAACAAATTTAATTGAAAGATCTAATTGGCTTTTTGATCCTAGAATCTGGCAACATCTCATTTTATAAAATAGAATGACTGTTCTGATGAACTGAGCACAGCAGTTTGGCTTTATAGACAGAAAAGGGCTGAAGAAAGCAAAAACAAAACAAAAAATGGATCGGTCTTTTTATTTTTTTATTATAGATTTTTTCTTCCCCCCCCCCCCTTTTTTTTTTTTTTTTGGTAGAGACAGTCTCATTGTGTTGCCCAGGCTGGTCTCGAACAACTGGCCTCAAGTGATTTTTCCCACCTCGGCTTCCCAAAGTACTGGGATTACAGGTGTGGGCCACTGAGCCCGGGCCAGCTGATATTTTTAAAGTTATTTTCCTTGTAAAGGTTAAAGCAGATGGGACTTCCTTATTGTGCCAGCTAAAATTGGCCTGTTTGGGTATTTGGCTGTCATCTCTCATTCTCCTGATTTCTAGAAGGTCAGATAAATGGCGTGGTGGTGTGGAACTTCATTCAGCATGGGTAACTTCATTTTGGTTTGGTCTTTTGGGCGTAGTACAGAAGCTCAGTCCAAACAGATGGCGTCACATAAGTTTGGTTTAACAGAGGTTAGTGAAAAACCGTTTCCCCATCATGTTTTGAAGTTTTAAATCCCAAGAACCCCTTTCTATTGTGGTGGAAAAAAAAAATCAGAATTTGGGATTGAGTCCCATATTCACTGTTTTGTAGTATCTGTATCCTTCTGTAACTCTGAGCTTTAAATCCCCAAAACCCCTTTTTAATGTGGTTTAAAAAAAATTAGGATTTGGAGCCATTTGACTTCGGGATTGAGTCTCATCTTTACATGTTGTGCATTCCTAATTCAAAAATCTGAAATCCAGAATACTCCAAAATCTGAAACTTTTTGAGTCATGATATGATGCCACAAGTGGAAAATTTAAAACTTGACCTCAGTTTTGCTCTTGACCTTGAAACAAAGTACACAAACTTTGTTTCATGAACAGAATTATTAAAAATATGTGTCAAGCTACCTTGTAGATATGTGTAAAAAGTGTATAGAAACATAAATAAATCTCATGTTTAGACTTGGGTCCCATCCCCCAGGATAACTCATGTATATGCAGATATTCCAAAATCCAAAATAATTTCAGATCTGAAACACTTCTAGTCCCAAGTATTTCAGATAAGGGATACTCAGCCTGTACTTACTAGTATCTGCGTCCTTATGCAACTCTGAGCCTTAATTTCCTCATCAATATAATGGGGATGATAATAGTACTTACCTTATAGGATTTTAGCTTTTTATGTGGGTACTCTAGGTATTACATTATTTATGTATAATTTATTGCAACCTACTGATACTGTCATTTTGCCAGTTTGAATAAAGTATGGAAACCTTTATGTCCCTTTATTTTCCTGTTTATAATATAACTTTTAAATATTCTCACTATATACATTTTACAGTATTAACTTTTTTTTTGAACTGTCAAGCATACTATAGAAAACTCGAGAAGGAAAGCTATGGAGTTTGTCCATATTTTTGCTAACCATGTTTTTTCCTTTCTGATGTTTCAAGGTTCCTTTTATTGTTTAAGGAACTTTCTTTAGCCATTCTTTTAGGGTGGCCCTTCTGGCAATACATTCTCTTTGGTTTTCCTTATCTGAGAAGGTCTTGATTTCTCCTTCATCCCAGAACAATTTTTAAAAAATTTACTGTACATAAGATTCTGAGTTAATACAGTAGTCCCCCCTTACCTGCAAGGGCTATATATTTCAACCCCCGCAGATGCCTGAAACTGTGGATAGTATTGAACCCTACATATCCTGTTTTTCCAATAAGGAGATAGATACCTACGATAAAGTTTAATTTATAAATTAGGCACAGTAGGAGATTAGATTATTAATAAAATAGAAAAATTACAACCATATACTACAATAGAAGTTATCTGAATGCGGTCTTTCTCAAAATATCTTTTTGTTCTATATTCTTATGATGATATGAGATAATGCCTACTTGATGAGAAGCAGTGAGGTAAATGATGTAGGCATTGTGATGTTGCATTGTTACTATTGACCTTCTGATGTATGGTCAGAATCATCTGCTTTGGATGATCCTGGATCGTTGAGGCATGATGATATGGCTTGTTGAGGCATGATAATGTCAACAGTTGAATGTTCAGAGCAGACAGTGTCAGTGTTGATGACTAACGGTTGAGTAGCATATACAGTGTGGATACTCTGGACAAAGGGATGATTCATTGTCCTGGGTGAGATGGTGTGAGATTTCATCAGGCTACTCAGAATGGTAAACAATTTGAAACTTTATTTCTGAAATTTTCCATTTAATATTTTTGAACTGTGGTTGACTGTGGGTAACTGAAACCAAGGAAAGTGAAACTGGGGATAAGCAAGGTACTGTAGTTTTCTTTGATCAGCACCTGAAAGATACTGTGCCACTTCTTCTGATCCCCATGGTTTCTGATGAGAAATCTGCTGTTTTTCTCCTGTAGGTAAGATGTTTTTCCTAGGCTGCTTTCAATATTTTTTTGTCTTTTGTTTTTAGAAGTTTAATTATGATGTGTCTTGGTGTAGATTTCATTGGGTTTTTCCTCTTTGGGGTTTATTCAACTTCTTGAATGTGTAGGTTTATGTCTTACCACATTTGGGAAGTTTTCAGCTGTTATTTCATGTACTTTTTCAGCTCTATTCTCCTTGTCTTCTCATTGTGATCCTCTGATAACATGGAAGTTAGATCTTTTGTAACATTCCCAAAGGCTATTGAGGCTCTGTTCATTGCTTTCTTTTCTTCAGTGTGTTTTCTGTTTTTCAGATTTGGTAGTTTCTACTGTTGTGCATTCTAGTTTGTTGATTCTTCTGTCCCTTCCATTTTACTGTTAAGACCATCCACTGAGCTCTTTATTTTGATTATTGTATTTTTTAGTTTTAAGCTCCCATTTGTTTCTTTGTACTTCTGTGTCTTTACTGAGACTTTCATTTCTTTGCTGAGACTTTTTTTTCATTTGTTTCAAGCTGTTGAAACATTTTTATGGAGACTGCCTTAATATGTTTGCCAGATAATTCTGACATCTTTGTTATCTCGATGTTGGTGTCTGTCGATTGTCTTTTTGTCATTTGGTTTGGGATCTTCCTGTTCCTTGGGTTTTTCTTTTGAAATCTGCACATTTTCATATTTTGTTGTGTGGCTCTGTATTTTTTTAGACTGGGTTAGCTGGCTTTTTTGGATACCACTCTGGCAGGAGAAAGGGAAGTGCTGCCTTGTTACTGTGAGGTGAGGCAGGTGTCTAGATTCCCTACTCAGCTTACATTAAGTCCAAAATGTGGGGACGCTCTTTATTACTGCCTGGTGGGGATGGAAGTCCATTGACACTGCTGGGAGAAGGAGGTTCATGCTGGCCAGTTGGGATGAAAGTCTTAGCTCCCCACTTGGTCTTCCCTGACACCACTGCAGTGGGGTGTTGGGGTGCCCCTTTACAGCCTTTTGAGTGTGGGATTCTAGGATCCCCACTTGACCTTCCCTGGTGTGGGCAGAGGTTTTTTCTTTGGTGTCTGTTGGGAGTAGAGCAGCTGTCATCTAAAAGTTTTCTGTCTTGCTGGGACGTCCTGTTCTGGTCCTTTAGCTAGAGAGAGCATTCTTTTGTTAGTACTTTTTTTGTCTGTGTCTGTTGGCATTTCCATGTTGCTGGCTTTTTCAACTCCAACTCTGGGATATATGTTGTAAAAAGAAAACCCAGGAAACTCACCACAGTGTTGGTTTCTTGGATTCCAAAGTGTTGGTCTATATGCCTTCCCTCAAACTTTCAGAGTCTTATGTTTGTCAAGGATTTTTAGTTTTTAGCAGGAGAAATAGGGAAAAGTATGTCTACTCTATCTTTTCAGAAGAAAAAGTTATTTTAAGGGCTTTTTGGTTTATTAAGTAATGTTGTAATTGATGTTTTCTTCTGAAGTTTTGATTTTGTTTCTATTTTTACTTCTCTGCTAGCTCAAAAAATAGATTGATATTTTTATGCCTCATTCAAATTGCAAGTCATTTTGTCATTCATCTTAATTTATGATGAGTTCAGTTCTGAACCTGTTGAGTTTGAGATGCTTCAGGGGCTGCCATATGAAGGTATATATCCCTTTTTATAATCAGAAGAGAAGTGTAGGTAAGAGATTTAGGTGCAGAGGTAGATTTGGGAATGTAAAGTAAGGATTTTTGAAGCTAGTTGGTGTAGATGAGGATCATTCATGTTAAGGAGGTCTGCCGGCTCAAGGTGGGACTCTGGAAGCCTGCCATTAAAAGGGACTCTGGAAGAAGAAAAGGAACAAGATGACTGAACAGAACCCACTGGAGAACTAGAGACACAAATCATGTTAGGTATTACAGAAACCAAGAGAAGACAGTTTCAGGAATGGCTTTGAGTGTTCAGCAGGGTCACAGGTCTTAGATTGGTAAATAATCTGATGGTGAAAATTGTAAGTTTGGATTCAGCAATGAACAGGACACAGAGAGCAGTGTGGGACTAGAAGCCAGACCGCTGGATGGGCAGTCAAGAAAAATGTTGATGGAGGAGAAAGAAGGAAGGTAAGAGCAGAGGTTGGGGCTAGGTTGGTGGTAGTGCAGTGGTGCATGTGAGTGTTTTTAGAAAAAGAAGGTGTCTTGTTTATATGCTGAGGAAAAAGCTAGTACAATAGGGAAGATGTTGGAGGAGGGACAGTTGTTGATGGCAAGGACCTTTGAGAAGGTTGGAGGAGATTTGATTTCTAACTGAAGGATAAAAGATGGGCAGAATAATATACTTTTTTTTTTTAACACTCGCTAGAAGGGTGGGAAGGATATTTATATGGCTATGTTTATGGATGCAGGAGAGTTTTTAGAAACAAGGAAGAACTTGATGGGAGTCCCAGCTAGATAATTTTCTTTGATGTAGGAGACAGACTAATCCATTATGTGTGTGTGTGTGTGTGTGTGTGTGTGTATGTATGGATGCTTTTCAAAAAAGTTTTACCCTCCATCAGTAATTGAATAGGTTACATGGATATATCAGAATTATATATATAACTTAATGGATATGATCAACAACAAGAACTGCATTTTTAAAATAAATTTGCTGATGATACAAATAATTCTCATATCTTAAAATGACAGCAAGGTGAGCAGTTGAAAAACAAATCAATAAACATTTTAAATTGTTAGCCCTCACTGAATAGGAAAAAAAAACCAGGACAAAGTAAAACAATAAACGATTTTTAAATTATCAAATTGACACAGGTTAGTAAAATACTACCTGTTATAGGTAAAGTTATGGGAAATGGGCACTCTCGTGCTGCTATTGAGATTGGAAATCAACAAGCTGAATTAAATCTTAAATTTCATAAATTTCGACCCAGTAGTTATTTTCCAGGTAACTTTTTCTGATGAAGTAATTTCCTATATGTGCAATGATTTGACTGTTGCTTAATCTAAAAAAATTAGAAATCACCTATGTGGTCAATAATGAAGATGGATTAAATATGGTCCATGTCATTAAAATTACTTTTAAAAGACTGGTAAGCTAATGCTCATTAAAAGTAAGGGCGGGGCTGTGTGAGATGGCTGACGCCTGTAATTCCAGCACTTTGTGGAGGGAGGTGGATTGCTTGAGTCCAGGGGTTCAAGACCAGCCTGGGCAACATGGCGAAAACCCGTCTCTAAAAAATTTAGCCAGGCATGCTGGCACGTGCCCGTGGTTGCAGCTACTTGGGAAACAGAGGTTAAAGGATCACCTGAGCCTAGGGAAGTCGAGGTTGCAGTGAGCTGTGATCGCTGCCACTGCACTCCAGCCTGGGCGACAGAGACCTGTCTCCAAAAAAAAAGGGGCAGGGTGGGGGTGGGGAAAACAGATTATAAAATGAAAACAGATTATAAAATGAAATTCACAGTACAGCATAGATTTAATTATATATGCATAGGAAAACAGGACACAAGCTAAGAGTGGGCATCCTTAGATGGTGGAATTATGGATGATTTTAATTATTTTTGTTTTTTTCTTTTCTGTGTCTGGATTTTCTTTATTGAACATGCAATATGTTTATAAGGAAAAGGAATTTTTAAAACTTGAGTTTATAAGCTTAAGGGAATATAATTGGTGTAGTTTTCTAGAGTATAGTTTAGTGTTATTTATCAATAGCCTCGCCTTTTCCTTTGACTTGATAAATACACCTCCAGGGATAAGAACCATAAATATCTATCTACAGTGATATTTATCATGACATGACTTATAATAGTGATATACTAGAATTGTCTTAAATAGACCAATGGTTAAATATAACTCTTTTTTCTAGTGGACTTAAAGCAGATCGGTGTAGCTTATAAAAATTATTTAAGAAATATATATGATGACATAAGTTGCTTATACTATGATTTACCTGAAGAAAAAATACTTTTTGTGTTATTTTTTAATCTTTAAAATAATAGATAAAACAATGGGAAGAAATAGAAATTGACCCAAATGTTGAGTTATCTTTTTCTTTATACTTTCATAAAGTTTTTACAATGGTGTAATTATTTTATAAGAAAAAAGTTGTAAATTAATTTGCTAATTGATATAAAATGATATTTAAACTTTTTTTGGTTTATATTGTTATTGTTTCCAGGGAACTCTGATTCTTATTTTTACTGTTGCATTTTTTTTCCTTGTATGATTTGTTCATGTCTTTGCCCATTATCTGTTACTTTACTTGGAAAAGCCTGTCATGTGAGTTTTGAAAAATTACACACCTTGTGTAACCATCATTACAAGCACATATAGGACATTTCTATCTCTCCAAGAAGGTCCCTTGTCTCCCTTCTGACTTTTTATTCCCATTGTTCAGTTTTGCCTGTTTCTAGACTTTATATAATAGAAATATACAGTATGTACTCTTTTTGTGTCTGGGATGTTTTTGCTTGGCATGATGATTTTGACATTCATCTATGATATTGCTTGTTTCTATGGTTCTTTATTTTATTATTATTATTACTATTTTTGAGACAAGGTCTCATTCTGTTGCTGAGGCTTGAGTGCAGTGGTGCCATCATGGCTCACTGCAGCCTCAACCTCCCCAGGCTCAAGTGGGCCTCCTGCCTCAGCCTCCCAAGTAGCTGGGACTACAGGCACACGCCACCACGCCTGGCTAGTAGTTAGTTCTTTTTTATTGTTTGGTAGTATTTCATTGTATGATATACCACAATTTACTTGTCTGCTTATTGATAGAACATTTGGGTTGTTTCCAATGTTCATTAACTGTGAATAAAGCTGCCCCAGACATTGATGTACAAGTCATTGTTTGGACTTACATTTTCATATTGCTTGGATAAATACCAAGTTGTGATTATTGGGTCGTATGGTAAGTGGATGTTTAACTTTGGGAAACAGGTGGTTTCTTATAAAATGGTTGTACCATTTTACATTCCCAGCAACTGGGTATGGAAATTCCAGTTACTCTGGGTCTTTACCGATACTGGGTATTTTAGCCAATCTAATGGCTGTGCTGTGGTATCTCATTGTGGTTTTAAATAGCTTTTCCTTGACGACTAATGATATTCAGCATCTTTTTATGTGCCTATTGGCCATTGGTATAGCTCCTTTTGTGTGTCTGTATGTCTTTTGTCTCTTTTGAAAATTGGATTGCTTTGTGTTACTGAGTTGTAAAGTTTCTTAATATATTTGGAACACAAATCCTTTGTCAGCTGTGTATTACAGATAGTTTCTTCTAGTCCATATCTTGCCTTTTCATTTGTTCCTTCCCTTTTAATACTTACATCCTCTTTCTGTAGTAGACTTGCCAGAACTTTTTTTTTTTTTTTTTTTTTTTTAAGAGTTGGGGATCTCCCTATGTTGCCTACGCTGGACTTGAACTTCTGGGCTCAAGTGATCCTCCCGCCAGTCTCCTGAATAGCTGGGACTATAGATGTGCGCCACCATGCCCAGGCCAGAACCTTATAACAAAATAGTTCAAACAAAATGAACACAGTAGATAACCTTGTTTTGTTAACTATTTTTTTCTACATCGTGTACAATGGTTTTAAAATTTTTTGGATAAGTTATATAAGTATCCTATTAGTGTTTTCCTTTAATGTTATTTGCAATGTAATTTTACCAGATGCTGTTTTGATATCTGTAGAAATGGATCCTCTTTGTTTTTGTTAAGCCATTACTGTGATATGTTAGATCATTAGAATATATTTACTTAGTACACTGAGGGGTTTTATACACCATCATTTTACCCCAGTTTCTTGTTTATTTTATTAAGTTGTATGGGTGTTGTGTTTCTTGTTTCCAGTTTCTAGGTTCACAGAAACTTGTGACCAAGAATATATTTGACTTGAAAGATGAATTGGGTAGTATGTTCATCTTCATATTCTCCCAGGGCTTTAAATTTTATGTTCTTTAAAAATCTGGATTTAGGGTCAGGCGCAGTGGCTCATGCCTGTAATCCCAGCACTTTAGAAGTCTCAGGCAGCAGGATTGCTTGAGCCCAGCAGTTTGAGGCTGCAGTGAACTATGATCACGCCAGTGCACACCACCCTGAGCAACAGTGAACTGTCTCTAAAACAAGCAAACAAACAAAAAACAAATGAAATTTGCCACTGTTATTAACTATAGTTACTCCTATTGTTGATAAACAATTTTGTCTATTTCATCCTGTTGATTCAGTTTTCTACCTCTTGAAATGTAAGCTTTATGTGTAAATACATTTTTCTTCTTAAAAATTTGGTGTGAAAACATTGCCTTAATTAAATTTCTCAACATATAGCTGTGGTTAAAAGTATCTTATTTTTGTTACAGCCTTTTTCGTTTGAATATTTATATCATCTGAAAAAAAAATTTTTTTTAATGTTAACTACATGTCATCATAATGCCTCTGCTTTTTCAGGGAATCTGAAATGATAAAGACGTCCCCCTCATCAGTGGTACTCATTTAAGTTTCTGAGTATGGTGTTCCCCCAACCCCAAGGAACCAGTTTTTTGTTTTTTAATTGAAACAGGGTCTCTGTCCTCCAGGCTGGAGTGCAGTAGCACAATCATGGCTCACTGCAGCCTCGACCTCCCAGGTTGAAGGGATCTTCCTACCTCAGCCTCCTGAGTAGCTGGGACTACAGGCGTGTGCCACCATGCCCGGCTAATTTTTAAATTTTTTATATAGATTGGGCCTCCCAAAGTGCTGGGATTACAAGATGTAAGCTGCTGAGCCTGGCCAGGAAGCAGTTCTTAAATTATCAGGACTACCAATGAATAGATCCTTGTATTTTTCCTTAAATTATTTTGTTCTGTTTTCCTTTGGGTTTGTTTTCTAAAATCTTAGAATTCATTGCTGTGTTTTTACATCTTTTAATGAACACATTCACATTACACCGTGAATACTACATTGAGTCATTTGGATATTTTTTAATTTTCTTTTTCATTGTTTCTAAGAGATAGGGTCTTAGTCTGTGGCCCAGCCTGGGGTGCAGTGGCACAATCATAGCTTACTATAGGCTCGAACTCTTGGGCTGAAGCAGTCCATCTGCTTCAGCCCCTTGAAGAGCTAGGACTACAAGCATGTGTCACCACGCCTGGCTAATTTATTTTTATTTTTATTTATAGAGATGAAGTCTCACTATGTTGCTCAGGCTGACCTCAAATTCCTGGGCTCAGGTGACTGTCTCACCTTGGCCTCCTGAAGTGCAGGGATTACAGGCATGGGCCACTGTGCCTGGCCCTGTTTTTAATTTCCTAATTTAAAATGTGTCCTTTCATCATGTGAATTTTTATTATATATTTAAAATTTAAGTCTTTGTTGATTTCTGCTTTTTTGTTCTATTTTACTTTTGGCATCATGGCCAGAAATTGGCAAGTTTTAGACATTAGAAAAGGTATGTTTTTGCTGTTTACTGCAGGAATCAGATCCAGGTGTTGAGGGGACCTACAGCTTATATAATTTTGAGGACCCTCTTTAGGAAAGAAAATACAAGATTATGCACATGTGAATATTTGTTTAGAATAAGAAAAGGTATCTGTGTATGCGAGGGGTCTAAAAGCCTAACTTGATTCATTTTGTGTTTGATCTATCTCTGCTTTAAAATATATAATTTTGGCCCCACGTGGTGGCTTGTGCCTGTAATCTTAGCACTTTGGGAAGCTGAGGCGGGTGGATCACTTGAGGTCAGGAGTTTGAGACCAGCCTGACCAACATGGTGAAACCCCATCTTTACTAAAAATACAAAATTAGCTGGGTGTGGGGGCTCATGCCTATAATCCCAGCTACTTGGGAGGCTGAGGCAGGAGAATCCCTTGAACCTGGGAGGCGAAGGGAGGTTGCAGTGAGCTGAGATCGCGCCATTGGACTCCAGCCTGGACAACAGGAGTGAAACTCCATCTCAAAAAAAATATATATATATATGTATATGCGTGTGTGTGTGTGTGTGTGTGTGTGTGTGTATGTATATGTGTGTGTATATACATATATATGTGTGTGTGTATATATATATATATATACACACACACACACACACACACACACATATATATAAAATTTGGTGTATGTGCCGGGCATAGTTGCTCACACTTGTAATCCCAGCACTTTGGGAGGCCGAGGCCGGTGGATCACCTGAGGTTGGCAGTTTGAGACCAGCCTGACCAACATGGAGAAACCCTGTCTCTACTAAAAATACAAAGTTAGCTGGGCATAGTGGCGCATGCCTCTAATCCCAGCTACTGGGGAGGCTGAGCCAGGAGGATTGCTTGAACCCAGAAGGTGGAGGTTGCGGTGAGCAGAGGTCACGCCATTGCACTCCAGTCTGGGCAACAAGAGCGAAACTCTTGTTGAAAAAAAAAAAAATTGGTGTATGTGTATTGCATCTGCATTAATTTTAGTCATTACTTTGTGTCATGTATATATTTTTTACTACTTTACATACTATAGCTGTTTTTCTTCTAGTGTTTCTAAGCTTTTACATTGATTTATACTTTTTTGTTGCCTAAATATTATTTTTACTGTTGCCTAATGGCATCTTAAAATTTTACTATAGCTCTTGCCAAATAAATTTTACCATGTTTGATATTGTTTTTACACGTGTCTTCCTGGCTTGACTAAATTTGCTACATTATTTTTTCTCACTCTTTTTTTTTTTTTTTTTTTTTGAGTTGGAGTTTTGCTCTTCTTGCCCAGGCTGGAGTACAATGGTGCGATCTTGGCTCACTGCAACCTCCACCTCCTGGGTTCAAGTGATTCTCCTGCCTCAGCCTCCCGAGTAGCTGGGATTACAGGCATGCACCACCACACCTGGCTAATTTTGTATTTTTAGTAGAGATGGGTTTCTCCATGTTGGTCAGGCTGGTCTCGAACTCCTGACCTCAGGTGATCCGCCTGCCTCGGCCTCCAAAAGTGCGAGAATTATAGGCATGAGCCACCGCGCCTGGCCATTTTTCTCACTCTTTACTGTTAGCCTTATGTACTTTGTAAGCACTACAGTGGTAGATTTTATTTTTAGAAAATCCTGTCAAGACTTTTTTTTCTCTAATGAAGCCATTTAACTTTGTCACAGCTACATTTGGTCTAAGTTTGGCTTCTTTGTGTTTTTTCCTCCATGCTTTCCTATGTTTGACCTGTGTCTTGTAAGAGACAACATCCATTCTCATTACCTGCCGTATGGAAAGAAGTAAATAAAACCTTTTCATCCTTGAATTTTTTTTCTCTATTGAGTTGTTACAGGTGAGAAGTATATATGAATCTGTGAAGAGTTGTTGGAACCTAATTAAATTATGTACTGCACGTTTTTCTTTTTCCCTAAAGCATTTAGAGTCTGGCTAAATAGGGGAAAATTTATATTGTTTGGGTTATGTTGTGTCAATTTTTATTAAAATTCTGGTAGCAGTCATACAAATAATTTGACTTTCACATGAAATCAAGTGAAGAGAAAGGGGGGTAGAGAAAGATGCTCAGGCAATGTAAGTTTACTAGTACAAATTAAAAGGCAATTTTGTGGGTACTGATAAAATGCTTCTGAAGGTAACATAAATTGCATTTGTTCTTAAACATTTAGGAAGGGCATGGAATTGTTTTTCTTTCTCTCCATCCCCACTTCCTCCCAATGTGTAAGTAGAAAGATTTTTTCCCCTCCTCTTAACTCTGAAGAAGACAACTTCCTTTATTTTGCATTTTTGGGTGGTGGTTATAGTACTTGTTTTGAGGTTTGACCATCCTCTCTTCAGCTATTTTTATTTTTACACACCACTTGAAGTGAGTACACTCAGTGGTATTTTAACTATAATAATCTGTTAAGAAATTCATGTATGCATATTGCATCTTAAAACTGTTGTTTTGATTTAATTTTAATTGGTTTATGCTATGTCTGCTTCATCTTAGTTTTTAAACAAGTGACTACTTAGTTTTCCACAGCAGAACAGAATAGCAAAATCATATTCTTTTTTTTTTTTTTTTTTTTTTGAGACAGAGTCTCGCTCTGTTGCCCAGGCTGGAGTGCAGTGGCGGGATCTCGGCTCACTGCAAGCTCCGCCTCCCGGGTTCACGCCATTCTCCTGCCTCAGCCTGCCAAGTAGCTGGGACTACAGGCGCCCGCCACTACGCCCGGCTAATTTTTTTGTATTTTTAGTAGAGACGGGGTTTCACCGTTTTAGCCGGGATGGTCTCGATCTCCTGACCTCGTGATCCGCCCGCCTCGGCCTCCCAAAGTGCTGGGATTACAGGCGTGAGCCACCGCGCCCGGCCAAAATCATATTCTTAATAGGATTGAAATGTTTACTTTCTTTTTGATGTTATAAGTGATTTAAGATACGACATAGGAGTTTTAACTGCTTGATTGCTCAGTGCCCTGTCCCCTCCCCCTCCCAAATAGAGGACAACATTTTGCTCTTACTGGAACTCTTAATTTTGTCAAGTCAGCTGGTATAAAGATATAGAACTTTTACCCCTTAAAATTCTTTTACTGATTTAACAAATTTCAGAATTGGTGATACTTGTTTATTTTATGTTTGTATATTTACAATCTTTTCTAAAACTTCATTAGCGTTAGAAAGCACATATTTCCTGAAATGTTTTAGTATAACAATTTGTGTAGTTGAGTTTGATATGTGTGATAACTTTTTATTTAAAATAAAATTTAGGCATCATGTAAAATAGTTAACAGTGGCATACTTCCTGGCATAGAAATTCAATATACAAAATGCTAAAAATTACACAATAGCAGCAGCATTTTAAAAGCTATATAACAGTCTAGTTACTTGTTTTAAGCTGTCACTATTTCCGGTTTTGTGAAAAATAAATATAGCATTAGGTACATGCCCTGAGATTTTCAGATTTGCACATATTCTGTGGAAGCCTTCTTTACTACTATTTTTGGATTCCATGCTATGGGATAATAAGGTCACTTTTTAGCACCATTCAAGAATAAAAAACCAAGTTCTCTCAAAGGGGTTCTAGTACACGTCCATGTTTTGCTGAATGCTATTCTGTAATATTCTTAAAAAACATCTTAAATTCAAGGAAGGAGATGAGAGAAGCATAGTGAGATTCCAGACTTGATCCTCCTTCAAAATGCTATCAGTTGCTGCTCATTCCCCAGCCTCTACTGCATTCCACAATTGGACAGTATTTTATGTAATACTTAGAGTTTTTACAAATCAAGTAGAAGATACAATGGAAGAAGACACCCCTTTTAGAATAGCAAACAAAAAGACTACTTCTACACACTTAAAAAATGTGTGTTAAATTTTTTTTTACAGTCTTCCATACAAAATTTTAAAGCAAACATTAAATTTTTTTAAGACAAAGACTTAAACAGAAAAGCATACTATATTTCCAGATCTGAAAATTCAGATTCTTAACAGTGTCAATTCTAATTGTTAATCTACAAACTTAATGCCATTCTAAAATAAAAATATTGAAAGGAAGCCGGGCACGGTGGCTCACGCCTGTAATCCCAGCACTTTGGGAGGCCAAGGCGGGAGGATCACGAGGTCAGGAGATCGAGACCATTCTGGCTAACAAGGTGAAACCCCCTCTCTGCTAAAAATACAAAAAGCCAGGCGTCGTGGCAGGCGCCTGTAGTCCCAGGAGGCTGAGGCAGGAGAATGGCATGAACCCGGGAGGCAGAGCTTGCAGTGAGCCAAGATCGCGCCACTGCACTCCAGCGTGGGCGACAGAGCGAGACTCTGTCTCAAAAAAAAAAAAAAAAAAATACTAAAAGGATTAAAAGAAACTCCCAACAGTACTCTTGCTGAGGTAAGTGCTAGTGCAAGCTCATTTTGTGGTAAGACAAGGTGAATTCAAGTAACTTCTCCAATGACAAAGCTGGGAAGTGGTGAAGCAAGGCTTCACATCAGGGTAAGTTTGAGGGCTCAGATACGATGATAGCTAACATGCAGTAAGTGTTTATATTATTGTGCATTACCATTCCAGGTGAGGTACTATATATTTTCTCAATTAGAATAGCATCTTAATGTAAAACTTGTGAGGCTTTGCTAGGAAGAATCTAGAGATAATACAGGCTGTGCTTAGAGATTTATGAACCCTTTATAATCTCTCCCCTCAATCTCGCTTTTTTCCACATGCATAAACTAGTTATCCCAGCATCACTTTTTGAGTACTGTTCTATGCTTCCCCTATGATCTGCTCTTCTATTTATATATCGAATTTCATTCATGTGGATTTATTTTTAGGCCTTCTGTTTTGTTCCATTTGTCTTTTTTGCCTATTCTTGTGTCATTTCCATTCTAAATTTCGTAGAGGGTAGGATAAGTTTCCCTGCTGTGTTCATTCAAAAATTCATTCAGCACATATATTGGAGACAACTGCTATGTGCCAGGAACTTTTTAGGTGCTGGGAAAATGGCATTGAGCAAAACAAAAAAATTCTCATGACTCTTACACTTATAAACAATTTCTTGGCTATTTTCTTGCTTATAAATTTTAGGTTCAGCTTGTCAAATTCTATGAAAAACCCAGTAATGTTAAAACAAATTTAAATTGGGTCAGTTAAGGGAGCACTGATACCTTGACAATTCTATCCATGAAGAGAATGCTTTTACACTCATATACGTTTTCCTTTTTTTTTTTTTTTTTGGCCTCTGTTTAAAGCTTAATTATTTCTTTCCCTAAAGGTCTAGAATATATTTTTACTAGAGTTAGTCCTGCATATCATATATTTGCTGTTGCTGTTGTAAATGGTGTCTTTTATTTGACTTAAGCTTTCTAATAGCTTTATACAGAAGTGGTATTTTTTTTTGCTGTTTATTTTTTCGACAGGTTGAGGGGACTATGTAGACTTTTATATCCAAATACCTTGCTGAATTCTAATTCCAATAATTATTATGTATATTGTTTCCTGTGCAGATAATCATATCAAATATATTCTTAAAAATTTGTATACCACTTTATTTTCTTATTAAATTAACTAGGACCTCCAATGTAATGTTGAATAAATATGGTAATAGTAGACATACATACTTGTTCTTGATTTTAATGAGTTTCACTGTAAAAAGTGTTGTTTGCTATAGTTTTTTTTTTTTTAAGACAAATGTGACATTTTCTTATCCTTTTTCCATATCTCTTATAGTGTTTTTCTTTAGTCTGTTCATATGGTGAATTATATTTATAATTTTAAAAAAGTCTATATATTCTGTTCCTGAATTTCTGGGACATATTGGTCATAATGTATATTTTTATATACTGTTGGATTCTGGATTCTGTTTGTTAATATTTTGCATATGGACTCTTTTCATGTATGTTTATTAGTGAAATTGGCCTGTAATTTTCATTTTTTAATAATGTTCTTGTCTGGTTTTGGTATCCAGATTATACTGGCCTCATAAAATGACTTGGGGGGTGTATTTCCTCCTTTTCTATTCTCTGGAAGAATTTGTGTGATACTGGATTTACTTGTTTCCTGAAAGTTTGGTAGACCTTGCTTTTACAACTTTTAGACCTAGTTTGTGTGTGTGCCGGTGGGGGGAAGAGGGGGAAGTTTATTTTATTTTTTCTTCCTTTATTAGTCATAGTGCTGTTCAGGCTTTCTGATTATCCTTTTTTTTTTGAGACAGGGTCTCGCTCTGTCACCCAGGTCGGAGTGCAGTGGTGTGATCTCACTTTGCTGCACCATCCACCTCCCAGGCTCAAGCAATCCTCCTACCTTAGCCTTCCAAGCTGTTGGGACTATAGGCGCATGCCGCTATGCTTGGCCTAGTTTTTTTGTTGTTGTTTTGTTTTTGTAGAGATGAAGTCTCACTATGTTGCCCAGGTTGATCTCAAACTCCTGGGCTTAAGTGATCCTCTCATCTCAGCCTCCCAAAGTGTTGGCATTACAGGTGTGAGCCACTGTACCCAGCCTTCTAATTATTCTTGAATCAATTTTGAGTTTGTATTTTTCTAGGCGTATGTCCATTTTGTCTGTGCTTCATATTTATTGCATAAAGTTGTTCATAGTATTCTCTTTTAAATGTCTCCTCTAGCTGTAGTTATGTTCACTATAGTCTGTCCTTTAGTTCTCCTTAGCAGTGTTTGAAGAGATACGCTTTTTAGTCCATCTATTGAATTTTTACCATTAGGTTATATTTTTTATTTCCATAAGTTCTGTGTGTTTCCTCTTAAGATCTTAGTGGTCATTCTTTAACTTTTTATTTTTTAAATTCACATTTGTCTTGATTGGATTGATGGTCATTTTTTATAGCCTCTTGCTCACTTGTTTGTGATTTCATTTATTTTTAACATTTAATCCGGAATCTTGATGGGTATGGCTGATAAAATTTTAACAATGGTTGTTATGTACTTCCCTAATAAGTTCAAGATAAATTAGACTGTGACTACTTTAACACATAGATATAGATCTGGATTGCTGTATTTAGCCAATAACATACGTATTACAGAGGAATTACTTGTTGGATGATTAAGGTTTTCTTAGGTAAATAATTTGGAAAAAATGTTATTTGTGGGAAATATAGGAAGAAAGAAATTAAACATCAAGGAAGAGAAGCAGGAAATGTTGCTAGCTGTGTCTTCCTAGATGGAATGTGTTTGTATAGCATTTGATATTTCTTTGTGTTTTTTTTTTTGAGACAGAGTCTCCTCACATTGTCACCCAGGCTGGAGTGCAGTGACGCTGTCTCAGCTCACTGCAGTCTCAACCTCCTGCACTCAAGTGATCCTCGTAGTTTAGCCTCCCAAGTAGATGGGACTACAGGTGTGCACCACCATGCTGGGCTCATTTTTTTTTTTTTTGTATTTTTGGTAGAGATGGGGTTTCACCATGTTGCCCAGGCTGGTCTCAAATTCCTGAGTCCAAGTGACACACCTGCCCCTGCCTCCCAAAGTGCTAGGATTACAGGTGTGAGCCACTGTGCCCAGCATATTTGATATTTCCTGATAGCAGTTATCACCTATTTTGTTGGGTATATTTGTCTTGACAGTTAGATTGTGATCTCTTTTGGGGCAAACACTTTTATTGGTGGTGTTTTGTTTTTTATACAGTGTCTAGCATAGTAACTGTTAAATAGTATATAGTCAATAGATTTATTATAGCTAGGTAGATGGGATTTTAAAAGTACTAAACAAAGTTCAATTGTAGTTAATTATAATGAACTAATCATTGTCATATGATTACAGTACGAGGAATTATACCAGAAGCCACTAATAACTAGATCTGGATTAAATATACCTTTTAAATGCATTATTGGGTTCAAAAAAACCAAACACATTTTCAAATGTTGTCTTCACCTCACTCAAACAAGGGTGAGCTTAAATGGAAGCAGGGGAGCATTTAGTGATAAAAACACAGAACAGGCAAAATTTCAGAAATGGGTCAGACTTTCAATTAGAGACTGAATTTTCAGCCAGCAACAAGCCAGGGATAGTGGAAAGGGAGCTAAATCTGGTATTTCCTTTATTAAGAAGGATCCATCCAACCTGGCTAGAAGTGATCATAGGTAGGCTAAAGTGGTCTTAATAGGTAAACAGCTTCCCTGCTCTCCCCACTCCCACTTGCTCCTGGATGATCAAACACAAAACACAAGACATGGCAAAAATAATAACAAATGTAGCCCCCAACCCCCAACCCCTATACAAGAACTTCAGAAGTTTTGACAATTTTTGATCATTCTTTTAAGTGAGTATAAAGAATGAGGGACTTTCGTGCCATCCTTGTAGAGTTAGTTCCCTTCCCTGTCCCACCACCATTTCACCAAGGGAAATTTATTGAGAACACCTAAAATTTGCTGTTGACTAGTCATGTTAGGGGAAGGAGGAATGGTATAGACATAAGATTTTAAAATATTGACGTGCGTCGTGTGTTTACTTATTTGCAATCTTTTTTTTTTTTTTGAGATGGAGTCTTGGTCTGTTGTCTAGGGTGGAGTGCACTGGCCGATCTCGGCTCACTGCAACCTCTGCCTCCCAGGTTCAAGTGATTCTCCTGCCTCAGCCTCCCAAGTAGCTGGGATTACAGGCGCCTGCCACCACACCCAGCTAATTGTTGTATTTTTAGTAGAGACGGGGTTTACCATGTTGGCCAGGCTGGTCTCGAACTCCTGACCTCAGGAGATCAGCCCACCTCAGCCTCCCAAAGTGCTGGGATTATAGGCGTGAGCCACTATGCCCAGCCATTTGCAACCATTTTTTTAAATTGTTGTGTTAAGTTACTATAAAAATTAACATTTTTATAGTTTTCCCACATTTTACTGCATACTACTTTATATGACTTTATGATTGTTAGGTTCTTAAACAATGAATTTTGACTTAAGTTCTTTTATATTTTTATTTTTACCAATCCATCCTATTTAAAATAAATTAATAGTATGTTTAATATCTTTCAGAAAAGTTCTTTCCCTGTGCTTTAATTTTAACCAGTTTTAGCTAATGTTTTTGCACAACCTTTTCTAAAAGCAACAAATAATTGATTAAGGGGAATCTGGGCTAAGCTGAAGCTTAACTCTGAAAGCTGTGTTAATGAGTTTCCATAGGAAAAACTGTCTACTGCTTTTATTTTGTTTATAGATTGAAATTAGCTAAATGAAAGAATAAGTAAATGAGAGCTGCTTAAATTAAGACATCCATTAAAATTTTTTGTCTTGATTACTTTCCCGTCTCAGAGTCAATTGATCTGGCTTTTGGTACTGAGCACATGACTCTAGACAAGCATGCAGTCATTCTAGGCATACTGCTATTTGAAAAAACAGCTTTAAAAAGATGTTAGAACCTGGGAAAAAATATCTTGCTCTCTTGTGGTTTCACAGGATGCCAAAGGTTTAGTTGCTTGTATGTTTCACTCAATTGCTTTCTGTTCAATGAATAAAATCAGCACCGTGCATTAGAACTTTGCAGACTCACTGCAAAGGAAATAGCAGGAGGTAAAGTGACCTCAAATGAATGTGGCTTTTTTTGTGGGGTGCGGTGGGTGGGCAGTGCTACAACTTAATAAACAAATTGAGTTTTGCAGGAAGAAAACCTTTAACCCATCTTTATACTCTCTCATGGTGACATTTTTCTTCTGCTATCATTCCCATTCTTTAAACATTTTTACAATGATTAGTTCATTTTAAACATGTAACATAGCTACAGTTGAGTTGTTTAGTTGTTTTATAACGTATATGTTTTTCGAGTCCATCAGTAAACTGGAATTATAATCTTATTTTTGTTGTTTTGATCACACAACTTTTCTGCGCTCTGAAAAATACAACTGATACTTACTTCTCTTCACCAAAAGTCTTTTAGGTAGGTTTATCACCTTTTATCAGTTGAGTGAGTAAGATATTTTGAAAATATTTTACAGGGGAAGTAGCAGAAATTCTCCATCATGTATGGTAAACTTGCAGTTATCTGTGCTCTTAGAAGACAGAGGGAACCGGCCGGGCGCGGTGGCTCACGCCTGTAATCCCAGCACTTTGGGAGGCTGAGGCGGGTGGATCATGAGGTCAGGAGATCGAGACCATCCTGGCTAACAAGGTGAAACCCCGTCTCTACTAAAAATACAAAAAATTAGCCGGGCGCGGTGGCGGGCGCCTGTAGTCCCAGCTACTCGGGAGGCTGAGGCAGGAGAATGGCGTGAACCCGGGAAGTGGAGCTTGCACTGAGCCGAGATTGCGCCACTGCAGTCCGCAGTCCGGCCTGGGCGACAGAGCGAGACTCCGTCTCAAAAAAAAAAAAAAAAAAAAAAAAGACAGAGGGAACCTGAATAGTTAATATAATTTTTATTGTAGTACAGGTTTTACTCACATACCTTGGGAAAAGCTTCTTTTCCTGCTTGGCATTATTGCCAAATGTCAGGATTGACGGAGGTGTATGGGGAGATGGATTTGAGAAAATCTGGACATGTTACTCCATGAATCTAGAGAAAGCAGGGGCAATACATTTATTTTTGTTTTCTGAAGGTAGCTCTCATTGTAATGATGTAATTTGGGGCACAGAATTGAGCCAGACTGCTGGGAATCAATTTCTGCTCCATGCTTACTAGCCTCGTGACTGGGCAAGTTACTTAAAGTCTTTCCTCACCTGTATGATGGAGACGATAATAAGACCACCTACTTCATGGACTGTGAGGTTTCAATGAATTAATATGGTAAAGCACTTAGTGCCTGACACATAGTAAATGATAGCTGTATTGTTGCCAAGTCAGTAAGTGTGAGTCAAAGTATACAGATATGTTTCCCTGAAGGAATTTGAAGTTTAATACTTAAGTTTTGTAAAAGTCTGATTTATATTTACTTTTCAATAGTCCAAAGTGGGGACTGAAAGAATGTACAAAATGTCCGTGTTTGGGTTATCTTTCCTAAACACTCTGCCTTCCTCAGGAAACATTTCTTCTGTCTCAGCTGTTCCACTGCCCTGCTGAGCTGGAATGACTACAGCACTGGGAGACACAGGTAGTGCTGCACCTGGCTGGGCTCAGGAGCCTTCCTGTGAGAGAAGGGTTTTGCTTTTCTTATCAGGATGGTTAATTGAATAGGTGCCATCTCATCCCTGGGCACTCAAGGTTTTTTTTTTTGTTTGTTTGTTTGTTTTGAGACAGATTCTCTCTCTGTCACCCAGGCTGGAGTGCAGTGGCATGGTCTCAGCTCACTGCAACCTCTGCCTCTCAGGTTCAAGTGATTATCCTGCCTCAGCCTCCCAAGTAGCTAGTACTACAGGCATGCGCAACTACGCCCTGCTAATTTTTGTGCTTTTAGTAGGTAGAGATGGGGCTTTTCCATGTTGGCCAGACTGGTCTTGAACCCCTGACTTCAGGTGATCCACCCGCTTTGGCCTCCCAAAGTGCTGGGATTACAGATATGAGCCACCACGCCCGGCTGCACTCAAGTATTAAAAGAAGTGAACATCCATATAGGATTTATTAGGATAGTTACTCATTTGACAGGTATTTCTCTAGGGTTTACACATAGAAAAGCCTTCAGGATTTTGCGAAGACAGGGTTTCCTTTTCCTGTATAAAGGACAGCTTTAGTCCTAACAGTGAGGGGAAATATCATGAAAATGATTCCTTTATTCTTCCTGCTCCGTTTGAAAATGACCTGATTCTCTTTTAGAAATGTGGCTTATTTTACAGTTGTCCTCTTCATACATTTATTTACTTATTTAGAGACATTCTCTCACTCTGTTGCCCAGACTGGAGGGCAGTGGTGCAATCGTAGCTCACCTCAGCCTTGCACTCCTGGGCTGAATTGATCCTCCAGCCTTGGCTTCCTGACTTGCTGAGATTACAGGTATGAGCCACTGTGCTCAGCTCCCCTTTGTACATTTAGAGTTTGCAATGATTTGTTTTGTAGGGAAAGATCAAGAGGAAAAACTAGTAAGTTCATTCATCATCTGCTTCTTGTTGATAGAGGCTACGTTTCTTAAAAGTAATTACCTTTGAATTTTGTTTCCCAAATAATTTAGTGAAATGTCAATATGAATTCATCTTGCCTTTTAAGATTTTATTTTATTTTGGGATGGAGTTTCGCTTTTGTTGCCCAGGCTGGAGTGCAATGGCACGGTCTTGGCTCACTACAACCTCTGCCTTCCGGGTTCAAGCGATTCTCCTGCCTCAGCCTCCTGAGTAGCTGAGATTACAGGCACCCACCACCACACCTGGCTAATTTTTGTATTTTTAGTAAAGATGGGGTTTCACCATGTTGGCCAGGCTGGTCTTGAACTCCTGACCTCAGGTGATCCACCTGCCTCAGCCTCCCAAAGTGCTGGGATTACAGGTGTGAGCCACCATGCCCGGCCTAAGATTTTATTAATACAGATATTCTGCATCTTTACAGGTCTGTCTTGCATTTTGCAAACACGTCTGTTCTTGGTAAGGTGTATACGTTTTGAATTCTCTTCTTCCATAACTTGGATGATTGAGAATCTGTGGAACTCCACCCAACACCTATAAGGGTAGCAGTGTTAAATGGCAGTACATTAACATCTATGCCTCCATAGTACCTTTTTCTAAATTTACTCTTACCACACAGAAACTATAGTATCTCCTTCATTCTAAGGCACACATTAAAAAATTTCTTATTTTAACACCTCTGTAATTAGGTGCATTTTCTAATTGATGTCATCCTCCTGTCAACAAAAGGTGGTTATTTGTTCTCTTGTCTTGCCTCCTACTTGACTATAAGTAGACTCCTTGAAGGCAGGAACTGATAGTCATTTATTTTTGTTATTTCCAATGTCTCATTTGCAGTAGAACCCAAAGTTTGGTGAATTACAATGTAACAATTTTCGGGATATCTTAATAAGTGTTAGTTGAAATGAGAGTTTCATTAGGACACTGTTTTTGGATTGTTTTGAAACAGGGTCTTATTTTGTCACCCAGGCTAAGTGCAGTGGTGCGATCATAGCTCACTGCAGCCTTGACCTCCTGGGCTTAAGCAATCCTCCTGCTTCAACCTCCCAATTAGCTAGGACTACAGAGGTGTACCACCGTGCCTGGCTTTATTTATTTATTTAGTAGGTAGAGACAGGGTCTTGCTATGTTGCCTAGGCCAGTCTTGAACTCCTGGGCTCAAGCAATCTTCCTGCCTTAACCTCCCCAAGTTCTGGGATTATAGGCATGGATTGCTGTACCTGGCCTCATCAGGATACTTTTGCAGGGGGAGATGTAAAAACTGTAAAAAGGAGGGCCTGGAAAATGCTAATATACATAGTTAAATGCTATTCCTACTTTTCCCTCCTTTGTACCCCTTCTGTCTTTCTCTTTTGGTTGATTCTCTTCAGACTGATGCATACCTCACCAAGAAAGCATTGGTTTTAGCAGATGTGAGTGAAGTAAAAAGACTAAGAATTTTATATTTTTATTTATGACAGGCTATTTTTTGAGCATCTTTTGGATATTGCACTGTGCGATTGTCACTTTCCATTATGTAAATGAGGAAACAGTCAAATATGTTCAGAGACGTAAAATTTTAGTCCAAGATGGTGGAAGAAGGACCAAACTTCCTGTTATGGGTTTCTGATCTGGGCTTTCTGCTTTAAAATCTCTTCTGAACTACGTTTTTTTTGTCTTTTTATTAGTTTAAAATTAATGTTTTTAATAGCTCTGTGGTTTTGAGACTGAATTTTTACATTCTTATCACAGTAAATGTTTGCTTAAAAAGGTGGAGTTGATCTGGTCTCCCTTTATCTTGCCTCTGAGTACCCTAAAATGTGGATTTAATTTTAGTGCTAGAAACTGTTTAGTGGGTCTAGTTGTTTTCCTTAATTAAATTTAAGCTTTTACATGTGGGTGATTAGAAAAGTCTTATCCAGAACCTCAGTTGGCATTTTTTAGAAATGACTGCCATGTAGTTTTTTTTTAGTAGACTTTAAGAACTTTAGAGTTACAGAAAACCTGAGAAGATAGTATAGGAACTTCCCATATATCTGTCACCTAGTTCCTCTATTGTTAACACGTATGGTACATTTGTTAGAATTAATGAACCAATGTGGATACATTATTATTAGCTAAAGTCTATACTTTATTCAGGTTTCCATAGTTTTTACCTAATGTCCTTTTTCTGATCCAGGATCCCATCAAGATAACACATTACATTTAGTTGTCATGCCTTCTTAGGCTCCTCTTGGCTGACTTTCCTTGTTTTTGATGACCCAACTATTTTGAAGAGTACTCATTAAGTATTTTGTAGAGTGCCCCTCTATTAGAATGTGTCTAGTGTTCTTCTCATGACAGGTGTAGGGTTATGGGTTTTGGGTTAGGAAGACCACAGAGGTGAAGTACCGTTTTCATCACATTATATCAAGAGTACATGCTGTCAGCGTGATTTGTAACTGTTGATGCTGACCCTGATCATCTGGCTGAGGTAATGTTTGTCTGGTTTCTCTACTATGAAGTTGCTCCCTGCCCCAACCCTTTTCCATATTGTATTCTTTGGAAGGAAGTCCTTATGTGCAGCTCACACTTACGGAATGAGGATGCTGTCTAATTTTGAATAAACATTTAAATAGTAGAGGCTTAGTTTAAAAATTTACCTGGAGTTAGTGAGACTTTTGCTTTTTATAACAAAAACCATGGCTATTTAAATGAAATATTAAAACATGTGCTTGCATTTGGCTGGGCATGGTGGCTCCTGTAATCCCAGCACTTTGGGAGGCTGAGGCGGGCGGATCACTTGAGGCCAAGAGTTTGAGACCAGCCTGGCCAACATGGTGAAACCTGGTCTACTAAAAATACAAAAATTAGCCAGGCATAGTGGCGTGTGCCTGTAGTCCCAGCTACTCTGGAGGCTGAGGCAGGAGAATCACTTGAACCTGGAGGCGGAGGTTGCAGTGAGCCGAGATCGCACCACTGCACTCCAGCATGGGCGACAGAGTGAGACTCCATCTCAACAAAACAAAAACTACAAAAAAACCATGTGCCTGCATTCAAAGATTTGGTTTGGCAATAATTTTCAAGCTATTTTTCATTCTCAGTATTTCAACATTTGCTATTACATGGCAGCTGTTAGATGTTCCTCTTTATTTTATGGCATCTAATTGATAATTATTTTTTGAAAAAAATGTAATGGAAATGTGGAAGAACATTAGTCAAGAGCTCTTGAATAAAATTCGTTAATATTTTGTTCTGCATTTATTGCTTTTCTGCACTTCTTATTTCTGCATATATTATTTCTAAAATTGAGGATTTGGTTGATATGTAAATTATGATTAGAGACCAGAACAGTTTAGGACCCAAAATGATCAAGGGAAAGCACCTCGCTGGAAACCCCCATGACAATAAAACTCTCCTTGTAGTTCCCATTTGTATGTTTCAATTATAAGGCTTATGTTAAAATTAGATCAGAATTTCCATCATAGACTCTCAATTTCATAGTTGTGTAAGTGCCATATAAACCTAATTGTAAACAAAGGCATTTAATGATGGACATTATTTGAACAATTTAAGATCAGGTTATTTAGCTCACAGGCTAGAAAATACATGTCTAGTTTCACATTTTAAAGTTGAGAGATTGTGAAGATGGGCTTTGGTTCTAAAGGTGAATTTTATAGTTTTTTCTAATGATTTTCCAGATTTTCTACAATGAAGATGTGTTGTTTTATAACATAATAAATTAAAAATACTTGCTAAATTCTTTTTTCTTTACTGATTGCTCTTGAGACTTACTGCATTGTAAACAAATGACTATTTTAGATGTGTATATTAATTTCCTAGGTCTGCTGTAACAAACCACCTCAAACTTGGTGGTATAAACAAGGGAAATTTATTTTTTCATAGGTCAGAACTCCAAAATCAAGTTGTTGTCGTGCTGGTTGATTCTGGAGTCTGAGGAAGAATCATTTCCATGCCTCTGTCCTGGCTTCTGGTGCTTATCAGCAGCCCTTTGTGCTCCTTGGCTTGCTTGTGGATGCATCCCTCCAATCTCTGCCTCTGCCTTCATGTGGCCTTCCTCTCTGGGTTATTTTCTGTGTTTTGCATCTCACCCTCCTTTCTCTTATAAGGACAACAGTGGTTGGATTTAGGTCCAGGGCCATCTCACTTTAATAACTGTAAAGACCCTATTTCCAAATACGGTCATATTCATAGGTACCAGGCATTAGGAGTTGGATATATCTTTTTTGGATGCCACCATTCAGGCCACTACAGTGAGCAAGCCTCTTCCTGCATTTGCAAATAAGCACTATGAAAGTACTTTTACTAAATGCAATAATAGCTATAGAATCTGACCTATATTATATGCATATAAATGTGATTCAGAGTTACATGTTTACTTTCTTTTCATGTGGTTTACAATTGATGTGGCATTCTTTTACTATGAATTAGGCTGAGCACATACAGACAAGCTATAATTTGTGTCTCTAAATGGTGTGAGCAGGGTCTTAAATTCTGTGAACATGTGCTGTTTAGCTCTTGACTTTTTAAACCTACGTACTTGGGTATTTTTATAAGATAAATGTTTATAGTTCCTTTTGATATGAATCATGTTTGTCTCCACATAAAAGTTTAAAATTATCCCTAGCGACCTAGTCTGATTTAAATTTGTGTGCCATAAGATATTTTATAAAAACAGAATTGCTGGTAGAATGAGGTTAAGTAATCAAAAGTAAGACTGGTTGTCCTTGGTGTGAATAGACAGCCACTTTCAGAGAAGTGCTGGCCCGGCCTCCAGGCATGTGGTTTGGAGGGAATCTCTGGTTGAGAACATTTGCTGCTGCTGCTTTCCCATTTTGAGATGAACTTGATGAGGAATTTAGTTCTTCGTATTATTAGGAAAGTAAAACAACAGTGATACAGGTGTGAGATTGCTTTTTTGAATTTTATTGTGCCATAGACCTATATGTCTTCACTAAAACATAGCTCCACAAGTGCCAGAACTGGCTGGGTGCAGTGGCTCACACCTGTAATCCCAACACTTTGGGAGTCCTAGGTGGTAGGATTACTTGAGGCCAGGAGTTGATGACCAGCCTG
The DNA here is from genome assembly GCF_000001405.40 of Homo sapiens. Classification (NCBI taxonomy): domain Eukaryota; kingdom Metazoa; phylum Chordata; class Mammalia; order Primates; family Hominidae; genus Homo; species Homo sapiens. The sequence continues at coordinate 14,312,628 of NC_000011.10, read as the reverse complement.
GGGAATATAGTGAGACCTCATATCTACAAAAAAATGAAAAAATTAGCCAGGCGTGGTGGCATGCACCTACAGTCCCAGCTACTCAGGAGGCTGAGGTGGGAGGAGCACTTGAGCCCAGGAGTTCAAGCCAGCAGTAAGCCGTGATCGGGCCACTGCACTTCAGTGCGGGCAACAGAGCAAGATTGTCTCTAAAAATAACAAAAAACAAACAAAAAACAAGTGCCTGAATTATGCTGGTTTTATTCTTATTCAGAACCATATCCTAGCTTGTAGGTATTAAGTACACAACAACTATTTGTCAAATGAATAGTATATCATAGATGCTCTTGAAATCTATGTGGCATTTCAAGACGTGTCTTATTCTTTTCAATGGCTGTTTGCTATGCTGTGATAGATATGCTGTAATTCATGTAACTAGTCCGTGTTCTCCCCTTAGGGATATTTAGGCTATTAAGAGTTTTTCAGGCCGGGCACAGTGGCTCACACCTGTAATCCCAGCACTTTGGAAGGCCGAGGTGGGTGGATCACTTGAGGTCAGGAGTTTGAGACCAGCCTGGCCAACATGGGGAAACCCCATCTCTACTAAAAATACAAAAATTAGCCAGGTGTGGTGGCAGGTGCCTGTAATCCCAGCTACTCAGCAGGCTGAAGCAGGAGAATTGCTTGAACCTGGGAGGCGGAGGTTGCAGTGAGCCGAGACTGAGCCATTGCACTCCAGCCTGGGCAACAGAGTGAGACTCTATCTCAAGAAAAAAAAAAAAGTTTTTCACAGTAACAAAGCTACCATGACATATCTTGTTTGTGTGTGTATGTTTATGTAACTTTCGTAGTTTGCAGTGTTAATTTCCTTCATTCATGGCTATGTTCTTGTGAAACAAGCACATTTTAAAATATATTATTGAAATAATTTTCCAGTATAACTGACCTATATTTTCTTAAATACATTTAAAGTACTTTTATGTTGCCAGGCGCAGTGGCTCGTGCCTGTAATCCCAACACTTTGGGAGGCTGAGGTGGGCGGATCACCCGAGATCAGGAATTCAAGACCAGCCTGGCCAACATGGTGAAACCCCGTCTCTACTGAAAATACAAAAATTAGCTTGGCGTGTTGGCACGTGCCTGTAATCCCAGCTACTTGGGAGGCTGAGGCAGGAAAATTGCTTGAACCAGGGAGGCAGAGGTTGCAGTGAGCCGAGATTGTGCCACTGCACTCCAGCCTGGGCTGGAGAGACTCTGTCTCAAAATAAAATAAAGTACTTTTTTATTTTATTTTTATTTTTTAAAGACAGATTCTCGCTCTGTTGCCCAAGCTGGAGTGCAGTGGTCTGATGATGATAGCTCACTGTAGCCTGAAACTGCTGGGCTCAAGTGGTCCTCCTGCCTCAGCCTCCAGAGTAGCTGGATTATAGGTGTACCCCACCACACCGGGTCAATTTTTAGGTTATTTTTTTATAGGTCTTGCTATGTTGCCTAGGCTGGTCTCAAACTCCTAGCTTCAAGCGATCCTCTCACCTTGACCTCCCAAAGTGTTGGCATTATAGGCATGAGCCACTGCTTCTGGCCTAAAATGCTTTTAAATTTGTTTCTCCTCGAATCAGTGAAAAATCCTTTGCCACAGAGTTTTGAAAAAAGTATCAGAAGCAGTGTGTATGCACACACTGTTTTGATTTCCTCTGTGGGATGGTTCTTGGCTAATCCCTTTGAAAGGAAGTATCAGAACCTGTCTGTCCATTGCATGCAAGGCTGGGAAGGAAAGCAGTAGCCACACAATAGGTTACAATTAGAACACTGAATAAGAAACAAGGAAGAATTCCTTCCATGCCTAAGAGAGATGCATAACCTTAGGGTGACCATATGTCTACTTGCCTAGGAAAGTCCTGGTTTATGCCTGTTGTCCTGATGTAATTATTATTAGCATCCTCTTTGAGTCCCAGTTTATCAGTAACTTATATGGTCACCCTACTTAATCTTTCAGTTCTTTTTTTCCTTATCTGTAGAGAGAGAGCAGTGCCTGGTATATAGTAAATGTCATGTAAGTGCTTGCTGTCACTGTTATTATGATTACTTGACCTATCAGCAACCCTTATCTTTCGCTCCTTCTTAAATTATTTTCTTCTCTTGGCCTCCTGGCTACCATTTTCTTTGTTCTCTTCCTACTTTTAGCTGCTCCTTCTCAGTTTCCTTGCCTAGATCTTTCTCATTTTCCTGACCTCCCAACAGTGAAGTACCCCAGGTCCCAGTCTCTGTTGTTTTCTCTGTCTGATTCGTCTTGTGACAATACCATCTATCTCCTGACTCCCAAATTTGTCTTCAGCCCCACCTTCTCAGTGAATCCCAGACTCATTTCTGTAGGTGTCTAATAAGTGTCTTAACAGAACATGTACAAAACCACTCTGTATTCTTCCTCCATTCTCTACCCCACCAGCCTGTTGCAGCCCAATAAATGGTACCACCATTCTTACAGTTAATTAGGCAGAAAAACTTGGCATCATCTTTGAGTCTTTTCTGACAGACTCTGTATCTACATCCAGTTTATCTGCAAATGCTGTTGGCCCTCCTTTGGAAGTAAACACGGATCTGGCCACTTTACACCTCCATTCCAGTCACCTCCCTTCAAGCTGCAATTTTCTTTTCATGATTTATTGTAATAGCTTCTTAAGTAGTCTCTGATTTCACCCTTGACCTATAATCCAGTCTTCTGACTGCAGCCAGTATTACTTTTCATATGAAAGTCAGAACATTTTATTCATCTGCCTCAGACCCTCTAGTGGTTTTCATTTCACTTTGAATAAAATCTGAAGTCCTCACTCTGGCCTGCAAGTCTCCGCCTGCCTCCCTGTTAATTTTCTGAACTCATTAACCACTCTCTCATGTTTGTTGTTGTAGCTACACTGGCTGTCTTGCTGTTCTTCAGACATGTTACAGTACTCTCACCGCACTGCCTTTAACTTAATGTTCCCTCTGCCTGGAATGATACTCTAGATCACAGCATGGCTCACTCCTTCAGTTGATCCAGGATTCCCTTCTCCAGTGTCACATTGTGCGTGGAGCCTTCTCTGGCTATCTTATGCAGTATCATATCCTCCCCTCCAACTCCTGCTGTTGCCAGCCCCCTTCATTTTTCTTCAGAGTTCCTATCACCTCTGATGTATTATGTTTGCTTATTTATTGATGGTCAATACTTCAAGAAACTGCCAGCCCTCTAAGAGCCTGGGGATTAGATCCTCAGCTCCTGACACAATGCTTGGCACATTATAGGTGTTCAGTTAGTATTTGTAGATTAAGTGGGGTGGTGAGTGAGCCTAGGGAAGATTCTTGTGGCAGTTTTAGCAGTTTAGTAATAGAACATGTGCTGTGGAAATCACCCCCTTTAATTCTAGTTTTGCTTCTACAGACCATTCTCTGTTCTAGAAGAGGTGAGAAATGAAATTGGGGTTTAGGATATTGGTAGGTAACGGGATAGAGGGGAGAGGAAGTGAAAATGGAAGTAACAGTCTAGACTCTGGGAAGCAAAAGTTACAACTAGAAGTGAGTTGGTTACCTACCTGTTTATGGGGCACCCTTCCATTTCTAAGTTTGGAAAGGAAAAGAGCCAATTTTTGAATACTCAGTTTTAGTTAAGCAGTGTACTGAGTACTTAACAATATCATTTAATCTTCACAATAGCCCTTTCAAGTAAGAATCATTATGATCATCTTTTAGGTGAGGAAATTGAGACTTAAGAGATTAAATAACTTTCCCAAGATGATACAGCAATTAAGCGGGGTATGTAGGTCTGACTGCCTCTAAAATACATGCTCTTTACTTCATAGCACCTGAAGGGGGAGTCTGTGTGCAGTAGTTCACATTTCATGTGGAGCTGTAAAGTACAGAAAATGTTCACGTTTTACTCCTTGTAAAAAACTCTTGAAAGTGTCTCTCAGCTTTGCAAGTAATTAAATTTGGTGTCAGTGAGGAGTGACTTACTGCAAATCCTACAGCTATAAAGTAGCAGAGGTAGGGCTTCAAGCAAATCTTCCTCTTTTAAAATATGATATTTTGCTGTATTCCACAAATTTAAAACAAGGAAGTCCTCGATAGCACCTATAAATTATATTTGGCATATTGTAGGAGCTAAACGTGTCATAATAAAATTATATAGCTGGAAAGAGTCTTAAAGAGGTCATGAAGGGCAAACCCCTCATTTATAGGTGAGAGCCAGGAAAGAGGTTTAAGAGATTTACTCATCTAGGAGCACTGAGCTAGTTGTTTGTATAGCTGGGACTAGAATCTAGCTTTTATTACTAAAGAGTTTATGTTTAATCTGTCTAGGTCTTTCGAAACTCTTGGGTTCCTTCTTTCATTCATGTATTTCAAATTTGAAAGCTACAAGAATTGTTTTCCTTCCATCCATATCTCCTAGCAACCCAGTTAAACCCACAGGTAAAGTTAATCAGTTTCTTGTGTATCTTTCCAGAGATATTTTGTGCACATAAAGCAAATACATAAACTGTGGGTATTTAACAACATATCTTGCAGATTGCTGTATATTAATGCATGAAGTCATTCCTTTTTTTAATGGTTATATTCATATTGAATGAACCTTTCGTAATTTAACCAGGCATTTGCTGAATGACATTGTCCTTGCTGAAGCACATTGTGTTTCCAGTCTTTTAAAGACATTTCACTATGAACAACCTTGTACATATCATTTCTTATATGTGCAGACCTATCGGCAGGATAAGTTTCTGGAATTGAAATTGCTGGGTCAAACAGTATCTTTGTGTATTTAAAAAAAAATGACCTACTTACACCTTTACTCGTAACTTACAAATGGGGCGTTTCCATTTTTAATGAAACGACTTTACTTTTCTATTTGGCAGTAGCAGTTTATAATTTAAAAAAATAATGAATCACTTATTTTAAGGGGTACCAGGATTTTTTTTTTTAAACTGTCGCAGGCTATGTGCTATGTTAGTATGGCAGGTTAAAGAAAGTATAATGGAAGGAGTATTGCATTGGAGTTAGACCTGATTGGAATCCCAGTTCCACTTTGTGACCTTTGGCAGGTTATTTAACTGCTGAGCCTCAATGGTCTCATCTGTAAAATGGTGGGCGCTGTTATCCCAGCTTCTCGGGAGGCTGAGGCAGGAGAATCACTTGAACCAGGGAGAGACGGAGGTTGCATTGAGCCGAGATTGCACCACTGCTCTCCAGCCTGGGCGACAAAATGAGATATTCTGTCTCAAAAACTAGCCTTACCAATACGGTTGTCTTGAACTATTGTATTTCATCACATTTCCCCCCGTACATTTTAGTATATCTGAAATTGAGATGCTTCATAGTCAAAGGCATGTCATGAGTGTATTGGTAGCAGTTTTTTTTTCCCTCTTCCTTTTTCTGCTTTTTTTTTGTTGTTGTTGTTTTTTGTTTTTTTTTGTTTTTTTTGGTTTGGGGGAGGGGGCAGGGTCTCCTCTGTTACCCAGGCTGGAGTGCAGTGGCACAATCACTGCTCACTGCAGCCTTGACTTCCCGAGCTCCCATGATCCTCCCACTTCAACTTCCCACATAGCTAGGACCACAGGCATGTGCCATCATGCCCTGCTAATTTTTGTATTTTGGGTAGACACTGGGTTTCACCATGTTTCCCAGGCTGGTCTTGAACTCCTGACCTCAAGTGATCCACCCACCTTGGCCTTCCAAAGTACTAGGATTATAAGCGTGAGCCACTGCGCCCGGCCTTTTTTTTTTTTTTTTTATCTTGGCACATAAAATAATGATGGTCTTACAATCAGTGTCATCTTAGATTTGATGAAAAAGGGTAAATTCACATACTGGGACAAGTGAACTATGCTAGGGCATGGTATAGGCTGAAGCTCAGTGTGATAGGAAAAGCTCAGGGTAGGGAATGGGGTGTTAGAGGGATAGTTACAGTGAGGGAAGTTTCATTCTAGATCAGCAGTCAGCCCAGTAGAACAGCCACCTAGTGGGAGGCTAGTACAACTGATTGATGGCTCAGGAGCAGGTATTGCCCAAAATCCTGGGTATGTGGAATTGGAATTGTGGAGAGTTGTTGGTGGGTAATAAGACTTCGCCCCACAGTTGAGATTTAGGAACTATGTACTCACTTATGGCAGGAAGGCTTTATAAGAAGGGGGCTATGAGAGAAAATATTTGCAAATCATCTGGGCACAGTGATGCATGCCTGTAGTCCCAGCTACTCAGGAGGCTGAGATGGCAGGATCCCTTAAGCCTAGAGTTCGACACCAGCCTGGACAACATAGTGGGATCACATCTCTATAAATGAAGGAATGAATGAAAACCATTGAAAAAATATTTGTAAATCATATTTCTGATAAGGGATTTATATCCAGAATATAGTACTCTTACATTCAATGATAAGATAAAATTTAATAAGGGGCAACGATTTGAGTAGCCATTTCTGCAAAGAAGATATACAAATGGCCAATAAGCACACAAAAAGGTACTCAACATCCCACTAGGGAAATGCACATTAAAACTGCAGTGAGAGACTATTTTACATCCGTAGGGTGTCTGTTGTAAAAAAAAAAATTCTTTTTTTGTTGGGGTGGGGGCGGCGGTGGGGGATAGGATCTCAGTCTGTAGCCCAGGTTGGAATGCAGTGGTGCGGTCGCAGCTCACTGCAGCCTCTAACTCCTGGGCTCAAGTGATCCTCCTACCTCAGCCTCTCACATAGCTGGGACTACAGTTACGCACCACCACATCTGACTAATTTTTAAATATTTTGTAGAGATGGGGGTCTCACTGTGTTGCCCAGCTGGTCTCGAATTCCTGGGCTCAAGTGATCCTCTTGCCTTAGCCTTCCAAAGTATTGGGATTACAGGTGTGAGCCATCGCGCACGGCCAAGACTGAGTTTAATAACAGGTCTAGGTGAGGATATTGAAAAATTGGAACCCCCAAACACTGCTAGTGGGAATGTGTCTGTGGGTTTTAATTTGGGAATTCAAGGAATATCTCTTGAGGGTTTTAATTTGAGGACAGTGGGAAGAGAGATACAGTGTTTTTGTACTTAGAATGTTTTCAGAAGAAGGCTAAACCCAGGGAAAGCTATTGGAGTGGGGAGTTAGGTCAGGCTGAGAAGGCTGGGGTATACAAGTGGTACCCCAAAGACAAGCTTTCCCTCTATACAAGTTTTGTTTAGGCCTGGCTCTGTCCTCTGGAAAAGGAAAAGAAATTCTCTTCCCATTTCTTCTTAGGAAAAATTACCGTGCTTTGGAGGTTGGAACTTGGGGCTGATACTGGCAGGGCCATATCCAGTAGTAGCTTTTGTGGTTTGGCCTCCGAATATACCTGCAATTTAGGAAAAAACTCCAAATAACTTATAAACAGACTTTTGTCATAGAACCAGTTTGTAAGCTGACTTTGTACTGTACTTTCTGCTGGCACATACCAGGCCCATTCATTTGCAACTAAATACTATATGTGAGGTAATACATATATATTAGCTGAAAATGTATGGAAGGCAAATGAAGGCACATGGTTGCTTTAGGCAGTCTGAGACAACTGGCAACACTGAAGACCTCACTAAATTTTGTTAAAAAGGAACTAAAAGGATTACTGGATTTAGTGTAGCTTTTATTATTCTGCATTAGAGTTCTGGGGATTAAATTATAGACATATATAATTGTACATGTTAGATTAAATGAAATACTAATTTCAGTCAAAAGCTATACTTCAGTGAAGGAATATCAAGCATATTGGAAACATTTGACAAAAAAAATAAGGGAGGATGTTGCAGGGAACAAAGGTTCTCTGTGACATGACAGCTGCTGCTAAAAAGTGACACAAGGAGGAGCCCAGCTCTGGCTCACAGCTGCCTGAAGTTGCTGCAGTCTTCTCTAGTGTTACCAGAGGAATTTGCTCTGCTCTTGTTTTAGAAAATGGAGGCTACCAATGGCTAACTAGGTCCTTATTGTGCTTGGGGAAATTAATTCTTCTTTCCCCACTGCAGTCCTCCCCTACTTTGAGATCTGTGTGCAAGTATATTACTTAGCTTCAGGAAAGTTTTAAAAACCTTGAGCATGTAAATCGAGTTTTATATGTCCTGGGACATACATATAACACAATTTTAACTGGAACTCTAATTCATTTTAGCTTCTTTTGAAACCCAAAAGACAGAATAAAACAGTAGGTGCCAAGTTATCCTCATATTCCAAGAACTTGCATAGTGGGTAGCCTTAAACTGGTTTTGCACATGTAGCCCATACCTACCTCTAGGGAATAAAAGTGTTGAGATTATTAAGGGTTCTAAGACAATGTTTTTGGAAAGAGCTATTAGTATGTTGTATGTTTGGTGTCCTTTCCTGCTTCCACACGTAGTGGAGGAGAGGAGAAAGATGCTTCTCCTTAAGCCCCTTTCATTTAAGCCAAATGATGAGGGAGGCTCCAATGGAGTCATTCTGAGAATTTGACATGTATCCCCTCGAGTTTGGGGAATGAAAGGTTTAGTATACAAATCTATGGATCAGTAGCCCTGAGGCAGCAGAGCACAGAGAGGGCTGTATGTTAGCACTTTGTACTTAGAAAGACGTTAGTGTTTCCTCAGGCTGCTGGGTGAAACCAGCTTAAAGCCATCTAGAAAGGGACACTGTGCTCGGCCACCTAGAAGGTGACATGAACCAGGAGGAAGGTACCCATGGAAACCCCAGAGGTGGAGGGTTGGAGTTGTAAATGGCCAGGTCTCACTTAAGTTCTGGGAATTGAGTATGGAGGGCCCTCATGAAAAAGTTGGTATGAACATCACACTTAATTGGTGTGGCCTTTTGACACCCCCATAGCTTTTCCCACTGCTTCAGTTCCCACTCTGAAGGAGCCAGAGACAGCCTTGTTGTGGGTAGAAGAGATGCAGAGCAGGGAGAGAGAGATGATGACAGGACCCCTCACATCCCCCAGCCCAACTAGACTTCTCAGCTCCACCAAGGAAGGGGAGAAGCTTTAATTTAGATGAGTATTGATTACTGCAGTTAAGACAGTTATTGAAACTATGGTGTTCTTGGGGCTGAAGGATATTTAAACTTTTTTCCCCCCTTTTTGTGGAGATGGGGGTCTCTCTCTGTCGCTGAGGCCGGTCTCAAACTCCTGGGCTCAAGCAGTCCTCCTGCCTCTGCCTCCCAAAGGGCTGGGATTACAGGCATGAACTGTTGTGTTTGGCCTAAATATATTTATAGTCAAAGAATGATTTTAAAAAATTATGAGACTTGCCTTAGATTTCATTCAGGAACAAGGAAAAACTTTCCCACAGAGGGGCTTGGAGGGAAAGTTTTATGCTTATACCCATTGAGTTTAACTCAGTATATCAGTTATTCATACATTCACTTAGACACATACATGAAAGGATAAGCAATTGTAAAAGGAAATTGTAAGTAGCAATTATATAGTATACATTAAGCTTGGTATATGTATTTTCCAAATCACAACTTATTACTAATAAGACAGAAGTTGAGAAAAATCCAAACTGTTGTCACTTTAAGGGTAAGAGAATATTGAGATTGTTTTCTGGTTGGAGTGTTGAAAGCATTGCAAAGAAAGCAAGATGTGATTTGGGCTTTATCAGCTATAATTTATTAAGGGCCTACTGTGTGTCATCTGTTGGGCTTTGTACTCTACATAGACATAGAGTATTTTTAACTTTTCACAACAATCCTGCAAAGTTGGTGTGATTTTCATTTCATAGACAAGGAAACTGAGGTTCAAACAGGTTAAGTGAGCTACTCTAGTTTCCCACAGCTGGCAAACTGATAGAACTGTGTCCGGGTCTATTTGACTTACATCTCAGACTCCCTCAATTCTGCTGCCTCCCTAGGCAGCCCCACACACCAGAGATACAGTGGTGGGACTAGGGACAGGATGGCTTCAGCCAGCGCTTCTGTCCTGGAAGAGGAGAGTGGAGGCTACATAACAGTCACTGGGGACCTGTGGCCCTTATTAGATCCCGAGGGGCAACTTTGTGAGCTTCCCCCTACTCCCTGGGAGTGGGAGCAGCTCCCTGGGAAGCTTTTCCTTTTCTCTTACAACTTCTTTGCTGCCACATCTGAAGTGGGCATTGGAATATGCCTTCCCTAAACTAGCTGTTCTTGCCCTTTTCTGTTGAGGAAATGGAGTTAGAGATGTGTTAGTTTACCCAAGGACTCAAACAGCTAGCAAGTAGGATGGCTTCTGGATTTGGATTTCAGGCTCTCCGACTCCAGAGCCCTTGTGTTTTCTTCTCATCATGTTGTCTCCAGTAAAGATATAAATGCATCTATTAATAGGAAGCAAGTTAATGAAATCTCATTTTGGTTTATCATAATTTAAAAAACATAGTACGTGTTTTATGGATAGAAGTAATAATAGGGAAATGCTGTCTTAAACTGGAAGGGAGCAGAGAATCACAGAATTTTGCTTCTAGAATGTTTCATGACCTGATATCTGTGTGTAGTGTGGGGGTAAGGGGTGAGCTGAGCAGGAGCTCAAGAAGGAGAAGAAAAGAAAGAAAATTTGTTAGTCTTGGTTTTTGGTGTGTGTGTGTGTGTGTGTGTGTGTGTGTGTGTGTGTATGTGTGTGGTACATTTACTCCTTGTTTTATAGGCCAATAAGGGAATGAGAAATTTGAAATTTTATGAATTTTATTTATTTATTTTAATTTTTGAAAGAGTCTCGCTCTGTTGCCCAGGCTGGAGTGCAGTGGCATGATCTTGGCTTACTGCAACCTCTGCCACCTGGGTTCAAGCGATTCTCCTGCCTTTCTTAGCCTCCTGAATAGCTGGGACTACAGGTGCCCGCTATCACGCCCAGCTAATTTTTATATTTTTAGTAGACACGGGGTTTCACCATGTTGGCCAGGCTGGTCTCGAACTCCTGACCTCAGGTGATCCACTTGCCTCGGCCTCCCAAAGTGCTGGGATTATAGGCCTGAGCCACCATGCCTGGCCTATGGATATGTCACTTTCGATGGGATCAGTGGAAGCAGGAATGGAAGATGAGTGTGAGTGTGTTTTACTTTCAGAGAGGCAGATTAGCAAAGTTATTTGATGTTTAAGCACTAAGCAGGTCACTTTACTTCTCTGACAAAGTCCCTGCCCTCATGGAGTTCCTTTCTAGTTCGGTCGGGGAAGAAATGGACAATAAAAGTAAAAAATAAAAGACGAAGTAGATAAGATATATGTGGTGTTGAGAGAAAAGGAGGAAGGGAGAAAAGAGGGAGGGGGAAAAGAGAAAAAAACCTGGAAAATATTCTGAGCAAGAAAAAACATCAGCCTTCTACATGATGTGTAGTCTTGAGTAGAATGAGGTGAAAGCTCAGGGTTAAAAAAGGATCACTGTCTCTTTCCTTATGTGCTACCACCAGATTTAGAAAAAATTAATTTTAATATGAAAACTGTCAAATATATACAAAAGTCCAGAGAACCTACAACCATATACACGTTGCCCAGATTCAGTATTTTTCAGGGTTTTCCTACACTTGTTTATTGTTTCCGTTCTCTCCTTTCCTTTTCCCTTCCCCTTTCTATACCCTATGGTTTTAGAGAACTCCTACGACTTTCCTGAGAATGATGCTGTGCTCAGAACTGCCCTCCATTTGTTTACAACTCCCCAGTGGTACCTTAGAGCTAGCCTATCCTTTTTCTATGCAAGGGTGGTAGACTTAACCAGTGTGCTGGATTCACTGAGTTTCCTAGAATTTCCAGTAAATTACCAGTCCCAGGGTGTAGACCAGGCACCACTCTGTGGCAGTGTTTGGGAACTACACTTTCACCAATAGCTTGGTGTCAGAAGAAAGTGTGTTGTCACTCCTTACCACTGAAGGCGGAAGGGCAACTCACCCCTTTTTCTCTCCTTCCTTCTTCTTTTCCTCCTTAACGTGGCTTCTTTGAATGGGGAGATACTGAGTTGGCAGTTCTCCTTAGGAGGCCAGCCCGAGCTCCTGTTATGCAATCTAGTGGCATGTAAGCAGGATTATCCTGCTTATCCCAGCATAATATTATACTTTGGCATTATTAGGGGCTTCTGACAAACTTACCCAGATCAATTTTTTTTGAGGCGGGGGTGGAAACAGGGTCTTGCTTTGTTGCTCAGGCTGGAGTGCAGTGGTGCCATCATGGCTCACTGCAACCTCATCTTTCTGGGCTCAAGCAATCCCCTGACCTCAGTCTCCTGCCTCAGCCTCCTGAGTAGCTGGGACTATAGGCGCGTGCCACCATGCCTGGCTAATTTATTTTTTGTAGAGATGGGGGTTGCCCAGGCTTGCCAGACCCGATTTTATCTCTGTCTGAATGTGATAGCTTCCCTAATCCTAAATGTTTCTCCACATCTCCTGACAATGTTAAAGAAACTGAAGTTCATTTGCCCATCCATACTACCGGGAAGGCATGCTGCCCTTTGAATGGGAGGGTATTCCTTGTCTTTTGACTAGGATTCTTCTGCACACATCCTTTCATGTCTATCAGGAAACATGTGCTCTCTCCATCCTCCACCCTTCCTTTCCCCTCAGTGTACTCTTTTGAGCCCTTGGGTCCACCCTTCTTCCCTATCCTTGCCTGAACCTTTACTGTCTAGCTCAGTGCAATACTGTGCTTGCTTTTTTTTCCTCTTTTTTTCTCTTTCTGCTACAGAACATCCTTTCTGGGCTGTGGTTGGTAACTTTTTATAATTTCAGGAGAGAGACTGTTTTCTTTTCTGGCAAATTGCTGAGGCTGTGTTGATAAGTGAACGCATACATAGTTCTGTACATAACTGTAGTATTAACTGTCTAACTTCTCTTGCCTTCTGAACAAGCATGGTATTGGCACTTCATGCTGTTTGTTTTTTGGCTTGGGTATAGACTTAAAATGCCCCAATCCTTCTCTTGCCCCCAGTAATACCTCAACTACTGGTGGTTGTATAAAAGGCACTGGACTCTGAAGATAGAGACCTTGTCTTTATGGAGTATCTTTATGGAGTACTTAGTAGGTGCTTCATACATGATCACTGAACAAATGAGTGAGTGAAATCAAGAGAGCAAGGACAATTGGCTGAAGGGTTTCAAGTAGTGGGAATGAGGCTTTGCATGGTGAACAACACAGATCAAACTGGATGGCTTTGCATACTACATAAAACCTGGAGGGCTTTGCATAGCATGTAAAGAAACTATGGAATCCTGTAAGCAGCAGGGAGCCATTTAATTTATATGTTCTCTAGAGGTATAATTCATATATGTACAAAAAAGTGTACAGATCTTAAGTGTACAGCCTGATGGGTTTTTACTTATGTAAATTAACTGTGTAGTTGCTGCTCAGATCCAGAGACTATTTCCAGAACCCCAGCTTTTGTCTTGATTCACAACGTTTGGATACCAAATCCCAGAGGTCGTGTGGTTGGTCTGAAGTGTAACTAGGACTGGAATTATTACAGCTACTCCTGAGCTTAGCAAATCTTTATACTTGAGTAAAAAACACTAATTCAGACCATTTAACTGCATGACAAAAACAATAGTTATTATTATGGTTGACATTTATTAATCAGCATGCCTTGGCACTTCATATGCATTATTTCATTTTACCTGCTTCACAGGATTTTGTTCCTGTCTCTGTTTTACAGATGCTGAAGATTAGACATGTAAAGTGATTTGCCTTAGGTCCCACAGCTAGGGAATAGCAGAGTTAGAATTAAACCCACGACACTTCATCACGGGGACTGATTACTTATTGGTGATCTGTTGCCTCAAATATCTGGTACCCAAGTTTAACAAAAATGTTGCCTTTTTGGTGAGAGGTGATGCCTGTATTTGTTACCTGCACACAGTGAATGCTCTTAGGGATATTCTGACCTATGGATTCTTAGAATTTTGAGAGGGAAAGAGGTTTTTGATTCTATGATAGGCAGTTCCCAGAGTGATGTTTCGTTGGAGGAGGATTGTTTCAATGTGGATGGCTCTTTACAATTTACGTGTAGCCAGTAGATGATGGTCTCTGTAGACAAAGTATGAAGATAGGACACAGCAAAGATTGGGTGTGAACCTAAATATCCAAAAATCCCAACAATGAATTTGTCTTAAAAATTAATATGAGTGGAAATAAATGCATGTAGCAGTATGGCAAAATTCTTGTAATACTAAGATTGTGTTTCAAGAGTTAAGACATCCAAAGAAATGTCCATAGCGAGTAGAGGTAAAACAGTTTATTATACTGGACTTCAAAGTTGCAACAATCTTTTATATAACAATCAAACCAACAATCTTTTGTGCATGTTAATATCTTAATCTCACAACGCCAAGAACTGTCACATTTAAAGAATTCTAGCTATTGTGCATGGCTTGGCATTTGTAAAAAATGTATTTAACATTTGTTTATTATATTTTAGGCCAAATCAGTAGGGACAGTGTAGCACTTTTAGGCATCAGCTGGGAGTAGTCAGTGAAATTCAGGTTTTACAAGATATAAAAGCATGGCATATGGGGAAACATGTTTCAAGAAATGAATCTTAAAAAGTACAGCGCATGCTTTATCCAATTTGCTTGTGAAAGACTGCTGATTCCTGTTGTTTAAAATAGTGGGTGTAGAGAATATTGTTGCCAGTAAAATTTATTTACTTTTTGAAGTGGCATGGGTGCCAAAAAGTAAGTTCATGATTGTTTTGATACCTGCTTTTTTTTTTTTTTAAGGCTAGTTAAGTGAATTGATACCTGTTTATTTTTAAATGGTGATGGAGTGGTGGAGGAGATGGCTTCCTACTAAAAGTTACTGCTGTTGGTGAACATTTCTTTTACAGACTTTGTTCAATACATCATGCATTGAAGTGAAACATCAAAAAACAAATAGGATTATAGATATGGAATTCTGTGATTAAAGTTAAACATTTTAATTTTAATTTAAAAAAAATTTTTTTAAGAGACAGGGTGTTATTCTGTCTTCCAGGCTGGAGCGCAGTGTGGCATGATCATACCTCACTGTAACCTCGAACTCCTGGGCTCAAGCAGTTCTTCTGTCTCAGCCTCCGGAGTAACTAGGACTACAGGTGTACACCACCACATCTGGCTAAGTCTTAAATTTTTCGTGGAGATGCGGTCTCACCTTGTTGCCCAGGCTAGTCTGGAACTCCTGGGCTCAAGTAATTTTCACAAAGTGTTAGGATTACAGGCATGAGCCACCATGCCTGGCTTTAAAGTTATTCTTAAGACTTAAATAAAATGTGGAAAGTGTCCTTCAAAAAAAATATGTAAAGTCATGGTATCAGGCAGATTAATATATCTCCTCCCAAAACCAGGGGATTCTTTTCTGTCCTCTTCAAGAGTGCTTGTTTCTGAGTAGCTCTCTGGTGTTTGCATAGGTCGCCACGAATGTTGGGTCCCAAGAGCCAGGAACCCTTGCCTGAAGAAGGCTAAATACTCTTGATGCTGGTTCCTAGCATTAAGCTGTCTCCTTCCAAATCATTCCTTCAGATTTTGTAATGAGCCAGTGGGAAAATGGGCTTTGAGGAAGTCAGTCCAAAGTAGATCAAAGGAGATACTCAGAACAAATGGAGGATGATGTTGGTGTCCTGGTTAGTGCCCTTCTGTAAGAAGAGGGAAATGCACTCTCTCAGATTATTGTTGTTATCTTTTTTAAACCTTTTTCTTTTTTGGAGACAGGGTCTCATCCTGTCACCAAGGCTAGAGTGCAGAGTGGTATGATCATGGCTCACTGCAGCCTTGACCTTCTGGGCTCAGGTGATCCTTTCACCTCAGCCTCCTGAGTAGCTGATTTTTTAAAACCCTTTTAAATAAAACTGAAATGTAGGCTGAGATTCTTCCCTTCTTACTTGGATACTTTAACTGTCCCCCCCCTTTTTTTTATGGTAATGACTTCGGTAGTTGGGAGGGTTTGATCAGAGAAGAGAGGAATAGAATTTAAGATAAAAAAACAACAAAAGATGTCAGTGAAAGAGTAAGTTTGAGGTTCCTACTAATGAAAAAATTTCAAAATGATATTTTCTTGTAGTACATAAGGCAGTTGAAAGGGGAATAAGACAAAGTGTGAGAAAAGAAAGGTATAAGATGAAATGTTCCAGGCCTCTTTGTGTTGTCTCCATTTTTTCCAGATACTTGACTTCTTAGGACTGATGATTATAATCAGGTTGCTAATTCAAATAGGTCTGAATTATAACTTACTGTGTTTTCTAATTTTTCTAGAGTTTGAGATCTAGATTCTTAACCTTAAATAATTATGAAAAAAGTTGTAGATCTTTTACAGTCTTGCATATTTCAGATATGAAAATTTAGAGATACCTAGTACCTTTTCTTCACGTGAAGGTGCTCATAAGAACATTTGGTGGGGAATTGTCATAGAGGGTAAACCCTAGTACAGTGAAAATGTTTTGATTAGTTCTGGATAAGTGGAATTTGTTAAGCAAAGTTACATTGGTACATTGGTAGGCAGGTAATCATAAATTTTATTTTATTTTTTATTCTATTTATTTTATTTATTTTTATTTTTGAGACAGGGTCTTGTCCTGTCTCCCAGGCTGGAGTACAGTGGCACAATCATGGTTCATTGCAGCCCCAACCACCTGGGCTCAAGTGATCCTCCCACATCAGCCTCCCAAGTAACAGAGACCACAGGTACACACCACGTCGGCTAATTTTTTAATTTTTTAATTTTTTTTTAAGAGATAAGAGTCTTGCTGTGTTGCCCAGGCTGGTCTCAAACTCCTGGCCTCAAGTGATCCTTCTCCCTCGGCCTCCCAGAGCATAGGATTACAGGTGTGAGCTACCATGCCTGGCCATGAATTTTAAAATAAAGTTTTTTCTTTTCTTGCAGTCCTATTTTGTAACGGATTATGATCCAACCATTGAAGATTCTTACACAAAGCAGTGTGTGATAGATGACAGAGCAGCCCGGCTAGATAGTAAGTAAACTTCCTTTGTTTGATAATTTGCATATCATATTTTTTAAAAAAGTAAGCGCTGATGTTTTGCTATGTTAAATAATATATTTGAAATATTAGATGATCTGGAATATTAGCCCATGTCATTTATAAGTTTTGATTGAAGAGTCTGCATAATGGGTAATTTAAATATTCCTCAATAAATGAAAAGTAAAACGATATTTGTATTGATCTTGTTCTAGTGAAACTGGTCTCATTGCAGTTTGTTGAAGTTGATTTTATTGGGACAACTGGAAAAAACCTGTCAGGTCTCAACTCTTCCTACCTTTTGGCAAAGGTTAAAATGGATGAAGTGAATATAGAAAAAGTTTGATACTGTTACTTAGAATTTATAGCACAGAGACTTTAGCAAGTACTGTTTTGTGTCTAAACATCCCCCCTCTCCACAAAGAAAGCTCTATTCTTCTAATATGTATGATTCTTTTATTTACAGAGATCAAAAGTTACATTAGCACCTGCACTAAGTATGGTATTGGGGGATAGTGGTTATAACTCAGATTTCTTTCTTGAATTTACAGGTATCTTTTTCAGTTTTTTCCATGGAGGGGATAAAACATTCAAGTGATTTTAGAGGTCACCTGACTCCATCTGATTAAATGTGTTTGATATTTTTAAGCTTCTAATTAGTGTGCTAATATATTCTAACCACAAAGTCAACCCATACTGATGAAGATAAACTCTGTAACTGTCTGCCATTAGAATATATTTGCCTTTAGTATTAAGAATAAAGTACTAAGAAAGGAATGCCATTTCTGTATTATACCAAGTATGAGGCTCTCTAGAGGACTCACATTAATTGGTCTTGCCCTTGTGGGGAAGCAGTTTATAAAAAACAAGTATAATTACATTTGTTGTTTTTTCTTTAGTTTTGGATACAGCAGGACAAGAAGAGTTTGGAGCCATGAGAGAACAGTATATGAGGACTGGCGAAGGCTTCCTGTTGGTCTTTTCAGTCACAGATAGAGGCAGGTTTGTACCATATTAGAATGTAGATCCACTGTTCTTGTCAAGATCACTAGACTTTATTGAGTTTGGACTTTTTGTTTTTATAGAAAAAGGAAAAATAAAGTACTAATTGGGGCATGAGACTTGCTGAATTCTGATACTTGACCAAATTGATTAATTTGTTTTTGATTTTTTTTTTTTAAGTTTTGAAGAAATCTATAAGTTTCAAAGACAGATTCTCAGAGTAAAGGATCGTGATGAGTTCCCAATGATTTTAATTGGTAATAAAGCAGATCTGGATCATCAAAGACAGGTGAGAAGGAATTTCACTGTTGGGAAACCAATTGTTTATAATCATGTGAGTGAACTGATAGATTTAAGGAAATAATTGAAAGTCTAGTAAAAAAAAAATACGGTGCTCCATGCCACTTAAGTGTTTATAGCTGAGTCTGGCACACTGTATTTACAGAAGTCACAGCGGGTGAAAAATAAAAAGGAAGTAGATTTGGGGAAATTAAAATTCCTTATTTTCAAATAGTTTTTCATAAAATTTTATAAGACTTTATAAGCCTGCAAGTGTTTAAACTAGCTTTATTCGCATGTAATAATTTCTTGGATTACATCCAAAACTCTAACTTAGTTGGATAATTTCAAAGTTACCACTAAAGGCCTAAGTTATTCGGTGTTAATACTAAATTAACTTCATGTAGAGAATGGCTTTCATTTAAATTGCAGTATTTGGATTTTTTTCTAAGTCACTTTAATGACTGAATTTTCTGTTAATTCTTTACATTGGCTAGCTCTAACACTTCAGTAACATTTAATAAAATAATATTTTTAGTATTTAGTTTGCAGGCTAATTTATTCTCACTTGTTTCTTTACCCACTTACTGAAATTTTATTAGTTAAAACAATTTTTTGGTAACATTGCACATTCATCTTTTTTGTAGGGGAGGGGAACAAGGTCAGTTGTATATTAATGCCGGCTGTTCATTTGTATTAGTCCATTCTCATGCTGCTAAAAGGACATACCCAAGACTGGGTAATTTATAAAGAAAAAGAGGTTTAATGGACTCACAGTTTCACATGGCTGGGGAGACTTCACAGTCATGGCGGAAGGCGAAGGAGGAGCAAAGACACGTCTTACATGACGGCAGGCAAGAGAGAGTGTGCAGGGAAACCGCCCTTTATAAAACCATCAGATCTCCGAGAACAGGATGGGGGAAACCGCGGATGATTCAATTATGTCCACCTGGTCCCTCCCATGACACGTGGGGGTTATGGGAACTGCAGTTAAAAAAGATGAGATTTGGATGGGAACACAGCCAAACAATATCAATGTTATATGGCTTTTTTTAAAGGTCTTTTGTCTCTACCCCACATCTGAAATGTATTGTTTAAATTGTTTATTTTGCTGGTATTTAAGTATTCTTGTTTTTATATTATGTTGTGTTTACAGATTCTTAGGATTTTGTTGGAAAAGTGTAAACATCAGGAAAAATTGGTTGATAAACAGCTTTGAGGGCAGCTTTCTATTTTGTAACTGTCTCTGATTTTAGCTGTGTACATAAAATTTTATTGGCGGCATACCCAATTTCAAACACTGACTTAAGAGAAAATGATATATATATATATATATATATATATATATATATATATTTGTTTTGTTTTGTTTTGAGACGGAGTCTCGTTCTGTCGCCCAGGCTGGAGTGCAGTGGCGTGATCTTGGCTCACTGCAAGCTCTGCCTCCCGGGTTCACGCCATTCTCCTGCCTCAGCCTCCCAAGTAGCTTGGGACTACAGGCGCCTGCCAGCATGCCCGGCTAATTTTTTATATTTTTAGTAGATACGGGGTTTCACCATGTTAGCCAGGATGGTCTCGATCTCCTGAACTTGTGATCCACCCACCTCGGCCTCCCAAAGTGCTGGGATTACAGGCATGAGCCACAATGCCTGGCCCAAGAAAATGATATATTATCTTAATGCTAAGATTTGGAAATGTCCACTGATGAAACTTGGTATAGAATAAATTTTCCTGCTAAATCTCGTTCAAATCTGGTTATAAAGTTAGAGTGAAAAAATTTGTTCTTCATTTCAAATCAATATAAACTGTTTGAAATAATTAAGAATATGGCATTGCTTACATTATAAACCTAGCATAGACAGTTCATCTATTTTTTTTAGATTTAATTTTGTTTTTTTTTAAGACCATTTCCTTGAGGTTTCTAAACCTGATTATATTTATTGATGTTGCCCAGTGGACCCTGCCTGTGGCTCTTCTCAGTTCTTTCTAGTACTAGAAACTCTATATGTCATTGCATCTGGGAAATAATGGCAAAGTAGATGTGCATTGAAGGAGTTCTCTTCCTATCTCTCGCTGACTTTTGCCTCACCCCTATATGCTTCCTGTCCTGAATATAGAAATAGGATCTTTCTCAAACCTTCTCATGGTGGTAGCTCCAGTAAAGGAATAGGTAGGAGACCTAGGATAGGTGGAGATCTCCTGTAGGGTAGGCAGTGGCAGATTAGGGAAGGGAGGAGGGTGTATGCCCACTAGAACCCCAAAGAGGCTCTGCCATTATCAGCTTGGGTCTATATGAGTTATTTTTAAGTTGTCTATACACCAGATTGAGGATCCCTAGCCCAAAAATCTGAAATCTGAAATGCTCCAAAATCTGAAACTTTTTGAGAGCCAACATGATTCCACAAGTGGAAAATTTCACACCTGATGTCATGTGATGTCACAGTGAAAGCTTTGTTTCATGCACAAAATTACTTAAAATATTGTATAAAATTATCTTTAGGCTATGTGTGTAAAGTGTATATAAAAAGTAAATTTTGTGTTTAGGCTTGGGTCCCATTCCCAAGAAACATCATTATGTATATGCAAATACAGTATTCTAAAATCAAAAAAATTCCAAAATCCCAAACACTTCTGGTCCCATGCATTTTGGATAAGGGGTATTCAACCTGTACTGAAGATTGCCAGAATGTGGTATGCAGTTTCCATCTGTCTGCAGACAGTCAACATATTGTGGCACTGGCTTTGTTTGTATATCATTGGATTATAATTTTTTTCGTGGAAGTTTTTTTTTTTACTTTTTGTAAAAGTAATAGATTCTCAGGGTAAAAAAGTGAGAGAACAATATAGGAAATGATTTCCTTATTTCAGTCACCCTAAAGATACGTAGTGTTAGCTTGCAGTAAGTTATTTTTATTTATTTTTCCATCTAAACCATATAAATAGACATAAATTATGTATATCTTGAAAAGCTTAGATGTATATATATCCAAGGGAGAAAAGCAAGTGCCTGAAATCTGATTGCTTAGTTTTCTGCTCATTTATATGGCGTCTACTCTCTGAAGGATAGACACAAAGAAAAGTTTTATTCCTCCTTATGCTTTTTCTTCCTTTGCACCTGTACTCAGGCATGTTGACTACTCTCACTTTTAAAGTCATGACCACTAATCTTTATGGGCCTTTAGTGCTGACTGGGAATCCTACATTTCCCTAGTCCACCTATTTCCCATTTGTTTGGATAATTTTTACATACTTTCTCATTTTCTTCAACCTGTAACACTTTCTTCTCTTTCCTCACTCTCAGCTGATAATGTGTATGTTTTCCTGTTTCTGTGAGAAATTTCTACATGTCCTTACCTCCATATCTACTAACATGAGTGCACAGGTACCCCATCAAGTTCACTTCCCTCCACTTACATGGATAAACTGTTCATCTGTCTATGATCAACTTCTCCACCAGACACTGGATCCTGTTCCTTCTCACCAACTCATGGACATTACCCCAGCAATTGTTCTATTTCAGATGAACATTTCTGCATGATCATTCCCATCAGCATACAACATGCTACAATGTCTCTTATCTTTAAAACAAAAAAACTACAGCATAAACTTTTAATCTCACATTCCCCTCTGAGTATATTTTTTCTGCCCCTCTTTAATAGCAAAACTCCTGAAACTTACTTTCTCTACTTTTTCTCCTGCCGTTCTTGATTCTACAGACATCAGGCATTCAGTGCCACTGTCAGTATCACTAATTGGACAAATGTCAGTGACATTTGACATGGTTGATCACTTCCTTTTTGAAGCACATTCTTTACTTAGCTCTGAGATAGTATTTCCTGCTCCTCCAGCCTCCCCAGTGTCCTTTGTTGGTACTACTTTGTCTCCGTGTCTCTCTAAAGTGTCTTGGGCTCTGGATGTGCAAAGACAAACATGCCTTATCTCCCACCCTTAGGGGGCATGCTATTGAAATTGAGATACTATAGCATGAAATTGAGATGCTATAGTAGAGGTTTTTACCTTTTTTTTCCCCCCTGAAACGGGTCTTGCTTTGTCTCCCAGGCTGGAGTGCAATGGCACGATCTCCGCTCACTGCAACATCCACCTCCCGGGTTCAAGCGATTCTCCTGCCTCAGCCTCCTGAGTAGCTGGGCTTACAGGCATGGGCCACCATGCCCAGCTAATTTTTTATATTTTTAGTAGAGATAGGGTTTCACCATGTTGGCCAGGCTGGTCTCAAACTCCTGATCTTGTGATCTGCCGCCTTGGCCTCCCAAAGTGATGGGATTACAGGTGTGAGCCTCTGCGCCCAGCCGGTTTTTACCTTTTTAACATCTCTTCACAATTAAAGGTGTCCGTCTATAATGTCTTGACACACTTACGTTGTTCTACCAAGTCAACTTGGACAGGCCACGGGGATGCTGTAAAAGCTTCTTTCCGCCTGTTCAGAGATGTTTAGTTTTTTGTCATCTGTAGGTTCTGAGTAACCAGTCTGGCTTGCTCTCTGTTGCCGACACAGCTTGTTTTTTTCTACCTTTGTCTTAGACTTGATCATTTGTAGTTTCTTTACCTTCTAGCCTATTTTCTTGTAGATAATAAATGCCATTTCTCCTTGTTCTTTGAATTTGTGGGTCAGCACTGGCCATTTCTACCACTGGCTCCTGAGATTCTGAACCCCACCAGGGTTCAGGGATATCATCCAGAAGAGGCTTTGCTTGCTTGCTTATGGCCTCTGTATCTGTGGACTGGGTTGCTTCTTTCATCCTTCCATCCATTCATCCAGTATTTATTGAACACCTTTTCTAGGCAGTGATGATGCAGCAGTAGACAGAATAGTCACTGAGGTTTACGTGAGATAAAAAGATATCTGTAGAATTTGAGTGGTTGTTTAGTATTACCAGCCATCTGGTCCCTTAAGATATGCCAGTCATTTTGTTTATTCTGCTAAAGGTGTAGGAAGAAAACATAGGTAAATGATTTGCTTAACTTTGCTAAAATATGAAAGTAGGTAAATATAACAACACTTGAATCTGAAATTAAATAGCACAGTATGTTGGCTTAGACAGTGGAATTTCATGATATATCTGATTTCAAGTTCCTTGTCCTCAACTCAGCCCTGTCTAGAGATCAACTGTCTTTGCTTTTTTGTCTTTACCATCTTTCTCCTGGCTTACCTTGGTTGTTCCCTCTTTTTCCCCTCCTTTTAGTTGCTTAATTATTAATCGTTACTATTAATTTGAGAAAATAACTTATTATACTTAAAATAATAGATAGCTAAGTATATCAATCCAGACTCCCATCTGTCAGTACTTTTGACCAGTGTGCCCCCTACAGCCTCCTAGGAAAAAGAACCCCTCCTCAAATAGTAGAGGATCTTACCACATGTGGCGTTATCTGTGCCTTATGTGCGTCTAAAAGGGTTTAGATGGTGAATGTAGGTGTAGGTACTATGAGGGTTTCTCGGTTTTGACAGGTCAATTTTGTTCAGGCTTTATCGTTAGCATATAGAACAGAGGTATGCACTAAATAAGTATTTGTTGGGTGGATGAATCTGGGTGCCAGTGAGTTAAGACGTTGTATTAATGTGATGATTCTTTTTACATAATAGATGTTTGTGAAAACAAGTTTTGCTTCTGTAAACTTCATTAACTTGACATAACTCTGAGCACTGAAATGTAGTTTATTCTATTTGGAAATATGTAGTACTAGATGAGCTCATACATGTTATTGTGAACTGCTGCTGCTACCTGTGTTTTTGAACTGAGTCTTACTGGAAGCTTCCAAATGTAGTTCTGTGAATTTGTTGCATCAGATTTGCCCTGGTTATTTAAAACAAAACATGTCTGGGAAGTGCTAAAATCTACCAAATCAGAATATCCAGGAGATGAGGCTTAATATTATTTGGTATCTTTATGAAATTATCTGGGTTGAGGAACCTCTAGGAAGTACTTACTTTTGTAACTTTCAGTTTTCTTTTGATTTCTAACTTCCACAGTGCTATGGCTCTGTTCCGGTATGTTGTCCTTTTTGTCTTTTATTGTTTGCTTTGGTGATGGCAATGCTATTTCTACTTAGTTAAAAGTATGCTGTGTCAGCTCACAAGCATGTGGTTAGAGATTTCTTCACCAGAAATGTATGTATAAATTTGTTGGCTTTGTTTCCTGGAAGACAGTGATGTGAAACCATGCTTTAAAAACAAATAAATGGCTGGGCATGGTGGCAAACACCTGTGATCCCAGCACTTTGGGAGGCCAAGGCAGGCAGATCCCTTGAGCCCAGAAGTTCAAGACCAGCCTGGACAACGTGGCAGGACCCTGCCTCTACTAAAAATAAAAAAAAATTAGGCATGGTGGCACGTGCCTGTAGTCCCAACTACTCAAGAGGCTGATGTGGGAAGGTCACCTGAGACTGGGAGGTTGAGTCTTCAGTGAGCTGTGGCCATGCCACTGCACTCCAACCTGGGTGACAGAGTGAGACCCTGTCCCAAAACCAAACTAAACAAAACAAAAACAAGTGAAGCACATAACCCTAGCAGCAGGATTGTTTTATCATGTAGACCATGAATTAATTAACATTTCGTTTTTTTCTTCTTCTTTTTTTTTTTTTTTTTTTGAGACAGAGTCTTGCTCTGTCAACCAGGCTAGAGTACAGTGGCGCAATCTTGGCTCAGTGCAACCTCCACCTCCCGGGTTCAAGCAATTCTCCTGCCTCAGCCTCCCGAGTAGCTGGGATTACAGGCCCGTGCCATCACACCCGGCTACTTTTTGTATTTTTAGGAGAGATAGGGTTTCACCATGTTGGCCAGGCGTGTCTTGAGCTCCCGACCTTAGGTGATCCACCCACCTCGGCCTCCCAAAGTGTTTGGATTACAGGCATGAGCCACCATGCCTGGCCTAACTTTTTTTACCCTATATAAGGATAGGTGAGTTGCTATTCCTGTTTATGTGAATTACATTATGCATGATGGGTAGGACAAGGTATCTTTTTGAGGAATAATGGAGCAGGAAAGCTACTGGAAAAATTCTAATAAGTACGTGTATTTCCTTCCCCCAATCATATTTACCCCAACAAAGTAAGTAGTTTATTGAGATTTCTTTTACTTTTTGTGTATATATATATATTTTAACTTAAGGATGTACCTATTTGGTTAGTTGTACACCATTTACTTAACATGTGTTTACTTTTTTAGCTGCTAAGCATGCTTCTAAGCTTTGGATGTACAAAGACAAACCTGTCTTAACTTCCTAGCCTCAGAGGACATGATGACGTGGTGAAAGAATAAGAAAACACAACGAAAAATTTTACTGTGGTATTGTTAGAGACTTGTCAGTGGTAACCAGATGGTGTGATGGGAGCTCTGAGAAGGTGCTTCCAAAACAGCACCAACACTTAGGGGGAAGTTTCATTGCTCAGGGCTTGAAAGGTTAGTGAGGAAGAATTTGAGAGTGTAGAGTTGAGAGAGAAGGGATGACATCCCAGGAAGAAGAAACAGAATTTGTGACGGCATAGGGGTATTTTATATGAAGGAATTTCACATGTCAAATTTTCCTAAAACAGAAATTGTCCTGTCTAAAATTGGTGGTTCTGTGAAGCTTTCTGTGTTTACTCGGCTTCCTTCCTTATCGTTAATTGTTCGGGTAACTTGATCAGTTTATATTTCAAATGCATAGCCTTGTGGCACATACGTTATTTTGAAGAGAGACAAGGTAAATTTAAAAGTTAGATAAACTTAGATATACCAGTGCTATGTAGAACCTGCCCGTTATCCTGTTGGAATGCCACAGGGCACAAACAGTTATGAAGTAGTTGTTGGATATATGTATATTGGTGTACTAAACTAATGATACTGTATTGAGGCTGCTAAATTTTTGGAATAGAATATTAAACTGGGAGAACAAATTACCTAAAACGTTTAGAAGGAACAATACCTTGAGCTCAAACAGGGCTAGGAATAATTCATATTCTAATCAATCAAAGTAGAAAACCTTATATTTCTTGGAGTATTGGATAGTATAACTCAGAAGGGTTTTGTCCCAGTAGTGGGGCAAAATTAGCCACACTAAATGCTGTTCTGGTACCCTGTAACAAAACCTAGAGCATGACCTGAAAGGATAATGTATTTCCAAATAACTGCATCCTAGAAGAAAGCTCAGGAATGTGTTTAGGAATACAAAATATCTGATACCTGATACGTAAAAGTCCCAGCCTTCTACTCAGAAATTCCCATACATATAAAGAAGCAAGAAAATATGACCCACAATAAGGAAACAAATAATTAATAGGAGCAGATCCAGAAATGACAAAGATAATAGAATTAGTGGACAGAGACATTAAAACAGTTATTTTGACCGTTATTTTATGCAATCAAGAAAACATGTTAGAGACATGAAAGGTGTAAACAGATCCAAATCAAACTTTCAGAAGTAAAACTACAATGTCTGACATGAAAAATGCACTGGATGGGATTAACAGCAGAAGTCATTGCTGAAAATTTCCACATTTGATGAAAAATACACACATCCAAGAAGCTCAACAAACCCGGAGCACAAGAAATATGAAGAAAATTATAAGATACATTATAATGAAATCACTTAAAATCAGTGGTAAAGAAAAAAATCTGAAAAATAGCCAGACGGGGGGAAAAGAGCACATTACATATGGAAGAACAAAGATAAGGATGGCAGGAGTCATCATTGCATCTCATTGAACAGTGAAGCCAGAAGATAGTGGTGCAGAATCTTTTAAGTACTGATAGCAAAAACTATCAACTAGGATTCATTACCTACTAAAAATTTATTTCAGAAATGAAGATGAAATAAAGACTTTTCCCAGACATGTAAAAGCGAGATAATTCATCCGCAGCAGATCTGCATTACAAGAAATGTGAAAAGATGTCCTTAGGCAGAAGGGAAATGATACCAAATGGAAATCTGAAAATGAATACAGAGTACCAGAGATGGTAATTATGTGGATAAATATAAATTACTCTTACCATAACTGAATATTTAAAGCAAAAATAAACGCATTATGAAGTAAAAGTTAATAACAAAAAAGAGCAGGAGGGAGAAATATTGTTGTTAACTAGTTTGTTTTTTTCTTGAGAGACGGGTTCTCACTGTGTTACCCAGACTGGCCTTGAACTCTTGAGCTCAAGTGATCCTCTTGCCTCAGCCACCCAAGTAGCTGGGACTTTAGGCATACACCACTGCACCTGGCTCTGTTGTAAGATTCTTAAACCATACTTGAATTGGTATGGTATCATTTGAATTAGACTGTCATGAATTAAAAATGTATACCATAAATTCTGAAGCAGCCACTGAAATAACAGATATATAGTTAATTAACCAACAAAGGAGGTAAAATGCAATCATAAAAACAACTCAGCTAACCCAAAAGAAGGTAGAGAAAGAAGACAACTAGAACAAAGAATAGATAATATGGATAGGAAACTAATAGCAAGATGACTCAACTGTATCCATGAGCACATTAAATGTAAATTGCCCAAATGTCTCAATTAAAAGGCAGATGTGTTAGATTGAATAAAAAAACAAGATGCTACAAGAAATCTACTTTAAATGTGAAGACACAAAGGTTAAAGTAAAAGGATGGAGTAAGATATTTATATAGCTACTTTAATTATTTTCATGATTGCCTGGCTAGCAATAATGAAAATAATTAAAGTAGCTATATGAATATCAGATAAAGATTTCAGAGCCAAGACTATTACCAGAGATAAAGAAGAGTGTTATATAATGATAAAGAGATTAATTCCTCAAGAGGACATAACAGTCCCAAACATTCGTGATCTAATAGCTTCAAAAATCTTGAAGCAAGATGTTAAGAACTACAAGGAAAAATAGACAAATTCACACTTAAAATCAGAGACTTCAATACCCCTCTCGATAACTGATAGGAAGGTAGAAAGAAAATCAGTAAGGATACAGATGACTTGAACAACAATACTGAACACAACATATCCTAATTGACATTAAGTGTACCCTTTACCCAACAACAGTAGAATGCACCTTCTTTTGAAAGAAGAATGGATCATAAAGTAAGCCTCAATAAATTTAAAAGGATTTTAGTCAGATAGTGTGTAATTTCCTGACCACAGTAGAATTAACTTGGAAATTAATAACAGAGAGGTATCTAGGATATCTTCAAATATTGGGAAATTAACATATTCCAACTAACCCTTGGGTCAAGAAAATGAAAAGGGAAATTACAAAGTATCATGAACTGAATGAAAATTAGAACACAACATCAAAATTTATAGCATGCTACTAAAGAAGTATATATAGAGACATTTGTAGCACTAAATATTTGTATTAGAACAAAGGTCTCAATTCAATGACCTTTAGTTTCTTCCTTAAGAAATAAGAAGAAAAAGAGAAAATTAAAACCCATAGTAAGTAGAAGGGAAATAATAAGAGAATGAAGACCAATGAAATGGAAAATAGTAAAACCATAAAGGAAAGAAAAACTGGCAGAGTGTAGTGGCTTATGCCTGTAATGCCAACACTTTGGGAGGCTGAGGCAGGAGGATTGCTTGAGCCCAGCAGAGCAGTTCAAGACCATCCTGGGTAACATAGTGAGACCCCACCTCTACCAAAAAAAATAAAAAATAAAAACCCTAAACTGGCTTTTTGGAAGATCAGTCAAATTGACAAGACTCTTGCCGGAATGATCAGATAAAAAAGAGAAAAGACACAATATCAGGATTGAGAGCGGTATCTTCACTTTAGATCCTTCAGATGTTTGAAAGATAATAAATACTATAAACAACTTTATGCCAATAAATTCAGCAAGTTAAATGAAATGGACATATTACTTGAAAGGCACAAACTACCAAAATTCACTCAAGGGAAAAAAAAAGATAATATCAGTAGTACTTTATCTACAAAATAAATTGAGTTTGTTTTAAAAACGTACCTCAAAGAAAACTTCAAGCCCAGATAGATTTGCCGGTGAATTATACCACACATTTAAGGAAGAAATACTACTGATTCTGTACAAAGTGTTCCAGAACATTGAAGAGGAGAGAAAATTCTTTGCAACTTATGTGAAGCCAGCATAGCACTCAGAAACCCAAACCAGAGGAAAGCATAAGAAATCCACAGTCCAATATCTCTCATGAACACAGATATAAAGATTCTTAATAAAATATTAAATAGAATTTAACAATATATAAAAAGGGCAATATATCACTCAAGGAGAGTTTATTCCTGCAATGGGTTGTTGGTTTGATATTTGACAGTGAGTCAATATAATTCATCATATTAGCAGTCTAAAAAGGAGAAATCATATAATCATCTCAGTAAGATGCAGGAAAAAACATTTGGCAAATCCGCCATCCATTCCTGATAAACGCCTTATGCAAAGGGAGTAGTGGAGAACTTTGTTAACCTGAGAAAGGACATCTACAAAAAAATTCTCTAACTGACAGCACACTTAATGTTGAAAAACTAGCTTTGTTTCTAAGATCCAAAATAGGTCAAGAGTATTCCCGTCACCACTTATGTCATTGTACTGGAGGTTCTAGGTAGTGCACTAAGGCTGGAAAAGGAGATAAAAGATATCCACATCAAAAAGCAAGAAATAAAATTGTCTTTATTAGCA
The DNA here is from genome assembly GCF_000001405.40 of Homo sapiens. Classification (NCBI taxonomy): domain Eukaryota; kingdom Metazoa; phylum Chordata; class Mammalia; order Primates; family Hominidae; genus Homo; species Homo sapiens. The sequence continues at coordinate 14,282,864 of NC_000011.10, read as the reverse complement.
AATGACATGGTTATGTAGAAATGCCTGTGGAATTTACAAAAGAACTCCTAGATAAATGAGTTCAGAATGCTTCCAGAGTATGAGATATACAAAAATTATGATCCTATTTTTATAGTGTTAAAAACTATGTATCATTGAAAAATGACCAAAAGAACATGATTCTCTATGGTTGATAGGTTCTTAAATTTTCTTTGATTTTTTTTTTCCCCCCAATTTGGCTTTTCTAATTTTTCATCAGGTGTTTACTTTTGTAATAATAGCCATAAAAGGTATTGTTTTCAGAAATATAATTTTAAGCCCCACTATATAAATGTAAATGTAATAGAGTTTAATAATTTTTAGTAAACATCACTATTCAAATCCTTACATTTAAAACATGTAGGAACTTACATTCAGTTTATGTTTTCTTATTCTGACCTGCCATTTTATACATCAATCAGCTATGCCACCTTTCCTTGATCTCCAAAATATAAGGCATTGTGAGGGCCTGTGATTGCATTCATAATTCATTTCTCCCCACATATTGATGAGTGTCACCTGTGTACCAGGTTTTGGGGAATGCAATGATGAAGAGACCTTATGGCCTCTGAAACTTACACTTTTCTCCATCCTCACCTCTTGCCATTTTCTCTCTTTGCTTAATGTATTCCAGCTATGTGACGCTTCTTTTAGTTCTTGGAAAGCCCATTCACTCTCATGGCCTCACACATTCAGTTTTCTCTGGCAAGGATACTTCTTCACACCCCCACCCTCCACCCCTCAACTCCATACTCTGTTATCTTCTGGGCTTAAATGTCACTTCCTCAGGGAAGCTTTCGCTCATCTCCCTGACAGGGTTGTATACTTTAATAGCACCTTACACTTTCCCTTCCCAGAATGTATTACTGTTGTATTTAATACTTTTTGTGTGATCTGTATTTGGAAATATTGTTGTAGGCTAGTATTTCCATCACAGATATGTTCTTCTGCATTGTTCTGCAGAGGTGGGCTTTAGTTTATCTTGAGCTGTTAAGTCTGTTGTTTCACCTTATGATAAAACAACTTGGCCTCTTGGCTGAATTATTAGCACAATCTGTGGCCAGGATTAGATGGAACAAATCCAGTTGTTAATAATGTACCATAAACATAACTGTTGGAATTTCAGGTAACACAGGAAGAAGGACAACAGTTAGCACGGCAGCTTAAGGTAACATACATGGAGGCATCAGCAAAGATTAGGATGAATGTAGATCAAGCTTTCCATGAACTTGTCCGGGTTATCAGGTAAGCAAAACACATTCTAGATGTGTGTTTTAATAAATTACTATTAAATGTTTTTAGTAAGGATATTTTATATGGAAGTGATTCCTTTCTAGGGATTAATGCACATGGTGCATTACAATTTTTAAGTACATATTCTAGGCACTTCTAGAATATAAAATATAATTTAATTATGAAGTATAAAGTACACATAGGATTTTGATAAGAATAAATGCTGCTTCCAAAGGGGGTGATGGTGTGAAGATAGTGATGACAGCAGCTAACTTTTGCATGGTAGTCTCTGCCAGCTTCTGTGCTAAACGTTTTTACGTGTATTATTACATGTAATCCTCACCCTCGCCCAATAAACTAAATACTGTTTTATCCTCACTTTCAGAGGAGAAAATGGGGGTACAGAGAAAGAAGTTAAATAGCTTGTTCAAATTAAGACATATTAAATGGCAGAACTGGGGCTTTAATTCAAACCTCTGATTCCAGAGCCTGTGCTCCTACCTTTCTTTTTATCCAGCTCATCCCAGGCTAAGAGTAAACCAGGTAGTAGAGATTAAATAATCCTGTAAGGTGTGAAGTATAATGTCCCACACAACAGAGAATTTTTCTGTTAGATGCCATAGGGGGCCTTTTGGTTTAAAAAGTGTTAACGGGTTCCAGGAAGCTTAAGGTGTTGGGTGAGGTCTGATAGAATTACGAGGTACGTTTGTGGGTGAGAAAGATGAAGTTGCTTTAGTGAGTAGGATTTGATTTATTATTTTGGGTCTTGATGCCTGGCCCCTGTTTCATACTCTGCTCTGTAGATCTGGGATTCTCTGCTAGTTAGACAGTTTGATAGGAATGTGAAGTGGGCTGCTTTTTTTTTTTTTTTTTTTTTTTTTTTTTTTGGAAACAGAGTTTCTCTTTGTCACCCAGGCTGGAGTGCAGTGGTGTGATCTCGGCTCATTACAACCTCCGCCTCCTGGGTTCAAGCAATTCTCTGCCTCAGCCTCCTGAATAGCTGGGATTTACAGGCGCCTGCCACCACATCCAGCTAATCTTTGTATTTTTAGTAGAGATGGGGTTTCACCATATTGGCCAGGCTGGTCTCGAACTCCTGACCTCGTGTTCCACCCGCCTCAGCCTCCCAAAGTGCTGGGATTACAGCGTGAGCCACCGCACCTGGGCTGCGTATTTATTTTGTATCTAAGGTAAATTGACACCTGAGCGATGATCTTCTACTTATTAGCTCCTTGCCAAGGCATTGTCTTTCTGTGGAGGAAAAAAAAGTGAAGGTTATAGCTTTTTCTTTTTTAGTAGTTTGTTAAAAATCCCAGTCCCATTTTTTTTTAATGGTAAGAGTCTCGGTTTTATAAGATGAAAAAGAGATCTGGAGATGGATGGCGATGATGGTTGCACAACATCATGCATATACTTGATACCATCAAATTGTATACTTAAAAATGATTAAGATGGAAAATTTTATGTTATATGTATTTTACCCCCCTTTCCCATTCCAGTTCCATTTTAGTGTTAAGCAACTGATGAGGCAGTGCCTTCTTAAAATAATTATGACTGCCGTTTTGAAATGTTGTCCTTTGTTTTGGTTCTTAGGATCTCTCCTTACCCATCAGTAATTCAGGAATGAGGGGAGAAGTAGAGGAGGTTTTTTGTTTGTTTTGTTTTTAATGCCAGGAGCTATTAGATATATTCTAACATCACAAGATCTTTAATCCTCACAACAGCTGTGAAAGGTAGGTTTCCATTATTCCCCTCTAAAAAAACTGGGGCTCAGACTAGGTCAACTAACTTTGTCTAATACTGAATTTAAAAAATGGCAGAACACAGATAAGACCTGCATACCTCATAAGGTTAATTTTATATTGCACTCTAATGATGAATCTTTATTCTTAAGGATACCTTAGAGTCATGGAATTTCAAATTGGGATGGGAACTTAGAGATTACTGAGTCTAGTATCTCGTCTGATTCAGGACTCATCCATTAAAGCAGCTTCATAGCTCTGCTTGTGCTGGTGTTGACGCGTTTGTGCCCTTTTTTGGTGGGGGTAGGAAAGAGAGAAATTCCCTCGTTGAAGTTTAACACTGAAAAGCATACACACTTAAAAGTGAACTTGTACAAAAAATAACCTGTGTTTGTAATAGTAGATTACCAAGAAGGCAATTATATTTTAGAATTTTTTATCTTACAGGAAATTTCAAGAGCAGGAATGTCCTCCTTCACCAGAACCAACACGGAAAGAAAAAGACAAGAAAGGCTGCCATTGTGTCATTTTCTAGAATCCCTTCAGTTTTAGCTACCAACGGCCAGGAAAAGCCCTCATCTTCTCTTTCTCTCCTCAGTTTACATCTTGTTGGTACCTTTCTAGCCTTAGACAAATGATCACCATGTTAGCCTTAGACGAAGAAGCTGGCTAGTCCTTTCTGTGAAGCTAATACAATGGTCATTTCCAGACAAATTTAAAGGAAACACTAAGGCTGCTTCAAAGATTATCTGATTCCTTTAAAATATATGTCTATATACACAGACATGCTCTTTTTTTAAGTGCTTACATTTTAATAGAGATGAATCAGTTTTGGAATCTAAGCTGTTTGCCAAGCTGAAGCTACAGGTTGTGAAATAATTTTTAACTTTTGGAATCATACTGCCTACTGTTACTCTAAATAGAAATATAGGGTTTTTTTTAATGTGAATTTTTGCCTATCTTTAAACATTTCAATGTCAGCCTTTGTTAACCTTAAATACACTGAATTGAATCTACAAAAGTGAACCATCTCAGACCTTTACTGATACTACAACTTTTGTTTTCTGATGGCCAAAATACCAAATGCCTGTTGTATTTATGGATTAAAAACTGCTTATAAAACCCTGTGTTACTACTCCTACTCTTGGAGATGATAATATTCTATGTGGTCAAATATTTGGACTCATTTAGGACTTAGATATTTCAGTGTACTTGATTTTTTAATTTAACTCTTTTTCACAGCCACGCTAAGGGTAAAAAGGAATAATTTCCTTCTGTCTTCCTTTTCAAGTATTTCTGGGTAAGGGATTCAAAAAACTAAAACTGTTTTTGTTTGTAATATAAAATATGGAATTGATCTTTCCAGGGTCAGAGATGATTAATGTTTTTGCTATATACTTTTATACATTATTTTCTTATCAAACTAGTTAACAAGTATTTTTATATGTTTGTAAGCAGATATGCTTTCATAGCATACCTTGTGTATATGTAAAGATAAGTATTTAATTCTCACTGTTCACTTTTAACTGACAAAGAAAAACAAGTGGAAACTACAGAAACTGTGGTAGAACTTTTACTTGCTGGTCTGGTCTTGGTTGTACCCATCTTTGGCCAGTCACATAACTACTCAAGAAACCTTCCCAATAGAGTACAACAGGATGAGACTCTGAAATCACTTTCAGTATTCCCTGCTAGATATTGATTGTTATTTCAAGTATTAAGTGTAAGCTTTTAATGGATAATTAGTATAACTGTGGATGGCATCTGATTTTGTTTTTAATTCTGTGGATTGTGTTTAAGCAATTCAATAGTATGTTCCTGATTTTGAGATGCTAAGTGGTATTGCACAGTTGTCACTTTATCAAGTGTGTACAACAGTCCCATGAAGTTTATAGAGCATACCCTTGTATAGCTTCAGGTGCTAGAATTAAAATTGATCTGTTATCACAAGATGATGTTTGATTACTCATTGTGTTAATTAAGTGGTTTCTTAAGGGAACAAGTGTTAGTGAAACTTACTTTAGTAGCTCTGTTCCTTTTCTCCAGTGCCTTAGGGTTTGAATCTAGAAGTCAGCATTGGTCATTCAGCAGGTGGAGGGGATGTGAAACAGTTTGATGTTCTTTGACTTGTTGAATATTTACTTAAGTCCGTGTTTCTTAAACTTTTTCTATGAAGTGCTCCTGATATAGAAACCCAACTGTAGAGGAAGGTGAATACCTACACAGATACCCCATGAAGATGAAACTGAAAACAGCTAAAGCCACACACACATTTATTTGAAGACCAGTAAAAATAATATAATTGTCTGGGTGCAGTGGCGCACACCTGTAATCCCAGCACTTTGGGAGGCTGAGGCAGGTGGATCACCTGAGGTTAGGAGTTCGAGACTGCCTGACCAACATGATGAAACCCCATCTCTACTAAAAATACAAAAATTAGCTGGGTGTGGTGGCGGGTGCCTGTAATCCCAGCTATTTGGGAGGCTGAGGCAGGAGAATCACTTGAATTTGGGAGGCAGAGGTTGCAGTGAGCTGAGATCGTGCCAATGCACGCCAGCCTGGGTGACAGATTGAGACTGTGTCTCAAAAAAAAAAATTGTGTAATTATGCACTGTACTTGATAGTATAACTATGTTGATATGGAATTATCTTCCATGTCTTCTAGTACAATTACTGCCCAGGAAGATACCATGTTTATCCTGTGGCTTTTGTTACTGTAGCACTATCATGTATCCTTGGTAGTACTTTCAGTTGGCAAAGTTTATTTGTTTTAGTTAACTTCAGATAACGAGATTGCTTACATAATATCCAGATTTAATGAGAAACCCATCAACTTTTATTATCTCAGTTTACCTTTTTTCCTCTTTATGCTTTACTTTGTATTATTATTATTATTTTTTGAGACAGTCTCGCTCTGCTGCCCAGTCTGGAGTGCAGTGGCGTGATCTGCACTGCAACCTCCACCTCCATGGTTCAAGCAGTTCTCTGCCTCAGCCTCCCAAGTAGCTGAGATTACAGGTGCCTGCCACTATGCCTGGCTAATTTTTGTAGAGGTGGGGTTTCACCATCTTGGCCAGGCTGGTCTTGAACTCCTGACCTCGTGAGCCACCCACCTTGGCCTCCCAAAGTGCTAGGATTACAGGCGTGAGCCACCGTGCCTGGCTGGATTGTTTTTATTACTACATCTTCAAGTCCCATCTCCATCTCTCCCTCCCTTCCTCCCTCCCTGCTTGTTCCCTTCCCCTCCCTCTTCCTCTTCCCCTCCCTCTTCCCCTTCTTTAGTAGAGACAAGGTCTTGATCTGTTGCCCAGGTTGGCATGTAGTGGCGCCATCTTGGCTCACTGCAACCTGCCTCGGGCTCAAAGTCATCCTCCCCCTTAAGCCTCTTGAGTAGGTGGGGCTACAGAGGCACATTCTACCACACCTGGCTACTTTTTATACTTTGTGTAGAGATGAGGTCTTGCCCTGTTGCCTAAGCTGGTCTCAAACTCCTGGACTCAAGCTGTCTGCCCACCTCAGCCTCCCAAAGTGTTTGGATTACAGGCTTGAGGCACTACACCCGATCCCCATAACCATTTCTTTTGCTGCTGTTTAATCTGCTATGAATCCTATCCAGTGAATTTTCATTTTGGATTTTGTGGGTTTTTTTCCCCCTGGAAATTATGTTTGGGTATATATATATATATTTTGTTTTTCTCCTCATTATGTTCATGTATTCCTCTTAACCAGCCCCTCTCAACTGGTTTTGCAGAACATTGAGCCCTGAATTAACACACAACAGATACGGCATTAGGGCCCAATTTGCATCTGGAAAATTTGCATTGTACGTTTGCATCTAGAATGGCACAGCCATGTACCATCCTTGGGAAAATAAAGAAAATAGTTCCTCAAATAACTTTCTGTGGGGCTCAATTCTCTTACAGAACTGTGATTGAGAAAGACTGCTTTGAATATTTGAATGTAGTTATAATAGCTGTTTTGAGTCTTTGCTGATTCTATTGCTTGTATAATTTTTGGATTTGTTTCTACTGACTGATTTTTCTCTAGTTATAGGTCACATTTTTTTTGTTTTTTCACATGCCAAGTAAGTTTTGGTTGGATGAAGGACATTGTGTATTTTATGTTGTTGGGTATCTAGATTTTGTTGGCGTCTTTGTTGGGTTTCGTTCTGATAGTTAATTTACTGACTGCAGTTCAGTTTGATCCTTTCGAGATCTCTTTTAAAGCTAATACAGTCTCAAGTAGCCTTTTTCCCAGGCTAGTTTAGCTCCACTACTAAAGTATGACCCTTTTGGGGTCTGTCTGCTGAATGCCCTGAATTATCAATTTGGCTTGTGGGAACTCAAAGAATTCCCAGCCCCGTGTGAGCTCTAGGGAACAATTCTATTCACAGTTCCTGGGTCATTCTTTGCCCAACCTCCTGGAGTTTTCATCCTAGACATATGTATCTTAATAGTCAGCAAAGACTCATAAACTCTATGCATGTTTTTGGATCTCTTTTTATGTGTAGCTGTCTTCTCAGCACAACTTTGTCCTGTGACTTCTAGTTGTTTCAGACTTCCTGTTCTTTAATGTCTCCTTTCAGCCCAGGGAAACATTTGTGTTCTACATGGAATCCCCCATCCCCTCTACAGTCTGGAATGTGCCTCCAGGCAGATGGCCAGGGCAGTGTTGAGGCTTACCCAACTTCTTTCCCTTCCATCAGGATTGTAGTCCTTTGCTACCTGGTGTACAATGTCTGAATGTATTTAGTCTAGGGTTTTTGTTTTTGTTTTTGTTTTTGTTTTGAGACACAGTCTTGCTCTATTGCCCAAGCTGGAGTGCAGTGGTGCGATCTCAGCTCACTGCAACCTCCGCCTTCTGAGTTCAAGCAATTCTCCTGCCTCAGCCTCCCGAATAGCTGGGATTACAGGCATGTGCCACCACACCTGGCTAATTTTTGTATTTTTAGTAGAGATGGGCTTTCATCATGTTGGCCAGTCTGGTCTCGAACTCCTGACCTCAGGTGATCCGCCCCCCTCGGCCTCCCAAAGTGCTGGGATTACAGGCGTGAGCCACCACACCCGACTAGTCCAGTTTTTTTTCTTCCGAGACAAAGTCATGTTCTGTTGCCCAGGCTGGAGTGCAGTGGTGCGATCTTGGCTCACTGCAACCTCTGGCTTCCAAGTTCAAGCAATTCTCTTGCCTCAGCCTCCTGAGTAGCTGGGATTACAGGCTCGCACAACCATGCCCAGCTAATTTTTGTATTTTTAGTAGAAACGGGTTTTCACCATGTTGGCCAGGCTGGTTTCAAACTCCTGACCTCGTGATCCGCCTGCCTCAGCCTCCCAAAGTGCTGGGATTACAGGTATGAGCCACTGTGCCCGGCTTAGTCCAGTTTTTAAATTGTCTAAGATAGGAGGGTTAATCTGGTTCCTGTTACTCCATTGTGATTGGAAGTTGAAGTGTTTCCCATTTGCCTTGTAGCTTTTTAAATCTCTGACTTGAAACTTTTCTTAAAAAGAGTGGACAGTCTCATGGAATGAATAGTCCTTGTCTATGTGGCCATTTTTTCTCTATAATTGGGAGTTTGCAAATTTTTTCATAAAGGGCCAGATTGTAAGTGTCATCTTGGGCTTTGGCGGCTATATCTCTGTCCCAACTAGTCTAGCCTGCCATTATAGCACTGAAGCAGCCATAAGCAATGTCTAAATGAATGTGGCTGTGTTCCAATAAAACTTTGTGTATACTGATGTTTGTGTTTCATGTCATCATCATATGTCATGAAATATGACTCTCTTTTTGCAGTTGTGAAAACCATTCTGTACAAAAACAGATGGTGGGATGGATTTGACCCACAGGCCATGGTTTGCCAGCCCTGCTTTATTATAGCACATTTAGCATTTGAGCGATTCTTTAGAATCTCTTAAGTCTCTTTATGTGGAAGTTCTTTCAGACAGCATTTCCTGAATGGATGGTCATGAATTTGTGTTCTAGGTGTTTTCTTTCTATATTGTTTGTTTAGAGATTTACAGTATCTCAGAGTTGGACATTATGCCCTTATTGGCATAGATTGTGCCCTTATTGACTATTTTATCATTTGACTTTTAAAATGTGATGTAACAAGGTTGTATATACTTTGTCTAGCTTGCTCCTCTTCTGTTTATCACCACTTGTTTTAATTCATTTTATTTCTTTTCCCATAGCTGTACGCTATACGTAATGATCCCACTTAACAGGTAAGTAGGGGCCAAGCATAGTATCTCATGCCTCTAATCCCAGCACTTTGAGACGACAAGGCACGTGGATTGCTTGAGACCAAGAGTTCAAGACCAGCCCAGGCAACATAGCCAGATCCTGTCTCCATAAAAAAGTAAAAATAGAAATTAGCTGGGCATGGTGGCATGTGTCTGCAGTCTCAGCTACTCTGGAGACTGAGGTGGGAGGAGTATTTTAGCCCAGGAAGTTTGAGGCAGCAGTAGAGCTATGATCCTGTGATCAGCCTAATAGTGAGACCCTATCTATCTATTTATTTATTTATTTATTTTCAGATGGAGTTTTGCTCTGTTGTCCAGACTGGAGTGGAGTGGCACGATCTTGGCTCAGTGCAGCCTCCGCCTCTTGGGTTCAAGTGATTCTCCTGCCTCAGACTCCTGAGTAGCTGGGATTACAGGCATGCGCCACCATAGCCGGCTAATTTTTGTATTTTTAGGAGAGATGAAGTTTTGCCGTGTTGGCCAGGTTGGTCTTGAACTCCTGATCTCAGGTGATCCACCTGCCTCAGGCCTTCCAAAGTGCTGGCGGATCATGAGGTCAAGAGATTGAGACCATCCTGGCTAACATGGTGAAACCCCGCCTCTACTAAAAATCCAAAAAATTAGCTGGGTGTGGTGGTGCACACCTGTAGTCCCATCTACTTGGGAGGCTGAGGCAGGAGGATCGCTTGAACCCCGGAGGTGGAGGTTGCAGTGAGCCAAGATTGTGCCACTGCACTCCAGCCTGGTGACAGAGCGAAACTGTCTAAAAAAGCAAACAACCTCCAGATAACTGGCAGGTAAATAGAAGGAGATGATAATCAAATGGTCTTTTTCAAACACATCACTTAATCACTTAAGGGTATTTAACCAGTGATTGCTTCTAAAATTTCAAAGTAATTTTTAGCAAAAGGTATTTTAATTAAAAATACTTGACTGAGCATGTTTTTTTTTTTTTTTTTTTTTTGTGCATGGCAGTAATAGGCATTCTGGGGAAATGGATAAATGTGGAGATTTTCCTTTTTTTTCAAATTACTCAGAGTCTAGTGCAGGAAGTTTTAGAGTGATAAAAACAAATGCTGGGACCCACTTTCAAGGCAGAGTAGGAAAAGCATTCAAAAAGTGTTGTCCAGCAGAAGGGATTGTAGCATATATTTCTCCTGGAAAATCTGAGGGAACTTCTTAATTAGAATTGGTGTTTAAGCTGGAGCTCGATGGATTGGTAGGATTTGAGATGGAGAGGAGAGAAGAGTGAGGGTGGAAAGATGAGAAAGGCCCAGAGTTGGCAGAATGCAGGGTGTATTCTGGACTGGAACCTTGGCCTAAAAAGATTCTACATGCAATGGGAAAAAAATATGATAAAATAGACTGGGATCAGGTTGTGGAGGGCTTTAAATAGGATGGCCCTTCTGTGTATAATGGGAAACTGCCAAGGATTCTGAACAGGAGGTGCCTGGATCTAATCTAGTGGTAGCATAATGGCAGAGAAGTGCAAATTTGGTGGTCAGATAGAGGTTGTTGGAATCATGGAATCTGTTCTCTTAGTATTATAAACTCAGTGAGGGCAGAATCACGTCTGTTGTGTTTATATTGCCTGGCATGTGCTGAAAAGCCATTTGATGAATGGATGATTTCAGAAAGAGAGACAATGAAGACCTGAACTGCAGTGACATGGGGAGAAGGAGACTGAACACTGGAGGGATATCCAAGTGATGTTTGAGTCTCCAAAATACTGTCTGGATGACCAGGAAGGTGGTGGTGCTATTAATTAAAATAAGGAGTATAGGCAACTCTCTAGTGATAGAAATTTATGTGACAATCCCATACAGGGTTAGTCCAGGAGGCATTTGGGAATGGGGAATGGGAATTGGAGGTCAAAAGAGGCTGCTCGGACTAGGAATGCAGATTTGAAATTTGTCTCTTTTGAGCTTAGTGATTGAGGAGATAAGAATGGGTAATATCCTCCAGGAAGAGAGTGTTTGAGGAGAGGGTCCAAGGGTAAAACTTTGGGGAAAACAAACATGGGAGGTAGAAGATGAAGAGGCAGCAAAAAGCCAAGAGAAGTAGCCAGAAACTGGAGAGAACCACGAGGCTGTTTTGTGAAGGAAGCCACGGAGGTGGTGGAAAGCATTGAGTGCTGTGCAGAGGATGGGGGAGTGAGAGGCTGCACTGGTCTTGTGCGGTTGCTGATGACTTCCTTAGATTTATTTCAGTCTTCTGGTTGTGGAAACCAGATGATAGTGAGTTGAGGTGTGATTGGAGGCTAAGGATGTGGAGGAAGTAAGTGTGGGCTATTTTGAGAAATTCTGTGGCAAAAGCAGGGCAAGATGGGGAAGTTATCTTGTTTTACAGGGTAGGAGGTTAGAGGAATAAGAATAAGCCACTGCAAGTTACTTAATCACAGATAGGGAGGTATGCAGATCTGGAACTATGTATTCACACCTGGATCCTTCAGCGTTTGAGAAATTTAGAAACCTAGTTCGCAGACTCTAGCACATGCCTCTCTGATGGGGGAGAGTGGCACAGTGCAGCTTCTCAAGACTTATCTGCATTGGAGGGCCAGGTTAAAAGATTGTTAGTCTCCAGTGTTGTGGACTGATACTTTTCTAAATGTTATAAAAAATGAATTATTTGGAAAATAATCATTCTCCTGTATATCATGGCAGTGTCAAATTAAGAGTTTCTAAACACTTGCTTTCAGTTTCTTTATCTCATTTGTGGATCTTATCAGGCTGCAGGTCTTGATTTGGGCAGCACTAGTGTAGTGGGGAAGGGAGCAGGAGAGTCGAGTGTTTTTCACAGGTGGCGCTTTTGACTTCCTCTGTAGGCTAGTGATTCCAGGTTAGAACCACTGAGTAACAGTTACATTCCAACACTAGAAAAAGAGGGACTATGTTTATACCAACTCCAGGTGTTGGAGTCAGTAGACTTGAATAAGATGTTTTCACCCTTTTCCCTTCTGTGAATACTTACAGATTATTTGAGGTAAAGAAAAATTGCTTAAACATGCAACTGCTTAAAATATGAGAACTATTACCAATCAGTTATAAAGACTAGGAGTATTTAGAACAGTATGAGAAAATGTTAATGAGTGCTATCTTATGTTAAGACATTATGAATATTATGAATGTTAAGTGAAGACAAATTTCATTTTGCTCTGATAACTGTAAAATTATGCATGCATATTTTATTTGTCATGACATTTTCAGTTATAAGTGACAGAAATGCAACCCAAACCAGCTTCACACAGTGCATGCATTTACTTATTTATGAAGTGAGGGTTGGGTGGAGTGCAGTTGGCTTTCAATGAGTCCTACAACAGGATACCATCAAGACCCACGTGTAAGAATTGTCTAAATTGTGGAGGTGGAGTAGAGGTGTCTGCTAGTAGGAGAGAGTTTGTGTCGAAGCCTAAGGCCAGAAAAGGTAAAATAACTGGCCCCAACCCTCATGGGTACTCAGGTGCAGCAGTGGTTTGAACCTAGGTCCGTGGTACTGAACCATGACACAGCCTCTGCTCTCCACCCTACAGAGCATGTGAAGCCTTCTGAACCAACAGGGTTTCTAAAGCAGGATGTCATTATTTAAATTTGACATTTTAGTGTAGATCTTTTGCTTTCAGATTTCAAAGGATGTAAATTGAAGAATTAGCTTCATGCTAATTAGCATTCGGCTGCTATTTATAATTTGTTACTGCATCTCATTTTCAAAAGGGATTTATTTTTATTCATTCTCCCTACATTGGGCAATATGAAGAACAACATGAATCATTCTCTTATTAAAATTGATAGCATCACATAACAAAATAGAGGAAATGACTGTGTCTTCCTTGAGTCTATGTTATAATTAAGGATTAAACATTAATGTTTAGTTTTTTTTGTTTGTTTGTTTGAACAACAGAGTCTATCGTTAGGGAATAAATATTTAGCTCCTTTGTAGCTGAACTTCCAAAGCTGAGCTCTTTTAATGGTCAGATTCCATTATAAGCTGAGGAGAGGCCTTTCTACAGGTCTTGAGCTTTCTGATTTTTTTTGAGACAGAGTCTTACTATGTCATTCAGGCTGGAGTGCAGTGGTATGAACATGGCCCACAGCAGACTACCTCCTGGGTTCAGGTGATTCTCTCATCTCAGCTTTCAGTGTAGTTGGGACTATAGGCACGCACCACCATGCTGGCTTTTTTTTTTTTTTTTGGAGACAGTCTCTCTGTTGCCCAGGCTTGAGTGCGGTGGTGCGACCTCGGCTCACTGCAACTTCTGCCTCCCTGGTTCAAGTGATTCTCCTGCCTCAGCCTCCTGAGTAGCTGGGACTACAGTCGCACACCACCATGCTCAGCTAATTTTTGTATTTTTAGTAGAGACGGGGTTTCACCATGTTGGCCAGGGAAGTCTCAAACTCCTGACCTCAGATAATCCACCTGTCTCCGCCTCCCAAAGTCTGCTGGGATTACAGGCGTGAGTGACCGCACCCAGACAATTTTTGTATTTTTTGTATAGACAGGGCTTTGCCATGTTGCCCAGGCTGGATTTTTTATTTAAAACATTATTTTTTTTGCTGGGCGTGGTGGCTCACGCCTGTAATCCCAGCACTTTGGGAGGCTGAGGCAGTTGGATCACCTGAGGTTGGGAGTTTGAGACCTGCCTGACCAACATGGAGAAACCCTGTCTCTACTAAAAATACAAAAAATTAGCCAGGCGTGGTGGTGGGCGCCTGTAGTCCCAGCTACTCGGGAGGCTGAGGCAGGAGAATTGCTTGAACCGGGGAGGTGGAGGTTGCAGTGAACTGAGATCGTGTCACTGCACTCCAGCCTGGGCAAAAAGAGCGAAACTCCATCTCAGAAAAAAATTTTATTTTTTAACCATTGTCTGAAATGTGGACTAAACAGAAATAAGTCACAGAAATAATTTGACTTTGAGAATTTTTGTGTATTGATACTCATCTTAGTCCTTTTAATGTTGCTATAACAATACCTTAGGCTGGGTAATTTATAAAGAAAAAAGGTTTATTTTATTTAGCTCATGATTCTTCAGGCTAGGAAGTACAAGAAGCATGTTGCCAGCATCTGCTCCATTTCTGTTGAGGGCTTTTCATGCTGTGTCATAGCGGGGAAGGTCAAAGGGGACATGGATGTGTTTGAAGAGGCAAAACCAAGGGGCATCCTGGCTTCGTAACAACCTACTCCCTTGGGAACAATTCTGTGAGAACTAAGTCAGTCTAGAGAGAGAACTACTTCACTACAATGGTACCAAGCCATTCATGAGGGATATGCCTGCATGACCCAAACCCTTCCCACTAGGCCCACCTCCCAGCGCGGCCACCTTGGGGATCAAATTTCAAGCGTGAGTTTTGGTGGGAACAAACTCAAGCCATAGCACATTTTAGCCATGCCCTTGACCTGGACTATTTCTGGAGAGCTATAGTTGTGTGAGAATGTGTAATGTATCCTTACTTCCTGGAGGGAGTACATAGACTTTGAGTATCCCTAAAATATGTTCAATATGCAAAGTTCAAATTAAAAACAGCACGATGTTTATTTTTTCAGTTCTGGGTCTATAGAAACCCAGGTTTATTCCCATTTGCTACAACAGATTCCCTTCTAATAAAATGCACTGGCAAGGTGACCAGTGAGTGACCCAATGTCTGGTTGGGAAATCTCTCTCTGAACTTCTTGCTGTTGGACCTAAAATGTGGATGTAAATTGGATCACAGCTGGTTTGGCATTGAAAAAAATACATACACAACAAACAATTACAACTTCTTTATATGGCAGTTTTTACTGGGTGTCTAATACTCTCTTTACTGTCTCAAGTGGAAGTCCAAACAAATTTCATTTTTGTAGTAAAAAATCTTTATTTCCAAAATGATTTGTTAGCCAAAAGAACTATAAACCACCTAACAAGACTTTGGTAAGAAAGAGACTTGATGCTTCTTATAAATTCCCCATTGCAAACAAAAAATAACAATCCAACAAGAGTCATGTTACCCATTCTTAGCCATTAACCTGGTTTTAAGTCTCCAAAATCAGGATTTTAAAATGTACCCAACTGGGACCAAATACAAACATGAGACACTAGGGTGGCTTGTCCTTGATTAGGAATCACCAGCTTAAGGAACTTTATCATGGGCTGAGAGTTAGATAGATAGCTTAGAACAACATTGCAAAAGTGGGTGCTTCTACATGAGGACTTTTTTCCCCCCAAGTAGAAAAATAATTAAATCTTGTGTTTCTTTATATTGTGCTTTTTTTGGGAGAAAGCAATTCATTTAAGGATTTAAAACATGTTGGATACAAAGGTAGTTCAGAGATGTAATAATGGTCCCTCCAAGAACAAGGGAGCAAAAGCCCTATCTTTTATTGAAAATGATGGAGGTGGAGGACAATATAAAAAAGAACCTTCTGAACACTTACTTAGCTTAAAGACATGAAAGACCCAGTGAGTTTTTATTGAATAGTCTCTCTTGTGTTAAAAGTACATATTCAGGACTATACTATGTTGTATTTGGAAATATTCTGATGTGTTTAATACAAATTCGTAGTGTATTCAGAGCATTGTATGTGTCTCACCAATGGTACACATTTGGATTAAGCAGTAATAAGGCCTATAAAAGAAGAAATGAAACAATAGTTTTCAACAATAAATGCAGGAAGAAAAACTGCTGATGGACCCAACTGAGAAAATGTCCTTTTACACTATCCCTTGGTGGTCAGTCTCCCTGAATCTGGTGTGCTTATAATTGCTGGGAAGGCAGTGTAAACCTGTGGCCATTCCTATGCATGTCTGGGAGGACCACAGCCCTGGTGTGGAGCACTGACAGGTTTGACTTTCCACCAGAATTGCTTGCTCAGCTTAATCCCATAATATTCCTTTCCCTTAGATTTGTTTTCTGTCTCGGTAACTTTTTCTCTCTGCATATAAAATTTCATGACTAAAATAACTTTAAAGTACAGAGATTGTATTTTGTTGAAGGAATGCATTGGGGGGGCTTTGGGCAGACTTAGCAAAATGTTTGTATAGCAAAAATGTTTTCTTGCTAAAAACTGATTTGCAAACTTGAACGTCTAGATGTGTGTAGGAAGATTTTAAAATTTAGGCAAATTGGTCTCTAAAGAGACCAATTTTGCTTCCTTTGTCTTGGTTCCAATAAGGATTTAGTACCAAAAAGTTCAGAAGGCTGGCTTCCCAGAAGAATTGTACATACTCCTCTGAACCCCCAAAAGCAAGGGAAAAATACACTCTAAGCTTATTATTTATCTCAGGTGTAAAAACTAGCTACCTTATATTTAAATAAAGCAGCCATAATTTATTTATTTATTTTTGTTGGGGGGGCATCAGGAACCAATATCAGGGGTGAGACAAATGTATTCCGAATTTCTCAGTGAAAGAACAAAAGCCACCCAACATCAATGCTCCTCTTCAAGTCTACCAGCTCTGTTTTTCCCCAGGAACTATTGATGACTGAGGAGACTTGAAAAGAGACCTAAAGTTCCACTAAGAAGAGATGGGCAAACAATGGTTTCATTGAACAGGCCAAAGATGAGAATGTGGGGAATCTGCTGTCTTCATCTGTGAATGTTTCCTACCTGCCGCACCCTGGGACTCAGGCATAGTCACTTCCAGACATGGTTGCCTCTCCATGTGGAGTAGGTCAAAGTCTCCGTCCTCCCTGGCCAGGTGGAAGCTCCAGAGGGACATGTTTCAGCTTAGTACAAGGTGGCTGACACTACTCCTCTGCAGGAAGAGGCTGGCTGGAGGTGAGGGCGCCCCACTCAGCCTGTACCCATCAAGAAGTATTCAGAAAGGATGTCTCTGGCATCCACAAGACTACTGGGCGAACCACACTGCAAAAATGAAAACTAGCGTACACAATTTAAATTGTCTTAAACAAGCAAATAATCCAGCCATTGGTGACTCTGGAATCTAGAGTGCAGCCCTGGGGAACTCGTACCCTTGCTAACAAGGATGAACATTGCATGCTCTGATCTCCTTCTTGTCTTTGCAGCTGGTAAACTGGGAGCTTTTGAATCTCTTCTTTACAGTCATGTAACGTTCCTGAATTCCACCTCCGCACAGTTTGGTGCATTCTGACCAGGCCGTCCATGGGCGCATCCTACAACCTGAAAGCATGAGAATGCCTTGTTAGGCCCGCAGAAACGGGACGGAACAGGGATGCTGAACTCTAGTAGAACTGTGAAATGTGCTTGTCTGGGCTCCTCCTCTGCTCAAGTATGTAATGATTGGTTAGAGTCGTTATTAGGGACAGTTAGGTCGTATGTGACTGACTGCAAAAAAATGGCCACAAATGCTTCACGGTTCTTCTCATCAAAAGGCAGACTCTGTTTCTCCACCTCTTGAATCTGGGCTTGACTACATGATTTGCCATGGCCAATGGGACATGAGCAAAAACAGGCCTAAAAGCTGCTAGGACCCTTCTACTACCATGTAAGCAAGCCTGGCTAGACCACTGGAGAGACCATGTGCAGAGAAGCCCCAGCCATCTCATGAGGCCCCAGATACGCAGGTGAGGCTGGTCTGGTCCAATTGTGCCACCAGCTAGTAGTAGCCACATGAATGAGTCCAAACTAGACCCAAGAAGAACCATCCAGTGGACCCAGTTCACATCACTGATCCACAGAATCTTGCTAAGTGATTGTTTAAAAAGACTGTTTTGGGATGGCTTATGCAGCAGCCATATAAGGAACACTAAACCACTTTCTCTTATGCCTTACTCCCCAAGTACTTGGCTCCCAAATGCTAAGTATAGAGAAGTACAATTTTTGTTCTTCCTACTCAGCATAAACATGCTGCTCTCCAAGAAAACTTCCCTGACCCCAGAGATTAATTAGGTTAGATCTTTTGATTACTGCTTCCATAGCACTCTAGATTCCTCTTTTATAGAACCCACCACATTTATGGTTACACATGAGATATTTGTTAACCACACTACAGCTAAGAGTCATGGAGGAATGTACCGTACAACTATGTACCTGCCACATAGTAGGCTTTAATGAATGTTTGTTGACTGGCTGACTACCATGTAGAACAGACAGCACTTTGATATGCAAACAGCTCCCTAATCATAAGGATCCTGAACCATCAAGGAGATCCTCATGCTTCAAAAAGAATAGGCCTTTAAAAATCAGAAAACTTGATGTACATGTTAATCTTCACTTTTTTACATGGGCACCTTCAGCACTGAAGTCCCTGGCAGGCATTTTCTTTTTCTTCTGAAGTCCTGGAACTCTGAAGTTAAGCTGGAGTTTGGGGATGTATAATCTTTCTCTTGGGTTACAAATAAAACCTATCTGGCCTCTGTGTCTGTTTGCCATCCCCAAATCAGTCAACACAGGTCTGATACAGTCACCCTCTTGCTTAAAACCACCTACAGAATCAGGTCCCAAAATCCTTGGTGGGCCACTGGCCTTGTGTGGTCTGGTCCCTGCCTTCCCAGCCTGGTTTCCTGCCTGCCTTGTCCTCTGTGCTTCATCTGCATCCCATTTATCACTTGGACCTATCACTTGGACCTATCATGGTCTTTGGCATCTCTGTGCCTTTGTAATGACTATTCTTGCTGCCTGGAATGTACTTTTCTTTTTTTTTTTTTTTAATTTGAGACGGAGTTTCACTCTTGTTGCCCAGACTGGAGTGCAATGGTGTGCTCTTGGCTCACTGCAACCTCTGCCTCCCCAGTTCAAGTGATTCTCCTGCTTCAGCCTCCTGAGTAGCTGGGATTACAGGTGTGCGCCACCATGCCCGGCTAATTTTTGTACTTTTAGTAGAGATGGGGTTTCACCATATTGGCCAGGCTGGTCTCAAACTCCTGACCTCAAGTGATTGGCCTGCCTTGGCCTACCAAGGTGCTGGGATTACAGGCATGAGCCACCGTGCCCGGCCTGGAATGTACTTTTCTAAGTGGCAAACTCCTCTAGATTTTTCAAGACCCACTCTAGTTTTCCCTGCTCTGACATCTCCCTGAACTCCAGTCAATGTAAGATGATGCTCATTCCTCAGCTCCCTGAGCACTTGGTGCATTGTTCTATTAGTTATTTGTCAGCTTGGATCAATATTATTTGGGGAAATAAAACTCAAGGCTGACATGACACTGCTGATAAACTTCTGGTTAGCCTTGCAAAAAAAAATCATAAAGTCTCAGGCCACGGCTGCCTTGTCTGAGCCACACCCTTAAAATGGAAGATGATGTGTTCTGGGAGGTTCTCAGGAACATTCCCTAAATGATGAACAAGACAAGACTCCTTTGACACATCTGTATCATTTTCCCTCTTTGCAAGGAGTGAATGGTGTTGCTAAGTCATAACTGACTTTGAGCAAAGTTGGACACATTATTGGTTTTATATGTGTGTAAAGAAGGAACTGTAATTCCTAAAGATTCTTTGCTTGAAAATTTATTTTTGGCAGGTAATTAGGTTATCTAAATGTTCTTTGATAAATGACCCCCACCGCCAATCTCCTTTATAAATTATGCTTGCTCAATATTTGGGAACAAACTTGGATCTAAAGAATCAAAATGTGGCCTGAAGACTCCAGAAGATGCAGACTCTCCCCGACTTTTTTTTTTTTTTTTTTTTTAAACAGGTCCAAGACTTAGCCCAGTGCAGAACCCTGCCTGTCCTGGAGACCACCCAGGCTGACACTTGGGAGCCATACCTGGGAACTGCTCCCCTTCAGACTCTTCCTTCAGCTGCTCACTCCGCCGGCTCTCTCGGGCCTCCCTCCAGCGTAGCTTTTGGATGGATGGATTTCGAAGGCATTTTCGGATGCGGCACTTTTTTCGCTGCACAGTCTCTGGGCAGGGTGCACCTCCAAACTGAGGCTCCATTTGGATCATCCGGGTTCGAATCACGTGGCCTTTCCCACATGACTTGTTACATTCCGACCACTGGGACCACTCGGTGAGCTCACAGTCAATGGCTGGCAAGACACAGATGGGCATGAGTGTATCACATGTCTGAAACAAGATATGGTCACGCTCTCCTTTGAACATCTCAACAAGCCTATGAGGGATGCAAAGCAGGTGCTGTGTCATGCTATTTTACAGAAGAAGAAACTGAGGCTCCAAAGAGGCAGGCTGACTTCAGCCCGTGTGGTTGGTAAGCAGCAGAGGCAGGATTGGTGCCAGGTCATCACCCATTCTATGCTCCCTCTATGACTCAAGAAGGCTTTGGAGGACTTTCAGGATGTGTTCAGAGCCTCTTGCCCTGCTCTGTGAACTAGAATATTGTCAGATCAGCCTCAAGTACAGAATAGCTTCCCACAGTCCCAAACTCACTGGTGATATTTTTCAGAGCAAGGCCAGCAAGCCCCCTGCTGCTCTTTGGAGAGAACAAGTCAACAAGCTAAAGGCGGCTGACCCTTGTGGACCAATACCAAGGACATTGTGGTTCTAACACACCCTGGCAGCTTTTCATTCTCAACATCATCCTGTGTTCTATATATGGTGGTCTATGCAAAAAACACAGGAGCCAGAAATGGGACATTCAGTAGAGAAGAGGGTCAGGAGCAAGTGGTGCTTTATGGTTTATCGAGATCCAGTAAATTCTTACTAAGCCAGCATCTCATAAATGTGAAAGGAAAATAACACATCAGTTTGACTGTCAGGATGTGTCCCAGGGAGGTAAATTATTCCAAGCTCTCTGTTGGTCTTGCAAGGCCAAAGTCAGGGTGGTGGACTTAGATGTCCTCATTTAGTTCAACAGTTTCAGTTCTTTTATCCCGCCTGTGGAAGCTCAGGCAGCTTTCTTATCTGCAAAATGGGGATCATGGTATTTTTTTTTTCATTAGGTTGTAAGGATTAAATGAGATGCTCCCAGCCCTGTAAGTGCTCCATAAATTTTCATTTTCTTCTCCCTTACTTCAGTGGACCCCAGGCACTCTAAGTCAGAAGGCTATGGGGCCCCAACTCTGGTGAGCTGGCCTGAACCATGGGCCAATCTTAGTTACTGAAAACCCCAGGCTTTCTCTAGTGGGTGGTCCAAGTTACCTCCACCCATGGCTGAGTCTCCTAAAACAACCCAGGAGCTGGAGCATGGAGCAGGGATTAAGTAAGGCCTATCCTTGCCATGTCCAGTGCTCATACTTTGGACCAATTACTTGGTTTCATCCTCAGAGCAACCTAGGAAGTATTTCCTGCTATTTTACAGATGGAGAAACTGAGGAACAGAGGTGCTGAGTCATCGGCTGAAGGTTACTAGCTAGGGGAGGGAGGATGAACGACTGCAAGTACATGCTGGAGGGGGCCAGAGCCACAGCCAGTGTGCCTGCCCTTTTACCACCCAAAAAAGCAGCTCTTGGAAGACCAGCCAAGGAAACTGGCTTGCTCTGCTTGGAGATTAGTCCCATGTAATATAAACAGCTGATCGCAGAGACTTTGGAAAACAGGACTGGGAGTGGAGCGGGGTGGGGTGAGTTTTTGAGAACTTGGCTTGTTTTCTTGCTGGTTTTCTTACCAGTCTGCAGGAGTCATTGATTTAATGTCCAGCCTCTGGTCATGGGGAATTAAAATGGTCACAGGGAAAATAGAATTAAAATGCTTGGAAAATCCATGGGTCAGGCAAGCCTATAATTGTTGGGGGAGAGGAGGGAAAGAACTAAGGTTTATTGAGCTTTGTGCTGTTTTTCGTATGTGTCTGTCATTTAGACTTCACAGGAACCTTAACTTTGGGTGTTCTGTAGACGGTAGTGGGATTCTCACTTTATTAATGAAACTGACTGCAGTGTTTAAGTAACTGCAAACACTGAAAGCCAAACCCCAAACTCTTCCCCAGCAAACCATGTTATTCTAGGATCTAGCAGTATTAGCACTGGCTGGTTCGGGGCTCCCTGGACTCAGGAACATAGAAGTGATGGGCCTTGAGGAGCTCCAGGACTTACGGCATTCAGGGAGCATGCACTTCTCCACCTGCTCCAGATCCTCATTGCAGTCTCCAAGTTCTGCCAGAGACTTGAGCATCCGCTGTCGGGTTCGCATGCCCTTCCCGCAGGTCACGCTGCAGTCACTCCACTCGGACCATGGGGACAGCAAGCATGGGATGGTGTCTAGATCAAGAACCAGGTTTGCCACTGAGAACAGGTTCCTTTTGTTTTCGTTGATCTCCCTGACCCCACAGTGTTCCACACCGAGTCCCCTGCTTTGGCCCCTGGAATAAAGTGGAATTGGCCCATGGGTTCAAATAAGAGTGAAATCTATGGAGCAAGAAGTGGCTCAGCAGCCTACTGCTCTTCTTTTCACTCTCTTTCATCTCCCTGCTGACCCCCCCCGATGGTTATGACATGAGGGTAGCAATATGACTACATAAGTCCCCACTAGAAAGGCCACTGAGGATCTTAGCAGGGTCTTCCTAGAGACAGAAACATCCCACACTCACTAAGAATCAGGCACTAAAGGAGAGGCTCAGGGATGCATTTTTGGACATTGTCCTGAATTCCCTAGAATGTGTATATACTTGTGTGCCTGTATACATCTGCATACTAATGTGTGGGCAGGCCCATATGCATTTGTGCACAGAGCAGGGGAGGTCATGCTTTATGGGATCAGCCAAGTCCAATGTACAACAGGAGTGGGAGGAGTGGGCTGGACCTGGGTAATGTATGTCCCGCCTAAATGTATTGGCCCTCCTCCCCACCACTGCAAGAAAGACACTCCTATAAAACACAGCTGCAGGTGAATTCTCTATCCAGAGGCCACCAGTTTGCCACCCCAGCATTGCTTAGAATGTCCCCCAGTGGAGGTTACTCTCTCTGGGTCTGGTTGATGTCTACACACCTATGTCTCTCATCTGGCTCCCAGCAGTGCCCAGCAAGGACCATGGGCCATGCTTTCCTCTGCTCAGCCTCCGACCTTTATGGTGGTAATAGTGGATGCCATGGCCCTCCACGCCTGTCCCCAGTGGCCTCCTCCAAGTCCACCCCCGCTCTCACTCACGGCACTCTGGCATCATGCACTTCTCTGCCTGTGATGTCTCGGCTTTGCACATGGAGCCATCTGCGGGGTTCATCTTGATCATGCGGTGCCGCTTCTTCATGCCCATGCCGCAGGTGGCGCTGCACTCGTCCCACTCGCCCCACTCGGTCATCAGGCAGCTGCTGGGAGCTGGGGAGGCCAGCGGCATTGGAGTCGCACCTGCTGCCTCCCCGACCTACTTGCCCGCCTGCCCGCCCGGGGCCCCCACTCACAGCACTCCTCGTTGACCGTGCACTTCTCCGTTTCCTCAGTGGGCAGCGTGCACACGGAGCCGTCCTCCGGGAACTGCTTCACATACCTCTCCCGGGACCTCATGCCCATGCCGCAGGAGATGCTGCAGGGCGACCAGGTGATCCACTCGGACATGGTGCAGGTGGAGCCGTCTGCAACACACCGAGTGAACGCTGCAGCAGTGCACGGTGGCAGGGGCGCCTGCCAGGCTGCGCGGTGGGAACTTCCCGCCAGCGGGAATCAAGAGGAGTCAGGCAGTTGAGGTTGTCTGCACACCTAAGAGGTCTAAATCCTTAAACTGGCAAAGTTCTCTAAGAGGAAATGCCTCTTTTCCAGGTGCATGGGACACTCAGAATTACTCTTTATCTCATGAAAATACATTCGAAAGATGCTTGTATGGAAAGGATGGTGTTTAAAAAATGTACACGCATATATCTAAGATAAGATATAATTTAATCTACATATAATTTAAGATAAATCATAATCCATTTGTATGAGGAACAATCCTTCCCTGTGGAAGGGGAGGTTAAGGACCTCAGCTCCTCAGCTTAGCTCCCCAGTCCCAGCCCCAAGAAAGAGGCTTCAATGTTGACAGGCCAGTCCCAGCTTTCCTCCCGCCTGTTTGTAGGAATGACTTAGTCTACGGGGAGGGTTTACTCCCCTCCAAAGTGCTTATTGTGGGCAAAATGAGCTAGCAATAAACCATCGTGAAAGTGCAACACTGGGAGAGGTGTTTAAGAGCCTCCCTCTAGGCAGAGCCAAGGAATTAATGACCTGCATGGGATAAGCTTGCTTTCTTTATCCTCGGCTTGGAAGTGGTTTTTTTCCCTGCCATACACCAGTCCAGCCTATACAGTGCCTTCCCATTGCCTTATGGCATCCTATAAGATCAGGGCAGAATAGCGTAGATCTATCAGGCAGAGAAAGGGGTCATGGCTTGGGAAGCAGATAGCTGACCTTTGCACAGCAATCAGCTTAGTGCAATCTTGAAGCTTGAGCCATCATGATATAGGTGTTGCAAGATTATACTTAAAGGCTGACCTTTGCACTGTTGCAAATAGACTGAGAATTTCTGCAATCAGCCCAAAGGTCCTGACACAAAGAAGTGAGAGTGCTCTGACTCACGCTGAGGTGGAACACAGATGAGGGGCTGTAAATGACAGAATTAGGGCAATGGATCTAGATTCAATCTGGGCTGACTGTTAACAGGCTCCTTAAGAAGAGATTGGAGTTAAGGCCCAGAAGCAGGCTATGTGTTATCTGTAACTTGTCATAAGTTGTATCTATGTTTGTTAGCTCTTCAGTAAAAGAAGGAGGGGGTGGTCAATCTCAAGAATTCCTTTGATATAAGAGAGATTCTGTGTTCAGAGCCCTCAAGACACTGTTGCAGATAGGAGTTTGCCCAAGGTGGACCCCACTGACATCTACTGTCAGGGTCCTTGTGCCCTCACCAGGGACACTGTCTGACTGCTAGGCAGACCCTCCCTTCCTGAACTCCTGCCAGCCCCTGGCTGGTCTGGGTTGTCTCCTCACCTTCGTCACTGCAGCCAGGGCCCATGCAGGGCTGGAAGTCCTGGGTGTCAGGGCAGGGGACGCTGAGGTCCAGCTGTGCTTTCAGCATGCGCTGTCGCATCCTCTTGCCTTTGTCACAGGTGGAGGAGCTGCAGGCGGACCATGGGGACCAGTTGGAGTAGATGCAGGTTTCAGGGGTGTCATCTGGAAAGAGTGTTTGACATGTTTTCCCTGGGAACCTATGGGAGCTGCCACTGGCCCTCTCCCCATACCAGCTTATCTGGGGACAAGAAAAGCCATGCTGCCAGACTGACTTCAGTGAGCCTGGGTGCTCCTGGGATGGAAGCAGCCATCCACTTCCCTTTAAAGATAATAGTTTAACATCTTGCTAATAAATATCTAATCTAAATAAGCAGAATGATTCTTATTATCCCTTCCTCTCAACACATGAACGTCTTCTCATTTTCAGTCCCTCATCTTGGCATTGTTTCCAGACACATGCAGGCTCATTGTAGGTAATTTTGAAAAGCTCAAGGCTTATTTACATGCCATGGCTTCATCTTCCCAATGATCCCATACACAGTTGTCATGGTAAGAATAAGAGCAGCTGCTATTCATTGAGTACTCATCATGTACCAGCACCATTCTAAGAGCCTTACATGTTTTATCCCATTTAATTCTGACAACTGTATGAAGCAAGTTCTTTTATTATCCCCATTTGACTGTTGAGGAAACTGAGACAGAAAGGTTAGCTTCTTGCCCAAGATCACATGTCTACTGAGAGTCCAGGTTGTCTGGCTCCAGATCCCATAAGAAAACTTGAGCTTGAACCATGACTCTGTCGCTCCCTCCTGATTGTAGGATCTGGGCCTTTCTTTGCTTGCTAGGAAAGTGAATGTATCCACACCTGCCTCATAGGCTGGCCTGAGAATCGAAGCAGAGAGTGGTCTGAATCCTGCGAAGCCCATTAAAATGAGATTTACATGATTGTTTTAAAGGCCTGATGTTGTTGAGTATATATTCTGATGTCATATCTTCACCAATTCCCTTATGCTTTGGGCCTAACCTTGGCCTTGTTTTTGATTATTTCTTGAGGAGAAATCCTCAGAGATATGATTACCAAGTCAAAGCACATGGTTTATGGTTCTTAAAACAGGTTAGCAAATTGCTTTCTCAAAGGGTTATGTCAATTTATGTTGCCACCTGCAACAAAAGAAAACAACGTACCTTCATCTTTCTCTTCTGGAGCCAGGTCAGCTACAATATCATCGACATTGTCAGGTACAATATTGCATTGTTCACCCTGAAAAAGGAATTTTACTTGGAGGGCTCACATGAGAGAAAGAAGGGAATGTGTAGGGGGAAGGTGAAAGAGGACTAAAATCTAATCGCCATTCTGTATACAAATCGTATGCCATGGCAAAGTTCTGGACCAACATTTACAATCTGCCTGAGAAAGAAATGCCAAGAAAGCAGGAATGGCTAACCAGGGATGATAAATACATAACTTGGGTACCACCACTCCCCAGTTCCTGGCCCATGGCAGATATTAGTAATCAATTGCAGAACTCACAATGAAAGCAATTTGCCTGGATCAAATTGTTCATTTGAGCACTGGGCCTCACTGCTGAGTTAATTTTGCTCATTTTCTTTTTTTTTCTTTTTTCTTTTTGAGATGGAGTTTTGCTCTTGTCACCCAGACTGGAGCGCAATGGCGCAATCTTGGCTCACTGTAACCTCCACCTCCAGGGTTCAAGCAATTCTCCTGCCTTAGCCTCCCGAGTAGCTGGAATTACAGGTCCCTGCCACCATGCCCAGCCAATTTTTGTATTTTTAGTAGAGATGGGGTTTCACCATGTTGGCCAGGCTGGTCTTGAATTCCTGACCTCGGGTGATCTGCCCACCTTGGACTCCCAAAGGGCTGGGATTACAGGCATGGGCTACAGTGCCTGGCCTGCTTATTTTCATCTTATGAAATAATTTGCATGTTAGAAACCTGGGGAGGCCCAGGAATTCCATATCCTGAGGTGCTTTCTGCCAGTGACTCTATGATTCTAGAGCAGAAGGGTGTACAATCTCCCTGGCACTCCTACCGGGAAAGGTCGATGCCAGAGTGGGTTCTAACCCAGTACCTTCCGTGCGATTCTCTCGATGACAACTCTGGCTACTTGAGTGATGGACCCACCCTCTGGGTCATAGAAAGGACTCTGAGGATGGTCCAGGCTGGTCAGGGGCCGGATTTTCTCCTGGGGAATGGTGGGTTTGTTGGGTGACTGCAAGAAAACATACAGAGGTAGAGAGTAAGAAATAAAATTGGGAAAACCCACAAAAGCCATTTGTTATATGGATCAGAGCAAAGTCCTTGATAGGAATTTAACAAGCATAACTACTATTTATATTTATGGAATTGTGTTCATGCCACATACTGTGCTGAGAAATTTCTAGAACTATATTTTAAAATTCTTC
Organism: Homo sapiens; assembly: GCF_000001405.40. NCBI lineage: Eukaryota > Metazoa > Chordata > Mammalia > Primates > Hominidae > Homo > Homo sapiens. Next base: position 14,255,453 of record NC_000011.10, on the reverse strand, counting down.
CATGTCCATGGTAGGATTGTGCTAAGATGAAGAAGCCAAGTTTCAGAGAGGCCATCCCAGCTAGGAAACGGCTGAGCCAGGTTGGCCTGAATCCCAAACTCTTTCTAATAGACCCGGCATTGGAAAACTTTTTTAGTAAAGGGCCAGATGCTAAATATTTTAGGCTTTGTGAACCATATTGTGTCTGTTGCTAATATTCAACTCAGCTGTGGTAGTGAGAAAACAGCCGCAGATAATATGTACTTGGAGGAGTGTAACTGGCTTTGAAAACTTTATTGACAAATCACATTGTAGGGCAGATTTGTCTTCCAAACCATAGTTTGCAGATGTCTGTTCTAGATTGTTCTCCCATTGGTTTTCTGATGGCTCCAGATTTCAATGCAATAGATCATATCAGAGAAATATGACATTCAGGACAGAATGCAAACTCCTTAGCCCAGCTGTCCAGAAACCTTCGCTCTTGCAGTCATGGCTTTGGAATGCTGTCCCCTGCTCACCTGGGAACTGCTCTTTAGCAGTTCCCTCTCCGTGCTCTCCTGGCCACTGCACAGACAGTTCCCAGAGCCCAAATTACACCATATGTGATGATGCGACCATGCCAGCCTCCCCAGCCAGACTGAAAGTTCACCTAGGACAGAGCCTGGGACAGATCCCCTCTGTGTCCAGGACACTCAGGAAGCGGGTAGGCAAGGAGCCACTCACCACTCCAGGCACACACACACACCTCATAGGTCACCCCGCTGTCGGTGCCAGCGTCCCAGGGAATCAGGTCTTGCACCACCTTCTGGACCCAGCCACATTCCTTGGTGCACAGATCTTCTGCAGATAAGCCTACGTTCCAGTCGGGACTAGGGCCCATCATGGTCAGGAAGGACATTAAATGGCGCGTTCTGTCCACGGAAAATTCAGCTGAAGGTGCTGCTCTCCTGGAAACGAAATACAGAGACCATTATATTAGAGTTCTGGGGGTTGGTCCTCACTCTGAGGGAAATCTGCCTGGATTATGAAGAATGAGAGGGACAGAGAGTATCCACATTCGTGGTCTCCCACTGAATTCTGCCTTTGGCCACTGTGGGTTTATACCCTTCTCTGTCCTGAGCCCATCCATTGAACAAATGTGGAGAGAACCATATACTACCACCCTATCCAGTTTCTCTTTTTGTTTTTCTTTCAGAGACAGAGTCTTGCTCTGTCACCCAGGCTGGAGTGCAGTGGTGTGATCATGGCTCACTGTTGCCTCAAACTTCTGGGCTCAAGTGATCCTTGCACCTCAACCTCCCATCAGAGGGGTCATCTCCCCCAGCTTCCTGTTTCTATTGCCCTCAGAAGGCTGCCAATAGCAGGCACTGTCCAGCGCCAGACTGTACCCATCAGCTCACAGCTGGGAAGCAGGGACCAGCTGTAGAGTCAGAGACCTTTGGCCGACACCCCCAGTTGCTGGGAATAACATCCTGAGTCTAAGCTATCAGAGGCCGCTCTTCAACCTCTCTCTTTGTGTCACACAGATTCTCAGGAGTGGCTGGGACCATGTGAGATACATGGCAGCAACCACTCAGAGTGGCTGGAAAGGAAAGAGTCACATTCGCAAAGCACACAGCGGGTGGCAGTCCCATATTATTTCATTTTCCCCTCATGACAATCCTGTGGGGTTAGAATTATTATCCTGTCTCATAGAGAGGCCATGAAAGTGAATAAGTGGTTAATGAACTAATAGACACAGCTAGGAGGGGGCTGAGGCTTGAAGGCAGCTTGGCCTGACTCTGCACCCCAAGGCTGCTAATCATGGGGAATCCTTGGCCAGAGACCAACTGTTCTGTTCAGTCCAGCTGGCAGCTGGTCTGCCTCAGCTGTCTGGAAGTCCCTGTGCCCTCTGTTGGGACCAGCTGCTTCTGGCTGCCCTCACCTGGCACCAGAAAGCAATGACTGCAGACCCGACTGGGGCCTGGGGAACTGGGCCCCTTGGGCTCTGGTATCACCTGTTACAGCTGTGTGTCCTTGGGCAGATTATCAAACCTTTCTGCGTCTCAGTGTCCAAATCTTTAAAATGGTGATCACATACGTCTACTCCAAAGGGTTCCTGTGAATTTCAAATGAGCTAGCTTGCAGACAGTACTTAGCCCATTGCCTGGCCCTAGAGCTCTTATTACCATTAGTGTTACTGAGAGAAGTACTGTAGGATCGTATGGAGATCAGAAAGGGGACAGGTGGGAGGAAAAGCCTTCCTGAATGGACTTTCCATTTTAGCCTGATGCCAGTCTAGGTTCTGCCACAGGAGTGGAGAAGAACCTGGCCTGAGCCTTGGCTTTGGCATCCGTCGATTGACAAGGTCCTGGTGCTGCCTCCCATGCACCCCCTCCCTTATCCCACACTACCTGCTACCTAAGAAGCTCCCTGGGCCCTGACAGGCCAGTCTACCTGCAGGTTAGCTGCAGGTTCCACTTGTACTTGCATCTATTGGGCAAGCTCTTCAGTGATTGGAAAAGTGTGGTCCTTGGACCAGCAGCATCAGCAACCTCTAGGAACTTGTTAGAAATACAGATTCTTGAGCCCCACCCTATATTTGCTGAATTAGAGACTTGGGGTAGGACCCAGCAATTTGTTTTAATAATCCCTCCAGATTGTAATACACCTCAAGCTTGAGAATGCTGGGCCCACTCATCTTTCAAGCCTCAGGTCATGTCACCTCTTCCAGCAGCCTTTCTGCCTGCCTTCAGCTGAGGCAGATACATAGCGCTGGATTCCCACACTCTGCGCAGGTCTTGCCTTCAGCTGAGGCAAGTACATAGCGCTGGATTCCCACACTCTGCGCAGGTCTTGCCTTCGGCTGAGGCAAGTACATAGCGTTGGATTCCCACACTCTGCGCAGGTCTTGCCTTCGGCTGAGGCAAGTACATAGCGCTGGATTCCCACACTCTGCGCAGGTCTTGCCTTCGGCTGAGGCAAGTACATAGCGCTGGATTCCCACACTCTGCGCAGGTCTTGCCTTCGGCTGAGGCAAGTACATAGCGCTGGATTCCCACACTCTGCGCAGGTCTTGCCTTCGGCTGAGGCAGATACATAGCGCTGGATTCCCACACTCTGCGCAGGTCTTGCCTTCGGCTGAGGCAGATACATAGCGCTGGATTCCCACACTCTGCGCAGGTCTTGCCTTCGGCTGAGGCAGATACATAGCGCTGGATTCCCACTCTGCGCAGGTCTCCATAGCCAGACCCCATGAATGTAATCACTTCCTCACTGTTCCCTCTCCCCAGCTTAGACCGGGAGTTCCTTGAAGGAACTCTGTGTTTCATAGCTGTACCCCAGGACCTAGGTGTCCAGTGGGCCGACTGAACAAATATGCGTATGATGACTTGAACTCCTCCACTTCTAGCTTTAGATCTTGGGCAAGTTGCTCACCCTCTTCAAGTCTCAATATCTTCATCTAGCAATACATACCTGCAGTGTTGCTGTCAGGATCAAATGAGATGCTTTATTAGGAAGTCTTTATAAACTGCTAAAGTATTGCAATGACATCATCAGCTACTTAGGCACAAATCAGGGGATTTAATTTCCTTTTCCCACGTGTGCATTTTCTGGCATGTAGGTCAGTGATTTTAGCAGCTTCTTTAAAGACCTGGTTCACACAAGGATTGCAGTCTATGGAGGTGTGGCATTACCTCGCCTAGGGACTCACAGGACGGGGTTCTGGTCTGCCTTCTAGTAACTGCTGAGCAGACAGCACTGGCACCTGGGTGCAGCTGTCCTCTGGGGTGGTCCAGCAGTCCCCTGGGAGGCAGGTTTCCTCTTCCATTGTCATAGAGACTGACCGCTCCATCTATTGCCTTCCTGTCTTCCTAAGTAGGTGATTTGGGGCCAGATTAGTCATTCATATCCTGTACCCCATGGGTGACTATTCATAATGACAATCTAAGGGGACAAAACCAGTTCTAATCCAGAGCTGTAGAAACCAAACCAACTGCCACCCTAACACATTACCCTGGAACCTGCCCAGCCAATGGGTGTAACCATCTGAGACCAAGGCCTTGTGGAAATCATTCTCAGTAAATGCATTTTGGCCCAATCTGTTGTATCCAAATCTGTAGCTGAAGCGAGATACCCTCTAGACCCTGGTAAGTGTTTCAAGGTGTGGGAAACGTGGGGCGGCCAATTCCTGACTATGAGGTCACATGGCTGACTTATCTTGGGTGATAGAGTAAATCTGAATCTATAAGGGCCTGAGAACAATTTGATAGCATTTTCAGATATGCCCTGCAGCTTTCTCTTATCCTTGACTGGAGAATCCCTCCTTGACCCCATTTATGTAACATTTCCTGGAGGAGGTATTTCCTGACCTCTCCCCAAATTGCTTAGAACTCCTATTCTACCTCCCCATAGCATGCTGAACTCACTCTTGCTTTGGAATTTTTTGTTAATATCTGCCTTTCCCATCAGGTTCCAATAGAGTGAGGACCATTTCTGCCGTGCTCATAGCTATATCCCAATGTCTGGCTTAGAACTTGGCATGCCATGGATTCTCTTCAAATGTTTGTTGAAGTAAATGACTTAATCTAAGAAATGAACATGGAGCTCTTGTATTTCCTTTGACCTTCAAATTTAATTAAGCATCACTTCAAAGTATTTATTCTATAATAAAAATAATTAAATGAATAAGAATCTATATGAGTTTTCCTTAGAAAATGCTAGATAGGACTGGAGTGCTTTAATTTGTTCAAACTGTCATAAAAATTTTTATGCTTTTGTATATGCCATGTCTTCCAAGATATATTTTGTTAATTTGGTTTCATCTTTCTACCTGGGACTTAGATTTGTATCCGTTTTCTAGCAGAGAGTTGATCTAGCCATACCATATACCAGAGTATATGATAAAGCATGATAGACAAAATAGCGTGATATTCAGGTAAGATAGAAATATAAATCAGCAATACAGACTGGAGATCCCAGAAACTATAGATAAGGACTATACAAAATAGGCTTTTCAAATTAGGGGGAAAGGAAAGATTGTGCGACAAGTGGGGTTGGGCTAAGTTAACTGTAATAAAAAAAAAACTGGATTCACATTTAATATACCACACAAGAAAAAAAAAAAACAGACCCAGAGTCAAATAGAAAATAACCAGATCATAGAAAAAAATAAAGCTTTCAGATCTACTAGAGAAATATTAATTTTTTCAACTTTGAAACAATAAAAGCAATTATAAAGAAAAGAATTGAATTATCTATCAACGAAGACCTTCTGTAAAATGAAAACAGCAGTACTGAATTGGAGAGAAAAATGACATGCTGGCAAAAAATGTCTCCATTGAGTGTGACTGACAAAGTGTTAATATCTATATTATCTACAGAGTTAATCCAAATATGTAGAAAAAGACAATGATCCCACTAGATAAAGAAAAGTTATGAACAGACAATTCACATCAGATATGAAGACCCAGAGAAATGTTTCCTTTTTCTACATTTGGAGAGGCAGCATGGTGTGGAGGAAAGAACCCAGGGCATTGGTGACAGTCAGAGCTGGATTCGAATCAGCTGTTTATTTAATAGCTATGTGATGAGGGCTTCCACCTCACCTTTCTTTGCAATTACTACATCTGCCAAATGGGAGCATCATCATCCTACCCCAAGGTTTTATTGTGAGAAAACTGCTTATCATTGTGAGGGACACATAACAGGGCTTGGTAGAGGTTGATTTTCTTCTCATTCAACTTTTCCAAACAAAATGTTCCAAAACACCATAAAAGAAAAGAGGTAAGAAAGGATTTTGATACTGCTTCTAGAGACTTACCATCCCCTCCTAAATTACAGATCCACACCAGTGAGACTCAGGAGGGTTTCCTAAAACACTCATATGCTGTGTTGTCTCTCATCCTGAGTTTTCAATAATCTGAATTTTCAGAGTTGCAAAAACTCAATTTGGCCACGAGAGGGCGCCCAAGCCATTCACTAGGCTGAAGTTCTGCAGGGGTGTGTGTGGAGAAAGGTTTGAGGGAGGTTCCTGCAACGTTGGAAAACGCTGTGTTTATAACCAGGAGGCATCTAGGACTCCAGGTCCATCTGGATGCTTAGACCTACCACCTGCTTCTCTGTCCAAAGCCCATCTTCCTTTAGCATCCCGAGGACATCGGTGGACCTGTGCAGGTGTTGCAGGAGGCAGGGAGAGCCCTGACTCTTCCGGCCCAATTTAAGGGAAATCTCTGGCCTCCTGGGGAGCATGGCTTTGGATTTCTGGAGAAGGTGACCATGTCTCTACTCCACTGGCCTCACAAACACGACCTTTATCTAATCAATGTTAATCCGGCAGAGTGGCTGGGAATAATTTAAGGTGGTGACAGTGGTTTGCAGGATTCATTTTAAGGAAGGAAATAAAAGTTATTTGTAAAAGTCCCAGTAATTCTTAGCATTCAGATGCAATTGGAGGAACTGGATGATGGACATTCAGAATTGATTTGTAGGAAATCTGGGCATTTTCTACTTAGGCACCGGAGGAACTAGGAAAGGATGTGGGTTTTGTTCAGAGTCTGCCTTTCCTGTCTCTACCTGCACCCTGGGCTGTCGGAGCCACAGCTTGATTTATTGAGCTAAACAAGTCAGCAGCTAATTTGCTCATTCATGGCTGTCCTTTGAGAAGTGGTCCTGGGGATAAAGATGCAGATCATTGAAAAACAAGTCAGTTTCAACGGGCAGGACCTTGCAAAGTAGGTCACCCTGGCTTTCCACTGGGCGGCGAGGGAGGCTGGAATCCCATTAACCTCAATCAGGCAGGCTCAGCAAAGAGAGGCAAGGCTGTTTCTGCAAAACAAAACTTGGCTGCATGTAGGCTTCCTAATTTGACTTCCTAATGAGATTTGGAAGAGGAAAGGGGAGACTGGGGTATGGGAAAATCAAAGGAAAATTCTTTTCCCTTAACAAGCCAGTAGCGCCGAGTGCAGAGGTTTTGGGTGTTTGGGAGGTCTGAGTGTTTGCCATCAATTAATTTTGTTCCACGGAGGCCTCAGGAAGTCTGAGGGGTAGGTGAAATGTGGGAAGGTGTCCCAAAATATTCATTTCAGTTTTTCAGAAAGTCTCTCCCATCTTAAAAAAGAAAAAAAAAATGCTCCTTTGACTCTTTCATCCCCTTGGAGCCAGGTTCTCTTCTTTCATAGCAAACTTCACAGAAGAGTGGTCTGTACTTGCTGACTCCATAACCTCATGCTCTGTTCACAGCTCACCTGCTCCGGGCTGTTTTTCCCCCTCATCACTCAGCAGAAAGGATTCTCCGTAAGGTCACTGATGACCTTCCTGTCGATAAACCCAAAGGGCTTCCTGTAGCCTTGATCTTTCTTGTTTTCTCGGCTGCACTGGGCACAGCCAACCACCCGCCTCAAACACTTTCTTCCCCTGGCTTTCTCGGTACCAAGCTTCCTTACCAATTTCTTTGCTGCTCCTTTGCTGTGTCCTTTGCAGGCAAGATTCCTCAACATTCAATAGTAGAGATCTTTGGAACTCAGTCCTAAGCCCTTGATTCCTATTCTTATGCCCTTGGCATTGTCTCCCATTCCTTGAGGGCTCCCAATTTTAGATCTCAGTGCAGAATTCTTGCCCTGAGTTCCAGAGCTATCTAGCCAACCATGTACTTAACACCTCTAACTGGAAATCTTGAATACATCTTAACAACTTACACTTAGAACTGATCCCATGATCTTTCCCACTGAACTTCATCTAACGTTTTCAGCCTTGTGAGTGGCTTCACCACTCTTTCATTATGCCAGCCAGACACATGGGAAACATCTTGACTGCTCTTTCTCCACCCCCTTACTCCACCTATCGCCACAGCCTGTTGATTTTACCTCCTACGTGCCTCACACATCTCTGTACCTCTCTCCTTTTCCACCACCACCACCATCCTAGTGAAGTCACAGTTAATTCTCTCCGGTTTTCTGAAGTAGCCCCCCTCACTGGGCTCCCGCATCTACCCTTTCACACAGGGGCCGAGTGCTGTTATTGCTTTTTATTTTTTAATGCAAATATGATCATGTCACCCTTTTGCTTAAAACCCTTCAATGATTTACCATTATTATTTGAGACAGGGTCTCGCTCTGTCACCCAGACTGGAGTGCATGGTTCACTGCAGCCTCAGCCTCCTCGGCTAAAGTGATCCTCCTGCCTCAGCCTCCCAGGTAGCTGAGACCACAGGCACAAGCCACCACGCCTGGCTAGTTTTTAAAATTTTTTGTAGAGATGGGGGTCTTGCTTTGTTGCCCAGGCTGTTCTCAAACTCCTGGGCTCGAGTGAGCCTCCTGCTTCCACCTCCCAAAATGTTAAGATTACAGGTGTGAGCCAGTACACCTGGTCTTACTCATGACTTTTAATGCAAAAATTCAAATAAAAAATTTCAAATGTTACATGGCTTGGCCCCACACCAAACTCATCTTTGATTTCTGGATCTAGTTAGACCAAAGCCTTTTAGTGCCTTAGACATACTCTACTCCCTCCTCATACAGGGCCTTTGCAGATACATGATGGTCTCTCCAGATTTTCTAAAATGTTCTCCCCTTTGTTTTCTTCTTTGCTTAGTTAACTCCTACTGCTTCCTTAGATCTTAGCTTCATTGCCTTTTTAGGGGGAAGCTATCTCTAACCCCCCTAATGGCACTTTATGCCTTTCCTTCATAGACATGTCACATTTATTTGTGTGATCATTTAGTAAATATCTCTCCCCACTGAATTGTAATCTCCATAAGGAACTGTGCTGTGCTCACCACAGTTGCCCTAAGCACCTTTCACAGGACTTTTTTTGGGGGGACCCTCCTATCAAGGATGTTTCAGTCCTCCTTGATAGGATACAGGGTAAGTGAAAGTAAGATTTTGTTTGTTTTGGGGTAGGTGTGAGACCATTTGGTGTGGTCACATTGTTAATTTCATGCCAATCAGAAGGCTCATTGGCAGGTATATATGTCTTGATTAATTTAGACATGGGAAAATGAATGAATTGTTACTTAATTGGAAGGATCGTGTTATAGTGAAAAGCACAGGCATTAGAATCAGCTGGGTACTGTTGGCATTCTATATCCACCCTTGCTGTCATAGGACCTCTGAGTCTCAGTTTGGTCATTGGTAAAATGGACATTGCAATACCTACCTCATGGTTATTAGGATTAAAAGGGATAATAAATGTCAGCGCCTACTTGGACCCAAGGGGATGCTGAAGGTAAAAAGGACTGCTCTCTCTTTCCTCTCTCCCTCCCTTCCTATCTCTTTCCTGAATGTGCTTTGATTTGCAGTTTACATCTGTTTAAGCCCAGGCTCCTCAAGAGAAAACTGGTATAAAGACTCCTTAATGGTGTAAAAATTGGTACCCACAAACTCTCCCCACCCCTACCTGCCTTTCATCCCCTGCCCACTTAGAGGACCAGAAGTGAGGGGTTCTTCACACATAGGTTCTGGGAGCCAAGGAACTGGGAGAATCTGAAGAGACAGCAGAGTAAGGAGATTCAGGGTGACCTGACTGGTAACTGATGTTAATTATGCAAAGGGCACCAAGGGCTTTTGTGAATTCACATCCTTGTTTTTTGGTAGGACAGGGATGAGATGGGCAAAGGTGCACCTGCCAGGAGAGTGCCCTGGGTAGGCCCTGCCTCGTGTTGCTTCTCCTTGGAGGGCAAGGCATTTCCTGGGCTGGGTGGGTTTTCTCCTGCCCTGGTGTGAGCTTCCTTAGGGAGGATCCAGAGCAAGGCTTAGAGCTCACAGCAGGCTAGAAAAGGCCTCCATGCAGCCAGCTGGGCTGCGCTGGGCCAGCTGTCTGAGTGCTAGTCTCTCTTTCCCTCCTCAGGCCTCCACTCAGAGCCTCAGCTCCACCCAAGCCTGGGCCAGTCCTGACCAGCACAAGGAACACCTTCCAGGCACAGCCCCATGTCCCTCCTCCACACAGCAGGAGAGGGTTCTGCCCCTGCTCTGGGGCTCCAGAGCCATTCCTCACCCTAACATTTATCCCCTTGGAGTATACAAGGCTGCCATGATGACATTATATTTTATATATTCAGGTTATATGGTGCTGCCTGGACTTGTGCAAAGGGAAAACCTGGAGTGGCCCAACTTGGTCTGTTGTCTGTCTCCTCTCTGGCTGAGTGTTCCAGAGAGCTAGGACTGCATGTGCAGGGCTGGCGCACAGTAGGGGATGAGCCATTAGTTTGCTGAATGGTTAAATGAGCAGGTATCAGGTGCCTCGCCGTAGCTTCCCTGCTCCCAGGCAGTCAGCTATGAGTGTGCCTCCTCCCTCACTCCCACTGCCCTATCCTGGGGCGTCTTCCTTTTGAATGTCCAGCACTTTCCTCCCTTCCTATCCTGTGGATTTCGCCTTTTCTCCCACTGAGCAGCATCTCACACATTCCTCACATTGTTGCTGTCTTCAATACGGGTGTTAATGGATGTAGACTACTCCCTAGAGGGGCTGGCCAAGGCTTCTTCGTAAACCATCTTCTTGGGGTCAGTCTCCAGGCCTTGCGTCTTTAAAGGATGAGCAAAATCAAAGCTTGTTCAAGGAACTGCCCAGGATTCGGGGTGGCCTGTATGAGGTGCAGCATGGGGAGGACAAGAGATGAACCCCGACGTGTGTTCCGCCCACCTGCGCACGCTAAACTAAGGAGTGTGGACTTGATCTTGAGACTAAGCGAAGTCACAGAGGGATGAAGAAGGAGAGGACACAACAGATTTGGATTCTTTTTTGTTGTTGTTGAGACAGAGTCTTATTCCCATCACCTAGGCTGGAGTGCAGTGGTGCGATCACGGCTCACTGCTGCTTGACTCCCTGGACCCGGGCGATGCTCCTACTTCAGCCTCCTGAGTAGGTGGGACTACAGGCATGCGCCACCACACCCAGTTAGATTTTTGTATTTTTAGTAGAAGCAGGGTTTTGCCATGTTGCCCAGGCTAGCTGGAGGATTTGGATTCTTTTTTTTTTTTTTTGAGATGGATTCTTGCTCTGTCACCAGGCTGGAGTGCAGTGGTGCGATCTCAGCTCACTGCAACCTCTGATTACCTGGTTCAAGTGATTCTCCTGCCTCAGCCTCCCAAATAGCTGGGATTACAGACACGTGCCACCACACCCAGCTAATTTTTGTATTTTTAGTAGAGACTGAGTTTCACCATGTTGGCCAGCATGGTCTCGATCTCCTGACCTCGTGATCTGCCCGCCTTGGCTTCCTAAAATGCTGAGATTACAGCGTAAGCCACTGCGCCTGGCCGGTATTTGGATTCTTAAAAGATCACTCTAGTAACTGTGGATGAGGAATTGGACTGAGGGAGACTACAGCAAAGGAAAAAGGTGACGTGGTCCAGGTGAGAAAGGGTGATGGCTTGAAGGAAGGGGAGGAGAATCAAGTAAGGACTGATTTGTGAGCTGCCCAGAAGGCAGAATCCACAGGGTTTTGACACTCACTGTACTTTCAATATTTCTCCACATGGAGAACAGCAGGTTTGTTTGAAGGTGATGGGACCCATTTTGGACATGATGAGTTTAAGGTCCAGGTGGACCATCCATGGAGAGCTGTCCAAAAACCTGACGGATATACCACTGTATCCATCCATTTGGCAGGAGGTAGTTTTGGGGACTGTCAGCATACCCTTGGTCACCTGACTCAAGGGCAGATAAAATCTCTCTGGGATAGAGGAGACAGAAAAGAAACGGGACTGAGAATGGAACCCAGGGTAAATCTGGCTTTCCACACATCAGACTGGCTAAGCATGAGTACACCTGTGTGCTCTGAGGGTGAGGGCATGTTTGGTCTGTTGTGGCTGAGAGCATGAGTGAACACAGAACAGTTAATCATCCCATCTGAGTTGGTATTAAAGCCATCACATCTGGCTGTGGTATTAAAGCCATTGGGGGAAAACAGAGCCTGAGCCTGCATCCTTGAGAAGATGGGGCAGGTGTGATGCTCTGCACATAGAAAGCATCTTGCCTGCTTGTTAACTGAGAAGTAGTGCTAACTTCAACAGCATAACTGGTATGTGGTGGCCATTAGGTAGGTGGCTTTGAGAAGGGGCTAGGATAAGACAGGCCAGGCAAGGGACTTGTGTTACTTACACGTTGAGAGGCTGCCAGGCTGGCCATTGGGCTTTGGCTTTGATGACGGTGAGGACCTCATCACTCTGCAAAAAAGGACCACAAATATTTAGTGAACAGAGCTGGGCTCATGGGAACAATAGGGCTTTGACCTGGTGACACCATTCACCCCCACTCCCTCACCTGCTGTTGGGGCTTTTCCTGCCTGGGTGTACAGCCACCTCTCTCTGGGATGGGGGAACCCTGGGGCCTCAGTGATACCGGGAGAGGGGACTGAGTGTCCAGGTATGTCCTGGACACTGAAGGGCCACTGAGTCACACCTTTGGTTTCCAGCTCAGCCCATCCCTTCCCCACTAGAGCAGAGATCTGGCCTGGATTCTGCCTTGGTTGGCCAGACTCCCATGTCATGTCCATTTCAGAGGGCAGAGCCATGCTCTGTGTCCAGCAACTGAGTGGGGCCTGCTCCAGGCCAGCTGGGTCAGCAGGAGTTGCAATGTGGCTAACACCTGGCCCTGAGGACTGTCCCCTCAACGCCTGTCCTGCTGGTGAGACCCATGCGCTGGATCAGACTCCCTTGGACGAGGAGGCCAGCACAAAGCCAAGGCCCCATACCCGTGGTGCCCCTCAGGTTCTCTGGCTCTGTTTTGCTTTGGATGGTGAATAAAGCACCATAAAGTTATTTTAGGGATAACTGGGGAAACTAAAGTAATTTTTTGAGGAATAATTTGATAATTAACATTTTGAAGGAAAGCACTGAATGGTCTTCATAGGGCAAAAATCAGAACTTTGTTGATTTTGCTCAACTTTGAGGTTTGGTTGGGTTTTTATTTTCAATTACACACTGCGGGTGAGGGGTGCCATGATCTTTGCAAGGCTGGAGGCCTCCACAGGTCCAAGTTCAGCTCTGGTGGGGGGCTTTCCCTAGAGTGGAGTCAGCTGGTCCTGTATGGCCCCTTTCCCTGGCCTGGGCCCAGCAGTGCTCAGACACAATAGTCCATTGTGTGTGGAAAACTCCAGAATGTCACCAGCTGGGGAAGGAAGGGCTTTGTTGCCAACTGAACAGATCCCTGAGTTCCAGGGGAAGAGACTTGCTTGGCTGGCTCATAGCGACAAGGCTACAGTCCTTAGAGTCGTGCCTGGCAGCAGGCGCCTAGAATGCAGTTAGAATGCATTGTGACCTTCTCCCTGGTTGGGTACCTTGCCTAGAAAATCCCACAGCCCCATGGAAACTGAAAGGAAGGAGGACAGTGGTGTCTCTGAGGCTCAGGCCCAGAGGTTATAAAAAGCTTTCTGGTCCATGGCTTCCCATTTACCATGCAGGAAGGGGCTGCTGGGTGGTGGTGGTGCAGAGGAAGTTGGCTTAGCCAGACCCAGCGTGGTCTGGGCTCCTACAGACAGTCCTGGGTGAGGGGAAGGGCCCACAAGGACAGGGCAGCGGCGGTGAGCCACCCAGGAAGCTTGCAGCCTCCTCCTAGGCTCAGGCTCCCCGGGGTACCCTCTTTCCATCAGATGAAAAAAATCTTGGGATGCACAGACACCCCAACATTCACATGTCTGCAGGCAAAGCATTTCCCAACAGAGCAGTTACATTTCTCATGCTCTGAGAAATATATTTATTTGTTTACAGTGTATCCCTTCTTCCCTCCTAAGAAATATCTGTTGAATGACCGAGAAGTTGTTTATCTTGAAGTCATATATGGAACACAACCTATCTGTCTCCTGAGTGCCAGCTCCATGTCTCCCCAGACCTGGTTTTCCTCCAGTCATCTCATATGCCTCATGGCTGAGCCCTTCCTCTGACCTCAGAGTCCTGCTCCTCCTCCAGCAGCCCAGCCTGGGTTGAAGGCACAGCTCAGGCGTGCCTGAGCCGGGTGCCAAACACCAGCAGCTCCCTTCACCCCCGACACCAGTCAGGCTGAGGATTCCTGTGTTCACCTCCTTCCACAGTCTCCCCTCTGGCCACCCCATCTCCAGTATCTTCTTGCTTCCCCCAATTCATCCTCCACTTGCTGCAAATCTGACGGTATCTGTCTCCTGCCAAAACCCTTCAAAGGCTCCTCACAACTTCCATGACAATTTCTTACTTCCTGAGTTTTGCTTATGGGGTCCTCATCATCTAGTTCTGCTCCACTTTTTTTTCTTTGATTTTTAATTCCAGAATAATACACACATTGTGGAAAATTTTAGCATCACAGAAACTCACAATGTAAATGTTGAACACAGTCTACTTCAACAGCAACCCTGCCTTCTGTCTCCTTCTCCGTTTCCAGAATATTACAGCATGGTGTGTATCTTTCCAGATCTTCTACGATGCACATGTAAGGATGTGTGTGTGTGTGTGCAGGCATTATATTTAGCTTTCCCACCAAATCTGTGTCATACTGAATATCTTGTTCTGTACCATGACTTTAAAATATTTCCTTAATATCATATCACGGGAAACTTTCCATCAGTACGTACTACATACTATGTACACTATATACTATATATCTTAGCTCTCTTTTTTGATTTTTAAAGTGTTGGATATCTTCAAATTATGGCAAGCCAGGTCAAGACTTAGAAAAAGGAAATCCAAGATATCAGATCCTGGTAATGAGATACTGTCTGATGACAGTCTGTTTGCTCTTGAAGAAATATTTCACTAGAAAATAAAATCAATGTGGGTGGAGTGAAGGTGGCTGCCAAGTTAGCTGGCCATGCAGATTCACCTTGCTTTACAGTTAAATTCTGGTTTACAGGTCCCAGCTGATATAGTGATTTTGCTTTTGTAATATATAACTACACACACACACACACACACACACACACACACACACACACACACACAATATTGCTTCTTGGCCTTTTGGCCAAGATCAAATGTATAACTCCACAAGTATAGTTTGGAACCTACATTACCATTTATTTATGGTGATGAAACTCCATTTAGACCTATGGAGGCTCCAAGGATGGTGGGACCATATGTGTGGGCATGACAGCTTCCTGCTGTAAATCTTTTCATCTAGTGGTTACACAACATCTGCAGGGTCAACAGCTTATTGTTCTCTTTTTTGGTGATCATTTGAGTTAAATGAAACAAGAAAGCAGGAGCATTCTACCACATTTATTTAAAAAGCTAAATATTTTTGTTGAAGCAGCAAGTTATCTGGTAGAACTTAACTTCTATAAGGATCAGAGAGAATCTTGCTCATTCATGGCCATATCACCATGCCTACGGCCGCTCAGTAGATTGTTGAAAAAGCAAAGCCACACCATTCTCTTTGATGTATGCAGAGAGTTATGTAGCAGGGGATGTTCTCTAATTGATTCCACTGGCACCATTAGTAAATATTTAGTTGTTTTCATAAATGATGCTGTGATGAAGACTCATGTACGTATTTATTTGCTCATACATCCAAGGATTCCTGTATCATTGAGTCATAGGAGTGATCAAAATGTGAAGCAAATTTAAAACTGTGGTCTGCCCTACCAAATTGCCCTCCAAATGTCTGTACTAATTTCTACTCCCAGCAAGGATGTGTATGTGCCCATGTTCTCAATTTAGGGCACACGGGATACTATCCATCTTTTTAATGTTTATGAATCCAGCAGGCAGGAAAGTAGCATAGTTGAGAAGCATAAGCTCTGGAATCATACCTGAGGTCATATGCTAATGGTACCATTTACTAGCTCTGTGTTTTTGTTTTGTTTTTGAGACAGGGTCTCACTTTGTCACCCAGGTTGTAGTGCAGTGGCACGATCTCAGCTCACTGCAGGCTCAGCCTCCCGGGCTCAAGCAATCCTCCCACCTCAGCCTCCTGAGTAGCTAGGACTACAGGTGTGCACCACTACTCATGGCTAATTTTTGTATTTTTGTAGAGATGGGGTTTCGCCACATTGCCCATGTTGGTCTTAAACTCCTGAGCTCAAGTGATCTGCCCGCCTCGGCCTCCCAAAGTGCTGGGATTACAGGTGTGAGCCACCGTGCCCTGCCAAACTCTGTTTTTTGGCAAGTCTTGTGACCTCTCTTAGTTTTCTCATCTGTGAAATAGGGTAAAAAGAGGATCTTCTGCATGTGCTTGTTAGGGGGACTAAATGACAACTCATGTAATGTGGCAATGAAGTGCCTGGCACATAGCAGGTGCTCCACAAAAATTACTGATCATTCTTATTTTTACTTACATTCAGGGTAAGTTCATATCAGAATTGACTTGCGCTGCCTGAGTACAGAGACTGGAGCACACAGTTGCAGGTACAAACCCACAAAGCCTCAGGAGAACTTGCCTCCATTGAAAGCCAAGCTCTGAGTCCCAGGGAGCATATGATGGAAGGCTTATGTAGCTTGGATGGGGGCACTAGGGCCCTGGGCATTTCACATTCTGAAGAATGAAGGACTTAAATTCAGAGTAAGCAACCCACACTTCAGACTTAAATGAAAAGCTTATTTTAACAAGTCTCTAAGGCACAGACAGGAACTTTCAAGAATACTTAGAGCCCCTTCTCAGCTCCCACAGGACCCTTTTCAAACAAAGTGTCTCAGGGCATCCATCGTTCATGGTTCATTTGGATGATGCCAACACTTTTCTAAAGACATACCAATTAAAATAGGAAAAAACCCAAAGATACTACAGGTCACTCATATTCATCTTCCATTTTGCTTTTGTAAGCATATTGTGGGGATACAACAGCTGTACTTGTACCTCACAGTTACTGGTACCAAATGGGAAGAGCATATCCCCTAACAGGCCATGGGCTGAGGTCAGGTCTGGAGGGAAGCGGGTTCATGTGGAATGAAAACAGATCTGGGACAGATCTGTTCTGGAGGCAGCAATTACATCAATACCAGGAGATAAACAGGGTGGTCTGAGCAGAACAGAAAGTAAGACTGTGAGTCTAGGGTCGGGGCTGGTGTCTGAACCAATCTTACCCCACGCTGACCCTCCTCTGCACTCCAGAGCCAGCCACCCAATGAGGAAGAGCTCCACACATCCCAGCTGTGCCCACAGCAGAAGGCCAGAGTCTGTCACATCCCCCTGCCCCTTTCTTCCTAACTTTTTGACTTTGTCTTCCAGTCCTGAACCACAAGCCATTTCCTCATCCTAAACATTCCTTTGCTGCTGGTAGCACTGAGGCTCAGACCTCAGTGTGGAGTCAGCCTGGCCAACTTGCCTGATGCCCCTACCATCTCTCCTCCCCACAGGAAGAGAAATGGGATGCAATCCATGATCAGAGAGGGAAAGGAATAGAAACAGGTGGAAACAGCAACAATAATAAAACAATAATTATTTATTTTTTATGTGCTAAGCATCTTGCTAACCTTGCAAATTGCCTAATAGACAGCATCTGATTTAATCCTTACAACACATTTGCAAGGTGGATATATACGTTTTAATCCTCAGAAACACATTTATTTGGCCAAATTAGTTTCACAGTTAGTTAACTGGCTGAGCTAGAGTTTAGACCTCAGTCTGATTCTAGAGGCCACACCCGTTGCCACCATGAACCCAGGCAGATGGGGCCTGAAAGTGCACACTGTGGCCCAGGAGAACCAGGCCCACCCCTCCTACTTCTGCTGCTCTTAAGGGCATGTCCTAGCCTACTTTCAGTTCTGCATATCACAGCCACACGTGGAAGAATATCAGACCATGTTCACAACACTGAAAGTTACTGCTGTTCTGACGACCGGTTTGATGAAGCCGGGAAGGCACAGGCTCCTTGGGCTGAAGAAAAACTGTCTGCTACTAAACAGGGGAAAACCCAGTGCCACTAATTGCAAATGCAGTGATACGCAGCCACACACACAGTGTGCATTCCCCCATTCAACAGCTTGTTTCTTACAGAAAGCTTTGGAAATAGCTATCACGCTGTCCACTGCAGATGAGGAAGCTGTGGCTCAGAGGAGTCAGGTCATT
Organism: Homo sapiens; assembly: GCF_000001405.40. Lineage (NCBI taxonomy): Eukaryota > Metazoa > Chordata > Mammalia > Primates > Hominidae > Homo > Homo sapiens. The sequence goes on along the minus strand of NC_000011.10, from coordinate 14,237,525 downwards.
TGCTGACCACACAGGAACCACGATTCCAACGCATGTGTATCTGACTCCAAACTCACATTCTTTCCACTTTCCCTGACTGTCCTTCTTCTCCATCCTTCTCTCCTCCCTCCCCCATGTTGCTCATTTTGCAGTGAGAGCACAGCTGACCCTGGTTGGTGGCTTTCTCCAAGGAGCCCTTGCTTTGAGGCACAGGATCACTGGGGTTCCCTCTGGGAGAGCAGTGTCTGGAATCTTGCGTGGAGACCCCGGTGAGCACTATTTGGCCCCATTATTTGCTTTTTCTCTTTCCCAGTTGCCATGCACAAAAAATATCCATCCTGACAGCTTCTACCTCTGAAGGTAACTTTTTCATGCCTGGGTGAGTGTTCTGGTGATGAGTAGCAAGAAATGAGCCATTTTATGAGGTGATAACGGGGCTGTAAGCATCTTTAAAACCAATTGTGCCCAACAGTAGCCTCCCCTCATTTCAACAGCCTCTGGGCTTCTCAGGTCATAAATAAAACAGCTCATATTTGGTGGCACTTTGCAGTTTGCCCATGGTCTGCACTGCTGCTCTCTGAGGAAGGCAGGAGGGTGTCCCCATTTCTCAGGTGAGGCAACTGAGACTCACCTCTCCTCTGACAGCAGACTCACTGCTCCCGTCAAGGTCACCAGTGACCTCTCCGTGCCAAAGCCAAAGTCAGTGCCCAGCTCTCAGCTCTTGTGACCCCTCAGCAGTATTTGACACAGCTGGTCACTCACTCCCTCTGCCTTGAAAAGCTTTCTCCTTGGCTCTGGGACTTGCTGCCTCTGATTTTCTTTCCACTTCATCAACTCTTCCTTCTCAGTCTCCCTCGCTGACTCCTATTCACTTTCCTCTAAAGCTTGAAGTGCCCCAGGGCTCAAGCCTTTGGTCTTCTCTTTTATCCACACTCCCTTGGTGATTTCATTTAGTCCCCTGCCTTAAAAAGCCAACTGTGTATATGCTGATGATTCCTAAGCTGTAATCTTCTATTGCAAACTAGCCTCTGACTCTAGACTTGCATATCAGCCACTCAACATTTTCATCTGGGTATCTAAGTGGCATCTCAAACTCAACAACGTGCCTGAAACCAAACTCCTGATCTTCCCCTCCCTAAGCCCAGCCTCCTTCATTCTTCCCATCCCATTACATGGCAATGCCGTACTTTCAGTTCCATCCACCCTGGATGCCTCTTTCTCTCCCACCCTGCAACTGATCCATCGGCACACCCTGTCAACTCCACTTCCAAAATATCTTCATGATCCAACCACTTTCCGTCTCCTGCCTGCCTCCATCCTGATCCAAGCCACCATCATCGCTCAGCTAGATGAGTGCAGTTGCTTCCTAGCAGGTCTCTCTACCTCCCCTCCCTTCCTCCAGACTCTTGTTCGTGCAGCAGTCATATCATGCCATTCCTCTGGCCAAAATCCTCCAGTGGCTTTGCATCTCACAGCAGACAGGACCTTGCTCTGGTCCCCCACACCCTCCATGGTCTGCCTGTCCTCCTGAGCCTCATCTCTTACTACTCTTCCACAACCTGGGTTTCGGCATCCTGGACTTCTTATGTATCTTTAAACATGCCAGGCACACCTTGCACTTGCTGTTCCCTGTGCCTGGAATGCTGTTCTCCCAGATACCAGAGCACTCTCTCCTTTGTTTCCTCCAGGTCTTTGCTCAAATGTCAACTTCTCAGTGAGGACTTTGATGTCCATGGCAGGTCCCTGCCCCCTTTTTGACTCAGCATCCCTATTCCTTTATCCCACTATCTTTTCTTCATAACATTTGCCATTGTCCAGTTGACTGTGCATTTTGCTTACTTTTTTTTTTTTTTTTTTTTTTTTTTTTTGAGGCAGGGTCTTTCTCTGTTGCCTAGGCTGGAGTACAGGGGCATAATCATGGCTCACTGTAGAATGACCTCCTGGGCTCAAGCCATCCTTCTACCCTCAGCATACCAAATAGCTGGGACTACAGGTGCCTACCACCATGCCCAGTTAGTTTTAAAATTAGTTGTAGAGATGGGGTCTTGCTTTGTTGCTCAGGCTGGCCTCACACTCCTGGGCTCAAGCCATCTGCTTGCCTCAGCCTCCCAAAGTGTTGGGATTACAGGCGTGAGCCACCATGTCCTGCCTTATTTACTTTTTATTGTCTATCTCCCCCTGCTAGAATGGAAGCTCCAAGAGGGCGAGGGTGTTTGTCTGTTTTGCTCACTGCTGTACTATCAGTGTTTAGATCTGTGTTGGGAACACGCTTAACTAATACTTGTTGGGTGAATGAGAGGCTGTGATGAGGAAGGGGCTGGTGTCCTCCGAGGCCCAGTCCGTGGGCACTCCCTGGACCTAGGATGGAGCCAGCGCAGTGTGAAGTGACACTCATCGACCTGGGTGTCAGCTGGAGGCGCTGGAGGAGCAGTGAGAGTCCCAGCATAGAGCCGTGCCAGCACTGCCAGGTAGAGGAGGGGAAGGGACAGCATACAGTGACCACTTTGGGAACCGTGGTCAGAGCTCACAGGTTCTGAACCTGGCTCAGGTGGGCTGGCTGGCCGTTCATAAGTGCTCATTCTATGCCCCGTTCCCCGGGAAGCAGCCACCATCACAAGCTGCTGTCTGATCAACTATTTTAGAGCAAGAGAAAGTATCTGAAGCCCATTAGCAGATCCACTAGAAGATGATGCGTTTGCACAGAAGCATTTCAAATTCAATTTCTTTTTATTTCTTTTCAAACACAGCTTGTAATTTCGATGGGAAAATTGCATAATGTCCGTAGATAATGATTTTCCCCTGAGATGGTTTTGTGGAAGCAGCTTGGCATTTCTGAAGCCAGAGAGGAAGGGACCATCAGAGCTGTTCCGGGCCTGCCCCACTGCCCCTCCGCCCAAGGGCTGCCTCCGGTGGGTGGGAGCTCTGAGGACTCACATCACCCTATGACCTTCTGTGTGCTGGCACTGGCCATCGGCATTTACTTAGCTTGTCCTTTGGTAACTGAAGTACCATCCTGGATTTAACCTCATTTTCTGCATTTTTATTATGTTCTTTTTAGTGCTCACACAAGTCTGCTGCTCCCCTGAGTAAAATCAGTGAGCAAAGGAGCAGAAGAGGCTGATGGGGCATGCCTGCCTCCCATCCCACCAGCCCCCAGGACCTGCTCTTCCGTGGTCCGCCTCCCCATCTTCTACCTGACCTTCAGCAGTCAGAAAAACCTTAGTGCCAAGGCCAGAGCAAAGAAGGGAAAAGGGGGCCACAGCAGAAGGTATTCGAACATCACGTAGGTGATGCCAAATCCAAACAGGAGAGAACATCAAGCAAGGGCTGTCTGCCTTCAAACAGAAAGGGCTGTGAGGAAGCCCAGCCCATGATCCAGGCCAGATCTGACTGGAGGTGCCTCAACCTGTAAGGGTAGTGCCCCTTTCAGCACCCCTAACCCTACCCCATGGGAACACATCCTGTAGTCTTCAAGAAACAGCACTGGGGGTCGGGTGCTTTGGCTCACACTGTAATCCCAGCACTTTGGGAGGCCAAGGTTGATGGATCACCTGAGGTCAGGAGTTTGAGACCAGCCTGGCCAACATGGTGAAACCCCATCTCTAAAAGTACAAAAATTAGCTGGGCATGGTGGCGGGCACCTGTAATCCCAGCTACTTGGGAGGCTGAGGCAGGGGAATTGCTTGAACTCAGGAGGCAGAGGTCGCAGTGAGCTGAGATTGTACCATTGCACTCCAGACTGGGCGACGAGGGCAGAACTCCATCTCAAAAAAAAAAAAAAAAAAAAAGAAAAAGAAACAGTGTTGGACACTCCTCAACCATGATTCCCATCCCCACTGCCATCCCAGGGCAGGTCCCGTCCCAGAAGCCAGCATTAGAGCAGGGGCCGCATTGCATCCCTTCTATATCCTCAGCACCAGCCTGGCTTGTGAGAGGTATGCAGGGAATATTTAAGGGATAAATAATGAATTAGTTAATTAAACAATTAGTTAATAATAAGCTAGAGGAAGTCTCTGGCCTTGGCTGCCCTCCCAGAGGGTTTAGGGGCTGTTGTTCAGAGTGTGATGGGACTGGAACATGGCTGAGGGGTTTGTGAGCAGAAGAGTGGTATGACCTGATTCATATTTTTAAAGGATCCTGCTGGCTGCTCAGGGAAAGTAACTGGAGTGGGGCAAGCTGGGGAGCAAGGACCCCAGGCAGGAGGCCATTGCTGTGTCTGGCGACATAGGGCCAGGGAAGAGCAATGGAAGGGGTTCAAGGCATGGGATGCAGATATATTTTACAGGTCGGCTCAGCGTTATCTGCTGATGGATTGGATGTGAGGTATAAAACAAAGAGGGGTCAAGGATGACTCCAAAAGGAGGTGTCATGTAGGAAGGTAGATATATGAGGCCGGAGCTCAACGGAGAAGTCCAGGCTGGAGACGTAAACTCCAAGTCATCAGCATAGAGACTGGTAGTTAAAACCACAGGATAGATTACCTGGGGAGTGAATGGAGGCAGAGGAGAGGATGGGGGAGAGCAAAGCAGACTAAGGTATAATGGCCAGAGAGATAGGAGGACACCAGGACCTGCCCAGGGCCTCTTCAGAAACCCTGTGCTTACCCCACTACCTCTGCGGCCTCTGTTTACTGCTGCCCTACTGCCCCCCCTGCCATGTGCTCACTGCTGCCGCCGCTGCCCCACTGGCCACTACTGAAAATACAATGGAAGCAGGTTCAGGAAAGACAGAGGTGAATTAGCGGAACCAGCAAGCCCAGACAGCGCTTTTTGAGAAGTCGGCTGTGGAGTTGAGAAAAATGGCAGTAGCAGGAAGGACATGTGATTATTTTTTGAAAGATGTGTGATATGAGGGCAAGTTTGTATGTCCAAGTGTATAATCCAATATAGAAGATAAGCTCATATTGCAGGAGAGAGGGAGGGTGCACTTGCAGGAATGGATCCCTAAGGTGAGATCCAGACCTGGGAGGGAGGAGTGGTCTTCCAGAGTTGCCAGAGTGGGGAGGGAAAAGGGAAGCAGAGGACAGAGCTGCAGATGCTCTGGTTACTGGTTATCTGCAGGTGCTCTGGTTAGTGGTTACAGGCATGAGCCAGAGAGCATGTGGGTTGGGTTGCTGGGGCTGATGGTGAGGACTCATTCATCCAGCAATGATAGATGGAGCCCCTAGTCTGTGCCAGGCCTATTCCACGTGCTGGAGAATGAGCCCTGAACAGAAGACACACCCATCCTTGTCCTCAAGGAGCTTACATTCCGGAGGAGGAGGCAGACATAACAGCTACACAGTGTGTCCAGTGCTGATTAGCTCTCCGGGGAAAATATAGCCGGGAAGGGTGAGGGGGAGGGCCAGGATGGGGTGAGAGAGTTATGCTGCAATTTTAGAGTGGTGGAGGAAGCCTTCACCAATAAAGTGACTCAAGTATTTTAAGAAACAGATGCTGATGCATATGAAAGGGCCAGGAAAGAACTCTACCAAAATGAAAATATACCTCACATACTGAAATAAGGTCTTTAGAATTTAAAAACATAACCATGTTTTGGCCACACACACAGAGACAAACACACACACACACACACGGCGTAGGAGGAGAGAGAAACAAAAAGAATGACCCTATAATCCCACCATCCTTACCCAGCAGCTTTCATCAATTGCAATATTCATTTGTTTGTCATAGTTGACATCATAACTTATGCACAAAACTCACACACACACACACGTATATACTTTTGAATCTTTTTTTTTTAGACATTGCTGTATAGTCTTTGGATTCACCATTAAAAAAGTCATGTCACAAGTAAGAGTATCTGTAAGATATATTAAATGTTAAAAGCAAACTACAGTACAGTTTGTATAGTAATCTATTTGTGTAATCTATTTACCTTTGTGGAGAGGGGTGGTAAGGATAAAGAAAATTGTGTGTGTATATATTTCTAGTTGCATAAAGTATCTCTGGAAGGATATATAAGAACATTACAAAAATCAGTTGCCTCAGGAGAAGGGAACTAGGTAACCAGGGAGCAAGCAAAAGGCTGAGGATTGTCACTGTGTAACCTTATTATATATCTTTTGATTTTCAAACCATGTGAATATATTGCCATTAAAAAAATGGAGGCTGGGGCCAGGTGTGGTGGCTTACACCTGTAATCCCAGCACTTTGGGAGGCCAAGGCAGGTGGATCACGCGGTCAGGAGATCGAGACCATCCTGGCTAACACGGTAAAACCCTGTCTCTACTAAAAATACAAAAAATTAGCCAGGCGTGGTGGCATGCGCCTGTAGTCCCAGCTACTCCGGAGGCTGAGGCAGGAGAATTGCTTGAACCTGGGAGGTGAAGGTTGCAGTGAGCTGTGATCATGCCACTGCTCTCAAGCCTGGGTGACAGAGTGAGACTCCATCTCAAATAAAAAAAAAAAAAGAAAAAAAAGAAAAAAAGTGGCGGCTGGGCACAGTGGCTCATGCCTGTAATCCCAGCACTTTGGAAGGCTAAGGCAAGAAGACTGCTTGAATCCAAGAATTCGAGACCAGCCTGGGCAACAGAGTGAGACTTCATCTCTACAAATAATACAAATAAAACATAAAAAATAAATTAGCTGGGTGTGGTGGCACATGCCTGTAGTCCCAGCTACTCAGCTACTCAGGAGGCTGAGGTGGGAGGATCGCTTGAGCTCAGGAAGTCAAGGCTGCAGTGAGCTGTGATTGTGCCACTGCACCCTAGTCTGGGTGACAGAGTGAGACCCTGTCTCACCACCACCACGAAAAAATGAAGGAAGGAAGGAAGGAAGGAAAGAGAGAGAGAAAGAAAAATGGAAAGTAAAAAGAAAAGGTCGCATCCAAGCCTGTTTCCCAGGGTTTTCTCAACTGGTTAGTCATGAAGGCTTTTGAGGTGGGCACTGTGTGAGGCTGACCCTGCCTGTGGAGGAGAGTAGGGCGGACCTCTAGACCCAATGGGCTTGAAGCCAAGGCAGCGGCTGGGAAGGTGGGCAGGGGGACAGAGCGCCATGGCAGGGGTAGAATTCATAAGATAGCTGATGAGTTCTTCACTTGACAATTTTAAAGAGTGTTAGGCTTTGTTAGGCAAGGAGTATCTTTAAAGTAACGGCAGTTTCAAAAGAAATGAGAATTCATCCACACACCAATATCTCCTTCTCCTTCTCTTTCTTTACTTAGAAATGTCTGACGCAGGTGTTATTCTGGCAGCCTAGTTTGCTGGGTCTTTAAATGTAATAACATTTCACTTCATCATCTCCCTTTATCAACTGATTTCCATAAAAAGCTTTCAAATTATTAAGTAATGAAGCTCCAAGTGACCCGAATGGGGGAGAAGTAAGTGTGCTTTAAGGTGTTCAGCACATTAGTATCAAATAAGGATCCTGGGAATGCTGCTTTCTTAAATGCGGCTATTTAAATGCAAAGTAACAGCTCTCCTAAGCTGTGAAAGGTTAACCCTTTTCATTCTCGAGTACCCCACATATTTGAGGTTTGGGGAGAGACTTGGGAGATGACAGGAGAAATTTTGTGTTGTGGCAGACACTAAAGGGTGTCCGTTCTAGGAATTTGAGAACACACACACACACACACACACACACACACACACACACGGACACACAGACAGACAGACAGACACACACACACAGGCTGGCCTCTCTTCCAGGTTTCCCATGGTAACAGAAGTTTCTCTGACTGTGAAAACGCTCTTTTAGTTATTTTCGTGGCTCACGGAGCAGGAATTGAAGAGCGGTATGGTGGAATAGGCAGACCGAGGGTTCAGCTCTTGGCTTGGTCACTTATATGCTGCGCAAGTTTGGGGAAAGTGCTGTCCTCTCTGAACCTGACTCTTTGTCTGTAAAACACATGTTAATGAGCTCCTTTCTGGGTCGGACACTGTGCTGGGCTCCCGTCACAGGGCAGTAGACCAGACAGACTGCCCTTGTGGAGCTTGTTCCCTACTGGGTTAATCACAGTGCATGGAGGTTAAATGAGACGGTATCAGTCAGGGCCAGGTGAATAGTAATGAAGGGGGTGCCTCTGATGACTTAATCATACTGGCAGGCTCTCCACTCCGCTTCTGTCAGTGCGACCTCTCACTACTGCCTGACCCACCTTTTGACCAAATCTCCTACATCACCTGTCATGCCCACGCACCAAAGGCTCATGCTTTTGCATTGGATCCTTCTGTCTGGAATGCTCCTGCCCTTGTCCCCTCAAGCCACTCCTCTTCTGAAAAGGCTTACTGATGACCCAAGACTCTCAGATCCTCTTTGTCCATGATTATTTGTTCACTCGTATAAAGGTATCTTCCCCACCAGGTGTCTAGCAAAGTACCCACGTCATAGTATGTGCCTGATCAAATATGTTGAATGAATGTTCAATCAAGTTTTTATTCCCAAATATTACATGTGAATTGTGAGAGGATCTGTCCATCATGATTACTGCCACCCAAAGAAGTATTCGTAAAACTTTGTGATTGTCACACCACGGAGATATCACAGGTATATGCAGCAATTCCCAGCAGAGGTAACTGGGGTGGAAGCTTCCTAACCTTCCTCTTTCTTGGAGTAGGTTCTGAAGACCTCTAGGGGCCTGTAAATATGTTGTTAGAGTCTTCTTAGTTCTCTGTGGGAATTTAAACATTTATATTTATATTTTTGTGAGAATAAAATAATAGATTGTGTACATATTAAGGATCATCTCAAAGATCTAGTCAAGCATCACCAGGCAGTTCAGTGGCTGGGATGCATTTGTTTTCACATCTCACGGTTGCCCTATACAACTTTATTGTGCGTTAGTGTGGAAGACAATGTGACGCTCTGTCCAGATCTCTCTTCAGGAGTGAAGGACTTACTTCCCAGCTGCAGGGATGATGGTAAAAGGTTGCTCTTAGCTGTCAGTTCTTTGGCATTGGCTAGATAACACAGCCTAATGTGAGGTCAAACTTCCTTCCAGGGTGACCCTCATCCAGTGATCCTCCAGGGGCACAAAGGTCAGTGCTCTTGTCCCCAAGGCAGGACAACTCTGAAGAGCCACCCAGCCCAGTGAGTTGGTTGGTAGAGGTCTTTGTTGGGCCTGCGACACAGCTCAACTTCTCCCTCTGCACATCCTGCTTCCTTCCCCTGCCTCCCACAGCTGTGGTTCCCAAGAACATTCTTTGGTAACTTCCTGCACTCTAATCTTGATGCAGGTCTCCTTCCCAGAGAACCCAGCTGCTAAAGAGAGTGGGTTCTAAAAGGAAAGCAGAGTTAACAAATCAAAGACATTTTGACTAGGTAAAGCCCAAAGGATACGTGTGCTGCTGCCTGAACAATGTGTTGTCAGTGGTTGGAAGAACAGTGGGAGAACTGAGTTAGCCCAAAGGGCCCTGGTGTATGCATACCAAACTCGGAAGGACCCAGGCTACGAGGGTCAGCATTGCATCGAGATTGTGAGCAGTCATTTAATTTCAGCAAAACAGCATCACCCATCACATTAAAGCAATGTTCTTAATTAGCATTTAAAGTGTTTGCAGTTTTATTTGTGTTATTATTAGTATCACTATTTTGTTTTTATCATCTTAAGAGAGCTATAAGCATAAGGAGTTCATATCTGGTTATCTTTGCACATATTTAAATAATATGATAATGAAAATCCTTATAACTCAACCTTGGGTGTTTGTGAGCTTGTATTTGCCCTTTAAAAGAGATCTATACATTACGCAGGTTTGGGAATTATTTAATTTTGCAAAAGCATGGTATTAAGAGGCTGGGTTTTGGAGGGTCTGTGGCTTAACTGTGTAACCCTGGGAATGTTACTTAACTCTTTGAGCCTTGATTTTCTCATTGGTAAAATGGGGATAATAATCTACCTTACAGGCCTGTTCCAAGGTACAAATGAGCTGTAAATAAATGTAGAATGATTTCAAAGTTTCTGACACATATTAAGTGCTCAATAAATGGCAGTAGTTAGGAGAGGCCGAACAATAAAGAATGCACCTCTCTGTAAGCCCTTTCCAAGCCTGGCCTGGAAAAAGTCAGTGGTCTGCATCCATCCCTGACAGAGAGCAGGAGGAGGGGTTTTGGGTGAGTTATTTTCAATAGAAAGTCAGAGTTAAATTTGCTTAAAAGCCAGCCAGCAAGCAAGCAAACAAATACTAAGGCCTCAAGGCACACAAAAGTGAAAGGTTAAAATAGAAAACTGTGAAGAGCTATGGCCTAAATTTAAATTCAGGGAATCTTACATTTAGGGACCACTTAATAAATGAAATAAAGCTGGGTGTAGTGGCTTGTGCCTGAAGTCCCTGCTATTTGGGAGGCTGAGTAGATGGATCACTTGAGGCCAGGAGATTGAGACCAGCCTGGGCAACATAGTGACACTGCGTCTCTACAAAAATAACTAAATAATAACTAAATAAATGAATGAAACGAATATTGCCATGGTAAGCTGAGTAACGGCCCCCCAAAATATCTACATCCTGATCCCTGGATCCTGTGAATGCTTCATTATATGTCCACAAAGGCCTTGCAGATATTGTTAATGATCTTGAGATGGGGAGATTGTCCTGGATTATCAGGGTAGGCCCTAAATATAAGTGTCTTTACAAGACAGAGGCACAGGGAGATTTGACTAAAGGAGAGGGGAAGGTACTGTGATAATGGAAGCAGAGATTGGAATGATGTGGCCACAAGCCAAGGAAGACTGGCAGCCACTGACTGTGCAATGGAGCCTCCCGAAGGAACCAGCGCTGCTTGTATCTTGACTTCAGCCCTGTAAGACTCATTTTGGACTTCTAACCTCCAGAACTGTAAGAGAACCAATTTGTGTTACCCCAAGGCACCAGATTTGTGGGTAATTTGTTACAACAGCAACAGGAATGGATATAATTCCTATGGGCCCTGCTTGCCTTTTTGATTAGTGAGTCTAATGAAAATAAAAGGCAGACAGTCCCTGACTTAAGATAGTTTGGCTTAACAATTTTTTGACTTTATGATGATGTGAAAGCTATATGCATTCAGTAAAAATTGTACGTCGAATTTTGACCTTTTCTGAGGCTAGCAATTTGTGATATGATACTCTTGTGGTGCTGGACAGCAACAGTGAACCACAGCTCCCAGTCAACCACTCGATCACAAGGGTAAACAACCGATACTGTACAGTGTACTGTGTTGCCAGCATTTTTTGGATATTGTATTTTGTGTTTTCACATCCCATTATGTTTTAAAAAATGTCAGTTTTCCACTTAGGATATTTTCAGCTTCCAGTGGGTTCACTGGGAAGTAACCCCATGGTGGGTAAAGAGGCATCTGTAACTAAAACCTGTCATTAGAAGGGAGCAGTGTAAAGGGCATTCCTATTCAAGTCCGAAGAGCTTGATCTGAATCCTCTCTCTCTACTTCCTAGCTGTGTGATCTCAGGCCAGTCAGTAAGCTTCTATGAGCCTTACCTTCTTCATCTCTAAAATGGACTAAAGTGAACTCAAACACTTAGAGTTGTAAAGATTAAATGTTAGAACACTTTATGAACCATACAACTATGTGCACTATTTATCATTACTGGTATTACAAATTTTTAAAAATCCAAATTGAAGATTGTAATCAAAATGCCACCTTTTAGGAAGATGGCCCGATGATGCATACAATGTCTAAGACATTATATAGACAAACATTTGATTTAGGCCCAGCAAGAAAGTGCTTTAGAACATGGTGCTGAAAAATCTCAGCTGTTAGACCCCTGTCTGCAGTTCTCTTAAACATCACGTACTTAAACCAGAGCTTCCTTTCAACTCCTTACTTTTGCAACCCTGTAGACGTATGGTGATATTATTGTCACTTGGACTTCTCTCTGATAAGATATTTTATTTTCTTTAAAAAGAGAGTATCAATAATCCGATCTTCTCTAACTATTGGGCAATTTTGCTGTACTTGAGGTTTCCTGAAATATAAATGATGGAAATAATCCATGCCTGAAGCTGTAACAATAAAAACGACGATTATTTTTCAAACTCAAGACTATTCACGTCTTCAGTCTATCTTCATTGGCACAGCACAATCTCCAAAGCAAAAGGAAGAAAATAAATAGCTTAGAAGTTTGAAGTTGGATCCTATCAACAACCTCCCCTCCCATTTCTAATTCAATCAAGCATTTCCTTACTCAGGCAGTAAGGAGAGAGGATGCTGTTTGGATCGAAACTATGTATAGTTTTGTTTTTTTAAAAAAACATTTTTATAATAAATTTTTCCGTATACAAAATATGTTCTTTGTAGAACACTTAGAAAATAGACACAGGCAAAAGGAATAATATAAAAACAATTCATAATCCCACTACCCACAGATAACCATTGTTACTTTTTACATTGTAAGCCAGAAAAAAAGACATGCTGGTATGCCCGAGTGTGACATTTATGGACTCAACGAAGCAGCTTAATTCTAATGATAATACCCTGGATTCTATATTCCTCCATGCAGCTGGGCCCTGCTGTGAGTGAGCAGACCTGGCTTAGGAAAATTCACATCCATAGCCTGAGAAATCATAAAGGAATGGCGCCCTCAGCCACACCCTGGAGAGGCTTCCGTCACTCCATCCGTGCCATGTCTATTGCCTTCACTGTCTTTACATTAGTGCAAGAGCCTCCAAAATCAGTTCCTGCCTCCCGTTTTACTCCCTGCACCCAGTCCATCAGACAGAACTTTCTAAAACAGACACTTGATCAGGCTACTCCACTCTTGAAATTCTTCCTTTGGCTTTAGGGGTAAAGCCCAATTTTGTTCAGCATGGAGCCCAAGGGCTCACCCTTTGGCCCCACCTACTTCTCCGGCCTCATATCTCCCTCAGTCTTTCACCCTTATGTGTATCCTTTATGCCAGCCACCACCATCCTCATCTTCATCCTCATCACCAAGCTGTCAAGTACTGGGTATGGCCTCTATGCTAGATATGAGAGTGCTACATGCATTATCTCATCTGCATACTAACAGTCCTTTAAGGTGGGGTTTCCTGCTGAGGAAACTGCAGCTTAGAGAAGCTAAATTCAGTCCCATTCATGCAGCTAATAAGCAAAGGAACCAGCCTCTGAACCCAGGGTCCTCCATATCAAAGATATTCTACTTGCAGTTTCCCGAACCACATAGCTTTTGTTTTTTTTAAGCTTCTTTGCATAAACTACCATCTCCCTTTTAATCCTTTTAACCCTTTCTCACCTAGGTAATGCCTACTTGTCCTTGAGAATGCAGTTCAAGGCTTTCCTGACCGCTTGGTTTAGCTTAGCCACCCTTCCTCTGTGCTTCCAAGGTACCCTACGTTGCACCCTGTCATGGGATCTGCCTCAGGGACTGCTGTTACCCCCTTACATATCATGTATCCATTTCCTCCACTCTCCGTGCTTCAAGGGGAGGAACTGTGTGCTCTTCATCTCCTCTCTCTATCCCTCTTCCCCACTGTCTAGTACAGGATTTGGCACAAGGGAGGTATTAAATAAATGTTTGTTTAATAAATGAATGAATCAGCAGCAGCTCCTAGAGTCTTCAAATAGTCTTCAACTGATCAAAATTTGATTTGCTTATAACATTCCTGCCAGAAATGGCTCAGAGAAATAAGGAAAATGAAAGCCAGAAAGAATTCTCCACCAGATCTCTTGCCAGACTGGAGCCAGATAAAAGAGCCCGTCATCAGTAACTAACTGCAGGTCCTCAGTGGTGCAGAAGGGACCTGGACCCCCCAGTGTTTTCTTGTTACATTTAATTCTTGTCACTTGGCTATTTTGTGACCCAGATAAGACCCAGTGGCAGGGCACCTAGCTTTGGAAATTCTTGAGAGGCAAAGAACAGAAGGTAGGAGGGAGAAAACTATGTCCAGGGTCTCTCATGGATTGAAGGGGAGGGCGTGAGGGTGGGAGGTAGAAGGGTGGAGACAGGATTCGGAGTGGTGAGGGGGTATGCCCCAGTTTTCACACTCACAAAAGCCTCAGATAAAGAGTCTGGCATTTTCTCCAGAGTCACAGAGATACACCGACAGAACCGAATGACATTCATCTTACGGCTTTCCACATGTCCTGCTACCAATTGACCCCATTTATGGTGAAGTATAAATGAATATTTTTATAATTCTTATAAATAATCTTGAGATTAATACAATTTTATTGCATCGTATTTTGGTGTTAAAGCGTTACCCCAATTTTGCCAATCTTGCAGTAGCACTTTTTCCACTATTTATTTATTTATGAGACAGGGTCTTACTCTATCGCCCAGGCTGGAGTGCAGTGGTGTAATCTTGGCTCACTGCAACCTCCGCCTTCTGGGTTTAAGCAATTCTCCTACTTCAGCCTCCTAAGTAGCTGGGATCACAGGCATGTGCCACCACACTGGCTAATTTTTGTATTTTTAGTAGAGAAGGGGTTTCACCATGTTGGGCAGGCTGGTCTCGAACTCCTAACCTCAAGTGATCCACCCGCCTCAGCCTCCCAAAGTGCTGGGATTATAGGCATGAGCCACCATGCTCGGCCCACTTTTCCACTTTTTAATATGCCAGAGCTTTTTAAAAAATGGAGACAACCTTACTTCTGAGAGGCTCTGGCTGTGCTGTAGGATCTGAGAGAGACCCCTCTGTTTCTTGGGTGTAGTTTGTTTGATCTTTGGGAATCAGTAAAGGATGGGTGGGACAGTGATGTGCTGGAGCTGACTTCTGTCTAAGGAATGTTAATTACATGCATCTTTTCCCACCTCTACGTTCAGTGGCATCACATTGGTAGCTGGAAATTGGCCCTGGTGAGAGTATTTACACCATGGAAACTGGCAAACATTATAAATCAGGGCTTAATTTTTTTTCTTTCTGAGAGCCTATTGTTAAATGTTTACTAGCATGTTACTGGTGGTGGGAAAGGAGAGGGCAACCTTAAGCTGGAAGCTGGAGGTATTTTTCCGACCTGATGATGGTATACATACAGATGAGGGAGGATTCAAGTCACTCAATTGGTATCAAGATTTAGGAACATCCAGGTTCATGGGCAGTGGCTATATGTCAGTGCTCCCCAAACTAGCTGTGCTTCAGAATCAGCTAGAGGCTTTCTAAGTCTACTCATGTTCAGATCCCACCTCAGCGCTACTGAATTGGGATCTCTGGGTGGGGCACAGAAATCTATAGTTTTAAATATGTTCTCAAGGTCACTGGTCACTGGAACAGTATATGGAATCTTTGCCGTATGTCTCAAAATATCAAGACAGCTCAAGAAGATGTTAAAGTGCATCCTATGAGGATATGGATTTCCTAATCAGGTCCCCTGTCATGTGACGCCTCTGTCACCTGTCACAACTTGATGAAACCTGGCTTATGTCACAACTTGATGAGACCTGGTTAATGGAGGTAGAGGTGCAGGGACAAAACAAGGAAGAGATTATGAAATGTTATAATGGGAAAAAGCATGGTCTGAAAATTTTTTTTGTACTTACACAAAGCTTTGTCAGAAATACTCTTTGAAATGGGCTTAGGCCATTGTATCACCTGTCATTGAGTTCCCAAATGAGTTCATAGGATGATAAAATATCTCATGGTGCCAACATGACTCCAGTATTCACAGCAGCTGAAAGTGGTCCTAGTCCCAGGAAGAGCTACTTGGGTTGGATAAGACAGTGATCCCAGGGCCAACATCTTCACTGAGGGCTGGGAGTGACCAGAAGGCTGGTAGGTAGCAGAGACCAGGAGGACAGATGCTAGTTAATGGCTGGGCATTAGGAGGCTCACAGGATCACGGTTCTAATGAGAGGTGAGGAGGTGATGAGAATGAGGTGGAGCCTGACCTTTCCTCTTGCCCTGCATCATGTGGGGTGTGGAAGAACAAATGCCCTTCGCTTGTGAAGATGGGGGGAGCAGAGAACCCCCCATTGATAAGAAGGAGATGGAGGGAGAGCTGGGTGTGGGGCTGAGGATGAAGAAGAGATTTGGAGGACATATTAGGGCCACCTAGACATTTCCTATTACCTAAAAACGTCGGATGAGTCACTTAGAGTGGAAATCTGGCTTTCGCCGTGGCAGCTGTCTTGCTTTATATGACTGTGTATCCCATTCATCACACTGTATTATAATGTTTTAAAAATGTGTTTATGTTCTAAGTCCAAATTCCAGGTGTAGTAGAAATAGCCTAGGCCTTGAATTAAGACAGGCCTAGGTTTGAGTTCTGACTCCTTCCCTTTCTAGGCCTTGGACAAGTCATTTTACCTGTCTGAACCTCAGTTTCTTCATGTATAAAATGGGTATAACAACTCTACCTACCTTCTGAATTCTCGAGAAGAATAAAACAGATATTGTCTGAAATCTCCCATTATAATGTCTGAGATACAGCAGGTTCTCAATAAGCCTTGACCCTCTCTCCTTGACTAAGTCATCTTTGTCTCTCCATGATCTATCACCATTCATGGTTTCAGGAGGATGCACAAAATATGTTGGTTGAATAAATGAATGGGCTGGTTGAATGAATGAACGAGTAAGTGAATAAATGAATAAATTAATGAGTAGAAATGTTCAGAACGACATGCTGAGGAAACCAAATGCACTCTGTCATGCCTGAAAGGACTTCCCTTGGAATTCTTTGAGGCATTTAGCTCAGGCTGGGTCCTCTGTCCCATTTCAAGGTCAGGGCCATTCCTTTGTCCTGACCCTGGCATAATAAGCCATGAAAAGCTTGCCACTTTGTTCCTATTTTAATCCTTCTGTTCAGTTAATGGGCTATATTTTTCCTGGAAACAGTGGTGTGACCATCACCAAGATAATGGGTAATAACATTAACATTACCACCAGTATGATCCAGATATTATTCAATTAAACTAATAACTCCTAATGCAGAAGAAATTGTTTTTCTCCTAAGAATCCAATTCAGCCATCAGCTCACCCTCATATTTAAATGACAGAAATTACCTGTAAGTCATAGATCTGTAATGTGATGTTGAAATGGATTTCTAATTATATTTTATGATGCTATATTAGAGATGCTTTTAAGGTCAGAGTTTATAGCTTGTCATGTTTTCATTTTCTATTATCAGGCAATTTGAATTTCTTTTCAAATATATAATGAACAAAAATTAGAAAATTTGGGAGGAAAAACCACTTCAAAGGATTGCCCAAAACAGCCTAACAATGTCACCTTAGTAAGAATTTTTTTAAAAAAGGCTGTGATTATCAGTCAACTTTAACGCTGGTCTTCTGAAGACAGAGATAGGGAAGAAAAATCACCTTCTCACAGTTGAATTCAAGAGTTTTGTTACCTAGGATGTTTACTGAACCATGTCCGGAGTGTGGTCCTATTATTTCCTGGTCCAGATCTTGAATTTGATGGTATGTGCAGAAGGGTTCAACCAGAGGAACTGGCTCACACTACCCAAACTTTCAAGATGTAGAAGACATGCCCAACAGTGAGAAACAGGAATGCCAAGTGGACTTTATGTAAACTTATGGGCGTGGGGCAACACAGCCTCCATATGTAGGAAAGTTTTTTTTTTTTTTTTTTTTGATCCAAGTGCTCACTCTGTTGCCCAGGCTGGAGTGCAGTGGTACAATCTCGGCTCACCGCAACCTCCACCTCTTGGGCTCAAGCAATCCTCCCACCTCAGCCTCCTGAGTAGCTGGGACTTCAGATGCACACCATCACGCCCAGCTAATTTTTGTACTTTTTGTAGAGATGGGGTTTCACCATGTTGCCTGGGTTGGAGGAAAGTCTTCATGATAAGCCATAATCTTAATGGAATATTGCCTGGGAAGCACAGAGTTGAAGCAAAGGTATTTAGCTGAATGGTTTTTATGGACATCATGGAGCTATCTAAGTCAAATGCATTTACCTCCCATTATGGGAATAGATCTGGCTTGCAGATAAACACATCATGTCATCTGGTCATGCTATCTTCTTGGACTGCACAGAAGACCCCGACAAACTCCTGTCTTTCTAGAGGTCATGCAGACCACCCTCTCCTAGTTAGATCTTTCTTCAAGCAGGCTACAATATGACCCAAATAGGTGGCAGTTTTATGACAAACATTCAACTTTAGAGGATTCATACCAGTTGTGATTGGAATTTGGCCATCATCCACTTAAAATCCAGATCTCAGGGTCACTTCTGTATGTGGTTTAACTCATATCATCTGCATCGATTTTTCCCCTCAACTCTTAGAGGGTACCTGCTCTCCTCATTATGGGGGCCTTTCACCATAACCCACTACATACTGTCTACACTTTGATTTAAAGAGAGACTGAAACTAGGATAACTTTTTCCTTATAGTTTGAATTTAATTGTCAAAGTTTTCCAGCAAAGGATGAATTCCCTGCTGCTTTTCAATAAAATTGAATGTGACTGCAGCAGGTAGGAACATTGCAATGAGAAGAAATAGGAAGGCTCCATAAATTAATGTGTGAAAGAAGAAATCTATATTCATTCTGGTTCTTCTAAGTGGGTTAGATGAATGGCTGACAGCATAGGTGGCAGTGGGTGGGGGACAAAGTGGTGAGCAGGATGGCTTTCTACACCCACCTAGCATGAAAAGACATGGAAGGCAGGAATAATAAATTCAAAGAGAGCTCCAGAGCAGGGCCAAATTCTTCCTCAGCTAAGTCCGTGCTCCATTCCCATCTATCCTACTGAGTGCTTTGTTATTTTTCTGCAGCCCAGAGCAGAATTCAGTCCTTCACTGTTCAGAATTCACGAAACAGAAAGGTTATTGTATCCAAATTGTCAACAGACAGAGCTAATTTCAACCTCGCCAGCAACTGGGAAAACAAATTATGACAGAGAAAAGAAATGGATATTTGCAGTTTGCTTTTCTAGGCTGTTCCTAATGTGGGTCTGATCTGCCATGAGACTGTCACACAGCTTTCCTTGTGGCACAGAACTGATCCTATGGATGAATGAAGACATGGCTCAGATAACATTTCATGGGTCTCTAGGCAATCCCGTTGCCTACTTGTCACCATGACTAGAAATATACTGGCTGCTAGGGTATGCCTAACACCTGAATGCTCCAGGAACAAATGTCCCTCTGATTTGGGGCTGACACTTCATTCATTCACCACTCATTTATTAGGTGTCTATTAAGTGTACTGGGTGCTGGGGACACAGAAATCATTAGGATGTTGTTCCTGCCCTCAGGGAGATCATATTTTATCAGGGGGACCAATGGGAACACATAATGGCAAGTCAGGGAGATACTGACTCCAGGTGCTGGAGCTGCATTCAGGAGGAGCTATTCATTCTTTCTGGAGTGGCTGAGTTCTCACCAGGTATTTCATAAACTGCTTGACACAGACAGGATGCAGACCCGCTAGGGGAGGAAGAGAGGACTCGGGAGGGAGAAGGAGGTATGATATTTGGGTTTTCCAGGTCGCCTATCTCCTTGTAAGGAATGGTCACAGATATGACTAAGGTGGGAAAAATCTAGGGCTGTCATCAAACAAAATAGAAGAGGACATATCTATATTTGTTTCAGCACAAATTATTAGCTGTAGTGTAATATGAATATGATAATCATACATTCAATTTCTTGGACACTCAGAACAGTGGTTTGCAAACTTTAGTGTGTATCAGAATCACCAGGAGGGCTTATAAAACAGACGGCTGAGCCCTACCCCCAGGGTTTCTGATTCAGTAGGTGTAGGCTGGGGCCTGATAAAGAATTTGCAGTTCTAACAAGTCCCCAAGGGAGAACCATTGACCTAGACAGTGTCTGCCACATAGTAAGGGTTCAATAAATAGTAGTTACAAATACTATTAGGCACTGTGCTTGGCACTTCACATAAATTAGCTAACTATCCTTATAATAGCAGTATATTACAGGAATTGTTATTATTTTTATTTTATACATGAAAAAATGGAGACTCAGAGATCTCAATATTTTGCCTAAGATCACAGAGCTAATAAGTGGCACAAATTATATTTAAACACAAGTCTTTTTGAGTAAAAAAAAAAAATCCATGTTTTTTCTGACATACTGTCTTCAATAAAAGTGTTTTTTCTTTCTTTTTAATACAGAAGCTACAAGATTCAACAATAAATAAGTGAAGTCTACAGTCATAATACCCTTATTCCATTTCAAATATTTCTGCAAATATATTATTAAAATTATCCCTCAAGAGCCAGTGGAAAGGCCATTTGTTTCTTGAAGATATTTGTAAAAATATATGAGAGAGCAAGAGCTGGCTGTGCACTGAGTTCTAGAAGCCTCCTAAGCTAATAGCTATCAATCTTTTTTTTTCTTTACGTAATAGAACACATTTTGTTAAACAAAAGTATACTCAGAACTCCAATATATAAAGCAGACAGGAATAGGGCTACTTTTAGATCTAAGAAACAAATGTTGGTGCTGGCTGAAACAACCGAACTGTGAGCACTTGCAGGCAGAAACAGAGAGCTCTCCCCACGGAAGCATTAGCTCTGATACAAGCAAGACAACCATCTGATCTGCTTTGGAGTGGGATGAAAAATGGATCACTGAGTTTCTCTGAACCAGGAATAAGGCAGAAGAAAGTCCAGCAAACACCTATGACGCACGCCACCTTCTCCTAGGGAATGGCTTCACCAGTATCCTACTGAGATGGCATTGTTTGGTTAGATCAGGCTGATGCTGTTGCTATATCTGCCTCATAGTAATGCTTTTAACACAATAGTTATGCTGCTTTATATTTATGATTGCTAAACCATTTAGTCAACTATTTAGCTCATTCTTTATCAACTAATTCTTTTGTGGTCTTTGTGAAGTTCAGAGTAAATGTTATGGTTTGAATGTGTTCCCCCAAAATTCATGTGTTGGAAACTTAATTTCCAATGCAACCTTGTTGGGAGGTGGGGTCCAATAACAGGTAATTTGGGTTGTGAATGGATTAATGTTGTTATTGTAGGAGTGGGCTAGTTATTTGAAGAGTGGGTTGTTGTAGAGTAAGTTCAGCCCCTGGTGCCTCTATGTTTCATGTAATCAATCACTTCTGCCTTCTGCCTTCTGCCATGGGATGACCTTCCTCAGATACTGGCACCATGCTCTTGGTATTCCCAGCCTCCAGAACTATGAAGCTAACTGTGGTATTCTGTTATAGAAACAAAAAACAGACTAAGACAATAAGAAACCTCATTAGCTATTTCTAAGGAGTACCCTACCAAGTGAACCCAACTGATCATTTCCATTACCATCCAGTGAGAGATTCAAATAGGCAGCTACTCCTCATGGGGGGAGGCATCTGCACATTGTTTGCTTCTGTTTTGTGAATAGCCCAATACTTAAAGATCTGTTCAGAGCACCCTATGATTTACCACCCAGCCCCAGATGTGAAAACCCTTTGCAGGTACAGGGTTGATTCATAAACCACCACAGATGCCAACTTCATTGTCTAGAGTTGAATCTCCTCCAACACTACCTATTTCTTTTGTAGCATGGGGTTCAGAGGCTTCCTGTATGTGCATCTTTCCAAAGATATTAAGAGGAGAAAAAGATCCAAGTGAATTTCCAATTTTCTCCAACACTTCAAACTATACATTTGATATTCTTAACCACCTTGATGAACAATTGTCCTCAATACCCATTTTCCCTACGTTCTATTTGGCAATAACTTACAGACAGGTGTGGCCATGTGACTAACATTTAGCCAATGTGATGCAAACAGAAGGGATGTGTAGAAATTTTGGATTATCTTTTACAAGGAAGCTGTTTGTCTGCAATTCTCATTTTCCCTTTCCCACCACTTGAGAAGAAGTAGTAGACAAAGCATGCTGGATCCAGATATGGGAACTTTCTGGCAGAAATAGACCACCAGCCTGTGTTGCTCACCTCTAAACTGTGATGTACAAGGGGAAATATACTTCTATCTTAAGTCGGCATATTTTTGGTCTCTTTATTACAACAGCTTAACTTATAACCTACATGTGACCCAAAGATAACTAAATTCTTGGACACTCCTCCCATTAGGAGATGGGGGTCTATGTTATCTCCCCTTGAATGTGGGGGGCTTTGTGACTGCTTTGGCCAGTTTCTGGGCCCCGGCCTTAAGACACTGGCAGCTTCCACTTTCTGCCTTTTGTAATACTGCCTTTGAGGACCCCAAGCCATCATGTAGAAAGTCTGACTCCCTGAGACCACCATGCTGAAGAGTCATGCAGACACTTCAGTTGCCAGTCCCTGCCTTCAAGATACCCCTTGAAGTTTCCAGTCATATGAATAATACCATCTCAGACCCTTTACACCAGCCCATTTGTATTTGAATACCACAAGTAACCTGGCCAATAGCACTCTGAGAAGAAGAAATAACCCAGGTCACCTAAGGAGGCAATGTGTGGAACTACTATGCTAATACTGATCTTGTGGCCATAAAGGGAGCCACTGATGACATATTACAAATGGCAGAGTGGGCTGGGTGTGGTGCATACCTGTAGTCCCAGCTACTTGGGAGGCTGAGGTGGGAGGACTGCTTTAGCCCAAGAGTTCTTGGCTGTAGTGTGCTATAATCCTGCTTGTGAATAGCCACTCCAGCCTGAATAACATGGTGAGACTCTCATCTCTTAAAAAAACAAAAACAAAAACATAAAAAAGGCAGAGTAGAAAGATGGAAATGTCTTAGTCCCTGATGACATGAATGAGCCACTCTACTAACCTTGGAATTACCTATCTCCAAACTTTTCACTTAATGAAATAGTAAAAGTCCACAAAATTTAAAGCACTGTTGGTTAGGCTTTGTGTTACTCATGGCCTCTAAGTATTCTAACAAACACATCCCCTTCATCCTCTCTCACAGGGGGAGTTTGTTACAGGGGCAAGAGGAGTTGGCTTGAGACTGTACTCTTACTTCATTAATAAATTTGCCAGTTGAAAATGGTACAATGTTCCAGTCACTCTGGCTGATTTATCCTGAGACAGTTCTCCGAGGCTCTCTTGAAATTAATGCACAGCCTCCCATTTTTCTAGCCTGATGACTGACATAGCAGTTGGAATTCCATGGCTCATCATCTCACTTGCCTTCTCTTTACCTCCTTGGTGTGTGGAACAGACAGGCCAACATGTTCATCAAGTTGGTTAAGAATATCAAATGTATAGTTTAAAGTGTTGGAGAAACCTGGAAATTCACTTGGATCTTTTTCTCCTCTTAATATCTTTGGAAAGATGCACACACAGGAAGACTCTGAACCCCATGCTAGCAGGACTGTTCTCCATTCTGGTAAGGAGCCAGCTGTGAAGGGAACCACCTATCTATGCAAGGGCATGTTTTTATTCTGAAGCATCATCTTACTTGGGGCCAGGGAGTGGAGGAGAACCTGTATTACCTACACAACTCCTGGGTGGATAACACAGGGAATTCTTCCAACGCTTCCTCATTCCAAGATTTGATCCGGCTAGGGATGGGGGCCCTACGCGCAGAGGACCAGAGCCGAGAGTTCTTTCCCCAGGACAACATGGAGTGAAAGGCTAAAACTTAAGGAAGGAAGCAAAACCAAAAACCATGTAAAAAGGACCAGATTTAAGAAGCTAAGCTTTGGAGGTCATCAAATTGAAGAGGTTCAGAGGCATGTTTGGGAGTAAGCATTTGGATGGGACAAATGCAATGAGGAATAGGAAAGTAACCATAGGTGACCTGGGAACAACATGATTGTGTGCTTGTGTGCACACATGGGTTTGATGGACTAGCTTAGAATAGTTGCTTGTGTTTGCTGACATCTGGGGCATAATACATAGGTGCATTGGCTGGCTCACCTAAAAATCTAAGAGAACACATCCTTATAAAAAAGCCTGCTTACATTTCAAGATGCAACCCAAATGCAACTTGCTCATGAAGTCCTTGCTAATCCATCCCTGGGATATGTACTTCAGTACAGCGTGGCTTATGTACTGACTTTAATATTTATTTCCATTTCCCTTGTATTATAGCTAGTCAATTATTTGGCTATTTCCTCAGCTCAACTGAAGGACTCTTGAGGCTGGAGACTGTTTCCTATTCTTACTTAATAGCATATAGCTTTGTACATAGAAAGTGCTTTGTACATAGAAAGTGCTCAATAAATATCGTTTGATTAATTACTATTGTCAACCTTTGACTTGTTTTTCTGTTGACATTTATAAATGGATTAGGAGTGTTTTTAATAGTGCATTTTTCTTTAAATGACACAATAAACACAAATCCATCGCTAAGGAGCCCAAAATAAATCTTAAGCAGGAGAGTTAAACATATTTAAGAAAAAAAAAAAAGGAATGAGAAACAAGAGAAGGATTTGGAAGCTGAACATTTCTCTCTGTCTGAGACTAGCTCCAGGCAAATGAAAGCCCTCTGATGAAAACTTCATCAGCCTTTTCTTACACAAAGTGTTTTCTGACCATTTTTTCTACAGTGTCTCTCCTATTTGGACACAGAGTTTCATTTATTAATCAAACATAATTGGGCTCCATTTCAAAAGGATGAACAAAGCTCATTTTGTTGTCCCATTGAAAAGCTGGGTTCAGTCTGGGTCATGGTGTTTGTCAGCATCTCTGTTTCCAGGCCCTAAAGGCTTGGATGCAGGCACAGGACAACTGGGGGCCTGGTCAATTTCCCACTCTCAGAAGCCCTTAAAAGAGTCTCTCCCAAGCTCTGGAGACTGTGTTTACTGACTATGAATATAAGGACTACACTTCCACATTTTGCTTGGCAAGAAGAGTCTAGATGGCCTCTTGTCAATTCTGTCATTTCTCACAGCATAGACCCATCTTTTGATGATCCACCCACAAATGATGCTCAGACATTCGATTATCAGAGTTGGTACTCTTTCCTTCAGTGGCTCCCCATTGCTTATATGTTGCTTCTGAAAATACTGGAAAGACTATGAAAAATAGACAACCCATGCAAATATAATTAAAGAACAGCAAAAAAGGAGACAAACAGCATTAGGAAAGAGAACAGTGTAATATCTTCTACTTAGTGAGGACAGGCACTGTGCTAAGAACTTCATATACATCATCTGTAATCCTCACAGCAATCCTATACTCTAAGTAATATGACCCCTATTTATAGGGAAATGATGATAGAAGTCAAGTTACTTGGTTAAAGTCACATGAATCAGTGGTGGAACCTGGATGAGAATTCAGGTCTGACTCAATATATTCAGTAGCAAAAGGAATTAAACCACTTATATGGAATACTATGTCTAATTATATGCTAACTGACTGAAAACCTGAACAAATGGATGATATTTTATAATAAACATATATGATTTTAATTCAATCTTATATTTAAAAATGACGCAATGAGGTAGGAAACCCTATTAAAGCAGTAATGGAGGTAGAAATTTTTTAAAAATTCAGAATATCCCCAAAAAGCAAGGCATACAGATCTAATGGATTCCTCCAAGCTCACAAGGAACAGATAATTCCCAAGCTATGCTGACTGCATCAAAGCACAGACAAGGCCGGACTCCATCTAATTATTCTGTGTGACAAATTTGATCTTAAGGAAGGTTACTAAAGAAATGCAAAAAAAAAAAATCAATAAAAGACTAACATTATATTAACATTAGATGACATAATCTATTTCAATATATGTCAAAAGAAAAATTGATAAAACCTTTACTTGGAGTGATACTATTTACTACCTTAACTTGATAAAGATACCTATTTTAAATAATGAATCAATAATGGATTAAGATTAAAAGCTTTTTTTTTCAAAAATTGGCCCCTGAAAATAATATAGCTACTATTATAACATAATATTGCTTTAGACAAACTGCAAAAGACTTAAAGGACAATAATTACTGGGAAAGAAGAAAAAATATTTACAAAGAATTTGCTGTACACCTGGAACTAAATCAACCAGTTTAGAAAGAGGACAGTTTGGTATTAAAATTCAAAGGTCAGTAGCATTACTATGCCCAATATATTACTATACACCATGTTTTCATATATACTACATTACTATATACATTATTATACACAAGCAGTAAACCCCTAGAAAACTACACGTATAATAATATAAGAATATAAGATGCTAATTCTGTGAAGAAAGTCAGTGGTAGCTTGATGGGGATAGCACTGAATCTACAAATTACTTTGGGCAGTATGGCCATTTTCATGATATTGATTCTTCCTATCCATGAGCATGGAATGTTTTTCCACTTGTTTGTGTCCTCTCTTATTTCCTTGAGCAGTGGTTTGTAGTTCTCCTTGAAGAGGTCCTTCACATCCCTTGTAAGTTGTATTCCTAGGTATTTTATTCTCTTTGTAGCAATTGTGAATGGGAGTTCGCTCATGATTTGGCTTTCTGTTTGTCTGTTATTGGTGTACAGGAATGCTTGTGATTTTTGCACACTGATTTTGTATCCTGAGACTTTGCTGAAGTTGCTTCTCAGTTTAAGGAGATTTTGGGCTGAGACGATGGGGTTTTCTAAATACACAATCATGTCATCTGCAAACACAGACAATTTGACTTCCTCTTTTCCTAGTTGAATACCCTTTATTTCTTTCTCTTGCCTGATTGCCCTGGCCAGAACTTCTTTAAATTTCATATGGAACCTAAAAAGAGCCCGTATAGCCAAGACAATCCTAAGGAAAAAGAACAAAGCCAGAGGCATCACACTACCTGACTTCAAACTATACTACAAGTCTACAGTAACCAAAACAGCATGGTACTGGTATCAAAACAGATATATAGACCAATGGAACAGAACAGAGGCCTCAGAAATAATGCCACACATCTACAACAATCTGATCTTTGACAAACCTGACAAAAACAAGCAACGGGGAAAGGATTTCCTATTTAATAAATGGTGTTGGGAAAACTGGCTAGCCATATGCAGAAAACTGAAACTGGACCCCTTCCTTACACCTTATACAAAAATTAACTCAAGATAGATCAAAGACTTAAATATAAGACCTAAAACCATCAAAACCCTAGAAGAAAACCTAGATGCCCGGGTGCGGTGGCTCATGCCTGTAATCCTCCTAGCACTTTGGGAGGCCAAGGTGGGTGGATCACGAGGTCAGGAGATTGAGACCAGCTTGGTCAACATAGTGAAACCTCATCTCTACTAAAACTATAAAAATTAGCCAGGCATGGTGGCTTGTGCCTGTAAGTCCCAGCTACTCGGGAGGCTGAGGCAGGAGAATCGCTTGAACCCGGGTGGTGGAGGTTGCAGTGAGCTGAGATTGTGCCACTGCACTCCAGCTTGCTTGGGCAACAGAGTGAGACTTCGACAAAAACAAACACAAAAAACAAAAAACAAAAAAAAAAAAAAAGGAAAAAGAAAACCTATACTATTCAGGACATAGGCATGGGCAAAGACTTCATGAGAAAAACACCAAAAGCAATGGCAACAAAAGCCAAAACTGACAAATGAGATCTAATTAAACTAAAGAGCTTCTGCACAGCAAAAGAAACTACCATCAGAGTGAACAGGCAACCTACAGAATGGGAGAGAATTTTTGCAATCTATCCATCTGACAAAGGTCTAATATCCAGAATCTACAAGGAATTTAAACAAATTTACAAGAAAAATACAAACAACCCCATCAAAAAGTGGGCAAAGAATATGAACAGACACTTCTCAGAAGAAGACATTTACATGGCCAACAAACATACGAAAAAAAGCCCATCATCGCTGGTCATTAGAGAAATGCAAATCAAAACCACAATGAGATACCATCTCATGCCAGTTAGAATGGTGATCATTAAAAAGTCAGGAAACAACAGATGCTGGAGAGGATGTGGAGAAATAGGAATGCTTTTACAGTGTTGGTGGGAGTATAAATTAGTTCAACTATTGTGGAACACAGTGTGGCAATTCCTCAAGGACCTAGAACTAGAAATACCATTTGACCCAGCAATCCATTACTGGGTATATACCCAAAGGATTATAAATCATTCTACTATAAAGACACATGCACACACATGTTTATTGCAGCACTATTTATGATAGCAAAGACTTGGAACCAACCCAAATGCCCATCAATGATAGACTGGATGAAGAAAATGTGGCACATATACACCATGGAATACTATGCAGCCATAAAAAAGGATGAGTTCATGTCCTTTGCAGGGACATGGTTGAAGCTGGAAACCATTATTCTCAGCAAACTAACACAGGAACAGAAAACCAAAGACCGTATGTTCTCATTCATAAGTGGGAATTGAACAATGAGAACACATGGACACAGGGAGGGGAGCATCACACACCGGGGCCTGTCGGGGTGTGGGGGGCTAGGGGAGGGATAGCATTAGGAGAAATACCTAATGTAGATGATGGGTTGATGGGTGCAGCAAACCGCCATGGCACATGTATACCTATGTAACAAACCTGAACGTTCTGCACATGTATCCAAGAACTTAAAGTATAATAAAAAAATTATTTTTCTTAAAGAAGTCTCCTCTCACTCATATAAGCTTTGGGCCTCAAAAAACCTTGCTCCATTCTGTGAGCTGTCAATAACAAAGTTGCATCAGGATATCTCAGGCAATGGTGCAACTATGCAACTATGGGTAACTTCTCCCTTTCTCTCTCTCTCCATAAGAAAACGAAAACAACAACAACAACAAAAATAAGATGCTTAGAATGTATGCAATGACTTAAGAAGCTGATATATTTTAAATCAGAATCGCCACTTATTTTTATAACTTGACAAAGCAATTTTAACACTTATGAGGCAAACAAAATGCCAAGAATATAAAATGATATTTTGAAAAATGAAGACCTTCAATTGGGGAAGACTAGTACTACAGTACTATAAATTCTATACATATTATGAAGCAATAATAATTAATAAAGTACTCACAAAACCAGGCATATAGAACAGTAGAGGAGAATTAGCAGCACTGAAATACACCTATTTATACATGACAATTTGGTTATATGAAGTACAATAAACAATGGGCAAAGGAGAAGTTATTTAATAATAATGATATGATCAATGTAAAAACCATTTATTAAACATGTGCCAAATATGCTCAGATGAGTTAAAGAGTTAAATGCATACTTTTTAAATACATAGAGCAATCAAAGGAAAAGAGAATGAAGATTGCATGAGATCTTGGGAGCTATTAGTAATGAACTATGAAGAACTCTCACTAGCTTGAAGCAATAGAAGAAATAACAATGGAAGTGATCAAAAGATTCATCTGGGTAACATTTAACATATTTTAATCATAAAAATATGAGAAGTGAAAAGAAAAACATATTGAAATATATTTGCATCAAAATAATACAATCAATAACGTATAAGGAATGTGCTAAAATGAGGAACAACTTTTTTTTTTTAACTTTTAAGTTCAGGGGTACATGTGCAGGTTTGTTACATAGGTAAACTTGTGTCACTGGCGTTTGTTATACAGATTATTTCATCAACCAGGTATTAAGCCCAGTACCCATTAGTTATTTTTCCTGATACTCTCCCTCCTCCCACCTTTCACCTTCCAATAGGCCCCAGCATGCATTGTTCCCCTCTATGTGTCCATGTGTTCTCATCACTTAGTTCCCATTTATAAGGGAGAACATGTGATATTTGGTTTTCTGTTCCTGTGTTAGTTTGCTATGGATAATGGCCTCCAGCTCCATCCATGTCCCTGCAAAGGACATGATCTCATTCTTTTTTATGGATGCATAGTATTCTATGGTACATATGTACCACACTTTCCTTATCCAGTCTACCACTGATGGGCATTTAGGTTGATTCCATGTCTTTGCTATTGTTAATAGTGCTACAGTGAACATACGTGTACGTGTGTCTTTATAATAGAATGATTTATATTCTTTTGGGTATATACCCAGTAATGGGATTGCTGGGCTGAATGGCATTTCTGTCTCTAGGTCTTTGAGGAATTGCCACACTGTCTTCCACAATGGTTGAACAAATTTACACTCCCACCAATAGTGTATAAGCGTCCCACAACCTTGCCAGCATGTGTTATGTTTTGACTTTTTAATAATAGCTATTCTGAGTGGTGTGAGATGGTATCTCACTGTGGTTTTGATTTGCATTTCTCTAATGATCAGTGAGGTTGAGGTTTTTTTTCATATGGTTGTTAGTCGCATATGTCTTCTTTTGAAGAGTATCTGTTCATGTCATTTGCCCACTTTTAAATGAGGTTGTTTGGTTTTTTTCTTGTAAATTTGTTTAAGTTCCTTATAGACGCTGGATATTAGACCTTTGTTGGATGCACAGTTTGCAAAATTTTTCTCCTATTCCGTAGGTTGTCTGTTTACTCTGTTGATACTTTCCTCTCCTGTGCAGAAGCTCTAATTAGAAACCATTTGTCAATTTTTGCTTTTGTTGCAATTGCTTTTGGCTTCTTTGTCATGAAATCTTTGACTGTGCCTATGTCCTAAATGGTATTGCCTAGGTTAGTTTTGGGCTTTACATTTAAGTCTTTTATCCATCTTGAGTTAATTTTTGTATATGGTGTAATGAAGAGGTCCAGTTTCAATCTTCTGCATATGGCTATCCAATTATCCTAGCACCATTTATTGAACAGGAAATCCTTTCCCCATTGCTTGTTTTTGTCAGGGTTGTTGAAAATCAGATGGTTGTAGGCATGTGGTCTTATTTCTGAATTCTCTATTCTCTTCCACTGGTCTATGTGCCTGTTTTTGTACCAGTACCATGTTTTTTTGGTTTCTGTAGCCCTGTAGTACAGTTTGAAGTCAGGTAGCATGATGCCTCCAGCTTTGTTCTTTTTGCTTAGAATTGCCTTTGCTATTTGGGCTCTTTTTTGGTTTCACATGAATTTTAAAATAGTTTTTTTCTAGTTCTGTGAAGAGTCTCAGTGGTAGTTTAATAGGAATTGCATTGAATCTATAAATTGCTTTGGGCAGTGTGGCTGTTTTCACAATAATGACTCTTCCCTATCCACGGGCATGGAATGTTTTTCCATTTGTTTGTGTCATCTGTGATTTCTTTGAGTAGTATTTTGTAGTTATCCTTGTAGAGTTTCTTCACCTCCATAGTTAGCTGTATTCCTAGGTATTTTATTTTATTTTTTGTGGCAATTGTGAATGGGAATATGAGGAACACTTTTATTGTTAGAAAAAATTCATATGTATGAAGATTTTCAACACAATTATTACTTCTAAGAGCAAAAAAATAAAAAGTTGATACAACAATAACAGAAGACCTAAATAAATTAGAGCCAACCAACTTAAAAACTTGTCATTTAAAAAGGTAACCATGGGAGGCTGAGGTGGGCGGATCACGAGGTCAGGAGTTCGAGACCAGCCTGACCAATATGGTGAAACCCATCTCTACTAAAATTACAAAAATTACCCAGGTGTGGTAGTGTGCACCTGTAGTCCCAGCTTCTTGGGAGGCTGAGGCAGAAGAATCGCTTGAACCTGGGAGGCGGAGGTTGCAGTGAGCCAAGATCGTGCCACTGCATTCCAGCCTGGGTGACAGAGCAAGACTCAGTCTCAAAAAAGAAAAAGTAACCATCAGAGGCTGTGTCTCACATCTCACATACTGGAAAAATATTTATGATACAGTGTTAAGTGAAGAAAACAGAATATAAAATTGTATATGCAATACAATTGCAAGTATATATAAAAATAGGCATAGTGCTCTGGGCCTGGAAATAGGTTCATAAAAATGAAAACGGTTTTAGAGGGCTGGGGTTAGGGGTGAGTTTTGAGTTGCAAACTCAAATATCAGGAATCAAGCAGGTGAAGATGGATGGGGAAAGTAGCAAGTGTTGGGAACTATGGAAACCTGGAGAGTCAGGCTCAGCCATAGCCATTCCAATAAAAAGAAATTAAGACAAAAAACACTTTGATTCTGTAGAACCTCTTTGACTGAAGCAAAAGGTGTGAGACCCTGAGCCACTTCCTTTCCATTCAGGCCTCCATGTGGAGGCCTTAGCATTGGAGGTGTCCTAGAAACCTCTGAACTCCACAGACAACAGGAAGTCTCGTGAGAATTTTAAGTGAAGAAATGACCCAATCAGATTGGCAGGGTCAAACCATGCCAATTTAAAAGACTGTTGTTGTCCATGGGCTTTCAGCATGTGACCTCTATACAATATCTCTTTTAATGTTGTTGCAATCATAAATTTTATTAAAAAAATAAAACTCCGACCTAAACAGAAGTAGTTAGAAGTAGTTATATTCTTTGTTAACATAGAGCTGCTTGAGTTGGTTATGAGAATGTGGGCCTATTTCTTTGAATTCCTTCTGAATAAAATTGTTTGGGAATATGCCAAATTGCTATCTAGTGGTGAATTAAATAGCTAAGCATCCATCCATCAAATATTTATTGAGTGCCCACAGCATACCAGGCCCTGGAGGAAGATGGAGGAGGACAGAATAAGACAGGGACTCTATATTCTATGAGTGTGCAGACTGATCCAAGATTCAGACACATGTAATAATACGATATGCGTCAACACATGCACAAATGCAGTGGGAATATGGATAATTGCTGCTAAGCAGGAATGGTAGTACTCCGAAGGCAAAATTTGAACTGAATCTTAAAACAAGAATACAGATTTACCATGCAGAGAAGAGAAAAGGGAGAACATTCCAGGCAAATGGAACGGAAGGAAACTTTGATATAGAGAGAAGGAAGTCACTGGACATGACTGGATTATCTGGGTGTGCTGGGGAACGTCTAAGAGGAAGACAGGATAAAGAATAGGGAGGATCGGCCAGGCGCGGTGGCTCACGCCTGTAATCCCAGCACTTTGGGAGGCTGAGGCAGGTGGATCACGAGGTCAGGAGATCAAGACCATCCTGGCTAACACGGTGAAACCCCGTGTCTACTAAAAAATACAAAAAAAATTAGCCGGGGGTGGTGGCGGGCACCTGTAATCCCAGCTATTGAGGAGGCTGAGGCAGGAGAATGGCGTGAACCCGGGAGGCGGAGCTTGCAGTAAGCCGAGACTGCGCCACTGCACTGCAGCCTGGCAAACAAAAAAAAAACCAAAAACAAACAAACAAAAAAGAATGGGGAGGATCTTATCTGAATTTAATCCTGCAGACCCCTTCTTTTCAAACATACTTTGTTTTTAAGCCTCAAGACTCTTTGTTGAAAATCTTACTTGGAGCTGGGCATGGTGACTCACGCCTGTAATCCCAGCACTTAGAGAAGCTGAGGCGGGAGGATCACTTGAGCCCAGGAGTTTGAGACCAGTCTGGGCAACATAGTGAGACCTTGTCCCTACAAAAAATTAAAAAATAAAAAAATTAGACCACAGGTGATGCACACCTGTGGTCATAGCTACTTGGGAGGCTGAGGTAGGAGGATCACTTGAGCCAGGGAGGTCAAGACTGCAGTCAGCTGCGATCATGCCACTGTACCCAACCTCAGAGACAGATAAAAAGAGAAAAGAAGAAAATCTTACTTGGAAGCTCAATTTGTAAAACAGAGGAAATAACTTTTCTGACTGGAGCCAAGGGGATGTGCCCAAGAGCTGTACCCTTCCTCCCTCAGTCCCTGTGGAAGCCTTGGCCCGAGCCCATGGAGCAATTTGAAAGCTACAGCTCTAGGTTATCGGGGTCTCCCAAGGATTTTAGACAGCAAATGGTTCAATCAGACTCAATCAGATTTGCAGGTGTCAAACTATGCAGAGATTTAGAAGATTGCCATTACACCGAAGATAGGCCCTTGGTAGTAATAGCAAAAATACCCTGGATTTCTGGTTTCATTACTTTGTACCTGAGCATTATGGATTTTGGACTTCCCTGCTCTCCCTGTTGGAATGATTCTTCCCATTTTTGAACAGTGGAGAAGACAAGTTCTGTATGTTAATGTCTTCCCTGATGCCAGAGAAC
The DNA here is from genome assembly GCF_000001405.40 of Homo sapiens. NCBI lineage: Eukaryota > Metazoa > Chordata > Mammalia > Primates > Hominidae > Homo > Homo sapiens. The sequence continues at coordinate 14,203,858 of NC_000011.10, read as the reverse complement.
CAGCATTAATGTATCAATTGATGCTGCATGCTCAATCCTTTCTTTTAACTCAGTGCTTAAATATCTCTGGGCTGAGGTGGTGTATCCTGTGTGTATCTATTTGGAGACTCTGGGCAACAAGAAACCTGTACTCATCCTCTCCCCAAACCCTCTCTGAGGCCTGAATCTTATCTTTCAGCCAATGGGCACAACTCAAATTACCTGGGCATGTGCTGGCCTGGAGCACACAGACACTTTGGAATTTGCACATTTGTTTTCTTTAAAAGCTCAAAGTCTCCATCTGTCACGTCTGTTCTGGGTGACTGTGTGTGATTGGGCATCTGGTACAATGCCTTTTGGAATGGACATCTTGATGTACGATAATCGTCTCTTAAGGACATTTATGTTGCACATTTCTCTTTCAGAGGCTAAAATATGAAGATGTCTTTCAATAAAGCAGGTGCCACTTCTTCCTGCCAAATCCTGCCCTGGTATTAAAAGCAGCCCACCTAACGACAAGACCCAGTAAGTGCCAGCAGCCCAGTCTGTGTGTGTGGGGTTAATGGAGCCAAAGAAAATAGCTTGCTAGAGAGGTGATTGGGTGATATTAAATGTCAAGATTTCAGTGAATTACCCTCAGAGGTTTCATAAAATAGAAACATGGTCTTGCTTCTATTGCTTCTGTGTCAAACAAAACATTTTTGGTCTGCTCCGTTGCTTAGAAATGTAACTATTGGCTTTTGATTTTGAAATACATTCTAAGGAGGAATTAGAGGAGGGATCAACCTCCTAAATCAGGACATCTTGCGCCCTGGCAGGGGTGGACAGGAGATTTTCTGGGGTTTGAGGGCTGCCTTTAGTTCATTTTCTGAAGTCTGGCATTTATCTTTTTGGCGTGGTGAATGGTAGATTGAGGTTGATTATAGACAGACACTATTAGCATGAACACAGAGCAGATTAACAGCACCATAGTTTCCAGATGAATCTGTAAAGAACAGGGCCAGCACCTCTGCTTGACTCTGCCCGGTGTAATCGGTGATGTATAGGAGCCCACAGTGAGATGGCCTTGAAACTTGAATCAAAGAAGTGATTACCCTCTGAGAGTTGAGTGAGTAAAATAATTGATGATATTAGCCACCTGCAAAAATCATGGTAAAAGACAGGATGTTTCCCTAACGGTTAAGCATGAAACACCGGGTCTGGCATGATTGAAAGTGAAAGAAGCTGAATGCTAATCAGTGAGTTTGGCTCAAAGGGACGAACAGGTTAGCTGAGGGGGAAGGGCTGAACAAACTTGGAAAACAGAGTCCTGGAGACTGACTTTGGTGGAGTCTGACTGAATCTGGGCCAGAAGGCACAGACTCTGGGGCCGTTAGAGGGTATTGTCCTCCTCCCTTCCCCACTGTCCTGACACATATTCACTGGGCACTACTCCGGACCATGCACTTGTGCTAGGTATGGAGGGAGTGCAATGGACATGATGGGGAGGTCCTTGTGTTCACAGAAGCTGCATACACTAAAAACTCCACCAAGGCACAGGACGGCGATGACTGCAAGATGAGGGAGATGTGAGGCAAATAGCGTCCTGCGTCTCCCTTGACATGCGTACCCAACACAGCAAGCCTTCATTCAGCCTCAGCTACTGTTACTCTTGCTGATGTTAGGTGTCCCTCTGACACACAAGTGAACGTTTCCTCGGTGACTGCCACTTGTAAAGGGACGATGTCTTTGACTCATGCTTGGTTCCCACAGTGTTCAATTAGAGCTCTCAATTTAGGATATTAATCCACATTAGAATCTAATCTTGCCAGAAAATCATATTAAAGAGAAATTCATTCAATTTTAAACTATGATATCTTTTCAAACAAGTCAATATAATGAATAATTTATCCATTTTGTAGTTGAAGGAATAATCTTGCAGTTTAATTATAAGAGAATGAGCTAAACAGATTAGGAAAAAAAATGACTTCTCCATCTTCTCCTTATCTAAGTTCCCACTGAATTTTTTGTTTCTCCTTTCAAGGACTCCCCCCACCACTTCACAGTCACCTACTATGAAACCATAGCTTAAGATCAGATGCACTAGATTTTGTCCTTGTAATAATAATAATCATCATCATACATTAAATACTTATGTGTATATACTCAATTGTATGTATTTTATCATTTAAATTTCAAACTAGGCTGGGTGAGGTGGCTCATACCTATAACATCAACACTTTGGGAGGCTGAGGAGGGAGGATCACTTGAGCCCAGGAGTTTGAGACCAGACCAGGCAACATAGTGAGACCTCATCTCTTCTAAAAATAAGAAAATAGCCAGGTGTGGTGGCAGAGGCCTCTGATCTCACCTACCTGGGAGGCTGAGGTGGGAGGATTGATTGAGCCCGGGAGGTTGAGGCTGCACTGAGCTGAGACTGTGCCACTGCACTCCAGCCTGGGTGATAGAGCAAGACTTTGTCTCAAAAAGAAAAAAAAAAAAATCAAACTAATGCTATGAAGTTGGTAGTTTTTTTTGTTTTTTTGTTTTTTTGTTTTGGTTAAATGGGGTCTCGCTCTGTCACCCAGGCTAGAGTGCAGTGGCGTGATCTTGGCTCATTGCAAGCTCTGCCTCCTGGGTTCACGCCATTCTCCTGCCTCAGCCTCCCAAGTAGCTGGGACTACAGGTGCCCGCCACCACGCCTGGCTAATTTTTTGTATTTTTAGTAGAGATGGGGTTTCACCATATTAGCCAGGATGGTCTCGACCTCCTGACCTTGTGATCTACCCGCCCTGGCCTCCCAAAGTGCTGGGATTACAGGTGTGAGCCACCGCACCTGGCCAGGAGTTGGTAGTTTTAGTATCCCTATTTTACAGATATGGAAACTGAGGCTCAGAGAGGTAGGTAACTTGCCAAAGCCATGCAGATACTAAGTGGCCAAGAGGGATTCAAACACAGGTCTGTTTCACTTCAAAGCCCAACTTCCGGCCACCATCCTCTAGAGCTACAGAGTTTTTGTTGAAACCTGGGACCATTGAATGTTCCCATAAATCTTTTTTTTTTTTTTTTTTTTTTTTTTTTTTTTTAAGACAGGGTCTTGCTCTGTCACCCAGGCTGGAGTGCAGTGGCGTGATCTTGGCTCACTGCAACCTCCACCTCCCGGGTTCAAGCTATTCTTGTGCTTCAGCCACCTGAGTAGCTGGGATTACAGGCATGCACCACCATGCCCAGCTAATTTTTTGTATTTTTAGCAGAGACGGGGTTTCCCCATGTTGGCCAGGCTGGTCTCAAACCTGGCCCCAAGTAATCTGTCCACCTCTGCCTCTCTCCTATGAATCCTTTATATAACTTTAAGACAAATCCTCAAAAGTGAGAATGAAGAAACCAGCCAAAAGATCTTTTAATAAAGAATTTTAAGATTCATGAAGTCAACAAAAAATCTTTATAGAAGTTAATTAAATGGATGTTAAAAATATTGTTCTTTTTGCTATGGCTTTGATGGAAAGAAAATGATCACAGCTTCAAAGTTCCACCTTCTCTTACTTCTTTCCTTCCTCCCACAAATATCAAATGTTAGCGGATTCCTAGGATGAAAAGCACTGTGCAAAGAACTGAGATCTTAACAATTGATAACCCAAAGTTCTTGGTCTCAAGGAGCTTATTCCCTAGCACACAAGACAAGCTATAAACTTGAACACTCTATTAATTACAGATAAGCATGAAGCCATAAATGATCTTATAGGGGAGGGACATATAACATAGAGAATAGGGACATAAATGGAGCATGGAAGGCTTCCTGGAGGTGGTGGTTCTTAAGTTGTGTCTTGGAGGGTTAGTAGTTGCTAAATGGGTGGATGAGGGGTGGGGGGAAAGTATTCAAGGAAAAGAGAGCAATGTGTAAAAACGCATGGGGCATGGTCTCTTTGAGGGTACTGTAAGCGGTTTGGAATAGGCTGATGAACAGGGCACATATGCGTGGCTGGGAGGAAATGAGGTTGCAGATGTGAATAGGCCAGATCAGAAAGAACCTTTAGGCAAGGCCAAGGAACTTGAGCTTCATGCTCTAAGGCAGGGGTTCCCCACTGAGGGCTTGCACCCTCCAGAGTGATGGGGCAAGATTATAGCTGGCATGCTCAGAACCGTGCATGAGCGAATGAACCTCTGAATGCACATACATATGAGCATGCACATTAGCAGGAGAAAAAGGTGCAGGACCACAGCTGAGAGTAACGGGGAAGCACAGAGGAATTTAAGCAGGAGGGTGCCATTGTTAGCTTTGTGTTTAAAAAGCCCTTTCTAGTTATAGTATGGAACATGGGCTGGGTAAGGCAGGGAGATTGGGAAAAGGCAGGAAGTGGGAATGGGAGACAGGGAGAAAAGTTTAGGAAGTGGTGATAGTCAAGGCAAGAGGTGATGAGGCCTGAACCAGGAAAGAGATAGAGGAGTAAGAGGGAGAGATGGATATTTTGGGACTTAGAGCTACTATGTCTTGGTGGTCAACTGTTGTGGGGGTGAAGGGAAGGAGTGGTCTGGGTGACTCATGGTGTCTGGATTGAACACCTAGGCAGACGTTGGTGCTATTACGAAGAGAGTTTTTGTATAAAGCAATGTAACTATGAAGACATTGGAGGAATATGGTTACTTCCCTCAAAAGTACATTGAAAGCTAGTGCCCTTACATCTCCTTAAGAAAGTATCTAGGGGACTAAATATCTTCAGACATATGTGACCTTCAGGTCAAGGCTGTGCACTATTTATTCATTTCCGAATCCCACATGCCCAGCAAACAGGGCTGATATTTAGGTGCTTAGTAACTCTGTACCAAAGGGACTCTCTTTTCTTCCCCCAAAGTAGTAGATAGTAGGAAACACTATTACTTATGTCAGTGAAATAAGTATAAGGGTAGGAACAAAACTAACTCAAGTCCTGAGACTGATTTTAGCTAGATTTATCTCTGGTCATCTTTCGGAAACCTCATTCATTGCCTTACTCGAGTCAGTTTAAAAAAATGCAAATACAACAGAAGCACCTTTTCTAAGCTTAAGCTTTACAAAGAAGTAAAAAAGCAAATGTAGCAAGTAAATTATTAAGTAAGTTCATTTCAAATAACTTTTGTTTATACAAAGTTACATCATGTAGTTGTCATGAAGAAATGTTTTCAAATGGGAGACTTGAGAACCCTCCCTCAGGTAAAAGGAATCCTTTATTTACCCCGAAAGAGGTGCTGAGTCCAGGGCCCACGCCCTGAATGAGTGGGATTGTCATGTAGTGAGGCCACAAACAGAAACACCAGCTTGGAAGACACCATCTTTAGCAGAGCAGTGTGTATGGAGACCTGATCAAATGAGATTTAAATCCAACTGACATTCACAGAGCACCTCTTGTGCCAAGTCCCAGTCTATCAGCTTTCAAATATATCATCTTTTCAAATTCCATAGCAACAAACCAAGCTGGTAACATTTATTAAGTTTATAAGGGCTCAGTATCAAAAACAAGAGGCAGTCAACATCCCAGGTGAGCACCTACCTTTGTTCAAGCTAGAGATTTGAGAGCGGTCATAAGGCAAAGAGGTTCTTACCTCCAGGCACCTGCATTTGGATTTTCCTTCCTTTGGTCTGGCTTAGTGATTTTCAAACTTGAGTATGTCTAAGAACTACTGACAAGGTCAGACACATAAAACCACACATTCTGTACTTAACAGGCAATTTAAGAGATTTTAAAGACAATTAGGACTATGTGTGATTTTCACATTAGGCACCGATTTGAGAGCCCATCCTCCACTCCAGATGGGATGCCCCACCATTCTAGTTATCGTCTAGATGGTGTGGGTAGTTAATTACACAATTACTTAAATGCACTGTATTTTTAAGAAGAATTAGGAGGCTTATGATGCTAAATTGCTACTAACAATGGACTTTTAAACATAAAAACAAAATTAAATCCAATGAAAAGGAGAGAGAAACGAACAAAGCCACAAGCAGACTTATCAGGAAGCTGAGGAAGCTTCTTTGGTCAGGCCCCTTCCAAGGTGCTGTACTTAGCATTTATAATTTTGTGTTTTTATTTTTATTATTTGTTTATTTATTGAGATGGAAGTCTCGCTCTGTCACCCAGGCTGGAGTGCAGTGGTGTGATCTCAGCTCTCTGCAACTTCTGCCTCCAGGTTCAAGCGATTCTCCTGCCTCAGCCTCCCGAGTAGCTGGGACTACAGGTGCGTGCCACCATGCCCAGCTAATTTTTTTTTTTTTTTTTTGTATATTTAGTAGAGGTGCGGTTCCACTGCATTAGCCAGAATGGTCTTGATCTCCTGACCTCAGGTGATACTGCCCCAAAGTGCTGGGATTACAGGCGTGAGCCACCATGCGCAGCCCCCACTTGTTTATTTATTTATTTATTTATTTATTTATTTATTTTTAAAGAGGACCTTTCCTCCTTCCAAAGTGAATAAAGTTTAAGCTTCATGGATTCTAGATTTGCCCCCCAGATGCTGCAGTCAATACTTCTGAGCCTTAAATTTAGTCCTGTGCTTTCGGGCACTGAGGGCAAAGTGGGGCCCGTAACAACTCACTATGCACAGTGAAATGTAAGGGGGGAGATCAGAATCTCTGAAATGCCAGAGTGTTAACTGCCAACTGAATTGACAGAGCTTGAACTGACAGCTGGAGAAATTAGGCATCAATATTAGAAAATAATGCTATATTACTGCCTTATTACTTAATATTTAATGTACATACAGTTCACCAGTATTTCAGTAAATAAGCATCTATCAAGTGCCTACTTTGTGACCAGCCCTGAGCTAGATTCTCAGGAAAATATAAAAGGCTGAAGCTCAGATTTTATTTAGTTATTTTTGAGACAGAGCCTCACTCTGTCACCCAGATTAGAGTGCAGTGGTGCCATCTCTGTTCACTGCAACCCCAGCCTCCCGGGTTCAAGAGATTCTCCTGCCTCAGCCTCCCAAGTAGCTGGGACTAAAGGCATGCACCACTACATCTGGCTAATTTTTGTATTTTTAGTAGAGACAGAGTTTCGCCATGTTGGCCAGTCTGGTCTCAAACTCCTGATCTCAAGTGATCCACTCACCTCAGCCTCCCAAAGGGCTGGGATTACAGGCATGAGCTGCCATGCCTGGCCTGAAGCTCAGATTTAAAAAATTCTCTACTCAAAAGTTCTGGAAGAGGCAGGTTAGTGTTTACTAAAAAAACACATTCCTGAAACACAGGGAAACACCTAGGGGAAACCCAGCACTGAGCTGGGGACAATTTTAGACATGTTCTACTTCAGTGAAAGTGAGAAAGTGGAAAGACCACTGGTTGGAAATGAAGGAACAAGGATGTTTGATCTGTTTTCCTCCCTCTATTCTGTCCTTCTACAAATGTTTACTGAGCACATTTTTTTTTAAAATAGCAGCTTTATTGGGATATATTTTATATAACATACAATTTACCTCTTTAAAGTAACTCAATAATTTTTAGTATCGTCACAGTGTTGTGTAAACATCACCGCAATAGATTTAGAACATTTTCAATGGCCCCACCAAAACACCCATCCATACTCGTTAGTTGTCACTCCCCATCTTCCCTCCCATCCACAAGCCTAGGCAACCACTAATCTACTTTCTGTTTCTGTAGATTTCTCTATGCTGGACGTTTCCATGCACCTGTTCTATATCAGGCCTAAGGCCAGGAGAAGGGAGCTATAGCCACCCCCATCTTCTCTCCCCCTGAGAAGCTCTGGTATTAGAGGACACATCGCCTATCCTTCATGGGCTTCAATTTTTTTTCTCCTATAAAATGAAAGGGATGGAATTTGGACTCCCTTCTACTTTAAAGACTCTACTTTAAAATTTAGTCCTAGAGAAAATCATGAGGCAAATGGTGGATAGCTGGGGAAACAGGAATTTTCAACTGCTCTTATTAGAAACAGAAAATGTTTCTAGAGGCACATGGTAGTATGTATTAAAAGCACTAAGAATGTATACACCCTCAGACCCAGAAATTTCACTTCTAGGATGATCCTTAGGTATTCATTAAGGATGGTTGCAAAGTTATATGTACATAGCTAATCATGACAATGTTGCTATGAAACTGTGAAATAAATGTCTGACAATAGAGGCTGTGACTCCCAAATCCACTCCCCACCAACAGAGCCCCAGTTAAGAACCCTGCTTCCAGACTATGCCTTGTAGGACTGTCCATCCTCAAATTGGCCTTTCTGCAGCCTCTGCATGCCATGAACTCTGAGTTCACTGCCCACTAAAACCTGCAAACTATTTTTATTCCCAATACTGTTATTTGATCTTGTAATTGTGCTGTTGCTTCCAGGCCCAAGTATAGGACCTGACATTTCACCCTCAAGTCTCAAGTATTATGCTCATGGGCATAATTTGACCGGCACTGTAAGAATTCCATGGTATTACAGTGTTTCTGATTGTGGCATTATGTTGTATTGTGTTTAATAATTCCAGCTTTTGTCCTTTGATTCCAGGCCTTTTCCAATCATTTTTGTCTTTGCCATTAATATCCCACACCCTTTCAATGTATAAATAACTTCTACTTTGCCAGAGAGCTGAAAGCCTGACACTTTTATTGCAAGGTATCTTTGAGCTTATTTATGATCAAATGGATATGACTTCATGAAGGGCTTTGCACACCAGATTGATCAGAGGCAGCCATTTTCTGAACTCTGCATAGCATTTAATAGAAGTGTAATTTAGAAGTTGAAAAGAAAACATGCTATTTTTGAGATTTTTAAGAGGGCAGAGTATGTACTTTTGAAAAAGACATTCTTTCTGGCTACTTAGTAATTACATGTGGTAAGGGTGCTAAATCGAACATTATGTAGAGTAAGCACCATTCCACCCCACTTGCTCACCACTAAAGACGTTTCAATATTTCAGTGACTTCAACCAACAAAGATTATCATGTAAACATTTCACGTAGACTGCCCCCTCTAGCATTTTCAAGAATTTACCCATGCTTTCCTTTCTTTGTCATTCATTAAAGGTAGAATAAATATTTACTTTAGGTTTACCTTTAAATTTAGGATTTCCTCCTACAATAAACATATTAATAAAATAAATTTTAAAAATATTTCCTAACCTGGAATAATTGTGCAAGCCAGTGTTTTACCCTAAAATCATTTTTAGAAGAATCCCTTTACTTGCAGTTTGATAACAACTAATTTATTCTGTAGCTAATTCAATTACTTTGTAATTAGCTTACCAGAGCAGGAAAGAAGACAAAATAAATGTCTTTGTGATTGGTCCCTTGTAATGAAATAGATGAGCGAGTGTAAATACACACTTTTATTGTACCAGCCACGCAGGCAGTCCGTGTGTGTGTGTGTGTGTGTGTGTGTGTGTGTGTGTGTGAAGTAGGCCTAGATTCCCATTAGTTCTTTCCCACTGTTTCTTAGCATTCTCCCACTTGAGGGTTTTCTGTGGATGTTTCACCACTGAAATTTATCCTTGAGCTTTGAGCTGACCCAGTGGCTGGCATTTGCCATTCAAGTTGGAGTTGCTAATGAAGTTCAGTTTGTATTTGCTGTTTAGGGAGCTGAAGGAAATGGAGGACTGGCAGATTATTCAATTCCATGCCCATAGGTGTATGCTGTGTAAGGACTCAGAGGAAGAGGAATCTAGAGCTTTTGTCAAGTACCCTAAATATTGACTCTCGCACACCAATGGGAAGATTTAATAGGCATATTTTACCTCACCAGTGAGGGATGAGTGGAAAGACAAAAACCTAGGAAGGGTGAAGTTTTATCCTGAACCAAAAGGGCTAGAACCACTGGCCTGTGCTGGGCACAGGATGAGGAGCCTCTGGCAGTCCCAGTGGATCTGAAGATATTTCTAAAACGTGTTCCTTGGGCAAGCTGTGCAGCAGCTCAGCTTCACCAGGGGCTCAGCAGGGGTCCTTCTGTAAACTGCTGCCTTTCAGAGGCACTTCTGAGAGTATCACAGCCCTTGGTGAGCTCCTCAGGGAAGCAGCATACTCTGAAAGCCATGAGTGGCCACCACTGTCAAAAGGCTCTGTGGGAATCCTCTGTAATGGCTGTGTGATGGGCAAGGTCTCACCGTGTGGCCCTGCCATGAGCCCTCCTGGATGTCAGAGGAGAGAGTATAGACTGTCTGAGAGGCATGTGTTAGCTGACTGGATTCCCCAGCTAGCACTGCCTCAGGGATTCCAGGCAATACCCGAGCTTTGAAGGCAGAGTCTCAGCTCTGCTTGTCTGAGGAGGGCCAGAGAGGGAAAAGGCAGAGCCTCAGAAGACTGGACACTAAAGGAGACCCTCTTCCCCAAGCATCCCACAAAGTGACATTGAATGTGAGTTCACTTAAAATGCACTTTAAGGTCACATAAAGTGAAACCAATGACCACCCCTGTTACCTTTGTGACAAGCAGAGCTCACCATCCTCAAAAACCTTGGAGCAAGATGATATTTATATATATGTGTGCATACGTTTACCACAACTCCTCCTGGGCGTTATACACCTTCACAAGCTGTCAGTGATGAGGTTCGGCATGGGGTACCTTCAAGATTGGGGTGGCGTGGCAGTGCGAGTGAGGCTTGGGTCCTCTCTGGAGGGAGAACTGTTCTGATCATCTCCCAGGCCTTCCTGCCAACACTTCCTGGTTCTGATCTTAGAATCTCAGGACCATCCTGCTTTTACCCTGTTTCTCACCACACTTGCTGCTGACACTGCTTTTCCTCCATGCGTGTGGCCTTGGCACCATTGAAATAATTTTCCAGTGCCTGATCTCAACTGTGTCCAATATTTGGCTTCATCATTTACATTTTGGAGCAAATACATCAGAGACTTGCTCTGCTGGTGCACGAGTTTAGACTGTCTTTTCTGTGTTGTAATTTATCCGTCTTTTGCATAGGAGCTGCATGCATTCTGCTCTGGTTTCTTCAAATGCACACAGCAAGTTGGTGGGAAACACCAGTTTGGATGCCTGCACTCTACCCCGAGAATTCCTCTAGAAATGTCCATTTGAATGCTCTTCACTCACCAGCATCTCTGGTTTGGTTCTTTACCTTGGTTGTACATTTTCATTTTATTCCTCAGTTTGGACTATATTGGACTAGAATTTGATGTTCTCCCCCGGGCACAACTTCCTGTCCCACCTCTTTCCAGACGTTGCATCCTGTGATGGGGGCGGGGGGTGGGGCACCTCACTCCTAAGCCTTGTCTTTGTCCTGGCCTTACCAGGTCTGTTTTTTTGCCTGATTTCAGTCAGGGGTATGTGTGGCTTGGAGGAGGGTGTACCGTGAGGGAGGGCATTTGGACAATAGTCTGACAAACAGCTCACTGTCACCCTTTCTGCTTAAATTCACCTTTTGTACCCCTGTAAGAGATTGATCCATCTCTACGCACATTGACGGGGCAGCTTCAGAAATCCTTTTTCTACTTCTCTTTCTATATTTAGAGACAGGCAAATATATCTCTACTTTTATGCATAATAAATTCTTTAAAATGTCAAAGCTACAAATGACTTATTCATTTATTCAACAAATATTTATGGAGCATCTATTATGTGCAAGGCACTGAGGACATAACAGTGAATGACAGACATACCCTAGCAGAGTGCCAAGTAGGAGAAGACTTCATTTTCAGTAATCCTAATATATATATATATATATATATATCCCTAATGATACCTTGTCTTTTAGCCATAAGTTGTTACCAATATTTTTAACATTTCACACATATTTTAAAATTTTGTTTTCCTTCAGAATTGAACACATGGTTGACTGGTGTAACCCAATGACTATCCAGGGCTAATGTTATTCTGTTTTCAGGATGCCTCATAATTTTCTTTATTTTCTGAAGTATATTATGAGTTTATAAAACCCACGCTTCTGATTACTTTTGTTCTTTTGGTTGATCATTCTTACTACTAAACTGATAAGGGCAAAATACAATAAAATCCTCAATTATACAAACATGGCTGTAAAAACTTCATGGCTGGCTGGCATTTGGTGTTTGAAAGGCAGTGTAGAGGGGTCAATGTTTAATGTATGAAAGTAAAGATTATTTGAAAGTTGAATACATGAAAATACAGGACTCCTTGGATTCTGACTGTCTCTTGTCTGACCATTACAGCTTTCATAATCAGCATAATTTTGGCAGAAAGTAGATTTCCAGCTGTTTCAAGTCACAGATGTATTCTTTTCTGGGCTGTTCTAAAAATATGCACAGGCTGTTTTCTTAACTTTTAAATCACAATTCTCTTGATGGGTTTTTGCTTTCATTTGGGATCCTTTGGCCCAGGACTGTGTGCAACAGTGAACTGCATGCAAACTTACTCTGGAAGGAATTTTCTAGAGCCAGGAAGTCAGAGTCCGTGCTGTCTACTCCTTTCACTCATTGTTTCACAGTGTGCGGGTCCTGAACGTTCATGAAGAACAAAATGTGCCTGCCTGTTTTAAGTGTGTGGGGAAGGAAGAAGGAAACAACTCTACATTTAAGGAGTTCTACTTGAGAGGAGGTGGGACTGGAAGATCTGTGGGAGAGGCAGAAAGCTCAGCACAAGGTTATAAATTAAGGGGAGAGTTTAAACTGTGAAGGCATCATCCTTTGTATATAACATAACCTACGAGTGCTTCCTAGGCAGAGACTAGTTCTCATTGGTCCACCTTCCATCACTGCCGTGGCCAGTTGGGGCAGGCATTGGATTCCCTGCCCCAGGCCACCAGAGGCAGCAGCGGACTCAGAGAGGGTAGGATGAGCAATGTATTTTTTAAATGATGTGGTTTAAAATAACATTTCACTCTTCTTTTGAGGAACTTCACAAAGTATTCAAGGCTAAAAGACTTGAGGTCTAAGTGTAAATGGGCTTCTAAATAAGCTTTAGAACAATGCTCTTTTTTATTCTTTATATACCAAGTGATGGGATTGTAAGTGCTTTTTTCTTTTTTGTTTTCAGCATTATTTAAACAATATTTAAGAAAGGAAGCTGGGCGTGGTGGCTCATGCCTGTAATCCCAGCACTTTGGGAGGCCGAGGTGGGTAGATCATGAGGTCAGGAGTTCCAGAACAGCCTGGTCAAGGTGGTGAAACCCCACCTCTACTAAAAATACAAAAATCAGCTGGGCACGGTGGCGGGCCCCTTTAATCCTAGCTACTCGGGGCACTGAGGCAGGAGAATCACTTGAATCTGGGAGGTGGAGGTTGCAGTGAGCCGAGATCATGCCACTGCACTCTAGCCTGGGTGACAGAGCAAGACTCTGTCTCAAAAAAAAAAAAAAGAAAAAGAAAAAGAAAAGAAAAGAAGCAAGGGAGGAAGGAGGAAGGAAGAAGGATGGAAGAAAGGAACCAAAGAAGGAAGGAAGTAAAGAAGGAAGGAAGGAGGAAGGAAGAAGGATGGAAGGAAGGAACTAAAGAAGGAAGGAAGTAAAGAAGGAAGGAAGGAAGGAAGAAGGAGGAAAGAAGAAGGAAGATAGAAGAGGCAGGATGGATTAGCAGGAGCTGTCTCTGTATTCCAGCACACAGGGTGGAACTCATGGCATGCAGTAGGTGCTGAATAAATATTGATTTGAAATAGTGATTATTGTTCAACCAGTAAAGCAGCATTTTAAAAAATGATCAGCTTATTTTCTTTTAAAAAATGGCCATAACCTGGCAGCCACAGTGAAAGACCTGCTTTCAGGCTCCTGGAGTGAGGGAAGGACCTGCCCTTGTACAGCTTGTTCTTGCTTGGCTGAGGAAGTTCACATAGGGTTTCATCGCATGGTGGACCCAGTCTCCCCTGGGTCCAGATGTTGGAGCTGACAGGAAAAGCCCAATTGTGAAATTGTCCTTAGAGTTGAAAGTGCTGAAGCCAAATGCTACCCAGCGCCTGCCAAAGCTAAGAAATTGCACAATGCATATAATTATACAAACTCAAGAGAAACCAAATGCTCTTCATTCAAGGAGTTACCAAAAGAGGAAGTGCCCGCTTACAAAATACAGGTAGCACCACATGACTTTATGTGATTTTTATTTTTATTTTTGACCAGCTAACTGTCTGTGTTTCTAACTTCATGAATTCCAGCTTTGAAATGATGTAGTTTAATAACATTTTAGTCTTCTCTTGAGGGATTCCACGAAGCAGTCAAGACTGAAAGACTTGGAGACTGAGTGTAAACTGGCTTCTAAATAAACTTTGACATCAAAATCTATCTTTTTTCCCTCTTCCTTAAGTTTATGTAGATGAACAAATTTTGGACACCTGAGAAAATACTTTCTCTAACTTAGAAGGGCACAGCGAACTGCGTTGGAGACAATCGGGAAAGAAGTTGGAAGTGGGAAGGTAATAGGGATATGGGGTGGGGCCAGAGCAAGGAAGCCTTGGGAGACAGAGAGAGAGCTGTGCCAAAAAACTGCCAAGCTTGGAGAGAACCTCTGTGTCTGCAGGGGAAAGAGCTGAGATTTGCCTCCGAGGGGGCTTAGGCAGCTGGGTGGGAAGCTTAATGCTGTGCAAATGAGCCCTGGTAGTACCCAGATGGCAGAAAAAGAGAATTGTTGGTATATGGGCCACACAGGGAAGCCCTGCAGAAGAGTGGGGTTGGACATCAGAGGTGGGAGGTGATGAATCGAAGAAAAGAATGTTTGATCCTTGATTTACTTTGCCCGTTTTCATATTGTTTTGAGCTGTGTATTTTATACTGATTTAAAGCATGTTTAAAGTATCAGCAGACTGCAGTGGGACTCTGCAATCATTGGCTTCTGGACATTCAAATTGCTTCTGATTTTTCACTATTGTAGCCATCTGTGCATTGAACCTCTTTGTGCATTCCACTCTTTCTGTATTGAGGACAATTTCCTAACAATAGATTCTGAGAAGTGGAACAACTGGGTCAAAAGATATGAACATTTTTATGTGTCTTAATACACAGTGGAAAACATTTGGAAAGCCAAATTTCTTTCTAAAAGGTTGGTTAAACCCAATCACTTTTCTTTCAAACATGACTTTAAGGGTGATTACTCAGGGCTTTTAATGAGATGTTTGGCTAAGAAAAGATAGTATAAAAACTGACATTTATTCTGTGCTCATCATAGCTTTTCTATCTTCTGTTGTATTTAAGCCTCACAACTACCCTGTGTGACAGACATTAACCCCATTTTACAGATGAGAAGACAGGCTCAGAGAGATTAAGGACTTTCCCAAGGTCACATGGTTAGTTGAGTGGCAGAGTCACTACTAGAAAGCGGGCCTGACTTCAACCCCCTAAGCTTCCCTCCACATCATGCTGTTGCCAAAAGTTTCAAGAATATGAACCAAGGAACAATGATACACCTGAGATACATCCTGGGTCCCCGAGAGTTATGAAGCTATGAGCTTATTCTTTCCAGATGATGCTATTGGTGAGAAAGTTTATTTTCAGAAGAAATACATTTATTTCAGAGTAAAATGAGTCAATTACTTATTATCATATTCTGTCCATTTCTACCACCACTACCTAATTCAGACTCTTATAACCTTAACTTAAACCACAAAATAGGGTGCAAATTGTGTCTTCCTGCCACCTCTTCATTGTATAGGAGGGAAGAGGCAGGATAGTCCTGGACTGTGTCCAGGACTTATCTTCTGAAAATATGGCATTTGATCATGTTATCCTCATGTTTATAACCATCTTAAAACCTTCACTGGCTTGCACTGTCAATAGAATCAAATATAAATGCTGGTGTTGAAAGTCTTTTACGGGCCGGGCACAGTGGCTCAGACCTGTAATCCCAGCACTTTGGGATACTGAGGTGGGTGGGTCACCTGAGGTCAGGAGTTTGAGACCAGCGTGGCCAACATGCTGAAACCCCGTCTGCTAAAAATACAAAAATTGGCCAAGCACAGTGGCCTGTAATCCTGGCACTTTGGGAGGCTGAGGCAGGCAGACCACCTGAGGTTGAAAGTTCAAGACCAGTCTGACCAACATGGCAAAACCCTGTCTCTACTAATAATACAAAATTAGCCAGGCGTGGTGGCACATGCCTGTAATCCCAGCTACTCAGGAGGCTGAGGCAGGAGAATTGCTTGAACCCAAGAAGGTGGAGGTTGTGGTGAGCTGAGATTGCGCCATTACACTCCAGGCCTGGGCAACAAGAGCGAAACTCCATCTCAAACAAAAAAAAAAGTTAGCTGGGCATGGTGGCACACTCCTGTAATCTCAGCTACTCAGGAGGCTGAGGCAGGAGAATTGCTTGAATCTGGGAGGTGGAGGTTGCAGTGTGCCGAGATTGCACCACTGCACTCCAGCCCGGGCAACAGATCGAGACTCTGACTCAAAAAACAACAACAACAAAAAGAAAATAAAGTCTTTTAGGACCCCAAACTAACTGCTGCACTGAGAATTCCTACCTATGACATGTCCTTGCTACCCAAGGATTTGCGGCAGGATGGCAATATGAGGCAGGGTCTAAGTTCCAAGGGTTGCCTAGAGTAAAATATCCTATCCAAGGGTACTAACGATGAAAAAAACCAATATGGTGGGCCAAGGCAATAAGAGGCTTTGTCATCTGCCTAGTGGTGGGAGTTAGGCTATGGGGTCAGACAGGTTGGGGTTCAAATCTCACCCTGATATGGTTTGGATATTTGTCCCCTCCAAATCTCATGTTGAAATGTGACCCTCAATGTTGGAGTTGGGTCTGGTGGGAGGTGTTTGGGTCATGCAGGTGGATCCCTCATAAATGGCTTAGTGCCTTCCCTGAGGTAATGAGTGAGTTCTCACCTTATTAGTTCACAGGACAGCTGGTTGTTTAAAAGAGCCTGGCATCTCTCTTGCCCCTTCTCTCATCTTGTGACATGCCTGCTCCCCCTTGCCTTCCGTCATGAGTAAAAGCTTCCTGAGACCTCACCGGAAGCCGAGCAGATGCCAGTGCTGTGCTCGTATGGCCTGCAGAGCCATGAGCCAAATAAATATCTTTTCTTTATAAATTACCCAGTCTCAGGTATTCCTTTATAGCAATGCAAAGTGGACTAATAATACACAGTGCTCACAATTAACATCTCAAGCCTCAGTTTCCTCTCCTGCAAAATGGGGGTAAAAGAAATTTCACTTCACAGGATTACTTTAAGGAGATAGAAGATTTCAAGATCTCACACGAAGATCTGGCTTAGTGTTAGCTTTACTTCTGTAGGCTTGAGTGGGAATTGAGGAAGAAACCTCTGAGGTCAAAAATTTGAATCAAGTTCACAGGGCCCTGCACAAGGATATAAATGGGAAATGTAGTCAAGATTAGGTATGAAGATGAGCCAGGATGGCAAAGGGTGGGTACAGCATAAGCAGGAGTGAGTGTTGGATAAATGGGACAGCCAGGATTGGAGAGGCTGGTTGGAGTGGGTGGCACAATTATGTAGGGCATGGTTAAAGGTACAGAGTCAAAGAAAATACCATTCACAATTTCCCACTACATCAAATGCATCTCCCCCACTCCCAGCTCCCTGAACACTCCAATCCCTAGCATGTCCACCCAACCATACATAACTTATCTTCCCTGGAATGTCCTCTCCCTGCCAATCCAAATCCTATCTGGCCCACAAGACCAAAAACAAAATCTCTGTTCTTCTATACAGCCTCTCCTGATCCTCCTTCTTCCCTTGCCCACTTGTTAGAGCTGAGCCCTCCCTTGTTCAAACTCTTCTGGCAATTATTCTTTTCACAATTCATTTGGCAATTAATCACACACTGTGTTGGATGCATTTACTGTTGTTGGCTTGAGCAGATAAAAATATCTTCTATGCCTGTTTAACTTGTCACATGTGTCTGGCTTGCTTTTCTGAAAGAGGAGTCCAAAGACAAGCCAGGAATCACTAATGGGGAAGAACTCCTTCAGAAAGAAATAATAACAATCATCAGGCCTATATAGGTTTCAAATTCATTTTGCATATATTATTTCATTTGATCCTCAGACAACTCAGGGAGATGCATATTGTTATTACCAAGATGTACTCCTCAGCTCAATAATCTTTACTGACTATGAGATCAAATGCAAAGTCTGGCATTGAAAGGTTGCCCAGTCTTCCTTCCACTTTGCCAGATCAGTTAGACGGGCATATTAAATAACTCTTTGCAATGTTCTGATCAGTTCTGATATAAGGAAGTGGCCAGTCTGATGAGAAGGGGCGCTGCTCATCTTGGGTTCAGAGGTCAATCAGCAGAAACTACAGAACCATCACAAAGACAAAAGGAGTCTGGAGAAGCCCAAGAAAAATCCATTCAACTGGCCTAGGCCAAGGGCTTTCCTAATGCCCTGTTTTGGAGGGATTGATCATTAACCCAACTTTACTCTGCAGTGATGCCTGTGTGCTATTTGGGGTAGCTGTGTATACATTTCATCTGTTTGGTAAACTATGTATAATCCATTTTACCATGTAGACTCAGGTTTAACTAACATTTTCACTGAACCAAGCCCCTGGTCTGTTTCCATTGTTTTTTCAGGAAAATGGTTGCAAGATTCTATAGATGAGTTATGAGAGAGGTCAGGTCTATATGAGAAAGGCTCTCTAGGAGAAAGGAGCGGGGGGCACATACATTCAAAGTTGATAGTAAATAGAGGAAAAACAGTTCATACATATAGATCTTGGATGGTAAAGGATGGGGGATATGCTATGGGCAAACCTTCAAACTAAACTCTATAGCCAATAGTAATGAACAATAGCTATAATATTTAAGGGAAAATGATTGGCTTTGCTGATGGTGGGGGGTCATTACAGGTAGACCCTGTGATAAGCAGAATGTATAATACTGTTTCCTTGATGGGAATAATTTAGCAAAAGCATGTGCATTGCATTGGCACCACTCTTGTATCTAAGCAGAAATGCTGCATGGCTAAGAGGGTTGCACAAGAGATTCATGTGGCTCTGGAAGGGTTACCTTTCTTACACAGGAGAGCTGGGTATGAATGGAGATGGGGTAGTGTGGACTGATGAAAAGTTTGGGTTCTTCATGGTGTACCCTTCTTCTGACTTTGAGCTCTGGTCTTCCATGGGTTCCACGGAATCTGAGGGCTCAAGGATGAGTGATCTCTCAAAGACAGGGTGACAAGTTTGTAGCTACTTGCTGCACTCACCAGAGCTTTCAGGGATCCCAAAGGCTGGAGGGGCAAATAGGCCTGTTGTTTTCTTATCTTGCCTGGCTGGCTCTCAGGAATTCCTGGGTGGAGAATGACCTTGGGATGAGGGAAGGGCCAGCAGCCCAGAGCTGGATGTCTAATGTTGAAAGAATCACAGTAGTTATGGGGAAAGCCAAGTCAGAGCCAGGGAAGACAAAGGAATGGGTTGGAACAGCGGTGGTTTGTGCCATAACAGTTTTAATACACTCATACTCCCAAGGTGACATTTACTTTCTCTGCCTGGCTGGTGACAGCTTTCACCTTCTCTACCAGGCTGGCCCTCTGAGAGGAAGAAACACTCCACTTAGCCTTACTCTTATTCCCCCTCAACCATTTGATGCTTCAGAGGTAATAGCAATTAATGATGACTGTAACTGTTATGAGTCATTAATCCATCAATTAATAAATTAATCTCTTGCCTCATTCCACAAAGGATCTGAGGCAGGAGTTATTAGTAAGATTTATCATGGTAACCAAGAGAAAATGATGATAGCATTGCAGGGAGCCAAATGGTAATTGCAATCATGATTGTAATAGCTATAAGTTAGTAGATCAATGCCAAGTGCAATGACTACTTGAAGAAAGAATTTATGTTAATAGATCAATGAAAAAGGAGACTTAGAAAAGGGAATCTGTAAATGAGCAGAGATTACATAGTTGGAAGGCTTCCAGGGACTAAGGCTGGTTGAAATGATGATGAAATTATTGTTCGGTTGAATGTTTGAGTTCTGGGCCGTGGGCTGGATGTTTGACATAATACTATCCCATCTGATCCATATATCAGCCTGGGGAAACTAAGGTCCCTCAGGAGTTGCTTTTCATCAACATATGTATAGCATTTCACTTTCTCCAAGGGCCATTTACGTTTATTACTATATTTGATAAATACAATGTACTGTGAGGGGGTGAATATTATTATCATATTTTATAGATGTGATCTTGATGATCAAGATGTTAAAGTGACTTTCTAAGTTTCCAAACCAGTAAGCAGAGGAGCTAAGAGAAGGGGAAGACCATATCTTTAGAGTCAGATCTGTTTAAATCCCAACTCCATAACCTGCCAGCTGTGAGACCTTGGGCACTTTACTTACCCTCTCTGAGTCAAAGTTTCCCCATCTGTAAATGGAGATAATGACCCACAGCTCACAGGGCTGTTGGAGGCATTAAACATCTCACCCAGAACTTGGCAGATGGTAGGTGCCTAATAAATGTTCACTTATTTCTCCCTCTCTTCCAACTCTAACATGCTGAGACAGAACAAACACTGGCTACGATACTCAGAATAATAGGGGAGAAAACTTACTGGCTCTAATGAGAACTTAAAAACATTTCAACAATGGTGGCATATTAACCAGACATTGTGTCTGCTAGCAATACTTACGGTTCAAGTGAGATTTTGTGTGGTAAAGGGTCTATACCTCTAATTGCACAGAAAGTTGTGTTCCATGAACATTGCTAAGCAGAAGAGGGAGAAAAATAGCTCTTCTTTGGCTTCTTCTGCAAGGAACACTGAGACAATCTAATTAGCATGCCTGGTGTCTCCAAAATTGAATTCAACCTAAGAGTATGCTATTAAAGGCTCCCACATTAGACAAGAAAGTAATTTGAAATGACTGAGCTATCTGCACAAACACCTTAATGTTAGTCTAATGGGCCCAGAAAAAGAATGACATCAAATACAGTTAAAAGGAATTTAAGTTTAATTGCTGCCTAATAACATTATTAGTACATTTTCCTAACTATAAAGCCATTTCACAGTCATGGATAAGATTTTGCAATTTGATAAATGATCAAGCATGGTGTGCTGCTGCAGGTCTTTATTTATTTTGTTATATTCTTCTCTTGCAGAGACACTAGCTTGGACGGCAACTAATTGCTGGTCTCTCAACACCTGGGCTCATTTGGGGTCGTGGCCCTTGCTAAGAGGAGCCAAAGGACACAGTCTCATTGTCCACTTGGCATCTGAAACAACATCCTTCATGGCAGAGGTTGAAGTTCCTTCTATTTTTCAGTGAGCGCTGGAGTGTGTTGACCTGGCAGGGTCACTGATAGTCTATATGGTGCCTTTGTGAGGTTAGAAAAAGGAGCCTTTTATGGACCGTCAAATAAGAAAAAGGCATCCCTTTTAGGCAACAAGCTTTACATGCAGAATGGGGACTCGATTTTAGCTCCCATTTGCCTCTTCAGGTTGGTGCTTTTGTGCAATACCCAAATTGCACAAACTTATATGGCAGTTCAGAAAAGGGAGGTCTCTGTCACTGGAGGAACTGAAGCAGAGATGGGGTGACTATCTGCTAGGAATGTGATGAAAGGGGCTTCTCATTGAATGGGAAACTGGACTGAATGACAGGTATTTGTAGATTTTATATAACAGCCCACAGACATAAGCGCTGCTCTTGTACAAAGATGAAGGGGCCAAGGTTAGAATTTAGGCCTCTGATTCTGAAACCCTTGCTCATTTAGCCTTACTGGGATGTCTTCTACAGCGCGCCATGGGATTTTGACTTACAGGTGTGTTAGCCTCTCTCACACATGCCTATTCAAATGTGATTTTAAAAGATGAGTGGACTTGGAGGTGAATGAATATCAGGAACAATAGTGTATGGAAACAAGTAGTCTCAGGGACAGGTATCAAGGGGTATATCAGGGAGCTTAAGAGTGTTAGAGACCCCTCTCCATTTGGGAGACTTAGGAGAGCAAATGTGAGACTCACAGCAGAATATACTGGAGACCCAAAGCCAATTACAAGTTACCAATTTTTTTAGCTGTCATGGTTGCCTCATGGATAGAGCTGTCACATTTCCCAGGTACCCCTTGACAATTCTAATTTTATTCTGTTCAGCATAGTCTTGTCCTTCTATTCAAAAGTAAGTAATTTAAAAATGCATATCTAAATCTGATTTCATTTAAAACAATATTTATGGGCGTTATCATTACTAAAAACAAAAAACAAAAAACCCACACATGAGGAAAAGAAAAAATCCATTTCAGACCAGAAGTGTCATTTTAGCAAATACAATAGGAGTCAAGAGAGGGGAAGAGAGCTAAAATGTACTGAACATACTCTGTGCCAACTAGGTCTTGTCATTCTTCTCCCTGTTGAGATTAGAAAACTGAAGCCCAGGCCCAGTGAACTGGGGTCAGGTGGCTTCTACATGGAAGAGTGAGGCTTTGATCCCTGGTCTGTGCGACCACAATGCCCTTAGACCTTTTTCCACTTTACATTTATTCCCAGGAACAATCAATGTTATTCCAAACTTTCCTCATTTTCTCCATCCTGCCAAATCCCTTGAGGTCTTATTCATTGCTAAGCTTTCTACTTAACTTGTCATAAAACTTTTGTAGGAGAGAAAGTCATAGGTGGTTGGCTGGAAAGGTAGTTGGAGAAAATGGATGGATGCTGCCTGATACTGACTTCCTGCCATCAGCAGTGGAATCTGCACTGTCAGAAAGGGCTCCCAGCTGTCAGAAAGGGCTCCCAGCTGTTTAATGCTGAGCTCCAAGAAGACTAAACCACTATGGAAGTGGAAATGACATATATTTCATCTCTTTGTAGTGGGAAAGCCATCTGGTGTAGCTTTCCTCCCCATATGCTAGTGGTCTTTATATTTAATTGTGTAAGGAATCTAGTTGAAAATTTTATTAGATTTGACTGAAATCAGCCTTTGGACAGAAATCTTTTTCCTTCTGGAGTTCATGCCTATAGGAGAGGTCCTGACCCCAGTGTCTTCGGGCTGATGGCCACTTGAGGGACAGTGTGGGGCCATGTTTAGTTCTGACAACTAGTTCCTTGTCTAGGGCACACAGCCAGCTGGGGCAGGGGGTAGTGAACAAACTGAAGGGAAGTTTATTTCACCAGGAAAGCTAGGCTCATATCTAAAGAAAGATGTATTTATTCATTCATTCATATATTCAAAACATTTAATTAAGCCCTGCTGTGGACCAGGTGCTGGGGGAGAAAATCAAGAGATCAAAGAAAATCAAGATGTGTCCTTTCTGCCTTTGAGGAGGTCACTTAGTAGTGGAGGTGAGAAGGCAAATATATACAACTTATTTGTTCGTCCAGCCAATAATGAGCACAGACATGCGTCAACTCCCTGACTTAAAGAAGGCATAGTCCCTGTCCTCAGGAACTGCCCAGTCTATTAGGGCAGGCAGATCATAATCACAGTGAAGCATAAGATATGTCAGGTCAGAGTTTAAAACAGGGTGCGATAGAAGTCACAGTAGAGGAGCTTCTACGTTAGACTCTCAGGGGTGACTTATTAGTGGAGATGATGCATCAGGATCTGAAGGAGCTAGCCGATGAAAGGAGTAGGGGAATGGGCATTGCAAGTGGAAGGAACTGCAAGGGCAAAGACAAAGAAGGAGTCAAGAAAGAGCATGAAATATCTGCGGAGGAAGTTCTAGGAGCCCAGTATTGCCAAAGCAAAGGGTGTGTGTGTTTGTGCAGGAAATACGGAGGCATGATGAAGATGAAGGTAGAGAGGAAGGGCTAGATTACAAACAGTTTTGTGTATTACACTGACAAATTTAAGTTTATCTTGGAATCTTTGAGAAACTGTTGAGAGATTTTAACTAAGGGATGCAGGGTGACTAACTCATCTTGGTTTGCCTGGGAATGTCCTGATTTTAAAACTGAAAAGTCTCACATCCTGGGAACCCCTGCTGTCCTGGACAAACTGGGATGGTTGGTCACCTATGGGGAGGGGCAGGGAAGATCACTGTGCAAGCCTCATGGAAGATGCAATAGAAGGGTCAGATGGGAGGTGTGGGGATCTGTAAAGAGTCTTCTGCATTAATTCAGGTGAGGGATGAAGAAACCAGGTGTGAATCAAGGTAGTTAGCAGTGAGGACGAAGAGAAGAGAATGAATCTGAAATAGGAAGTAGAGACAAATACATTTCATCATCTTTTTACGCGGGGAGGGGAAGGAGGAAAGGACAGAGCCTAAATTCCTGTTTTCTGGCTTGCTGATCAATTAGCATCATAAAGGAGATTTTTTTTTTTAAGTGCTACTGCGAGAAGTGCAGAAGAGGAAAGTAGACTTATACCCATCACACCCTTTTATGACCAGGCATCAATCTGGGTGCTTTCTAGAAAGTATCTCATTTAATCCACATGATAATAACATAGGAGAATGTTAATTTTTCTTCATTTAGATGAGGAAACTGTGGCTCAGAGAGCCTAAGTAACTTGCTCAAGGTCACACAGCACTGGCAGTCCCAGTCAGATATGTCTCATCCAAGGCCTCTGCTCTTTCAACCCCCACCCTCACTCCACCCCTATCTCAAGGCAGGACAGAGGAAATGACAATTGAGCTGGCCTTTGCTGGAAAATTTTATCCAAATGGATGGGGAAGAGAAGGGACTAGCATGTGCCAGCATCCAAGGGTATGAATGAGTATGGAGTGTTCTGTAAAATCCCAAGAATGTCTTTGGCTCTGTCTCCCTGGAACAATAAATAAATACATATGCATGTCAGAGTTAATTATTCTTGACCCTTTTATGTGGAACATCTGCGATGATGGCAAAATGCTGTGTCATATCTTAACCCGCTCAATGGATTCTAATTGCCCAAGTAAGATAAACAAAAACAAGCTGAATGACGCTTTCTTCATGGTTTCTAATCTGTGTGCAAATCCCAATGGCTTGCCAATATTTCCCAATACAGAGCTGACTGAGTTGTGGTGCAATGAACTGAAAAAAGGAGATCAGTACAAATAGAGACCACCATACCCTGAATTTTGTTTTCCTTTCAGGTATTCTTTTGTTTAAGGACAATGAACTGGTATAAAAGTGCTGCACTCTTGTAGATGTAATTAAAATGGAAGTGGCTTCCCTTCTTCTCAGTGATTCAAGTCATTGAAATTAATCATCATTGGGCCAGTCTAGCAGGCTGCCACGGTCTCAATAGGAAATGTATCTCAAGGTGTCTGCTGCAGCAGCTGCAATTAAAATCTATTGAGCAATGGGATAAAATGAATCCGACACTTACCATAATAGCAGAGTCACTGGATAAATGAGGGATGTGTAATTAACAGATAACTTGAAACAGGGCCGGGGGCTTCATGTAGATTGACACTTTAGTGCTTTTTACAGGAATCATCTGATGGTGAAGAATTACTTTACCAACTCTAGCCATAATTTATTTAGGCATTCATCATATTTATTACTGACTGCTTGGGTATGATGGTTTAGTCTTGGAAATATCTATGCTCATTTCCTTGCAGAGTATGTAACAATTTAGCCCAAGGAATAAAAAAAGGCAGGCTGATTTCTTTTGTTTTCTCATCTCGCGAGTGAGGGTAGGGATTGGTTGAAAACTGAGACCAAGTTTGTGCAGGATTCTGTGTTGTTTGTGACTTCCTTTTTTTTTTTTTTTTGAGACGGAGTCTCGCTTTGTTCCCCAGGCTGGAGTGCAGTGGTGCAATCTCGGCTCACTGCAAGCTCTGCCTCCTGTGTTCACGCCATTCTCCTGCCTCAGTCTCCCGAGTAGCTGGGACTACAGGCGCCCGCCACCATGCCTGGCTAATTTTTTGTATTTTTAGTAGAGATGGGGTTTCACCATGTTAGCCAGGATGGTCTTGATCTCCTGACCTTGTGATCCACCCGCCTCAGCCTCCCAAAGTGTTTGTGACTTCTAAACATTCATTTAATTGAAGAATTGTGTGTAGAATACAATAATCTGTGAGAGCAAACGACTCCTCCCCAGTCACTGGAGACCAAAGCGTGTGTGTGTGTGTGTGTGTGTGTGTGTGTTTGTGTGTGTGTTTTACAACAGTGAGAGAATCAGAGAATCTTGGATTTAATGTATTTCATGTGACAAGTACTTTGAACAGGAATAAGAAACAAGTCTTTCAATCTCTGAAATACTTTTGGAATTCTTACATGTGTCAGGGAAATCGCCTTTGCAAAATTATGACTGAGACAGTGAAACAGATCTAACTTAACTGACTCCATCTTGCTTCTAACCTTCAGGCTGTCCTTGTTCATTCCTGGGTGTAGGCTGAACTAACTTTGGGAGAAACTTAGCTTATAGTCTATAGTTTAAACAAAGACGATAACAGCCCTTTCCCAAAGCAGACCTCCTTCTTGCTAGAGAAGGACTAGCATGGTTGGTCACCTATGGGGACGGCCAGGGACTAGATTGCCTTTGTAGAACTAACATTAGCCACAAGATTAGAAATTATGGTTTAGGAGTCATACAGCTGGAGGCTACAAGTTTCTGACCCTCCCTAAACTGCTCTTAAGATCAGTGCTTGAGATATTTTGCAGACCCTGCACTTGATGGACCAGCTGGCCCCACCCAGATCAATAAACTGGCTCATTGATCTTGTGGCCCCCACCCAGGAACTGACTCAGCACAAGAAGACAGCTCTGACTTCCTGTGATTTCATCTCTGACCAATCAGCACTCCTGGCTCACTGGTTTCCCTCTACCCACCAAGCTATCCTTAAAAACTCTGGGCTGGTTGCAGTGGTTCATGACCGTAATCCCAGCACTTTGGGAGGCCAAGGCAAGCAGATCACGAGGTCAGGAGATCGAGACCATCCTGGCTAACAAGGTGAAACCCCGTCTCTACTAAAAATACAAAAAATTAGCTGCGTATGGTGGTGGGCGCCTGTAGTCCCAGCTACTCGGGAGGCTGAGGCAGGAGAATGGCGTGAACCTGGGAAGCGGAGCTTGCAGTGAGCTGAGATGGCGCCACTGCACTCCAGCCTGGGTGACAGAGCGAGACACCATCTCAAAACAAACAAACAAACAACAACAAAAAACTCTGCTCCCCAGATGCTCAGGGAGACTGATTTGAGTAATAATAAAACTCCAGTCTCCTGTGCAGCAGGATCTGCATGAATTTCTCTTTCTCTGTTGCAATTTCCCTGTCTTGAATAATCGGCTCTGTCTAGGCAGCGGGCAAGGCGAACCCCTCGGGTGGTTACAAATTTAAGGGCTTGTCTGGGATTGCCCTTGTGGCTACATGCCTGTGGTTCGGTGGCACCCCTTTTATGGATGGATCCAGAAGCCAACCCAAGCAGTCGCCTAGTTCTCTTGGGCTGGGGACTGACTCTGGTACTCTCTCTACTGGTGGGGCACTGCCGACCCAATGTGCATGGATTTAATTGCAATGGAGAAATAGTCCTGAGATGTCCCTTAACTGTACCCCATCACAGGATATCTGTCTGTAGCCCCATTGAGGGGTGTCTGGATTGGTGAGTATTGCTGCCAAGGCCACCTTCCTTCTCCCGACTGGTTCTGTAGCCCTATGGTGGGGTGTCTGTAGCCCTATGATGGGGTGTCTGTAGCTCCATTGTGGGGTGTCTCTTTGTAGCTCTACCATGGGATACCTGTAGCCTCATTGCAGGGTGTCTGTTCGGCTCCTGGGGGTCTCAGTTGGCTCTTTCTAACTAGTAGGAAGAGTCCTGGCTTTGGAGACTTCTCAATCAGAAAGATTTTGAGGCGGTTTCTCAGACGGAGAATAGGAGGATAGTTTGGAATAAGGGATATTCTTGGAGCTCTTGGTTAGGGATCTGATTTGGAAGGCCTTCTGTCTGTCTCATCTTTGTGTGTGTTTGCATATGTGGAAGGGATCTCAGAGGGGTTGCTGATGGAAGTCCAGCAGGCCTAACTCAGAGAACCCTCCTTATTCGTCTGGTCACATTCAATGAACCCTAAAGAGGGCTTAACAGGCCTGTCTCGGAGTGCCTGTCTGCTCTTTGCCTTTCCCAGAGACCCCAATATGAATTACCCTTCAGAGGTCATCTGTCCCCACATAGAGTAGATCAAAGATGACAGGGACCAATGGGAAAAAGTTTGAGCTTTGCCAGGCTGATAGTGGGTGCTGAACAAGGTAAGTAATGTCTGTTTTGTTATGTGTGTTTTGCTGGAACGGAAAATGTTAATTCAGTTTCCCATGCAGCCCATTGGGCAGCATCTTGCAAATTAAGAACCTTGCCTATGGTTCTGTAAGACAGTAAAGGGTAATTTTCTCTTGTAAAGTGGCTTGAATCCCCAGCTATAGCACAAGTGAGCAGGGTCGCCAGAAGCCACTCGGTTCTTCTGGAAACTGCAGAGAAAGGGAACCTAGAAACCTGGTATGCCAGCAAAAAGGGTAAGAAATTCTTACCAGCCAAGTTTCTGCTTGCTCTCTCTTTCTCTGTTTGAGTAAAACAGTAAACTACTGGTGTCCTCTGCAAGGGTTTGATTAATAGAAAAAAGGATTTGTGAGACTAGTCTTAGGCTGTAGCAAATCTGGTGTACTTTGTAATAAGAATTTGTCTTTCTGTGTTCTGTAATGGAGACAGGGGTATCACAGGATAGCATGTGGGTTTAGGACCCCTATAACCCTGCTTTTCAAGCCAGCCTGGCAGGCTGGTCAGTTACAAACTTTGCTATGGGTCCCTGAAACCAATACTGTAGGAAATTTCTCTGTCTTGTTTTGTGTCCTTAACAGCTTAACTTAGTGACCATGTGGGAATACTTTCTTTTGATTTCCACCATCCAGAGGACAGGAATTTGGGGGTTCTTGTCATAGTTAGTCCTAAAAATTTTTTGTGAGCAGTTAAAGCCTTGAAAGCTTGAAACTGGCTTCTCTAGGCTCCTTCTGGGAAAAGCAATAGAAACTGCTCAATGCTGTACAGCTCAGTAGCTAAGGCTTTATCTTCTGACAGTGGTGGCCTAGGTTCAATTGTTGGCTTCTGGAATGATTCCTTTCTGGTTTGTTATTTGTGTAACTTTGCCATTTATTGAGTCTCCCCCTCCCCCCACCCATGGTTATCTTCTGATTTCCTCTCTTTAATTTTCCTTTCTCTGAACTATCTTGTAGAGCTTCTAACTCCTATAAAAAAAGAAACTGCTTACCATGCCTTTGAAGCACCTAGGAGGTTACCTTTCATAAAGTTTAGAAGCTAGAAATATTGGCCACTTGGCATGGATAAAGTCAGGTAATAAGAGATTTGAAAGGATTTCTTTTTTAGAGAGCACTATGATTAAAAATCAGCTTAATTAAAAGTGGATAAACAAGCTACAGATATATTTAAAAGGCCTTTATGTTTTTCTCTTCTTGGAACTTGTTTTTCTGGAAAAAGGTTTTTTCTTCTCAATTGACTGAATTATTTTTCTCCTTTTTTTTCTTTTTTTTCTTTTTTTTGTCTTGCCACACTTAATGCACACAGGAGAGGCCCTAAGATAACTTCCGGTAGCCTCGGACTCATTGGGAAAACAGAGGAGGTGCCACAGGCCCCATTTTGGGGAAAAAAAAAACCCCTCTGTTTTCCTCATGAAACCCAAGGAATTAAAAGCAGATAAATCCCTCTCAAAATCAAAGGCTGTGTTCTGTTTTGCATTGTGTTATCTGAAGGTTTTGAGTTTTGGGGGTATCAAATTACTTCACATTATAACTAGGTAGGAAATACACTTTAAGGGATGGCTAACAGTAGTTAGGGAGGGATACTTGACTCTTAGCACACTTGGATCAGAGAAGCAGGCTCGTGGCCACCTGGAAGACAAGGAAACATCCTCATCCCCAAATGGGAGATGAGACTCCCTCATGAGAGATGGGGTGATTACAAAATGGGCTGATTGGCTTTGGGTTGCCTTGCAATGAAATGCTGAAATGCAGGGTAGAAGCATTGCACTATCTTCTCCCATAGTCTTTCCCTCCTTTTGGGGATCCAGGATCCAGTATAAAATGGCACCCTTAATTTTGGGGAACTGTCTTTGCCTTCAGCTGCTTATTTGGCCCTAGAAATGCATGCTTTCCTGGCCCTGTTCCTCCAAGGGCTCCACCCTGAAGCCAGTAATCCAATTAAGAAACTGGCAATTGAAAAATTTTACAAGCACTGGGCAGACTGCCTCCTCAAGTGGGTCCCTGACACCCGAGTAGCCTAACTGGGAGGCATCCCCTACGGGGTGAACTGACACCTCACACGGCCAGGTGCTCCTCTGAGACAAAACTTCTAGAAGAACGATCAGGCAGAAACGTTTGCGGTTCACCAATATCCGCTGTTCTGCAGCCACCACTGCTGACACCCAGGTAAACAGGGTCTGGAGTGGACCTCCAGCAAACTCCAACAGACCTGCAGCTGAGGGTCCTGACTGTTAGAAGGAAAACTAAAACAGAAAGGACATCTGCACCAAAAACCCATCTGTACGTCACCATCATCAAAGACAAAAGGTAGATAAAACCACAAAGATGGGGGAAAAACAGAGCAGAAAAACCGGAAACTCTAAAAATCAGAGCACCCCTTCTCCTCCAAAGGAACGCAGCTCCTCATCAGCAACGGAACAAAGCTGGACAGAGAATGATGTTGACGAGTTGAGAGAAGAAGGCTTCAGAAGATCCAACTACTCCGAGCTAAAGGAGGAAGTTCGAACCAATGGCAAAGCAATTAAAAACCTTGAAAAAAAATTAGATGAATGGCTAACTAGAATAACCAATGGAGAGAAGTCCTTAAAGGACCTGATGGAGCTGAAAACCATGGCACTAGAACTACGTGACGAATGCACAAGCCTCAGTAGCCAATGCAATCAACTGGAAGAAAGGGTATCAGCGATGGAAGACGAAATGAATGAAATGAAGTGAGAAGAGAAGTTTAGAGAAAAAAGAATAAAAAGAAACGAACAAACCCTCCAAGAAATATGGGACTGTGTGAAAAGACCAAATCTACATCTGATTGGTGTACCTGAAAGTGACGGGGAGAATGGAACCAAGTTGGAAAACACTCTGCAGGATATTATCCAGGAGAACTTCCCCAATCTAGCGAGGCAGGCCAACATTCAAATTCAGGAAATACAGAGAACGCCACAAAGATGCTCCTCGAGAAGAGCAACTCCAAGACACATAATTGTCAGATTCACCAAAGTTGAAATGAAGGAAAAAATGTTAAGGGCAGCCAGAGAGAAAGGTCAGGTTACCCACAAACGGAAGCCCATCAGACTAACAGCTGATCTCTTGGCAGAAACTCTACAAGCCAGAAGAGAGTGGGGGCCAATATTCAACATTCTTAAAGAAAAGAATTTTCAACCCAGAATTTCATAACCAGCCAAACTAAGCTTCATAAGTGAAGGAGAAATAAAATACTTTACAGACAAGCAAATGCTGAGAGATTTTGTCACCACCAGGCCTGCCCTAAAAGAGCTCCTGAAGGAAGCACTAAACATGGAAAGGAACAACTGGTACCAGCCACTGCAAAAATATGCCAAATTGTAAAGACCATCGAGGCTAGGAAGAAACTGCATCAACAAATGAGCAAAATAACCAGCTAACATCATAATGACAGGATCAAATTCACACATAACAATATTAACCTTAAATGTAAATGGGCTAAATGCTCCAATTAAAAGACACAGACTGGCAAATTGGATAAAGAGTCAAGACCCATCAGTGTGCTGTATTCAGGAAACCCATCTCACATGCAGAGACACACATAGGCTCAAAATAAAGGGATGGAGGAAGATCTACCAAGCAAATGGAAAACAAAAAAAGGCAGGGGTTGCAACCCTAGTATCGGATAAAACAGACTTTAAACCAACAAAGATCAAAAGAGACAAAGAAAGCCATTACATAATAGTAAAGGGATCAATTCAACAAGAAGAGCTAACTCTCCTAAATATATATGCACCCAATACAGGAGCACTCAGATTCATAAAGCAAGTCCTTAGTGACCTACAAAGAGACTTAGACTCCCACACAATAATAATGGGAGACTTTAACACTCCACTGTCAACATTAGACAGATCAACGAGACAGAAAGTTAACAAGGATATCCAGGAATTGAACTCAGCTCTGCACCAAGTGGACCTAATAGACATCTACAGAACTCTCCACCCCAAATCAACAGGATATACATTCTTTTCAGCACCACACCACACTTATTCCAAAATTGACCACATAGTTGGAAGTAAAACACTCCTCAGCAAATGTAAAAGAACAGAAATTATAACAAACTGTCTCTCAGACCACAGTGCAATCCAACTAGAACTCAGGATTAAGAAACTCACTCAAAACCGCTCAACTACATGGAAACTGAACAACCTGCTCCTGAATGACTACTGGGTACATAACGAAATGAAGGCAGAAATAAAGATGTTCTTTGAAACCAACGAGAACAAAGACACAACATACCAGAATCTCTGGGACACATTCAAAGCAGTGTGTAGAGGGAAATTTATAGCACTAAATGCCCACAGGAGAAAGCAGGAAAGATCTAAAATTGACACTCTAACATCACAATTAAAAGAACTAGAGAAGCAAGAGCAAACACATTCAAAAGCTAGCAGAAGGCAAGAAATAACTAAAATCAGAGCAGAACTGAAGGAAATAGAGACATAAAAAACCCTTCAAAAAATCCATGAATCCAGGAGGTGGTTTTTTGAAAAGATCAACAAAATCGATAGACTGCTAGCAAGACTAATAAAGAAAAGAGAGAACAATCAAATAGATGCAATAAAAAATGACAAAGGGGATATCAGTACCAATCCCACAGAAATACAAACTACCATCAGAGAATACTATAAACACCTCTACGCAAATAAACTAGAAAATCTAGAAGAAATGGATAAATTCCTGGACACATACACTCTCCCAAGACTAAACCAGGAAGAAGTTGAATCCCTGAATAGACCAATAACAGGCTCTGAAATTGAGGCAATAATTAATAGCTTACCAACCAAAAAAAGTCCAGGACCAGATAGATTCACAGCTGAATTCTACCAGAGGTACAAGGAGGAGCTGGTACCATTCCTTCTGAAACTATTCCAATCAATAGAAAAAGAGGGAATCCTCCCTAACTCATTTTATGAGGCCAGCGTCATCCTGACACCAAAGTCTGGCAGAGACACAACAAAAAAAGAGAATTTTAGACCAATATCCTTGATGAACATTGATGCAAAAATCCTCAATAAAATACTGGCAAACCGAATCCAGCAGCACATCAAAAAGCTTATCCACCATGATCAAGTGGGCTTCATCCCTGGGATGCAAGGCTGATTCAACATACGAAAATCAATAAACGTAATCTGGCATATAAACAGAACCAAAGACAAAAGCCACATGATTATCTCAATAGATGCAGAAAAGGCCTTTGACAAAATTCAACAACTTCATGCTAAAAACTCTCAATAAATTAGGTATTGATGGGACGTACCTCACAATAATAAGCGCTATCTATGACAAACCCACAGCCAATATCATACTGAATGGACAAAAACTGGAAGCATTCCCTTTGAAAACTGGCACAAGACAGGGATGCCCTATCTCACCACTCCTATTCAACATAGTGTTGGAAGCTCTGGCCAGGGCAATCAGGCAGGAGAAGGAAATAAAAGGCATTCAATTAGGAAAAGAGGAAGTCAAATTGTCCCTGTTTGCAGATGACATGATTATATATCTAGAAAACCCCACCTTCTCAGCCCAAAATCTCCTGAAGCTGATAAGCAACTTCAGCAAAGTCTCAGGATACAAAATCAATGTGCAAAAATCACAAGCATTCTTATACACCATTAACAGACAAACAGAGAGCCAAATCATGAGTGAACTCCCATTCACAATTGCTTCAAAGAGAAGAAAATACCTAGGAATCCAACTTACAAGGGATGTGAAGGACCTCTTCAAGGAGAACTACAAACCACTGCTCAATGTAATAAAAGAGGATACAAACAAATGGAAGAATATTCCATGCTCATGGGTAGGAAGAATAAATATCATGAAAATGGCCATACTGCCCAAGTTATTTATAGATTCAATGCCATCCCCATCAAGCTACCAATGACTTTCTTCACAGAATTGGAAAAAACTACTTTAAAGTTCATACGGAACCAAAAAAGAGCTCACATTGCCAAGTCAATCCTAAGCCAAAAGAACAAAGCTGGAGGCATCACACTACCTGACTTCAAGCTATACTACAAGACTACAGTAACCAAAACAGCATGGTACTGGTACCAAAACAGAGATATAGACCAATGGAACAGAACAGAGCCCTCAGAAATAATGCCACATATCTACAACTATCTGATCTTTGACAAACCTGACAAAAACAAGCAATGGGGAAAGGATTCCCTGTTTAATAAATTGTGCTGGGAAAAGTGGCTAGCCATATGTAGAAAGCTGAAACTGGATCTCCTTACACCTTAGACAAAAATTAATTCAAGATGGATTAAAGACTTACATGTTAGACCTAAAACCATAAAAACCCTAGAAGAAAACCTAGGCAATACCATTCAGGAGATAGGCATGGGCAAGGACTTCATGTCTAAAACACCAAAAGCAATGGCAACAAAAGCCAAAATTGACAAATGGGATCTAATTAAACTCAAGAGCTTCTGCAGAGCAAAAGAAACTACCATCAGAGTGAACAGGCAACCTACAGAATGGGAGAAAATTTTTGCAACCTACTCATCTGACAAAGGGCTAATATCCAGAATCTACAATGAACTCAAACAAATTTACAAGAAAAAAAAAACCCCATCAAAAAGTGGGTGAAGGATATGAACAGACACTTCTCAAAAGAAGACATTTATGCAGTCAAAAAACACATGAAAAAATGCTTATCATGACTGGCCATCAGAGAAATGCAAATCAAAACCACAATGAGATACCATCTCACACCAGTTAGAATGGCAATCATTAAAAAGTCAGGAAACAACAGGTGCTGGAGAGGACGTGGAGAAATAGGAACACTTTCACACTATTGGTGAGAATGTAAACTAGTTCAACCGTTGTGGAAGTCAGTGTGGTGATTCCTCAGGGATCTAGAACTAGAAATACCATTTGACCCAGCCATCCCATTACTGGGTATATACCCAAAGGATTATAAATCATGCTGCTATAAAGACACATGCACACATATGTTTTTTGTGGCACTGTTAACGATAGCAATGACTTGGAACCAACCCAAATGTTCAACAATGATAGACTGGATTAAGAAAATGTGGCATATATACACCATGGAATACTATGCAGCCATAAAAAAGGATGAGTTCATGTCCTTCGTAGGGACGTGGATGAAGCTGGAAACCATCATTCTCAGCAAACTATTGCAAGGACAAAAAACCAAACACCACATGTTCTCACTCATAGGTGGGAATTGAACAATGAGAACACATGGACACAGGAAGGGGAACATCACACACCGGGGCCTGTTGTGGGGTGGGGGCGGGGGAGGGATAGCATTAGGAGATATACCTAATGCTAAATGACGAGTTAATGGGTGCAGCACACCAACATGGCTCATGTATACATAGGTAACAAACCTGCACGTTGTGCACATGTACCCTAAAACTTAAAGTATAATAAAAATAAAAGAAAAAAAAAGAAAAATTTTACAAGCATTGAATCTTCTGTCTGCATTTTTGTATGTGTTGTATGTTTATCTATAAAAGAGCTCTGATTAATTGGCTTAGAAAAAGCACTTAAATCAAACATTTTGTCAGAAAAAAGAAGCTTTAATGCCTTTTTGTTCACGTGACTTTAGTAATCTTTTGGAAATAAAGACAGTTTTAAGGATTATTGGTAAAATAAAATGTCTTGAAAATGTAGACATTTGGTCTAAATTAAGGTCAGATATCAGATTTGCTAAATGCTTTAAGGTCAAACTGTTTGACTTTTGAAAATTGTTCAATTTACCTACTTTGGAGCATTAGGTTATAAATAAGGCCTGGGAACATATGGAGAGCCATGCCTACTAGCTATGCTAAAAGGAGTAAGAGTTAACAGTATAATATGTAGTTGAGACCACTGGAGAAACAGTTTTACGTACAAGGTGTATAGGGAAGGTGTTTTTGGTAAAAGATTATAAGAAGGCATAGGAATATGGATTTTGTTAAAGAGAATGTAATTTTGTCCAGTTCAGAGGATTTTATAGATTGTCTTAACCTAAAAGAGTAATGGGACAAAACTGAAGTCTTAAGCAAAGTGAAAAGGGTTTGGTTAATTTTATGAAAAAATTCTGTGGGTATAAACAAGGTGGCTAAGATTTAAGAGAAATTATTTAGGTTTTTTCCACAGGTTAACACATTAAAATCATACTGATGTGGGACCAGAATCTGGGCCCATGTGTCCAAGTAACAGGGTTTTCTTAGAAAATTAATCTGCTATTTGATGGAAAATTGTAAAGTGTTCTAAAAAGTTAATGAAAATCTTACCTTATGGCCAAATTAATTAAAACTGGATAGAAATATAAAATTTTATTTAAATAACTAGCTTTAACATTAAAGATGCTGTAATGCAAACATGAAATTTGGTTTCCTTTTTTGAAGACGATTTTTAAGTAATGTTAAAAGATAATGAAAATGGTTTTGTTTTCTCCTTTGGGTAAATGGCAGGGAAAAAAAGGGGAGGAGAGAGAAGAGACAAATTCAGCTGGCCTCATGCTATCTTTATTGGCTAAGTTTCCTATCTGAGTAAAGATTTTTCTTTTAAGATTTTGGAGTTATCATTTTGGCCAAATGAATGACTTATGATGACCTGTGATTCTATTTTGTGATATCCAGTGTTTTAAACCTTTGATATCTGACAACTTTCCAAAAAAAAATTATAAATTATGTCTCTTTCTAGCCTAATATTTTAGATGTTAGGTCCTCTAAAGTCCAGTAATGACATTTGGCTTATTTGGTACAAAAATTATACAGGAAGCATCATCAAATATGAAATGGTGTTTGGCTTTCTTTGGTCTATATTTATGTAAATGTGTTATTGGTATATGTTCCAAAATTATGTAAAACTCCTATAATTGTAATATGACTTAATATATGTTATCAGTATTATAATTATTTTGGTAACAGACTGTGTGCCATGGAGGTAAAAATTTCCTTGTCAATTGTGTCTTTAACTGTGGCTGCCCTAAAATATTTTTGTCATCTACAGACATTTGTCTTGTTTCGGTCCTCTTTAAAAGATGGTTTTATAATGAGCTATTTAAGGTGCTCTTAAATGCAGGATTCTGATGAATAATGCTGGAGATTGTGAGATTAGAAGAAAAAGTTTCAAATAGAAGAGTAAATGCTGTTTGGTTTACTTTGGACTGTGTTTGTATAAATGTTATGAGTATGTGTTCCAAAATTATGGGAAACTTCTATAATGTTAGTATAATTTAGTGTACATTATTAATTGTAATTGTTATATAAAATTGTTTTATGCCACAGAAGTAACCCAAATTCCTAGTCAATTGTAGCTTTAATAGTGGCTATAGACTTTTGTCATCCACAGACATTTTGTCTTGTTTTGGTCCTTTTCAAAAGGCAGTTTATGATCAGATATAGGACTCTTAAGTGCAGGACTCAGATAACTTTAAAAATTGTGCTATTGGAGTACATGAAAAAGCCAAACTTCTAGGACTCTCATGGAGAGCTAATGTGTTAAACATTGCTAAACCTTTTGTTTTCAGAGACAAGAGGACTAATTTCTTTAGAGCTATTTGCAACTTTTAACAAGTGAGTAAAATATACTCTTGTGAACAAAATTTGGATCATATTTGTTCTTTTCTACCTGATTTCTCCAGAATTCGGAAACTATTTGTGAATATTCTCAATTTATGGCATTATAGTATAGTTAATTGTATAAGCACAGTAAGAATCTCTTTCCTTTTGTAACAGGACACAATTGGATAAACTGGTTATTTTACCAAGGCTTTGACTGGAATGGCATGCTTCTTTTAAAGAATCAAAGTTGACTTATAGAGCCAATTAAAGTCCATTGGGGAATCTGGCCTCATACCTTGTGTACACAGAGTCCCTGTACCAGGTTCCTGACCTGTGGAAAGTTAAAGAATGCCACTTTCTAACAGGCCCAGGAACCCCAAGTTATCTTGGGACCTTAAGAGAAGAGGAATTTGCCCAACTCATAGGTATTTGAGGATACAAACCCATGCCTGGGCTCACCTTTTAAAAAGTCTTATCTGAGAGTCTTCATAGAGCAGAGTTCTATCAAAGCCAGTTTAAAAAGCCTAAGTGAAAAATAATTATTCTTGCTGCACTTTTTGCCAATAATCAGGCCAAGTACAGTAAGAGTAAAGTTTATTTTGTAAACAAGTCAGTTCTATCATGATTTGTTTTGAATAAAAATGGGGACTGGAGACAGAAAAATTATGCTTCAAAAGAAAAGCTATAGTACACTGTTGTTAGCTGTTCTTGAGGTTTTTTCTGCAGTTTAGACTAAATTCTAAATTCTTTGTGGGTTAGAAGTCCCCAAACTAATGCTTTCAGATCTTTGCTTTTAAAATTGGGAATTGTACTCCTCATCCTCGGACTCGTTATTTACCTTATAGTAGGCTGGTCACTTTAAACACTGTAGTAAAACTATAGATGAGAGTACTAATGTTTTTTGCCATGCAAGCCTTGAAAACCCAGCCAGGCCTGCATGAGTACACTCAGACAATTGCAAAGTGGTTCTACTCTTCTCACCTTGGGGGTCACTCCCATTCCCACTACATCTCCTGTCAGCAGAAAGAAGCCAGAGTGATCGACGGCCTTTTCCCATCCTCATAGCCTACACCTTAAGATCAAGGTGTTATAAAAACCCAAAAGGAGGGATTGAAATCACCTTTGCAAAATCATATTGAGACAGTGAAACAGATCTAACTTAACTAACTCCATCTTGCTTCTAACCTCCAAGCTGTCCTTGTTCATTCCTGGGTGTAGGCTGAACTAACTTTGGGAGAAACTTAGTTTATAGTTTAAAGGAAGATGGTAACAGCCCTTTGTCAAAGCAGGTCTCCTTCTTGCCTGGGGACTAGATTGCCTTTGTAGGACTAACATTAGCCACAAGATTAGAAATTATGGTTTAGGAGTCATGCAGCTGGAGGCTACAAGTTTCTGACCCTCCCTAAACTGCTCTTAAGATCAGTGCTTGAGATATTTTGCAGACCATGCACTTGATGGACCAGCTGGCCCCACCCAGATCAATAAACTGGCTCATTGATCTTGTGGCCCCCACCCAGGAACTGACTCAGCACAAGAAGACAGCTCTGACTTCCTGTGATTTCATCTCTGACCAATCAGCACTCCTGGCTCACTAGCTTCCCCCCACCCACCAAGTTATCCTTAAAATCTCTGCTCCCTGACTGCTAGGGGAGGCTGATTTAAGTGATAATAAAACTCCGGTCTCCTGCATGGCCAACTCTGCATAAATTACTCTTTCTCTATTGCAATGCCCCTGTCGTGATGAATCGGCTATCTAGGCAGTGGGCAAGATGAACTTCTTGGGTGGTTAACCCAGTTAGGATTAGGTTTGACTGCATATAACTGAGAAACCTCAAATATCGTAGCTTAGAACGGGTTTATTTTTGTCTTATGTAAAAAAGTTTGTAGGTGGACAGTCCAGAAGACAAAGAGGGGCATGCTCCCTCTGGTTAAGTACTCTTTCAGGAAATTGCACACATTATTTTTCTTACACCTTATTGGTCAGAACTTAGTTTCATAACTATGGCTATCTCAAGAGAAGCTGGGAAATGTATTATTCTGGGTGGCCATGTATCCAGCTGACAACTGGTATCCTGATATTAAAAGGAGTGGGAGGATTGATACTGGGATACATGTTAGATGCACTGGATAGTGGAAATTTAAATTTATCCATGGACTTCCCGTGAGTTTCTGCCATTTCAGCACAGCCAGTAAAACCATCTTGGATATAGGCTATGTGGATAAACGAATTTCTTTTCACCTTTAACGGTTAACGGTGGCTGAAGCTGTGGCTCTTTTGCCTTGGCCACTCAACCTGATTTGTGCCAGGCAAAAATACTTGGCATTTTAACAGTTTTTCCAGAAGTCATGATACTTAGTTCTAAATAGTGACCATCAGGTAATGCCCAGAGGGGTCATTACTGCTGCTGTATGTGGGGGCCAGAATTGAATGCTTCCCAGTTTGAAGGGCTTTAGAGCACAAGTCTCCACTATAAACAAGGGGACAACTGTGCTGGGCAAAGTAGCCTTTATGGGTGTGGGGGTAACCAGGGCTGTTGCTAAAGCGGGGGAGGGAATTGGAGAGCCTTTCTCTCAGGAATCAATATGGAGGACAGCAGTCCATGGGAGCATTTGGTTCCCACCACAGCACGGGCATGAAGAATGGTAGCTCAGGAACCAGAATCCAAGAATGTAGTAAGTTTCTGAAGCCTTTGTCATTTTTCTGCATGTGTATTTCTCTCACCCCATGTCTCCATAGTGATGACAGTAAAATTCTGAAATCACAAGGAGCTCAAACAAATATCCTCAGAGTCAGTGAAAGAGGGAATGGAGGATGCCTGAACCCAGCCCTTTGCCAGGTATGGGGGGAGAATCTGGGGGGCTATAAGAAGTAATCACTTCCTGAAAGAAGGCAAAGTGGGCTGAGTTTAGGGAGGCTGACTGGAGAAATAAAAGGAGAATGGCAGGGTGGGGAGCTGGCCCCAGCCTGACAGGCGGGAGCCCACCACCAGCCCCCAAGTTCTATGACAAGGGATGCACTTAGTGTGTGGTACACATGTAAGTTGTAGATGCTCATGACCTGGACTTGAATTTTGCACTTATCATTACTTTCTATGAGCCTATGTGCAAGCCATTTCATTCCTTTGAGCCTCCATTTCCTCAAGTACAAAATGTGGATAATAATAGCCCTACTTCTTAGGGTTCTAAAGATTCAATGACATTCATGTAAAGTGTTTAGAAGTCTGGTATTTGTTAACACACAAAAAGTGCACTGTTATTATTAAACTTAGGCAATCTGTGATATTTAGATTGGAAGAAGCTATCTCCAATCATTCTGAAATCATGCCAGTGAATGTGAGGATAAGATGAGTGGTGACAAGGAAGGTGACTTCAAAAAGATGTAGATTCAACCCAAGATTAAGCAAAATAACTATACTCAAAATAACTGTATTGCAGAAGCTCTCTTGACTAGCCAACACTTAACCTCTTTGCAGGACCAGCCGATGCTTGCCATTCCCTCTGTAGTATTATAAACACTGACAGAGCTAGGGCATCCGGATGATTCAGCTGGGTGCCCACTCTCCGCTGTGGCAGCACGCTTCTGCTTCTGCAGTAAACTTGCATGTTTACCAAGAGTAAGTTGTGTTTGTTCTCAAACCTCCTTATACCAGTTATTCTGACATTGTGCTTACATAATTTGGTAAAATCTTTTGAAATTGATGAGATATGAGTGAGAAAAGGAAGGCATTTTTTATGACTGCTCTGAAAGGACTCAACAGAGGCAAGTTGCTGAAAATAATGTATAATTAGGTGAGAGCAAGATATCTGTAAAAGATTGGGAAAAGTTGTAAAACTCAGGAGTTCTATACTCAGATGGTTCTGCAAGTATCTTTAAGTACAGATTCATTTTCAAGAAGCCTAAACTGGAAATCAGGGGTGATAAATTATTGGCATGATTTATATTTCTGATTGAAGGTACACTTATCTGATTTAAGTTAAACTATTTGACATATCCATGTATTAATTTTTAAATTCCCTGCTTTAACACATTCTTCTTTAGGTTATAGTAATCAACTTCTGCTCTCATTTGAATTGGAATGGAGGGCATCTACCAAACTAGACATTCCTATATATACATTGGTTAGTGTTTCCCCCCTCTCTCTACATATATGTGTAATATACATGGGTTAGTGTTCATATTTCATTTTATATTTTAAGAAAACCTTCATTATTTTGTCTTTTTTTTTTTTTTTTGAGACAGAGTCTTGCTTTTCTGACCAGGCTAGTGTGCAGTGGCACTATCTCAGCTCGCTGCAACCTCTGCCTCCCGGGTTCAAGTGATTCTCATGCCTCAGCCTCCCGAGTAGCTGGGATTACAGGCGCTTGCCACCATGCCCAGCCATTTTTTTTGTATATTTTTAGTAGAGATGGGGTTTTGCCATGTTAGCCAGGCTGGTCTCGAACTCCTGACCTCAAGTGATCTGCCCCACCTTGGCCTCCCAAAGTGCTGGGATTACAGGCATGAGCCACCACACCTGGTGTGGAAAACCTTCATTATTTTAATATACAGATAGTCCCCATCTTATGATGGTTCAACTTATAATTTTTGACTTTATGATGGTATAAAAGCAATACCCATTCAGTGGAAACTGTACTTCGAGTACACATACAACCACTCTATTTTTTACTTTCAATATAGTATTCAATAAACTATATGAGATATTCAACAGTTATTTCAAAATAGGCTTTGTGTTTGATAATTTTGCCCAACTTTGGGTTAATGTAAGTGCTCTAGCTGGATGCAGTGGCTCATGCCTGTAATCCCGGCACACTGGGAGGCCGAGGTGGGTGGATCACCTGAGGTCAGGAGTTTGAGACCAGCCTGGACAACACGCGGAAAGCCCGTCTCTACTAAAAATATAAAAATTATCTGGGTGTGATGGTGTGCACCTGTAGTCCCAGCTACTTGGGAGGCTAAGGCAAGAGAATCACTTGAACCTGGGAGGTGGAGTTTGCAGTGAGCCAAGATTGCACCACTGCACTCCAGCCTGAGTGACAGAGCAAGACTCCATCTTATATATATATAAATATATAGATATAAAAAAATATATATATAAATATATAAATATATATAGATATACAGATATATAAATATATAAATATATAGATATATAAATATATAAATATATATAGATATATATAAATATATAAATATATATAGATATATAAATATATAGATATATAGATATATATAAAATATATAGATATATAGATATATATAAAATATATAGATATATAGATATATATAAAATATATAGATATATATAAATATATAAAAATTATAGATATATATAAATATATATAAATATATAGATATATATAAATATATATAGATATATAAATATATAAATATATAAAAATATATATAAATATATAAAAATATATATAAATATATATAAATATATAAATATATATATAAATATATAAATATATAAATATATATATAAATATATAAATATATATAAATATATAAAAATATAAAAATATATAAATATATATAAATATATAAATATATAAATATATATAAAATATATATAAAAATATATATAAAAATATATAAATATATATAAAAATATATATAAATATATAAATATATATAAATATATATAAATTAAATATATATAAATATATAAATATATATAAATATATATAAATATATAAATATATATATAAATATATGTAAATATATATATAAATATATAAATATATGTAAATATATATAAATATATATATAAATATATATAAATATATATAAATATATATATGTAAATATATATATAAATATATATATAAATATATATATAAATATATATATAAATATATATATGTAAATATATATATAAATATATATATGTAAATATATATATATAAATATATATATAAATATATATATATAAATATATATATAAATATATATATAAATATATATATATAAATATATATATATAAATATATATATAAAAATAATGTAAGTGTTCTGAGCACATATATGGTAGGTTAGGCTGAGCTATAATGTTCAGTAGCTTAGGTATATTAAGTGTATTTTTGACTTAGTGATATTTTCAACTTTTTTCAGTTGTAACTGATAAAACATCCTGAGTTTATCAGGATGTAACCTCACTGTAAGTCAAGGAGTATCTATAGTTCTTTTCTTTTTAAAAAAAATTTAAAAAAATTTTGTGGGTGTATATATTTATGAGGTACATGAGATGATTTGGGTCATCCATGCAATGTGTAATAAGCACATTATGGGGATTGGAGTATCCATTCCCTCAAGCATTTATCCTTTGAGTTACAAACAATCCAATTATACTCTTTAAGTTATTTAAAAATGTACAATTAAGTTATTATTGACTATATTCACCTATTATGCTATCAAATAGGTTGTACTCATTCGTTCTCACTATGTTTTTGTACCGGTTAACCATCCCCATCCCCCCCACCTCCCACCCCCCACTACCCTTCCCAGCCTCTGGAAATTATCCTTCTAATCTCTAAGTCCAGGAGTTCAATTGTTTTGATTTTTAGATCTCATAAATAAGTGAGAACATGTGATGTTTGTCTTTCTGTGCCTGACTTATTTCACTTAACATAATGATATCCAGTTCCATCCATGTTGTCGCAGATGACTGGATCTCATTCTTCTTATGGCTGAATAGTACTCCATTGTGTATATATATCACATTTTCTTTATCCATTCATCTGTTGATGGACACTTTGGTCATTTCCAAATTGCGGCTATTGTGAACAGTGCTGCAACAAATATGGGAGTGCAGATATCTCTTTGATATACTGATTTCCTTTCTTTTGGATCTATACCCAGCAGTGGGATTGCTGAATCATATAGTATCCCTATTTTCAGTTTTTTAAGGAACCTCCAAACTATTATTCTCCATAGTTCTTGTACTAATTTGCATTCCCACCAACAGTGTATGAGGGTTCCCTTTTCTCCACATCCTCAACAGTATTTTTTATTGCCTGTCTTTTAGATATAAGCCATTTTAACTGGGGTGAGATAATAGCTCATTGCAGTTTTGATTTGCATTTCTCTGATGATCATGATGTTGAGCACCTTTCCCGTAATTTCTTTCCAAAGGCATCAAAAAAATTTTTAATAATGACTGTTTCACATCTAATAACTCAAAAAACAGAAAAAAGTGGCATCAATTCATGACATCTTAGAGGTAATAATCAATTAGAGTCTTACTAATTACTATAAGTAATTAATTATGTTAAATCCATAGAGGTTTTTTTCTTCAGTCCTAAGAGTTGCAGAGTTTTACCAAGGCACTCACATTGAAGGAAGTCACACTTGATGTAATATTATATTTCCCAATATAAATTAAGAATAGAAACAAAGTAAGAGATATTACTTAAGAGGAAAGATTTGAACAATTGCAGACAGACGTACAGTT
Organism: Homo sapiens; assembly: GCF_000001405.40. NCBI lineage: Eukaryota > Metazoa > Chordata > Mammalia > Primates > Hominidae > Homo > Homo sapiens. The sequence goes on along the minus strand of NC_000011.10, from coordinate 14,158,936 downwards.
CTCCACACCTAGCATATTAGAACTGATACCAGCAAGTGAGATTGGGTTAGAGACACAAATCAGAAAGATGCAAGAGAAAGACTTGCATGTAGGAGAGACAGAACCCAAGTACTTAAAGAAGAGATACTAGTTTCACCTGCAACACTGATAAGCGAGCTTATATGAGGCCAACAATCTCCCAAGAACAACTACAAAAAATGAATAAAACAAAACAAAGTAACTTGGTTTAAAGTATTGGAAAGGTCTCAATGCAGCCAGGACTTGAAGGCCAAGATCCTGGAGAGAAGGGAAATGCATGGAGGTGAGTCAGATATTCCAAACTGCTTTTTTCCCTTCAGGCTCTGGCTTTTTCATCAGCCACACAAGGCTAAGAGGCTGAGAAGCTGAGTACAGCTTTCATCAGTCTCATAAGACTGGGGAGAGAAAATGACTTGAGCTAAGATCAAGTCCCTGAAGAGAAAGGGACAGAGAAGTGAGCCTGATGTTTGGCACTGCTGTTTCTTCTGAGGCAGTTGCTAATTTGTAAGAGTCATGGTGAAGGAAGTTTGCAACTCTGGGTAGAAATTAGTGGCTAAGAGATTAAACAGAGCTTTTAGCAGCCTCAGATTTGGGGAAGATTAAAATTGGAAATTGGAAACCATAAGGAAGAGACACACTGGTAAGCACTACAGGCTTTAAGTGAGGAACCCTGAAGAGCTACACCCATGGAATAAGAGTGAACCATAAGTAAAAGAGCCCTCACAAAGACAGAATCCAGCTTAAAAACAACCCAACCCAAGGCCTGATTAGGTGATTTTCCATACTCCAACTGCCTGCTAGAAGAAGCAAATCTTTGTGAAGGAAGATAATGTCATCCAGAGCCCCTATAATTTATCATACACATGTCTGGCATTCAATAGAAAATGATGAGACATACCAAGAAACTGAAGCAAGGGAAAAACAAATAATAGAAATAGACCTACAAATGATCTAGATATTATAGTTACCAGACTTGGACTTAAAAACTATAATTAATATGTTCAAGGAAATAGAAATCTAGATGGAGAATTTTAGCAACAAACTGGAATTTCTAAAAAAAAGAATCAAATGAAAATTCTAGAACTAATATTAATAAATATAACTAGAATTAAGAACAAGTTTAATAGCATTTCAGACTAGCAGAGGAGAGGACTAGGAAATATCCACGCTAAAGTATGGAGGGAAAATGATAAATAATATACAAAAAAAGCATAAGAAGCATATGGAAAATGATGATAAAGTTGAACATATATATAATTAAAGTTCCAGAAGGAAAGGAGAAAGAATATTGGGATAGAACCAATGTTTGAAGAAATAAGGGCCAGAATTTTCCAAAACTGACAAAAGATACCAAGACATGGATGCATGAAGTGCTAGAAATCTCAAAAACAATAAATATAAATAAAGTCATGCCTACCTATGTAGTAAAACTACTGACAATCAGAGATAAAGACAAAATCTTAAAAGCAGCTATGTAAAAAGACATGTTATTTTCTAACAAGCAACCATAAGACTGACAGATGACTTCTCAACAGAAATCATGAAAGCCACAGACAGACAAGTGATGCCTTAAAAATACTGAATGAAAATAAGTGGCAACTTATTTAAAAATACTCTTCAAAAATAAAGACAAAATAAAGACATTTTCAGATAAATAAGAACTGAGAATTCTTTGCCTGCAAATTCTAAAAAATGCTGAAGGAGTTTTTCAGGTAGAAGGAAATCATCCCAGAAGGAAAATGGACATAAAAAAAGGAAGAACAACAGAAAGAATAAATATATGGGTAAAGCCAAATGAATTTTGACTGGGCAAAGCAATACTAATAATGTGTTGTAGGGTTAAAATATATATGAAATTTAATTATTTGGTAACAATAATACTTAAGATGGTAGTGGATTGATATAGTTTGGCTCTCCGTCCTCGACCAAATCTCATGTTGAATTGTAATCTTCAATGTTGGAGAAGGGGTCTGGTCAGAGGTGATTGAATCATGGGGGCAGACTTCCCCTTGCTGTTCTTGTAATAGTGAGTGAGTGCTCAGAGATTTGGTTGTTTAAAAGTGTGTGGCATCAGTGGAACAGAACAGAGCCCTCAGAAATAATGCCGCATATCTACAACTATCTGATCTTTGACAAACCTGACAAAAACAAGCAATGGGGAAAGGATTCCCTATTTAATAAATGGTGCTGGGAAAACTGGCTAGCCATATGTAGAAAGCTGAAACTGGATCCCTTCCTTACACCTTAGACAAAAATTACTTCAAGATGGATTAAAGACTTACATGTTAGACCTAAAACCATAAAAACCCTAGAAGAAAACCTAGGCAATACCATTCAGGAGATAGGCATGGGCAAGGACTTCATGTCTAAAACACCAAAAGCAATGGCAACAAAAGCCAAAATTGACAAATGGGATCTAATTAAACTCAAGAGCTTCTGCAGAGCAAAAGAAACTACCATCAGAGTGAACAGGCAACCTACAGAATGGGAGAAAATTTTTGCAACCTACTCATCTGACAAAGGGCTAATATCCAGAATCTACAATGAACTCAAACAAAGTTACAAGAAAAAAACAAACAACCCCATCAACAAGTGGGCGAAGGACATGAACAGACACTTCTCAAAAGAAGACATTTATGCAGCCAAAAAACACATGAAAAAAATGCTCACCATCACGGCCATCAGAGAAATGCAAATCAAAACCACAATGAGATACTATCTCACACCAGTTAGAATGGCAATCATTAAAAAGTCAGGAAACAACAGGTGCTGGAGAGGATGTGGAGAAATAGGAACACTTTTACACTGTTGGTGGGACTGTAAACTAGTTCAACCATTGTGGAAGTCAGTGTGGTGATTCCTCAGGGATCTAGAAATACCATTTGGCCTAGCCATCCCATTACTGGGTATATACCCAAAGGACTATAAATCATGCTGCTATAAAGACACATGCACATGTATGTTTATTGCGGCACTATTCACAATAGCAAAGACTTGGAACCAACCCAAATGTCCAACAATGATAGACTGGATTAAGAAAATGTGGCACATATACACCATGGAATACTATGCAGCCATAAAAAATGATGAGTTCATGTCCTTTGAGGGACATGGATGAAATTGGAAATCATTATTCTCAGTAAACTATCGCAAGAACAAAAAACCAAACACCACATATTCTCACTCATAGGTGGGAATTGAACAATGAGAACACATGGACACAGGAAGGGGAACATCACACTCTGGGGACTGTTGTGGGGTAGGGGGAGTGGGGAGGGATAGCTTTAGGAGATATACCTAATGCTAGAGGACGAGTTAGTGGGTGCAGCGCACCAGCATGGCACATGTATACATATGTAACTAAACTGCACATTGTGCACATGTACCCTAAAACTTAAAGTATAATAATAATAAAATAAAAATAAATAAAAAAATAGATGTGTGTGGCACCTCCCCTGCCTTCCTCCTGCTCCAGCCATGTAGGACATGTCAGTTTCCCCTTCACCTGCCGCCATGATTGTATATTTCCTGAGGCCTTCCCAGCCATGCTTCCTGTATAGCCTGTGGAACTGTGAGCCAATGAAACCTCTTTTCTTTGTAAATTACCCAGTCTCAGACAGTTCTTTATAGCAATGTGAGAATGGACTAATACAGAAAATTGGTACCTGGAGTGGGGCATTGCGACAAAGATACTTGAAAATGTGTAAGTGACTTTGGAACTGGGTAATGGGCAGAGGTTGGAACAATTTGGAGGGCTTAGAAGAAGATAGGAAGATGAGGGAAAGTTTGGAACTTTCCAGAGACTTGTCAAATTGTTGTGACCAAAAGCTGAAGTGATATGGACAGTGAAGCCCAGGCTAAGGTCTCAGATGGAGATGAGGAACTTACTGGGAACTGGAGTAAAGGGCACTCTTGCTATGCCTTAGCAAAGAGACTGGCGGCATTGTGTCCCTGCTCTAGAGATCTGTGGAACTTTGAACTTAAGAGTGATGATTTAGGGTATCTAAAATTTAGAAATTTTATCTTAGAAATTTAGAAATTTCTAAGTAGCAAAGCATCCAAGATGTGGCCTGGCTGCTTCTAAAAGCCTACACTAACCTGCATAAACAAAGAAATGACCTGACACTAAAACTTATACTTAAAAGGGAAGTACAGCATAAAAGTTTGGAAAACTTGCAGCCTGGCCATGTGGTAGAAAAGAAAAACCCATTTTCTGGGGAAGAATTCAAGCCTGCTGCAGAAATTTGCCTAAGTAAAGAGAAGCCAAATGTTAGTAGCCAAGACAATGGGAAAAATGCCTGTAAGGCATTTCAGAAACCTTCACAGCAGCCTGTCCCATCACAGGCCCAGAGTCCCAAGAGGGAAAAATGGTTTTGTGGGCCAGGCACAGGGTCCCACTGCCTTGTGCAGCCCTGGGACATGATGCCCTGCATCCTAGCCTCTCTAGCTCCAGCCATGGCTAAGCGGGGCCAAGATATGTCTCAGGTCACAGCTCCAGAGGGTGCAAGCTGGAAGCCACCAAGGCTTCCACACAGTGTTAAGCCTGTGAGTGTGCAGGTGGCAAAAGTTGAGGCTGACATATATTCCAGAGGATGTATGGAAACACCTGTATGTCATGGCAGAAGTCTGCTGCAGGGATGGAGCCCTCATGGAGAACCTCTACTATGACAGTGCAGAGGGGAAATGTGGGGTTGGAGCCCCCACACAGTATCCTTACTGGGGCACTGCCTAGTGGAGCTGTGAGAAGAGGGTCACCATTCTCCAGACCCCAGAATGGTAGATCTACCAACAGCTTGCACCATGTGCCTGGAAAAGCTGCAGGCACTTGATGCCAGTCTGTGAAAACAGCTGCAGGGGCTATACCCTGCATAGCCACAGAAGTGGAGCTGCCCAAGGCCTTGAGAGCCCATCATTTGCATCAGTATGGCCTGGATGTGAGACATGGAGTCTAAGGAGATTATTTTGGAGCTTTGAGATTTAATGACTGCCCTGTTGGGTTTCAAACTTGCATAGCGCCTGTAACCCCTTTATTTTTTGCCAATTTATCCCTTTTGGAACAGAAGCATTTACCCAATGCCTTTACCCTCATTGTATCTTGGAAGTAGCTAACTTGTTTTTTTATTTTACACACTCATAGGCAGAATGGACTTGCCTTGTCTCAGATGAGACTTGGGATTTGGGCATTTGAATTAATCTGGAATGAGTTAAGACTTTGGGAGACTGTTGGGAAGGCATGACTGTGTTTTGAAATGTGAGAAGGACATGAGATTTCGAAGGGGCCAGGGGCAGAATGATATGGTTTGGCTCTGTGTCCCCACATGAATCTCATGTTGAATTGTAATCCTCAGTGTTGGAGAAGGGGTCTGGTGGGAGGTGATTGAATCATTGGGTGGACTTTCCTCTTGCTGTCCTTGTGATAGTGAGTGAGTGCTCAGAGATTTGGTTGTTTAAAAGTGTGTGGCCCTCCCTGCTCTCTTCCTCCTGCTCCAGCCTTATAGGACATGCTGGCTTCCCCTTCACCTTCTGCCATGATTGCAAGCTTCCTGAGGTCTCCACAGCCATGTTTCCTTTACAGCCTGTGGAACCATGAGCCAATTAAACCTATTTTCTTTATAAGTTACCAAGTCTCAGGTAGTTCTTTATAGCAATGTGAGAGCAGACTAATACATGGGCTAAAGGGAATTACAGTGTTCTAAGGTTTTTCCATTGTCCAAGAAATAGTAAAAGTATGTTAAATGCTAATATATTAGAATCTAATAAGTAAAGGATGTATGTTGTAAAAGATTGAAGATAGAAGAAGAAGTAAAACTAACATGCGAATGGAGGTCAAAATAATAAAGTTCTAAACCAGGCCATACATCTGCCCTGCAACAAATTCTGCAGTTGTCTTAGGGCCCTAATTTGGAGTGCTTGGAGGTTGACTTCAGACTCACTTCTTTGTGTATTATATGTACTTGATATATATTTACTCGAATTTGGGGTCACTATGCATGGGATAAGTTTCAAATGATCACCATGTCCATTTGAGAAAGAATATCCCTTGGCCACTGAAACAGAGGAAACCCCCATCTCAAAAGATCCAACCATGCTTGCAGTCATGAATACAGATCACAAGCCAATAAACACATCCTTTATATTTGCATTGATTCTTGAATGCATTATGCAGGGAAGTCATTGCATTTTAAAGAATGAATTCATTTTTCTCAAGATAATATGAAAGTACCTGTGTTTCTTGGTTACATATATGCACTTATGAAATCCTATGAAATGATTTGTCTCTATATCATATTACTGACAAGCAAATAGTCTTCCCTTCTGTATTCCCTATCAAGAAATTCCCAGTAAGAATCAGATGTGTTTCCATGCATTTAAAAGCTATTTCAAAATAAGATTTCAGTTTCCCCAATGCTACTCCAGAGAGCTGCTCTCCAAGAGCTGTAGCTATCAATGAACAGGCTGCCCATAACATACATGGATCAATGCCCTTTAGAAGAGCATTGGCTTGCTAGTTAATAAGCTTTTGATTTTCCTTACTCATTGATTAATGAAGCAGTAGTTTTGCCTTTGAATAGAAGATAAATTAAGAAGTACTGTAACTGGAGTCTGTTGGGAAATAGGTTGTAGTTTGGAGAACTGGAAGTAGCTATGGAGACAAAGGAGGTAAAATGGCTAACTTTGCTAAAGGAGTCCCTCTGTCAGTGAACCGAGGTCTAAAGCATTCAACTCAATTCAACAGACACTTCTCAATGTACTATGAGACATATGAAAAGCATGACTAGGGAGATGGAGGGGTGATTCCAGACTACACCCCAGCTCAGACTGACTCCTACTTTTGTTTTTAGGAGCAGACACCCATAATACAAGGCAGGAACTGGGCCAAATGGGGTTACAATATGGTCTGGAAGATCCAAGGAGGCAGAAATGACATGCATTTGGAAGGAGTTGGAAAGGTATTCTGGCAAGGAGGGTATGGAAGGTTGAGTGGAATTCTGATGGATACAGATTGGGAGAGAAAGGTCTTCTAGGGATGGAAACCTTATTGGCTCCACAGTGTCAAAAGGACATGTTATAATGTTGAGGTAGAATCTGAAGAGGCAGCAGACTATCTCTCCATGAGATGGGGCTCCTGTTTTATCTTTGATTTGTATATTTCTATGTTAAAGAAAAATTGCTATGTTTACATGATTATAGAACAATTAGAACTGTGATTTATAGTTTATAATTTCTGTCACTAATTTCTTATGCTCTGACATTTCTTTCCTTCTCTGAGACAAAAAATTTAAGCTGTTGCATGGAGGTAGAAGGCATTATAACCCAGGAGGATGACATGTCTCCCACCCTGGGTCTTATTCATCTCTGTGCTGGGGTCTGTAGCACAGGGTCTCACTCAGAGCTTTGCACACAGTAGATGTTGACAATTATTTGTTGAATGAACAAATACGTTGGTCTCTGGTCGCTTCCTTGCTCAGAAACCCTCAATGGCTTCCTAATTACTTTAGGTCTACTTGTAATCTCTGCATCTCTCCAGCCTGGTATTTAAGTTCATTTATGAAAGGACTCCACCTTTCTTTGCAGGTCCACCCCCTACCACTTTAGGCACCTTTCATTCTAGGCAAGCTGGGTGGACTGCTTTGGTTTCTATGGAGGACATCTTCTATGGGCTACAAGAACTTGTTTGCTTGGAGAATGAAAGGCTAACCTTTGAAAGAGCTTCAGGATAACAGAGCTGAAAAACTACATGGGCAGGAGGGACATTCCACAGATGTTCTGACCAGAGGTGGGAAATGAACAATGCATTCGCATATGGCTCTTTGGAAAACAGATCTGCAGACCAGATGCAACGGTGGCACGGATTCAGCTCTTGGAACAGCTACTCCATGTAGCCAAAGGGCATACACTGGCTGCCTTCCTAACATGATCAGTTAATGAGTCCATCCTCAGACACAGAGAACGTAACAACAAAAACTGCTATCCTGGTCCTGATGGGGTCCAGCAAGAGGAAGACAAGAAAGGAGGTAATTTTAGCATCTACTGAGAATCCAGAAAAGTGAGTTCAGTGTTGCTCCTGATACCTGCAATTTCCCAAGGCAAGGTTAAGCCCTACACTGTGCTCCCTGTGTCCTGTACTTGACTTTCCTAGCCTTAGTTGCACTGTAGTGGAATCACCTATTTTTCTTTTTCACAAATGATTACCATTTCAGCAGGTAATCAATATAACGAAAACATTAATGAGACATTTTCTATTCTATTTTTTTAGTTTCACGCTCACCATGGGTCTTTTTGTTCCCCATTTTTCTATTCTTTTATCTTTTATTATTATTTTTAGTTGACACATAGTTTTGTACATATTTACAGGGTATAGTGTGATATTTTGATACATGTACACAATGTAAAATAATCAAAGGGTAATTTGCATGCATATCACCTCATTTATTGTTTCTTTGCGTTGAGAACATTCAAAATCTGCTCTTCTAGCTATATTTGAAAACATACTGTAGATTGTTGTTAATTACAGTCATGCTCCAGTGACATTGGAACTTATTCCTTCTATCTAGTTGCAATCTTGCATCCGTTAACTAACCTCTCACCATCCCCTGACTCCCAGTCTCCAGTAACCACTATTCCACACTCCACTATTATGAGATCAACTTTTTCAGCTCCCACATATGAGTGAGAGCATGTGATATTTATCTTTCCATGCCTGGCTTATTATCACTTAACAAAATGTCAACCAAGCTCATCTACATTGCCTCAAATGATGGCATTTCATTCTTTTTTATGGCTAGATAGTATTCTATTGTGTATATACACCAATTTTTCTTTATTCATTGATTTGTTGATGGACACTTATGTTGATTCCATATCTTGGCTATTGTGAATAATGCCGCAATAAACATGGGAGTGCAGTTGTCTCTTCATCATACTGGTGTAATCACCTGTTTTTCTGTCAGTCTTTCCCAAGAGACTAGGAGTGCCTTAAGGACAAGTGATTTCCCAGTCATGCCTCACTTAACAACGGGGATATGCTCTGAGAAATGTGTCATTAGGCAATTTCTTCATTGTGCAAACATCATAGAGGGTACTTACACAAACTTGGAGGGTCTAGCCTACTACACACCTAGGCTATATGGTATAGCCTATTGTTTTTAGGCTATAAACCTGTACAGCATGTGGCTGTACTGAATACCATAGGCAATTGTAATGCAATGGTAAGTATTTGTATATTTAAACATATCAAGGTACCATTAAAATAAGGTATAAAAGATAACAAATGGTACACCTGTATGGAGCTTGCAGGACTGGAAGTTACTCTGTGTCAGTCAGTGAGTGGTGAGTGAATGTGAAGGCCTAGGACATTACTGCACACTACTGTAGACTTAATAAACACTGTACACTTAGGCTACACTAAATTTATAAAAACACTTTTCTTCAATAATAAATTAACCTTAGCTTATTCTAACTTTTTACTTTATACACTTTTTTTTACCTTTTTAACGACTGTAATAATACTTAGCTTAAAACAACAACACAGTGCATGTTGTACAAGAATGTTTTCATTCTTTATATCCTTATTCTACAGGCCTTTTTAATTCTTTTTTTAACTTTTTAAACTTTTTTGTTAAAAGCTAAGATGTAAACACACACATTTTAAAAAATGTGCTTAAGCCTTTACAGGGTCAGGATCATCAACATCATTGACTTCTACTTCCACACCTTGTCCCACTGGAAGGTCCTCGGGGGCAGTAACTCATCACTTTCAGCTTCTAGGATAACAATGCCTTCCTTTGGAATACCTGTGAAGGACTTGCCTGAGGCTGTTTTATAGCTAACTTAAAAAAAATAAGTAGGAGTACCCTCTAAAATAATGATAGAAATTACAGTATAGTGAATACTAGGCAATGGGAATTTTTAGCTCCATTATAATCTTAAGGGACCACTGTCATGGATGCAGTCTGTCGTTGACTGAAATGTTATGCAGTGCATGACTGTATGGTGTTTGATGCATGAATGAATGAATGAATGCAGTCTATGTTAGGTGCACACATCTTTTTTTACCACTAGATGGCAAGTATTCATTGAAAAGTCCAGCTCTAAACTGTCTCAGAGACACAATCTGGTGAAAAGTAAATGTTTCAGTACACTGGAGGAGTACATACACCAGAGTGACGTTTTCAGGGCTGCCTATGTCTCTTCTCTTTTAGCAGAGACAGAAAAAAGTACCAGGAGGGAAGTCAAAAGTCCTGTGTTGCCACTAGCATTTGGACATGTGAAGTATATTTTCTGAGCCTCAGTTTTCTCACCTAAAATAACAGGTGGACTGTAGCTCTCTTGGTCACCAGGAGGAGAACGATCTACCAAGACCCCACAATGTGCTTTCAGATACAGCATCGTTTAAATGTTCCTAAGCTTGGGTGTTTGTTGGTTGGTTGGCTTATTTTTTTTTATTTCAACTATAAAATAATTACTTTTTGAATAGATAGCACAAAAACATGGTACCACATTCCAAAGGCACCAAAGGGAATACAGTGAAAGGTCCCTCTCTTCGTTTTCCGCAATCTCTTAACTCTCCACCCCAGAGGCAACCACTATTAATATTCTTATATACCCTTCAAGAGACGTAAGTACACATCTTTAGAAAGATAGCACAAATGGGACCAATCATGAGTACCCTGCTGCATTTTCTTTTTTAATGAAACAATTTGTCTTGGAAATGTTTAATATCAAAATCTCATATTTATTTAACTGGTCCCCTATTCATGGATATTTAATTTATTCCACTCTTGTGTTACAATGTCCAATAAATAGAATGTGCCTAAATGTGAGTATATCTGTGTATATAAATTTCTGACTGAACTGCTGAGTCAGAAGAAAGCGCTCTCCAGTGTAGAAAGGTGTTTCCCTACACCTCTGACAATATAGTTGTCAAAAGTCTAACAGATCAAAAATTGTAGCTCTGTGAAACTAATTTGTATTTCTATGATTGTAAATGAAGTTGAACATCATTTATAATATCTAAAAGCCATCTCATTTTCCTTTTCTGAGACCTGTCCATGTGTTTTGATCTATTGGTTTGTTGGTCTTTTAAAAACTGACCATAAGAAGCTCTTTATATATCAAAAAAAAATTAGCCCTTTGTTTAGCGAGACTCCTCTCAAAAAAAAAAAAAGTCTTAGTATTTTCCACTACTTAAAAAATGTTTTGGGCCAGCCGTGGTGGCTCATGCCTATAATACCAGCACTTTGGGAGGCCAAGGCAGGCAGATCAGTTGAGTTCGGGAGTTCGAGACCAGCCTGGCCAACATGGTGAAAGCCCATCTCTACTAAAACTATAAAAATTAGCCAGGCTGGTGGTGGGTGCCTGTAATCCAAGCTACTTGGGAGGCTGAAGCAGGAGAATCACTTGAAACTTGGAGGCAGAGGTTGCAGTGAGCCAAGTTTGTGCCACTGCACTCTAGCCTGGGCAATAGAGTGAGACTCCATCTCAAAAAAAGAAATGTTTTTAGTTTACTTCATTAACCTTTTATGATCTCCGGGTTTTGTGATGTGCTTGGAAGAAGCTTTGTTCTAGGTTATAAAAATGGTTCCAGCCAGGCGCAGTGACTCACGCCTGTAATCCCAGCACTTTGGGAGGCCAAGGCAGGTGGATCACCTGAGGTCAGGAGTTTGAGACCAGCCTGACCAACAAGGTGAAACCCTGTCTCTACTAAAAAAAAATACAAAAATTAGCCAGGCATGGTGGCAGGTGCCTATAGTCCCGGCTACTCAGGAGGCTGAGACAGGAGAATTGCTTGAACCCGGGAGGTGGAGGCTGCAGTGAGCCAAGATCGCACCACTGCACTCCAGCCTGGGCAACAGAGCAAGACTCCGTCTCAAAAAAAAAAAAAAAAAAAAAAAAAAAAAAGGTTCTTTCATGTTTTCTTCTAACGTTTTTATGTTTTCATTTAAAAATATTTAAATTTTTGATATATTTGGAGCTTGTATTGGTTCCAGGATTAAGGTATGAAGAAAAATATTTTTTCCAGATGGCTTCCAGTTGTGCCATTACCACTTATTGAAGGATCTAGTGTTTTTCCAACTGATATAAAATTATACTTTTTTCATATACTTAACTTACAAAGAATTTGTGTCTATTTCTGGACTTTCTATTAGATTCTATTGATCTGTGTATTCACTCTCTAGCTTCACACAGTTTTAGTTAATGTTGTTTTATAACGTTTTTATATCTGGTTTAGCCAGTCTTCCCTTCATTATATGCTTTTTCAAACATTTTCTGACTATTGTTGACTGTTTAGTTTTCTATTTCTATAGCGTCAGCCTGTATAATTTTTAAAAAATTATCTGGGATTTTTGAGGGAACACTTTAAATTTACAGATTAAGTTATGCAGTATTTTTTTTGGGGGGAATATTTGGTTTCTTATCCAAGTTTTCTTTGTTCATTTAAATATTATTCTTTTAAAAAGGTACAGTAGGCCAGGTGTGGTGGCTCACGCCTGTAATCCCAGAACTTTGGGAGGCCAAGGCAGGTGGATCACCTGAGGTCAGGAGTTCGAGACCAGCCTGGCCAACATGGTGAAACCCCGTCTCTACTAAAAATGTAAAAATTAGCCGGGCATGGTGGTGGGCACCTGTAATCCCAGCTACTCGGGAAGCTGAGGCAGGAGAATTGCTTGAACCTGAGAGATGGAGGTTGCAGTGAGCCAACACGGTGCCACTGCACTCCAGCCTGGGCAACAGACAGAGACTCTGTCTCAAAAAAAAAAAAAAAAAGTATAGTAATTTGTGTTCATGGTAAAATTCAAGCAATACAAGAGGCCGTATGGCAAAATGTGAATGAACCTTTCAGTTCTGCCCCTTACTCTCTGTGTGCTCTAGAGGCAAGGAGTTTCTGGTGTATGTTCATAGAGATATTCTATGCATATATAATCCTATACATGAATATAATCATTTCACTCTAACCTGCCATTTTTCATATATGGAATCAAGCTATACACACTGTTCTGCTTTTTTCCCATCTAACTATATACACCAGGGAGCATTCTGTATCAGTACACACAAATCTGCCTTATTCTTTTTAATAGCTGCATGGTATTTGACCCGTTAAATGCATCCAGAGTTTCTAATATGACCCCTATTGATGAAAGTTTGCTTGTTCCATCTCTTAAAAATAAAATACTATAATGAATATTCTTCCTCATATACTTTTGCACAAGACTATTTCAGAAAGACATATTCCTAGATATAGAATTATTTTATTATGTTGATGTATAAGGAAAATATACACACAACAATGTGAATATACCTAACACTCCTGAACTGTGCACTTAAAAATGGTTCAGATGGTAAATATTATGTGTTTTCTTTTACTACAATAGAAAAAAGAAAACGTATAATTTTGATAGATATTGCTAAATTGTCTTCTAAATCTTAAGGTAATATATTAATGATCTCTCACTTAAATTTGCCTTCTATTTGCAATATTTTGGCTCAGTTACTGTAAAAATAGATATTTTAGTGAGTCAAATATTCTGTAAGTCTTGAATAAGACTGTCCCACATTTCTCTCATACAGAGATTCTCAGAAAAATTCCCAGGGATCATGATGCTGTCTTATAAAACTGTAGAGGTTAAGAAGTAATGCTAAGAGGCCAGCTCTATACCCTTCCAGCAAAGGCAGCCTGTGCCAGTTTTATTAAAGAACAGGCATCACGAAATCACTCTGGCAGCTTGTCCTACTGTAATCTGGATTTGTTTGAAGACTCAACTGAAAGCAAACAAGAGGTTTCATATGACTCAAATCATACCTTTCAAACAATGTCTTAATTTCTGTATCGAGTATCTGTGACAGAATCTTTATTTGACTCCTTACCCTATCACCACTCTGAGTGTCATTTTATTTCTACCAACCACAAGTGCCCACTTACCCATACTACATGGAATTAAGCCTTGAATGAGGTAGGGGAGAACAAAGGAGGTGTGTGTCATCAATGTAACCCAAATAAGGTTGGGCACCCTTGGGGGCCATTTGCAGCAGGGTGACACACCTAAAAAAACAGACCCAATCTGACTCCCAGAAGCCTTGAAAAAGTATTAGAGGTCTTTGCTGAAGTTTTCTTGAGAAGGCAGCAAAGGGAAAATGACATCACACAATATTCTGCAAAGTATACTGCTAAAAGTTCTCTTTTGAAGTTTCCTCTTTTAGAAATCAAATTTACTCAAAGTCTTCTTTGGGTTTTTACTTTTTATTTTTCATTATTATTATTATTATTATTATTATTATTATTATTGGAGATGGAGTCTCACTCACTCGGTCACCCAGGCTAGAGTGCAGTGGCACAATCTCAGCTCACTGCAACCTCTGCCTCCCAGGTTCAAGTGATTCTCCTGCCTCAGCCTCCTGAGTAGCTGGGATTACAGGTGCCTGCCGCCACGCCTGGCTAATTTTTGTATTTTTAGTAGAGACAGGGTTTCACCATGTTGGCCAGATTGGTCTCGAACTCCTGAACTCAAGTGATCTGCCTGCCTTGGCCTCCCAAAATGCTGGGATTACAGGTGTGAGCCACCACGCCTGGTCTAAAAGTCTTCTTTGGATCTTTCTTTCTCCCTTTTCCTTGTCTTTATGCTCTAGTAGATTCTACCTAGCCCAATTTATGTCTTCTTTCCATTGTATTCCCACCCAGTAAAACCGAAATACCCTTTTAGAAGATGGAAGGAAAAAAGGGTTCTAAGTCCTTCCAATTTAATTTTTTTGTTGCAATAATAAGAGTAATAATGAGCTCATACTCCAAGCCATGCTTTGTACACGTATTATTTCATAACCAACAGAGGTAATTCATATTCTTGTTATTGTTTTTCAAATGTAAAATCTAAGGCTCAGTGAGCTTAGGTGACCTACTCGAGGTCAGAGACTTAAGAAGTACAGGTTCTCTACTGTTTTCATGGTTCTTAAGTAACAATGCAAGGCAGCAGGTGGCAAGGGTAAATAAGTGGCCTTAACAGTGCTTTGGGGCCCCATACTCTTTCTCTGACCTCTGCCTTTCCATATCCTTGTGTTTAGGCCTAGTAATGTCCCTTGATCCCACCTCAATTGCTAAACCAAACTCTAGACCCAGCATTTTGTCACCCAATTGGTGCAGCTCTGAACTCTGGGTTTCTGCTGATCTTCCCTCTTCTTTCTTTAGTGCTCCTGAACTTCTTCTCTCTTCAGTGCCCCTCTCTTCTACAGGACTGAAATCCTGCCCTGAGCTCCTGTCCTTTGGCTAGGGCCCTGCAACTCAGTCTAATTCTTGCCCATCCACTGCTGCCCTGAAATATAAATTTATCTTCTACCTTCAGTTTCCCCTGCCCTTTTTTTTTTTTTGGAAACAGGGTCTGACTCTGTCGCCCAGGCTGGAGTGCAGTGGTGTGATCGTGGCTCACTAAAGCCTCTGCCTCCTGGGCCAAGTGATCCTTCCACCTCAGTCCCCCAACTGCTGGGACTACAGACGTGCACCTCCATGCCTGGCTAATTTTTGGTATTTCTTGTAGAGATAAGGGCTCACTGTGTTGCCCAGGCTGGTCTTGAACTCCTGAGCTCAAGTGATCTGCCCACCTCAGCCTCCCAAAATACTGGGATTACAGGCATGAGCCACCACACCCAGGCCTTCAGTTCCCTTCTTAGTATAAACTGCCCTGCCCACAGCCACTGGATATAATAACAGGCCGGATGGTTCTTTACACAGAGGTGGCCACTGGATTGGAGTAAGGGTAGATATCTGATGCAGGGGGCACCATTGCCCAGGCTATCCAGTGATCAACCTGTTTTTCTGGTGCTTCACTAAGAGTCACCAAAACTGCTCAGCTAGCTGTGAGAAGCCAAGGAGGAAGATCCTATGGCTACCATTTGGGGCCATGTGCAACCCAAGTAAGCAGAGGCAGCAGCTCTGTTGAGAAATAGTCGGGGAGAGATTTGCATGGAAGGGCATGGAAAAGACCACCTGACACTGGGGGCAGTGTGGAGGAGGGAGAGAGAGTTAGTGGTCGTCTCAGCCTGATGCCTTCCAATTCCAGCTTTCGTGAGGGTTTTTGTACTCTGCACAAACTTGTGTTCTCATGTGTCCTACTTTCTTTCTACAATAAAGTTTCCTTTGTTCTTAAGTTAGTTTCAGTGGGTTCCTGTTACAATCAAACTAGACTTCACTAAACCACCTCTCTCCTTAGGTTGGGAGCCACATTTCTGCCCCTTGGCTTGTGTCTTGCTACATTCAGGAAGATGTGCTCCATGGCTGCCTCTAGGGCTGTTCTGGAGGTGGCATCGAACTAGCTCCAGCGAGCATCCTGATGAGGCTGTTCCAAGGAAGGGAGGGAGCATGTGCAAAGCAGTGAGTTGGGAATGGGCGTGGAGTTTTACTGTAGCTCTTTCTATATTTGAAGGCTTAATTTATACCCTTAATTGCTTATGATCAACTTTGGGAAAAAATGTTAGGGCAAATTGGGAGATGACACTGTCAAGTGGGGATAGGAGGGGCAGGCTTGGGCAGTGCCTGGGGATGCTGAAGTAGTTGAAGTAGATGGTAAAGGAGTTGTGGCCTCATCCTCTGGACCTTTTCACACTGAGAAATGACACGAACTTGAACATTAAATTTTCTAGTCCTGCAGGGGGTCTTAGGACAAACCCCTCATTTTACTGATAAGGAAACAGAGGCTGAAGAATGAAAACATGGTAATGATAGCTAACATCCAGCAATCTCTTTCTAAGGGCAGGCTCTGCTCCAAGTACTTTACACTTATCAGCTCACTTAGTCCTCAGAATGACTCTATGAGGTTGGCACAATCGCCATTTTCATCTCATAGAAGAGAGAACTGAGACACAGAGGGGTTAAGTAACTTGCCCAAAGTCACATAGTTGGCAGGGGATGGAGCCAGGATTTGAACTCAGGAAATCTTGATTCAGAGGCAATGCTTTTAGACATTATACATCACTACTTCTCATAAGCATGGAAGATCACTGGAGCTTTATTATTATAAATAAAAGCTGGTGGGGTGTGTGTGTGTTTGTGTGTGGTTTTTCCAAACCGGATGAGGCAGCATGTCATGAATCATAGAGAACACTTGAAGTCAGGCCATGGCTTTAATTAAAGAAAAGTGATTAAAAATTTAGAAAATCAAAAATCAGAAAAAAACAATAGTTTAGTAGACATATGTCATCTCCAATGATTTAAAGGAGATGAGAAAAGAAAATTCTCAAACCTTTTCTTCCAGTTCCTGGAGCCATATAAACTGTTTCAACTTTAAAGAAAAAGAACATCTGCTTGTCTATTGCTTCTCATGCCACAGGCGGTGTGATAATCCTGTGGGCTGGTTCAAGTCATCCTCCAAAACAAGGTCTCCTGAAGGTGAAATAATCAATGCCTGTATTAGGGTCCACCATTATCTGACCTCTTATGGTCAGGAAAGCCTTGAATCCAGAGAAATATAAAAGTTGGAATGATTTTTCTAATGGATTTTTAATAAATGGGTGACTCTTCAAAGCTCAGAGTTTTATGCAAGAACCATTCATGGCTTGCTTGTCATCAATTCAGATATTTGTTAGGTGCTACAGATATTAGCTGGATACCTGAAAATGTGGAAAACTGAACTGACACAAAAAGTTCTCTCTCCTTCTACAAACAGATAGAAATGCTGGACAAATATAACAAAACACATTACAAAAATATGTAAACAAGTTTAGAAAAACTGCCCAGATGCCAGAAATAGGGAGGAAAGTCTAACTCAGAACAGTAAGCAGGAGCTAGTGCGTGGTGAGCTGTTGGGGCCCTGGACTGGGATACAGGCCCCAGGAGCTGGAGGCGGGGGTTTAGAAGCCCATGCATGGAGAGAAGGGGAAATCTTGAGCCAGTGAGAAGTGGGGCATGGGGGGGGCACGCCTGCATACAGTGGATGTTTTAAAGGGCTGCCCTGTTTGTGAATAGGGCATGAGAAAACCCTCCATCAAGCATTCGGGAACATGGCAAGGAAGGTTGTTTCTGCCCAAGACACCTCCAAGAAATGGAACTCCCAATTGCTCTCATGTGTTAGTGCAGGGTCCAGACGTATACTAGCTGTGCAGTGGGCAATTCCAATCTGAGAAAGGACATAAAAACTTGGGTGGGACCAGGAGAAGAAAATACAAAGTCACTGTAAAGACACCATCACTTGAACCTTTTTTCCTCCAACAGGAAAAAAAAGAAAAAGAAAAAAAACTACTGAGGCCAAGTGTGGTGGCTCACGCCTGTAATCCTAGCACTTTGGGAGGCCAAGGTGGGTGGATCACCTGAGGTCAGGATTTCGAGACCAGCCTGACCAGCATGGTAAAACCCCGTCTCTACTAAAAATACAAAAATTAGCTGGGCATGATGGCAGGCGCCTGTAATCCCAGCTACTCAGGAGGCTGAGGCAGGAGAATCGCTTGAACCCAGGAGGCGGAGGTTGCAGTGAGCTAAGATTGCACCACTGCACTCCAGCCAGGGTGACAAGAGTGAAATTCCATCTCAAAAAAACAAAACAAATACCACTGAAGATGATCAAACAATTTAAAACCAAAGAAGAAACTAATGTCACTGAGAGAGCAAGTTCAATGAAAAGGAAAAATAGTCTCTAAGATTATGAGAAAATAGAATAATCTGAAAGAGACAATTAGACATATTTAAAATTATTGAAGACATAAAAGTAGCCCTAATGAAGGACTAGAATAGTGGAAAGAAGCAGACGTGGATTGGAAAAGGAGACTCCAGCAGAGAGGAAACCCAACAAGGCCCTGCCCAAATGTGTGTCCACATTTCCCCAATGGATGCACAGATTCCCCTAAGGAATAAGTACCTTCTATGGAAATAGTCATGTATGTGCCTCTCCCACTTTGTTAATTTCGTCTGAGTAGAGACAAAGTGGTCCGGCATTCAACTCTCCAGCCTCCTTTTGTGCCACAATCCCCTCACTATCCTTGTGTCACACTAGTCTTTTTTTAGTTCTAAGCACAATAAGTTATGTTCTCCCACAGGCCCTTTGCATGTGCTGTTGTTAGCATCTAAAATGATTTTCCCCTACACTTGTCTTTTGGGTTTCTGCTTCATGGTCATTTGTTAGGGAGACTTTCCCTGACCGGTTTATCTAAAACAGGCCCCTCCCTACTCCTAATCCTCTTTATGTCACTACCACCCTTGTTGGTTTCTTTTCACTTAAATATATATATATATATTTTACATGTTTTCCTTTTCTCCACTGTTAGGATGTAGGCTCATGAAGGAAAGGAGTTTTCTTAATTACTGCTGCATCTCCAATGCCTAGCATATAGTAGGTGTTCAGTAAAATTACCAAATGAATAAACTAATAAGTTCAATAAATATTTATAAAGTTATTGAATGAACAAACTATATATTCAAGAAACATTTAGGAAGCATCCAATACTATGCCAAGCTCAGGGGATATAATAGTGGGAACGGCAGCTTTAAACCTTGTTGTTTAGTGAGGGAGAGACATCAAAGAAATATGTAAGTGTGATGATGCTAACAATAGGAGAAGGACAAAGTGCTGGGAGAGCACCTGGCAAGATCAATTTAGTACAGAATCAGGGAAAGCCTCCTGGAAGAGGCAACATCTAAGCTAAGTCCTAAGGGATGAATAGGAGTTCACCAGTTAGAAGGCTGCTGGAAGATGTCTGGCTGAGAGAAGGTCCAGAGACAAGAAGGGCATGGCCCTTGTGCATAGACTGAAAGAGGTTCTGTATGCCCAAAACTTAGATTTGCAGCAAGAAATAAAATTGGAGAGGTAAGACAAGGGCAGGACATAAAGGGTATTCAGGCTTTGATAAGGAATTTGGACTTTATCTTAGGGTCAAGGAGAAGCTATTAAACATTTTAAGTGGGGGAGTGGCATGATCTGATTTGTTTTTTATAAAGATGGCCCTGGGGCAGCATGGGCAACAGGAGGAGAATCAGAGGCAGGGGCATCAGGAGGCTAGTGCAGCAATTTAGGCAAGAGATAAGTGGAGGGAGGTGGTGATGAGGGCAGATTGAACTGGATGAATTTAAAAGAGAAGGCACAAGTTTGGGTGTGGAGAGATCAAGGATTCTAGCCTGAATAACCGAGTGAAAGGGGCATCATCTTTGGGCCAGCATCCAGCAGAGAACCAGACACTTAGTAAACATGCCAGAAATATGGGCTTACTGAAGTAGAAATGGTCTTAGTGGGATGAAGTGTTTTCATAACGAGTATTCATAAGCTCACTTTCCACTCCCACACCAACCTACAAGTGTGATCTACCATTTCCTACAGCCCCCGCCTGCCTTGGATTACCCATTTGTGACCTGCCAGGCTAGCCATAGCTCAGTATTTCTAATTCCCAGTCCCCAGGTGTCCTGGCCACCAGGACACATTTGCCTTTGTCCTTCCACGAAAGGGTGAGCATTGTGGCCTTCCCCAGCCCCAGCCACTAGTGTCACTACTGCCAATAATTCTGCTGTAATTTTTCATTAATTTTCTTGGTGTTTTGCAGTTATAGTAACATTAAAATTTATACTCAACAGTATTATTATTAATATACTGTTATTATTATTAATACTTCCACTATTAATAGGATTAGTATTTTTGTTCATTTGTGCTTGAAAGCCATTAGCATAAAATTTACCTCCAAGAATATCTATTGTGATTCTTCATGCCCTTGAAACTTGCAGTGAGCCGTAAGTTTATAATAAGAGAATGCTGGTAAGCATATAAATGTCTTTCTTGAGAAAAGAGGGCTTTTTATTTTCATCATGGCTGGACTCAGGTTCTTTGACAAAGTGATTGGTAGGATATAAAGTATTAAAGCCCGAGAACACTGTGTTAGTTTGCAGATGTTTTCAAACAAGTTTCTGGTTATTCAGAGGACACTTTTGTATTCTAGGAGGATTCATATTCTTGCTTATTTTAATGTTGTTTCTTACCTGACTTACAAAAAAATAAATCAATTGTGTGCTTGCGGGGAACAATATTTAGAAAGATGAGTTATTTGGAATCCTGAAATCACCCTATCCAACTGACTTTCCCAGGAGCTGGGGAACCTGAGGCACTGTTAGCAGAGGCCAGATTCAGAGGCTGGCAAGAGGAATTTCTCTGTGGGGCAGCTGTGTGGGACAGGGAAATTATACAGGTAGGCCTGGCTTCAGGGGCAGGTGACCCATGCAGGCTCACAGGACCCCATGCTATGAAATTCACGGTACTGCCATCTTGAGATTCTCAACAAGTTTCAAACAAGTGGCCTCAGGTTTACACGGAGCAGATTATATGTCTAGTACTGTCTGGGCTTTGGAGCCAGACAGACTTAGGTTTAAGTCCTGGTATTCTCTGCTGTTGACCATGCCTTGGTTTCCTTATCTGTAAAACTGGGATAATAATAGCATCCTCAGCCTAGATGTGAGGGGGGCGAAAAGTAGATATCCAGCACCCAGGGGGCCTGAAAGGTGGTGACAGGCACTGAGATATGTTCATTCCCATGTGCGGTACCCATAATTAAACTTATTATTACGACTGTTTGTCTGAAACACTAGCCAGCTGGGATAGGCAGACAGACATTGCCTGTGTGGTAATACAAGCCAATCACAGCCATGCTGATTAGGAACATACCAAAGAACTTTTTCCTAAGAGGGATTCTGAGGCTGGCAGTGGTGGTGGTGGGGGGTCCCATCCATGAGTTTTCAATCTTTTTATTGCTATGACATGTCAGATAATGTTCACCAGCACAATATAGTTCCAGTTATGTATGATTCCTGCAGGATTCTTTCTTTTCCAGAAACCTCTCAAGAAAGCCAACAAGTGAGACTGACATTATTATGAAGATGCCCTTGACCCTGATGTAATTAACTGGCAAACTTTAGTATTTCAACTACTATTTGTAACAAAAGGTTTTCAAGATTCCACACCATGGAGCTTGACAAATCAGGGAGGCATAATTCCATACTTGAGAACTGGGAATGTGAACCTCCAGGATCCCAAACAATGGTTCCCCCATGATAGGCCAGACAGACTAGCACCAATATAGAGCCCTGCATGACTTTGCCATAGTCTGAAGGAGTGATGCCAATTATGAGGCATGGCAGCCAGAGTCAGAGAAACAGAGCATAGTTAGATAGCTCATCTTGGATGAATAGCATGCACTCTTAAAACATCTGGTCAAACATCTTTTTTTCCAAGAAAGGAGGAAAGACTTCAAATCAAATTAATAAGAAACATAAGCTCATTCTGGGGCATTTTTCGACTCTAGTCCAAACTGATTCCTCAGGGGATTTATAGCAGGAGTCAGAGTGACCTTTGTTGCCTCCAATTTAGGGTCTGTGGGCAGCTTGGAGTCCAGATGGTGGGGAACACTGCGGGCCTCAGCTGTGCTTGCCCTGCTGTGCTGCTCAGGCCTCTGGGCACATGCAGACTGTGAGATGGGGTCCCTGGTGTTTTCTTAGCCTCCTGCATTGTTTCAGGAGATGTGGGACAGGAGCACAGGGAGGGCAACAGCCTCTCAGTGACCTGTGTTGTAAAATGATCACATCCCAAGCATGCTTTGCTCTTTCCTTACTTCCTCCAGAGCACTTGGTGGGCAGTGGGACATGCTGCCATGTGCTCTCTCAGGCTGGACAGGCTTTTGTGGGTAGTGATGGCTAAAGCTGCACTGCCATGTCTTGCAGCAAACCACCACTGAGCCACGTGGCTCTTCTTCCAAGGTTCTCTCATTAGCCTCTCTCTGGTGTCAACCTGATTAGGCTTTTGATGAAGGACGATGGCACTGTCAGCCAAATGAATTGATAAGAATTATGGACTTTTTCTCCCTTATCTCACAGAGGTATCAGTGAAGGCCTAGAGAGTGGGACTGCTCCTGGGCCCACACAGCATAGGACACAGAAGATGCCTCAGTCCATAATGATTATGATGAACGAACGACTAATTTATCAAGTACCTCAAGACATAGTTGCAAAAAGCACGTGCCAATACTCAAACATTTATTTTGGGGATTTGGCTGGACAGCTTGACTATTACTCCTCTGACCCTCTCAAAGATCACAGTAAGAAAACCTTAATTCATGGCTTTGACTCTCAGGAGACTAGAGACAAGGCATCCCAACAATATGGCCACAGCAGCAGCATTTAGCACAGGCTGAAGAAAACATGAATGCAGTCAGGGACAATCTGAGACAACAAAATGGATATTTGTGCCTCTGTCTGTCCTCTACTTAACATAAAACCCCCAAACTCAGCAAATAGATTTTCTTCCACCACATTGTACTGCAAATTTCAAGCCCCTGGGAAAGATATCTAAGGAGTGCTTTGACTGCATTTCTGTTATTTGGTCATTCTGTGATTTTTTTGTCTTACCTGTTGTCGAATTTCTTCCTCCATTTTCACGGGTGAGCCCAATTCTGCAACTTGTTTGACGCCTTCGCTGGCATATCCTCCATATTCCCACAGTACATAATTCTTGGAGTGGGATCCTCCGATGATCGCAGACCAGTGGTTGGCCCGACCTGGGAAAGCCAATCAGGAGGCAGTTATCAGCATGGCTGTGGCTGAAACACGAGTCCCTTAAATGATGGGGAGGATGCGTAATTGGACATCGATTCAAAGAGCACTGACTAAGCACCTATTCTGTCTTAGGCCCTGTGCCATTCAGTGATAAGACTGAGTTCCTATAAGCAAATAGGTCTTGGGAATGTACAGACAGGTCAACAGCAGATGTTGAACAAGACGCAGAGGCAGCCCAGAGATGCGTTCTGTCTAGGAAGGTCTCAGAGAAGGGGATAGTTGAGAGAACGTTAAAGGCTGATCATATTTGTAAGGCAAAATAGAGTAGAAAGGACTGTTCTGGCAGACTCCCATCCAAGTGCTAACCAGGCTTGACCCTGCTTAGCTTCTGAGATCAGACAAGATTGGGTGCATTCAGGGTGGTATAGCCATAGACCAGACTCAGAAACATTAAATAACATTGTGTGTTTGGAGAGTCATAACTAATTCAGCATTGCTGTGTCACAAACTGTCAAGGGGAAAGTTAGGAGATGATGCCAGGGAGGTAGGAAGAAGCTGGCTCATGAATGGCCTTGCTCTAAATGCTTCAGGAGTTTGGATGTCATTTGAAAGGATCTGAGAACCACTGAAGGGTTCTGGCAGAGGAGTGATATAATTGCATTTGAATTTTAGATAAATCATCCAGACAGCAGTGTGAAGAATGCATTGGAGAGAGCACAGTTGGAGTGGAGAGCTGGAGAGGTAAGCAAGGAGCAAAAGATAAAAGAAATGTGTGGGGACCAGCCTTAGAAGTAAACATGGTTGATTTCAGCTGACTTCTATGTACATTTCAGTACAAGGGGCAGGCAGGTTAGCTATATTTAAAGGATGTGATGGACAGTTTGGATATGTGGAAGTGACCAGTCCACAGTGGTTTGGTGAAGATCACATGGGATGGTGGCTGCAGTGGGATGTGGGAGGGAATTAATGCACAACACAACAGCATGGGAAAACAGAGTAAGATCTGGGCTGGAGCAAGACAGAACTTGACTTGAGGATTTTATTTAAGTCCTGGAGGAAGAAGGAACTGATAGTATCAGCACCTTACTGGATTTGTTTTTTACATGTGATGAATACAGATGCATATACATTTATTATTGACTAAGTTACATATAATTAGTTCATCACACAGTTGGCTCAATTCTCAGCCATTCTTTGGTTGGTTAAACAAAGTCTCAAGTTAAATAACATTTTCAGGCATATCAAAGAGGAAAACTTGAACTGGGTGAACCCAACTAACATTTTCAGTTTCCCATCCTGTGGCCCAGAGTGGGCAGAACTCTTCACCCCATTACTGCCTATTTTAATAAACACTCTTGAAAAAAGAAAAAAAAAAAAAAGAAAGAAAGAAAGTGGTTCTGAACATGGCCTGGTTCTGTTTACAGCTCACATCGCTTCCCCATGGCCCTCTGCTCCAGGGCCACATCAAGAACATAGGTGTAAAGCCAGGCCGCACCTTCCTGGCCTGCTGAGGGCAGCCACGGCCCACCCCAGGCAGAGGACATCACCATGCGGGTTTGCCCAATTGCTTGTTCATTATTTCCTACACATCGGGAAAATGCAGACCCCATGTTTATCCTTCATCTCTCATATCCCTAGAGTAGACAGATAGAGATGCTGCCAGCCGTTTCTCTAACTCATTTCCTGGGTGAAGAGTCCTAGCCGTCATCAAAGCCAAAGTACACTTGTGTAGGGGCAATGGCTGGTAACCAGTAATGGCCTTAGGTTCGTGATGTGGACACAGAGTGAAGCAGCTTCAGAAACTCTTGCTCTCCCTGCCCTTCTCCACCAAAATACTCCTTGTTCTAGGCGTGTCCTGCCTGCAATTCTGTACCTTAGTGCAGAATTACCATATGCTCTTTGCTCTGTACTCTCCTCTTGTTTGGCTTAGCCAACTCCCATTCCTCCTTTATAAAATACTCAGAAGTTACTCAAGACCACCACAAGCCAACCTAAACTTTTGTCTTCTGTCTTGCCATAGCACAAATCACATTTATTATCACTCTTACAGTCTGTTATCTCACTAGGCTGAACGTTTCTTGAGGGAGCCTGACTTCAGCCCAACACCTAGTGCTGTGCCTAGTGTGTTGTTAGTGCTCAGTATATGTTTCCAGAAGCATTTCATCCAAACAATCAAATGGGAGGGCAGCAGTATATGCACTTGACATAGTTGGGAACAGGCTTGCACAGATTTGATTCACCGTGATTAAATTCAAGTCTTATTTCAGCAGAGTTCCTGACACCTGCTAGGCTAAGGCAGTATCCTATGTGCTGTTAAAAAACAAAAAGCAACAACAAAAAAGAAAGGCATTGGTCTTAGAGCCAGCAGACAGGGACTGAAATCCTAGCATTACCACTTACTGGCTTTGTAAACTTGGTTAAATTCAATTACTTTATTTCCCTGAGTCTCAGTTCCCTCGTTTGTAATTCAGGGATGATAATGCCTACCTTATCAACCTATTATGAGAATTAAATTAAATTATTTAAAAGTGAGATAATATATTGAAATCACTACTGGCACACAATAGACAGTCAATAATTATAGTTTCTTCCTTTCATGGTTGGTAGGGAGGCTACAAAACTGAGTAAAACATGAAACTTGCCTTTAATTCAGTATAAGAGATAAGAAATATGTATGATAAGATAATGGGAACATGTACAATCCTAGGGGATTAGGGGAGGGACCCAGATGGAGTTTTCTGGCTTATTCTTGTAACTTCCATTATGTGCCAAGCACAGTGGCGGGCCCTGGACACTGAGGAGGACTGGATATGGTGTTGCCCTGAAGGGACTCACAGTCTGGGGGCAGGGGAAACAGATGGATAAGCGGATTAATTACAATCCACTGTGGTCAGGGTTTTTTATAGCACAAGAATGCAGAGCACAGAGGATGGAGCAGCTAACTCCAAATTCCCCAGATCCAAGGAATCAAAGTCCAAAGGCACGAGTGCAGAGAAACAGGCACCTCAAGCGTGGGACCTATCTTTATGGTTCTCTCTCTTAAATAAAATTTAATTACACAAGTTCAACCTCCTAGCCAATACAGCTGTTAGTTTCCTACAATGGCCTTACAACATAACATATTAATTCAATTTTTTTTTTTTTGAGACGGAGTCTTGTACTGTTGCCTGGGCTAGAGTGTAGTGGCAGAATCTCAGCTCACTGCAACCTCTGCCTCCCAGGTTCAAGCGATTCTCTTGCCTCAGCCTCCCTAGTAGCTGGGATTACAGGCGTCCGCCACCACGCCCAGCTAATTTTTTGTATTGTTAGTAGAGACGGGGTTTCACCATGTTGGCCAGGCTGGTCTCAAACTCCTGACCTTGTGATTTGCCCGCCTTGGCCTCCCACAGTGTTGGGATTACAGGCGTGAGCCACTGCGCCCGACCTAATTCAAATTTTTAACACATTTAATGACATCAACCAAATAACAGATATTTGTAAGGCACTTGGCCAGGGGGAAGGAATAAGACTATGTCGCTGCCCTCGGGGGACAAGACAGGCACCTATGGAAAAACAATTTGCAACATTACAAAGGGTATTGATGTCAGGTGAGCAGCAGTCATTCAGGTGCAAAATGGTGCAGGGAAGAAAGGCATGGTGACCAGGAGCCAGAAGACTCTGGCTCCAGGCCCCATTTATAACCACAAACCAGTCATTCAATCTCTCAGAGCCTCAGTTTCCCTTTAAGAAATAGAAATAATAATTACCAAGCTGGAGAATCTCCCAGAGTTGTACAAATTAATTGAGATAGTTTTCGAAAGAATTGTGAAAGCTGTAAAGAGTTGTACAAAACAAAGCTCTCAGTATTATTACAGATATGAAGCACCAATCCAAAAGAAGGTGGTGGAGCAAGGGAACTTTCCAGTTGGAAGGAGGGTGCCTAGAGATGTAAAGAAATAGATAGAAAAGGGGATAGTTTGCCGGGCGCAGGACTGGCAGGCTAGTCGGAGCAGGGATTCAATGAACAATACAGATGCTAGGCTCAAACATCTAATAGGTGTTAGGATGATGATCTCCTATGTGTAATCCTCACCATAACCTTATCCTCATGTTACATACGAAGAAACTGAGGCCCAGAGAGCTTAAGGAATCAGCCCAAGCTCACAGAGCAAGGAAGGAGCAAAACTGAGGTTCAAGCCCAGGTCTGCCTGACTCCAGAACACACGTTCATCTCCCTACATCCCACTGTGAGGTCATGATACAGAAGAGACGATTGGATGGACTCTAGAAACAAAGAAATTAGATGAAAAAGAACTTCAGGGCTAGGTTGTGGTGGGTGCTGAGTGCCGATGGTGGTAAATGGCATTGGAAAAGGGGGAAACATGATCAAAAGTTCCTCCTGCGAAGAATGACATAACAATAGTTAACATGTATTAAGCTGATATGGTTTGGCTCTGTGTTGTGTTTGTTCTCAAACCTCCTTATACCAGTTATTCTGACACTGTGCTTACATAATTTAGTTAAATCTTTTGAAATTGATGAGATATGAGTGAGAAAAGGAAGGCATTTTTTATGACTGCTCTGAAAGGACTCAACAGAGGCAAGTTGCTGAAAATAATATATAATTAGGTGAGAGCAAGATATCTGTAAAAGATTGGGAAAAGTTGTAAAACTCAGGAGTTCTATACTCAGAAGGTTCTGCAAGTATCTTTAAGTACAGATTCATTTTCAAGAAGCCTAAACTGGAAATCAGGGGTGATAAATTATTGGCATGATTTATATTTCTGATTGAAGGTACACTTATCTGATTTAATTTAAACTATTTGACAATAGTTTTGACAACTTGCCTCTGTTGAGTCCTTTCAGAGCAGCCATAAAAAATGCCTTCCTTTTCTCACTCATATCTCATCAATTTCAAAAGATTTAACTAAATTATGTAAGCACAATGTCAGAATAACTGGTATAAGGGGGTTTGAGAACAAACACAACACAGAGACAAACCATATCAGCCTAATACATGTTAACTATTGTTATGTCATTCTTCGCAGGAGGAACTTTTGATCATGTTTCCCCCTTTTCCAATGCCATTTACCACCAAGGGCACTCAGCACCCACCACAACCTAGCCCTGAAATTCTTTTTCATCTAATTTCTTTGTTTCCAGAGTCCATCCAATCATCTCTTCTGTATCATGACCTCACAGTGGGATGTAGGGAGATGAACATGTGTTCTGGAGTCAGGCAGACCTGGGCTTGAACCTCAGTTTTGCTCCTTCCTTGCTCTGTGAGCTTGGGCTGATTCCTTAAGCTCTCTGGGCCTCAGTTTCTTCATATGTAACATGAGGATAAGGTTATAGTGAGGATTGACTATTTGATGATTGACTATTTGACTATTGACTATTGACCTGAATTTCATCCCGAGTTGTAATTCCCACATGTCACAGGAGAGATTTGGTGGGAGGTCATGAAAGCAGTTTCCCTTATGCTGTTCTCATGATAGTGAGTGAGTTCTCATGAGATCTGATGGTTTGAAAGTGTGTGGCAGTACCCCCTTCATTCTTGCTGTCTCCTGCTGCCTTGTGAAGAAGGCGCCTGCTTCTCCTTCACCTTCTGCCATGATTGTAAGTTTCCTGAGGCCTCCCCAGCCATGTCGAACTGTTAGTCAATTAAACTTCTTTTATTTATAAATTACCGAGTCGCAGGTAGTTCTTTATAGCAGTGTGAAAATGGACTAATATAGAAAATTGGTACCCAAAGTGGGGCACTGCTATAAAGATACCTGAAAATGTGGAAGCAACTTTGGAAGCAGGTAACAGGCAGAGGTTGGAGCAGTTTGGAGGGCTCACAAGAAGACAGGAAGATGTGGGATAGATTGGAACTTCCTGGAGATTTGTTGAGTGAATTTGACCAAAATCCTGATAGTGATATGGACAATGAAGTCCAGGTTGAAGTGGTCTCAGATAAAAGTAAGAAACTTCTTGGGAACGGGAGTAAACGTTACATTTGCTACACTTTAGCAAAGGGAGCGGCAGCATTTTTCTTCTGCTCTAGAGATCTGTGGAACTTTCAACTTGAAAGAGAGGATTTATGGTATCTAGCAGCAGAAATTTCTAAGTAGCAAAGCATTTAAGATTTGACCTGGTTGATTCTAAAAGCATATAGTCATATGCATTCACAAAGAGATGGTCTGAAATTGGAACTTATGTTTAAAAGGGAAGCAGGGCATAAAAGTTTGGAAAATTTGCAGCCTATGTGGTAAGAAAAAAAAAACATTTTCTGGGGAGAAATTCAAGAGAAATTTGCATAAGTAAAAAGCCAAATGTTAATAGTCAAGACAATGGGGAAAATGTCTCCAAGGGCATTTCAGAGATCTTCACAGCAGCCCCTGCTATCACAGGCTGGGAGACCAAGGAGGGAAAATGGTTTTCTGGGCCAGGCCCAAGGCCCTGCTGGTCTGTGCAGCCTTGGGACATGGTGCCTTCTGTCCCAGCTGCTCAAGCTCCAGCCATGGCTAAAAGGTGCCAAGGTACAGCTCGAGCCATTGCTTTAGAGGGTGCAAGCCCCAAGCCTTGGCTGCTTCTACGTGGTGTTGGGGGTCTGTGGGTACACAGATGGCAAGAATTGAGGTTTGGGGACCTCTGCCTAGATTTCAGAGGATGTATGGAAATGCCTGGATGTCCAGGCAGAAGCCTGCTGCAGGGGCAGAGCCCTCATGGAGAACCTCTAGTAGGGCCATGCAGAGGGGAAATGTGGGGCTGAAGACTCACCACACAGAGTCCCCACTGGGACACTGTCTAGTGGAGGTATGAGAAGAGGGTCATCATCCTTCAGACCCCTGAATGGTAGATTCACTGACAGCTTGCACTGTGTACCTGGAAAAGCTATGGGCAGTCAACACCAGTTTGTGAAAGCATCCGCGGGGGCTGTACCCTGCAGAGCCTCAGGGGTGGAGCTGCCCAAGGCCTCGGGAGCCCACCTCTTACATCGACGTGGCCTGGATATGAGACACAGAGTCAAAGGAGATTATTTTGGAGCTTTAAGATTTAATGACTGCCTTGGGTTTTGGATTTGCATGGGGCCTATAGCCCCTTTGTTTTGGCCAATTTCTCCCATTTGGAATGGGAGCATCTACCCAATTCCTGTATCCTCATTTTACCTTGGAAGTAACTAATTTGCTCTTGATTTTACAGGCTTATAGGCAGAAGGGACTTCCCTTGTCTCAGATGAGACTTTGGACTTGGACTTTTGAGTTAGTGCTGGAATGAGTTGAGACTTTGGGGGACTGTTGGGAAGGCATGATTGTGTTTTGAAATGTGAGAAAGACATGAGATTTGGGAGGGTCCAGAGACAGAATGATATGGTTTGGCTCTGTGTCTCCACCCAAATCTCATCTCAAGTTGTAATTCCCACATGTCGAGGGAGGGACCTGGTGAGAGGTGATTGGATCATGGGGGTGATATCCCTTATGCTGTTCTCATGATAGTGAGTTCTTATTATATATGATAGCTTAAAAGTGTGTGGCAGTTTCCCCTTTACTCTTGCTCTCTCCTGCCACCTTGTGAAGAAGGTGCTTGCTTGTCTTTCACCTTCTGCCATGACTGTAAGTTTCCTGAGGCCTCCCCAGCCATGCGGAACTGTGAGTCAATTACACCTCTTTTTACATTAGAGTCTCAGGTAGTTCTTTATATCATGTGAAAATGGACTAATACACGAGACTTTACTATGTGTCAGGCACAATGCCAAGGTCTCGACCTATGTTATCTCATTAAACGCTCAAAAAGAAAACTGTTAATACAGATGCTATTCTCATTCAGTTAACCCAAAAATGCAGAGGCAGGCGAGTTATGACACTGGGATTCAAAGTTGAGTCAAAGAGCCAAAGACCAGCTCTTCTCTGCTGCATGGTACCATACCTTTGGTAGGACATACCCAGGGATAGGAAGGGAGAGGGTCTGAAGGTGAGGAGACCAAATAGAAGGCCCTTTGACATTCCCTTCATGAATCATGCAGTGTCTGACTTAGGGCAGTGGTAGGGGGAATGGGGACAAGGGGCCAGGAGTGTGAGACAATAAGACAGAAGACTGAACAGTCCTTGGGAGGCATTTTGGTAAAGTAGTTAAAACTGGGTTTTTTTTTTTTTTTCGGAGGTCAGATCTATGTATATTCTAGTCTTGGTTCTGAAACTTTCTACATTAAACACATCAGTTAGTCACTCTCAATCTCAGTTTCTTCATCTGTAAAATAGGGATAGTAATATGATCAGCCTCCTAGTGTTGTTCCAAGGCTGAAGTCCATGAAATAGTGACTAGTGGCTGGCGCATAAAATAGGGTCAATAAATATTAGCTAGTAAAATTAAATCTAAATAGAGCAGGGAAAATGCAGACACATTTCTGTAAGGCATGGTAACCAAAGAGAATCTGATTGGGTGATTGGGGAGGGGTGTGGAGATGACAGGAATGTCACATGCAAGGATCTGAATCTGAAAAAAGGAGTCAAGGAATCATCTAAATGGGACTCTGATCTGGGGCCTGCAGAATGAGGTGGTTAAGCAGATCTCAGTTAGCTGGGACACGAGAAAGTTTACACCTGGGCCCCACATCCTCTAGTAAATAGAGGAGGAGAGAGAAAAGACTCAGGTATCAGGAGGGCTGGGAAAAAGGAGACGAGGTTAAAGCTTGTGGCCTTAAAGGAAAACTCAGAGCCTCTGGAGTCTTTGGTGAAACACTGGGAACTCAGACCTAGGGGGAAGCGGCAGACTATCACTATCCTTTTTGGCTTTCAGGTAAGGACATGGCTTTTTGATTTTGCATGTCCCTCACTGGTTCCAGCAGAGTTCAAGTAGCCTCTCTGGGTTTATTTATTTATTCCCAATAGCTTAGATGAGG
This sequence comes from Homo sapiens, assembly GCF_000001405.40. Classification (NCBI taxonomy): domain Eukaryota; kingdom Metazoa; phylum Chordata; class Mammalia; order Primates; family Hominidae; genus Homo; species Homo sapiens. Next base: position 14,126,558 of record NC_000011.10, on the reverse strand, counting down.
CCCAGAGGTGGGGGGAAGCTGGGAGGAAGAAATAATTAGACATGTAAGTTTGAGATACTGATGGCCAACCAGGTGCATTTGTCTAAAAAGCTACTCCAGGGAGATAATTTTGAGTATATGTGTAGTAACCTCTTTCCTAACATCCTTTCTGCTGTCATCATTGGTACTAAATTGCCAGCATTCACAATGATGCTTAAAACACCAGTGCTAATCAAATAATTCTGTCTGATATTTTATCTAGTGTTGAAGGAGACAGGGTGCATGGTAGATAGATTCTCTGAGGTGTTCTGCACATGGCAGAGTGATGGTTAATTTTATATGTCAACCTGACTGGGCTATGGGGAGGGCAGACATTTGATCAAAGTAGTTATGTCTATGAGGGTGTTCTGGATGAATATTTGAATTGGTAGAGTAAAACAGACTGCTCTCCCTATTGTGGGTGGGCCCTATCTAGTCAGCTGAAGACCTGAATAGAACATAAAAGGCAGACTCTCCCTGGAGGAAGAGGAAATGCCTTCTGCCTAACTGCCTTTAAGCTGGAACCTTGCTTTTTTCCCCCTGCCTTTGGACTTAAACTAAAACACTGGCTTTTCCTGGGTCTTCAGCCTACTGGCCTTAGGACTGGAACTGAACCATCAACAATCCTGGTTCCCAGGCCTTCACACTGAGACTGGAACTATACCATTGGTTCCCCTAGGACTCCAGCTTGCTAACTGCATTGTCTTGGGACTTCTCAGCCTCTGTACTCAGGTTAGCCACATCCTTATAAATCTCTTCACCACCGCCCTGCCCCGCCACATACCCTATTGATTTTATTTCTTAGGAGAACCCTGACTAATACAACAGGTATTCAGTGACTATCTGGATCTCCTGGCCAGTGGCTGCATTCCCCTGCCAATCCCAATTCTGCAGCAAGCCACCTATTCATTTCCTTGATACTCATTCATAATGCTTCTCTACAGAATGTCCTACAACCTTAGTGATTAGATTGCTGCAACCTTCTGTTGTCTAACCTCAGCCTCACCCATAGTACTTTTCAGCAAATCTTTGTTTTGAGCCCTGATTGGGCCCTTATGGAATCTGCTATAGTAGTTATATATGACAGATCTCCTCCAGCCTCTAAGTTCTAGGCTCCCCTCCTCCTTTTATTTCTTAGTAGATGAACTGGTCACTTAACTCTTCTGAAAAAGCCAAGGTTAACCCATCTACAGACTCATCCATGCACAATGTGGCCAGTGACCAACAGAAAAGTATTGTGGACCTGCCAGTTGTATTCATAAAAGTTGTTTTGGATCTCACATCCCTCTTGCCCTTGTTATTTTCATGCTAGATGCAGTTCTAGAACCTGCCTGGTTTCTGACACTTTGAATTTGGCTGCAAAACATGCCTTCTGCGGGTTTGCGCCTGGGTGCTGCCCAGGACACAGCTTGTACTTGTCCTTTGGCATTCTCTGTTCTTGGCTGCCTTGGGAACTCACTCTGACCAGACCATTCTGGTTTTCAGGTTCCCATCCCAGAATGGCCTCCTGGCAAAAGCCATGCATGGGGAAGTCTGTCATTTAGGCCAGAAATCCCCCAGTTTTCTATTATCCTGCCTTCTTCACTCCACTGTCTTTTTTTCCTTCCCTAGGGCCTCAAGGAAAGTGCCACTTTTCCGTTCCCAGGAAAACTCTTGCACTTATAAAATTGATTACATTATTTTCTATTTCTTCTGAGGCCTCCAATAATAATATTTTATTAATTCATTCAATGAATATTTACTGGGATTATACTATGTGCTAGTCCAAGGATCAGTAAGCTACAGTTGCCTGTTTCTATTTCAATAAAGTCTTATATTTTATGTATTATCTATTGTTTATGGCCACTTTCATGCTACAACGGCAGAGTTGAGTAGTTACAGCTGAAGATGTCTGGCCTACAATCTCTAAAATATTTACTGTTTGGCCCTTCATACAAAAAGTTTCAAAACCTGTGCCAGGTCATAGAGACACTGAGATGACTCAGACTTGATCCCGGTCTTAGAGATGTTCTGTCTGGAGGGTGGGGTGTGAAGGGCATGGAAGATAGGTCATAACAGGCAATTACAATAAAGCGTGGGTGATACAACTTTGATAAAGGCAAACACAGAATGTCACAGCACAAATAAGGGGGCACTTAACCCAGATGGTTCCAGAGGAGGTGTCCTGGAGGAGATGGCAGGTGAGCTAAATTCTGAAGGATAAGTAGCAGTTAGGAAGGCAGGTAGGGAGTTGGGGGAAGGTTATTTTTGTAGACAAAATAATAGATGCAAAAGCAGAGGCATAAGAAAAAGCTAGAGATATGTGTAAGACTACGAGTAGGTCATGGTAGTGTGTGCGTGTGTGTGTGTGTGTGAGTGTGTGTGTATAAAGACTGGATGATCAGTGATGAGATCAGTCAGCCAGGCAGATCATGATAGGATATGACTGTCTTAATAGAAACATTTTATCTTTAAGGCAATGTGAAGCAGAGAAGAGAATAAGATAGTCCTGTCTATAGACAACTCCCAGATCTGCATATGCTCACTTGACTTCTGCTTCTGACTCTGATTAAGTAAGTGGCACTGCATTAGCCCTCTGGACATAAATAACTATAAGTGGGCAAAATATATTAAGCACCAGTTTTCGGATGTTGGAAAACAGACCGCAAAGGACTATGATCACTGACAGAAGGGAAACACAAGAGATGAGCCCGTGTTTGCCCAGGCTTTCTGCCACAGACACTTTCTTGTTTGTGGTGCAGGAAGGTGGAGTAGAACTGACCATGGTAAACTGTCTGAGCTGAGGAGGTAGAGGTAAGAATTTGGGGCAATTAAAGTAGATAGGATTTATGGGCTAGAATGCCAGAGAGGAGGAAGCTGCATGGAGATGGAACTTCAGAATATGCATAGAAGTCCCCTTAAATCTTTGACCAAACACTAAGCTTCACTTGTGCAGGGTGACACTTTACAAGGCCTGGCAGAGAACAGCCCCTGGGGAGCTAAGAGCTGAATAGAGATTCTAGAGGTCACACAATGCTAGAGATATAAAATATCTACCCATCCATGTTAGAGAGAACTTGCTGAACACTATATGTTCAACTGAAACCCTAGAAAGGCTACAATTTAGTAGCAAAACTACATTAGCCCTAGAGTAAAGGCTACTCTAGACTTACCCCAACACAGCTTAGAAAACAGGCCTGGGAAAGGAATGAAGCAGATCCATCAGTAAATTAACCATTTGTCATACTCTTTAAAGGAAGATAAAAAATCCAGACACTCAACAATGTAGTATTTACAATGTCCATCATGCAATAAAAAATTTCTAGACATGGCTGGGCATGGTGCTCATGCCTGTAATCCCAGCACTTTGGGAGGCCTAGGTGAGAGGATCACTTGAGCACAGGAGTTTGAGATCAACCTGGGCAACATAGTGAGGCCTCATCTCTACAAAATTTTTTTAAAAACTAGCTGGGCATGGTGGTGCCTGCCTGTAGTCACAGATACTCCAGAGGCTGAGGTGGGAGGATCACTTGGTCCAGGAGTTCAAGGTTGAAGTGAGCTATGATTGCCACTCTATTCCAGCCTGGGTGACAGAAGGAGATCCTGTCTCAAAAAAAAAAAAAAAAAATTACAAGAGCAGTATAAAGGCAGGAAATGTAACCCCAAATCAGGAAAAAGCCCCACAGTCAATAACAGGAGTTCCTGAGATGACTGACATGTGGAACTAACGTACAAGAACTTTAAAACAGCTATTATCAATATGTTCAAGGATTTAAAGATGGACATAATGAGTGAACAGATAGGGAATTTTGGTAGATAAATAAAAACTATTTTAAAAAGCTCTGATGGAAATTTCAGAAGTGAAAAATATAATATCTGTATTTGAACACAGCAAAGGAAAAGATCAGTGAACTAAAAGATAGGGTGATGAAAACAATTCAAAATGAAGCACAGAGAAAAATGGGCTGAAAAAAATGAACTAGGGTATAAATGACTGTGGAATAAAAACAAGTGGTTTAACATAGTGGTAATTGGAGTTCCAGAAGGAGAGAATAGATAGATTGAGTTAGAAAAATATTTGAAGAGACAGGCCGGGCACAGTGGCTCACGCCTGTAATCCCAGCACTTTGGGAGGCTGAGGCGGGCAGATCACGAGGTCAGGAGATCAAGACCATCCTGGCTAACACGGTGAAACCCTGTCTCTACTAAAAATACAAAAAAGTAGCCAGGCCTGGTGGCGGGCGCCTGTAGTCCCAGTTACTCAGGCGGCTGAGGCAGGAGAATGGTATGAACCTGGGAGGTAGAGCTTGCAGTGGGCCGAGATCGTGCACTGCACTCCAGCCTGGGCGACAGAGCAAGACTCCATCTCAAAATAAATAAATAAATAAAAAAAAATATTTTAAGAGACAATGCCTGAAATTCTCCCAAATTTGAAGAAAAATACCAACCTATAGATCCCAGATCAACAAACCCCAAACAGAATAAAAACAAAGAGAATGATGCCTAAGCACATCATAATCTAATAACTAGAGAAAAAGAGAAAATCTTCAAAGCAACAAAAAGCGATAAAAGACACAATGAGGGAAACAAAGATAAGAATGATGACTTGCTTCAAAAACAAGGCAAACTAGAAGACAATGAAATGACAACTTTAAAGCTTAAAAAAAAAAACTGTCAGCCTAGAATTCTGTGTCTTGCAAAGATATCCTTCAAAAATGAGGGTAAAAATAAAACGTTTTTTTAAATAAATGAAAGCTGTGTGAATTTATTATTAGCACATCTGCAGTATATGAAATATTAAAGGAAGTTCTTTAGGCTGAAGGAAAATGAAAACAGATGGAAATACAGATCTACATGAAGGAATAAAGAGTGCTGGAAATGGGAAATATGTGGGTAAGGTGCACCTTTAATCTCTTCTTCACTGAAGAGCTTCTCCCTTTAAGTAAAGAGGTTCAAGTTTTCTCATTCTGGGTGAAAAAAAAATCTTCCATCAATGCTTTGTTCTCACAAAAGCCCATCTTTTGCCTTTCCTGCACCTCCAGGCTTTTCAGGAAGGTCAGTCTGAACCCACTGCTTCCATTTCCTCTCCTTGAATTATCTTCCTTGCAATCTGAACCCGAGCTTATTTTCTCCACCAAATCTTTAAACTGATGTTTGTTCCCCTCTATTCCCACATTTGAACAATTGCTGGGGGGCATTCAGAGGAAAATTACTCTCTATCTTCTTTATTTTCCATTTAAAAATAAAAGTATGCTTTGAATTCAGTAATATTCACCCCTTTTAATGTAAAGTCTAGCAAGTTTTGACAAATGCAGGCAACTACATAGTAACTACTATAATCAAGATAATGAATAGTTGTATTACCTACCCACATTCCCATGTAACAACCCCACCACCACTCCCAGCCCTTGGCAACCTCTGGTTTGTTTTCTGTCCCTATAGTTTTAAGTTTTCCAAGATATAAGTGGTCTCCCACAGTATGTAGCCTTTTGAGTCTGACTTCTTAGCATCATGCATTTGAGATTTATCCATGTTGTTGTATGCATCAGTCCCTCCTTCTTTTCAATTGTCTTGAAAGAAGAAAAGGACCTCCTACTGGCTTAAGGATTTCATCACATTCTTGTTTTCACCATATACTTGCTGTGCAATCTTGAACAAACTATGTAAATTCTCTAAGATCCAGTTTTCTTACCTGTGAAATGGAAATAATAATAGTACCTATCTTCTATGGTTGTGATGGGGTTACGGAAGGAAATCCATATTACAGCCCTTAGCACAGTTCCTGGCACACAAGAAAACATTCAATAATGGTTATTTTAAATATTAATATTTTATTTCTCTAGGAAAGATAGAAATTGGTAGCAAACCAGGACATGCACAGGACCTGTCCATTAGGGTAGGACAAGGTCTTAGAGGACAGCAAGCATTTTAAAGTGAGGTGGTCAGTTCAGGTCATAGTCAGCATTGGGAGTGCAGAGGCCCATTGGGAGGGTGGGCAAGTGGTGGGAAAATGGTGACAGAATGAGTCAGGCACACAGACAGAAGTTTCCAGAAGCAGGCAGTAGGGCTCCTGACATAAGCTGGGGGTGACTGTTCCAGCTCCAGCCTCTGGACTTAGGGTGGGGAACTGACAAGCTGAAAAGGCAGTGAGGGCTAAAGCAACATCCCTGTTTGGAGACTGGGAGGTATATGGGCATGGCCATATTGAGCACAGAGATAATTTAGAAGCCCAGAGAGTAGCCTCAAGGGACCCAGGGCCTGAATCAGGGTTGGAGGCTCTTTAAGTACTTCCTGCCTTGCATAAATATTACCCTGGGAATTGGGAAATAATAATCATTAACATGTAGTGAGACTTTACTATATGCTTACATATTGTTATTTAATCATGGAAATAAACTCATGTTACAGATTAGCAAATTAAAGCACAGACAGATTAAATGACTCACCCAGGGCCACCCAGCTAGTATATGGTAGAGCCAGGATTAGGATCCAGACTGACTCTCTCAAGAGTGGCACTGTCCAGTTTAACTTTCCAAGAAGTTGGAAGTATACTATACTTCACTGTCCAATATGGTAGCCACTTCTCATATGTGGCCACTGAGCACTTAAATGTGGCCAGTGTGACTGAGGAGATAAATTTTAAATTTTATTTAATTTAAATAAACTAATCAATTTAAGTGTATCGAGTGGCTACTGTACTGGACAGTACAGCTCTAGAATTTGGTGTACGTTTGTGTACTGCTAAATATAAGAACCAACTGTGCAGGTAGTCCTTTCTGTCACAAGGGGATGGGAGAGGAAAGACTCTACTGACGACGGGGGACTCTCACAATTGTGTATCACATGTGGCAAGTAGACAGCTTGCAGGAGGAGTCTGCACTTGAACTAAGACTTGGCCTGCAGCAGCTACATTTGGTGCCCTGTATCACAGACTCTCCATCCACCTCCAATTTCAGCCACAACTATGGCAGGCAGCAGTGAGCACTTGCTAATGCTATCAGTGAGTGTCTACCTCAAGGGCCTCTTCCTGTTGACTGACTCATGGCCTTCTCTGAAGCTTTGAGAGTCAATTTAGCCAGCAAGCAAGTGCCTGGGAGTGTGGGGAAGTTCACACTACTGCAGACAACCCTTGGTCAATAGGGGGTGGGTGCTAGTAGAAAATTCTGGAAAGTGGACAATTCTGGACTCATTCTATACACCTCTCAGAGGTACGCTGATGCCAGTGACCTGAATAATGCACTCTTACCTTGACCCTTCCTCCTCCCTTGTCACTCTCTCCCTATTCCTTCACTTCTGCTTCCTCTATCACCTTCTACACGAAGTACCTGCAGTCCTTGCCTCAGATCCTGCTTTTAGGAGAACACAAATTGAGACATGGCTTGTCCAACTAAGATCATGTGTCTGGGCCCAGAGATCCATAAAATAATTGTGGGGATTAGAAAAAAGGCAGTTAGGGATGCTCCTCCTGTTTCCATAAGCATAATATAGGTAATCCTCTACCACCCCTTTATTCAAAGCTAGAGATGTTGTCTTCATTGTCATTGTCTCATCCTCATCAGTATCACTATCATCACAATCACTGCCATTTATTATTGAGCATGTTCCCTGCATCATGTCCTTCACAGGTATCAGCTAATACCCTTCCATTCTCACAGTTGTCTTGCTAGGTAGGTCAGTTACCATCCCCATGTTATGGTGAGAGAACTGAGTTGCAAGTAGGTGGCAGGGCTGAGATTTGCCATTGATCTGCCAACCTTAAGGCCTTGCCCTTTCTACTCCACTGGGGATCCACAGCTTGAGCCAAGTTCAGATTTAGTCAGAAGGTCATTCTGATGTCACTCATGCCTGTCACCGGGATTAGTTCTTGGGGTGGAGATAATGGGGAGAAGTAGGATGGGACCTATCCAGTGTCCTTGATAGCATTAGGGGTATTGACTCTTGGTGTTCATAGACTTCAGCCTTCTTTGGACTCAGCCTTCCCAGCCCAGTCTTTCTGAACTTCTGACTCCTGATTTATTTGGATATCTATAAATAAAGCCTAGCTACTAACCTAATTCTCATCTCAGACACAAAGAACATAATTTCAGGGCACCCTCAAACTCTCATTCCCACTGGTACAATAAAGGCTGGTTGATGGTTTATTATGCACTGACAAGTAACACTGCAATTATATATCCAGAAAGAGCATTATTTAAAGGTGTCCTTCCAAGCTGACTTTTACACATAAACATTGTTAAATGTGGGAGAGAGGCTATATTCCTGGACAACTTCCAAATGTGTAATACTCCACTAACACTTGAGTTTGAAGCCCCAGGGAAGGAACTGTAGCACTACAGATGATAAATTCTAGCAATGTTTATCTAATTTTAAAAATCTAGGAGCTTGTATTTAAAGAAGCTTAGCAGGAGCAGTAAACAACTTCGCTTTGTTTTTTAGAGTATAACAAAAAGAATGGACATCTCCCACCCCCATTAGTTCATTTTTTCAGATTTCAATCTTAACTCTGATGGCTAAGCCCTGTAAATAAGTAAGCCAATGCTCTTCTGTATTTGAAAAGTTTTTAAGCAGAAGAGAAGAGGTAGTGAGAAATGGGAATTACTGAGCACCTGCCTGTACCAGGTGCTTTATTATGCATTGTCTAACTTCTTTTTCAATGCTATTTCATTGATAAGGAAACAGGCTCAGGGAGGATCTATAATGTGACAGTGGACACACTGCCAGGGAGTGGTTGGACCATGACTTGGCTCATGACTAGTTTGTCGTTGAGAAAGCTTTTGTTCTGTCAATAAGAAATAAACTAGAGGATCTGGGTGAAGTTTGTTAAGCTAATAATAGAAGCAAAGTCTATTTAACTAAGTCTATATATAGGACAAAAGAGGGGTCAGCCCAGGTAGAAAAAAATCCATCTCAAAATTGAGGTAAAAGTTAAGATGGAAGCCCAATCTCTTTCATGACCATAGATGTAGCAACCCCAAAATATTAGCAAACTCTATATCCAGTAAATTAGAAAAAGTATGCTATATAATAACAATGTAGGGTTTATTCCAAGAATACAAGGGTAGTCTAACATTCAAAATTTAATCAATACAATTCATCACATTAACAGAAAAAATTACATGAATATGTTCATAGAACACAGAAAAAGTATCTGATTATATTTGATATACATTCACATAAGAAAACATATCAGCAAACTAATAATAGAAGGAAACTTTCTTAATGTGATAAAAATATTTACAAAAAAGCCATAGCAATAATCTTACTTAATGATGGATATTAAAAGCTTTCCCCATGAGATTGGGAACAAGTCAAGAATGTCCATTATTGCCACTTCTATTTAACATCGTAGAGGTAATAGCCAGTGCAATAAGGCAAGAAGGAAAAAGAGAAGCTATAAAGATTAGAAGGGAATTATTGGCATAACTTATTGTGTACGTAAATTCCAAAATAATCTATATACAAAGTAATAGAAGCAATAAGTGAATTTAGCAAAGTCTCTGAAAATTAATTCAAAATACAAAAGTCAATTTTATTCCTATATACCAGTGACAAACAACTGGAAAATGAAATTTTAAAAAGTTATTATTCACAATAGCATAAAACATATAATACCCAGGAATAAATCTCATGAAAAAGTGAACAAGACTTCTTATCCACAGAAAGCTATAAAACATTATTGAGAGAACTTAGAGTAAAACTAAATAAATGGAATAATATGGTCATTGATTGAAAGATTTAATAATGTAAAGTTGTCAAATCTCCCCACGTTTTTCTATGAGTTCAAAAACAGTCTCAATAACAGGTTTTTTAAAAATATAAATCGATCATGATTCTAACATTTATGCAGAAATGCAAATGACCAAGAATAGCCAAATAATCTTGAAGAAGAAAAAAAATCAGAGAACACTCCCAGATATCAAAGCTTTTTGTAAAGGAACCATAATAAAGACAGTGTATTATTTGCAGGGCAGACAAATACAGCAATGGAACAGAAGAACAGAAGAGTCCTGAAACAGACCCACAGATGTACAGTCACTTGATGTATGACAAAAGTAATGCTGTAATGAAGTGGGAAAAAGATGGACACTTCAATCAATAGTCCTGTAAAAAAAAATTCAGAAAGACTATTGACTCCTACCTCACACCATACACAAATTCAATTACAGATCAGTTCAATATCTAGATATGAAAGATAAAAACTATGAAGCTTTTGGAAGGAAATACAAGAGAACATCTTCACGACTTTGAGGTAGGCAAAAACTTCTTAAATGGAGCAAAAAAGGTGCTAATCATGAACAAAAAAAAGATAATGTGGACCACATTTAAATTAAATCCTCTATTTACCAAAAGATTAGAAAAGTAAAAAGGCAAGCCATAGAATGGGAGAAGATGTCTGCAATACATATAATTGACAAAGGACTTTTATCTAGACTATATAAAGAATTACTACAAGTCAATAAGAAAATGGCAGAGAATATAATAGAAAAAGAAAAACGATCAAAACATCTGAACAAATACTTCAGGTTATCCAAATGGTCAATGACAACACACTAGGCAAAATTCAAAAAAGTACAAATCAAAATCCCAACGTGATATCACTACTACATCCAGTAGTTAAAGTGGAAAAACAAAACAAAACAAAACCATATCAACAATATCAAGTATGGGCAAGGATGTAGATTAATTAGATCTCTTTTGGTGTGGAAAATTGTTTAGCTGTATTTATTAAAGCTAAGCCACTTACATTACAACCCAGCAATTCCACATCTAGTATCTAACCAACAGAAAGGCAAATGTATATTTATCAAAAGACATATACATGAATGGATATAGCATATAGCAGCACTGTTCATTACAGCCCCAAACTGGAAACTACCCAAATGTTCATCCATAATAGGATAGATAAATGAAAAGCGGTAGATTCATGCAATGGAATATTATACAGCTATGAGAAAGAACATATACCAAAATGATATGCAACCACATGGATGAATCTCACCAACTATAAAGTTAACTATATACTATAAACAAAAGAAGCCAGATACAAAAGAGTACATATTGTAAAATTCCTTTTATAAAATGTTTTAAAACAGGCCAAATTAATCTATGATAGAAGTCAAGATGTAGTAGTGACTGGATGGGGACAAAACGGAGGCTTCTGGAGTCCTAGTCATTTTAAGAGTTTTGTGCTGGTGAAATGAACGTGTTCACATGAATGTGAAGCTTTGAGCTATAGACTTACAATTTACCCACTTTTCTGTGTATATGTTATGCTTCAATAAAAAGTTCCCTTTTAATAAAGAAAAACTAACTGAGTGACGGCAGAAGCAGAGTTACTTTTCTTGTCTTGTCTCTCCAGGCTCACTCTGGCCTACCCTATGCTTGAGCTGCATTGGATGAAAACTGAAAGTTTCCTTCTCCCATAATGGGGGTGGTATCAGGGAAATGACAGTGATGATCAGTGAGCCTGTAAGAGGCAAAGGTGGGAGGACACATGTTACCCCAGAACATTTTACAGATCAGAGGTCAGGTGCTCTGGGACAGAAGTGCCTGCCTGGAGCCATTAGCCAGGAGTTGCAAAGCTACTATTTTTAGTCTGGGATTTGACCTGTCAGGGAGGCAGCTTGGTAAAGAGAGAGTTTGGTCCACCTTACTTTAACAAAAATTCACTGTCACGTTTGTGCTCTAAATCCTACATATGGTCCTGGGGATTCAGAGAGAAACCAGACAAGGGTCCTGCCCTTGAGGGTCTCTCAGCATATTAGGGGATTAAACGTGAGGACAGGCAATTACAGTGCAGTGTGGAAAGTGCCGTGATAGGATAGCCACAGAGCAGAAAAGAGGAGGGCCGCCAATACAGACTGGGGAATTGGAAACGGCTTTCTGAGGCAGTGGGGTTAATGCAGAGAATGAAAGGGTGGCAAGCAAACAGTCAAGTGAAGAAATAGAGGCTGGATGGAGGGTGGCAATCACAGGAAACAGCCTGTGCAAAGGCCTGGAGATCAGAATGAGAGGCTGCTCTCTAGGAACCTGGACGGATGTGGAGCCAAGAGTATGATTTGCAGAGGGCATGAGATTAAGCTGGAACAGGCCAAGTTCCAGTGAACTGAGTGAGATGTGTCAAACAATCTGTATTACACAGGGTGATGTAATTAAATCCTGGATCTGCTCCTTTTGAACTCTGTGACCTTGGGAAAGTCCCTTCTGCTTTGGCAGCATCAGAACTTTATTTGTTTTGCCTTGATTATTAGCTTCCCTCCAATATTTTTTAAAGTACAAAAGGACTAAAAATCAAAACACTTGAACTCATAGACATAGAGTTGAAGGATGGTTACCAGAGGCTGGGAAGGCTAGTAGGGGGACAGAAGGGAAGTGGGGATGGTTAGTGGGTACAAAAAAATTAGAAAGAATGAATAAGACCTAGTATTTAATAGCACAATAGGGTGACTATGGTCAATAATTGTATATTTAAAAATATTTAATAACTTAAAAAGTGTAATTGGATTGTTTGTAACTCAAAGGATAAATGCTTGAGGGGATGGGTACACCATTACCCATGATGTGTTTATTTCACATTGCATGCCTGTATCAAAACATCTCATGTACCCTATACACATATAAACCCACTCTGTATGCAGAAACATTTAAATAAAAATTTGGCCAGGCGCGGTGGCTCACGCCTGTAATCCCAGCACTTTGGGAGGCTGAGGCGGGCGGATCACGAGGTCAGGAGATCGAGACCATCCTGGCTAACACAGTGAAACCCCGTCTCTACTAAAAAACACAAAAAAATTAGCCGGGCGTGGTGGCGGGCGCCTGTAGTCCCAGCTACGCGGGAGGCTGAGGCAGGAGAATGGCGTGAACCCGGGAGGCGGAGCTTGCAGTGAGCCGAGATCGCGCCACTGCACTCCAGCCTGGGCGACAGAGCGAGACTCCGTCTCAAAAAAAAAAAAAAAAAAAAAAAAAAAAAAAAAAAAAAAAAAAAAAAAAAAATTTAAAAAGTACATAGGAGGTGACTTGCTTTCCAAAGACCTGCACATAGTAGGTGCACTCAGGAAATCTGGTTGATTGATGAGTGTCTAGGGCTAAGAAGCGAAGGAGAACAGCCTCTTAGCCTTATTTAAGAACACAAAAGCAGGCTCATACCCACGCCCTCCATCACATGCTGGCAGCTGAGAACACTGCAAAGGCAATAATCAGGATGAAAAATTCCCCTTTGCAAGTTTCTGAAACTTGCAGCCCATTGTGGTAGCTGGTGGCTGGTTTGTCCCTGGAGCTCTGGTGAAATGGAAGACTCCTGTTTAAGCAATTCCAGGCAGGAGAGGTCTGTTTTCTCTTGATGGAGAGGGATTGTTTATGATTAGAGGGTTATTTCCTTAGTGCTTTTTTGAGTTTCTTAGAGATTAAATTATTGCAGTAAGGGGGCAACAGGAATTCCTTTGGCTTTATAAGGTCTGGCTTCCTAGTTCTCCCTTGGAGGGAAATAAAGGATTTGAATAACTTATTCATTGCTTGAACAAATTTCAAGGGTGCTGTCAGAATCAAGACCAGACCAGGCAGCTGAGGTTAAAGACTAGACAGAAAGATCGGTATTGGGATGAGCAGGCAGGCCAGAAATCCCCTGGTGTTAGGCGAGATCAGGGATTAGGAGCAGATGGTGATAGAGACACTGGGCATCAGGCAGGTCTGGCAGCAATAAAAGGCAGAATTCTAGTGCTTGGAAGAATTAGAAGGAGCAAGGAAGGGACTTCATCCCTGGAAGGGCAAAGCCAGGGCTCCTATATGGGTCTTGCTGGGGAAAAAGGCCATTTTATAAAGGACAGAGTCAGCTGGATAGCAGGCAGTCCTTAACTATCTATGGAATTGACACATGCATGAAAATTAAGACCCAGTTATGAGAACTGGGGTCCAAGGCAAGAAATAGATCATGAAAAAGGGTCATAATAATAGCTGCCAAGTATATAACACTGAATATATGCTAGGCGCTCTTCTGAGCGCTTTACATAAATTAATTAACTTCATCCTCACATTAGTCCTATGAAGTTAGTATTATTATTATCCCCATTTAATATATGAGAAAACCAAGGCACAGAGGAGTTAAATGTCTTGCCTAGCCTCTTGCAGGTAATAAGTGGTGGAGGCAGGATTTATTCTGACTGCAGAGTCTACATGCTTAATAAAGCTTTAGATGTAATGGTCTTGTTAGAATTGGTACAATGCTGGGTTGCTAAACTCTTGTGCAGTTCTTCCAAATAAGGAGACTCACTGGTTTAGAACCTAGGTCTGGACTGAGTCTGAAGGGTCTTCAGCAGGCTCACTTATCAGGAGTGCTTTTGCGCTGTTTGTTATAAATTATTTTCCAAGCATATAATCTCTAGTTGCTGTGTTTAAGACCTTGGTCAATGTAAGGCTTTGGTCTGCCAGCTTTTTTCTTTTTCCTTTTTTTTTTTTTCCCCTGCAAATTTTGGCCTAGGAGCCACCAGGATGAGGAAGTTTTCTTGCTTCAGCTAATAGAAATATCTGACTGACAGCCTTTCAGGTTCTCGGTGTCTCTGGCACAAAAGGTGGTATGAGGTTCTTTCCAAGTGTTGAGTGTTCAGAACTCAAGCTAACATCACAATTCTATTGACTTGTTTCTGTGCTCCTTGGTCAATTTGTCACTTTAGAAATTCCATGTCACTTTGTCAATCAAAATAAGCATTTCAAAAGAGTTAAGATGTTACTCTAATCAGTATAGCTTAAGTAAGTACTAATGAAGAATAAGACCCCACATAAGTTGAGCTTAAGAAGCATTTTACTGCTTTATTTTCAAAACGAAACCCAAGAATCCTTGCAAATTGGGAGGATGTTTGGCAGGAATGAAGTGGCTGGCACAAAACATGCAGCAATTCCAGTCATGATCATGAATAGTCAGCCTTATTTGGCATAAACAATTCTTCAGGGTATATTTTCAACTCATTGTTTGGAAAACTTAAGCATATAAATGCTGTTAGCTTCAGCAGTTTTGTGTATACAATTCTGAGTAACCTTATTAGATTGTTAGTACGTACATATTCCTCCCTTCTATGATCGTTTTAAGTAATTGAAATATTCTCTTAAAAGTGAAGACTTCTTGCAGCAAGTTCGTTGAGTAACATGTATTCAGCACTAACTCTATATCAGATATGGTGCTGGAGCTGGGGATATAGTAACAGTCCCAACCAACTCTAATGCCTTTCTTGAGAGTCTGCCATAAAATCATAGAATGCAGGGAAAAAGCAAAGATGACACAGAAAATGAAAGGTAAGGAAAAGGATGTGTTCATCATATAGAGAGTTTGTCCCGTGTTATTTCTAATATATGTGGTATCTTGAAGATACTAATGATTGCTGCCCAAGGGTTGAGGGTAATATGAGAGATTTTTGCAGCCCTTATAGATTAAAGGAAGCATAATGCATTTAACTAATATAGATTTTAAAGAAGGTTTAGATTCTGTCTTTTATGACATTTCCTTGATATTACTACAAGAGATGGAGTGAACCCCAGAATCCCAGTTCATCTATCCATTCTGTTATCTGTCATTCATTTGATACTTCTAGTTGTCTATTTTGTTTTGCATAGGCTGGGAGATAGTGATGCAGTCATGAACAAAACATAGTCTCTGCCCTCAGGGAAACAATAGCCTAGGGCAGGTGTGACAGTGAATATTAGACGTCAACTTGACTGGATTGAAGAATGCCTAGATGGCTGATAAAATATTGTTTCTGGATGTGTCTGTGAGGGTGTTGCCAGAGGAAACTGACATTTGAGCCAGTGGACTGGATTTGAGCCAGTGGACTGGGAGAGGAAGACTCGTCCTCTCCTCCTGCCTTTGGACATTAGACCTCAGGTTCTTCAGCCTTTGGGCTCTGCAACTTGCACCAGTGGCCTTCCAGGAGCCCTTGGGCCTTTGACCTCAGAATGAGGGCTGCACTATCAGATTTCCTGGTTTTGAGGCTTTTAGACTTGAACTGGGCCAGGCTACCAGCTTCTCTCTTTTCCCAGCTTGCAGGCAGCTAGCTTATCATAGGACTTCATCTTGTAATTGTGTGAGCTAATTCTCCCCAATAAACTCCCTTTTATATACATATATCTTATTGGTTTTGTCCCACTGGAGAACTCTAACACAGATTTTGGTACCAGGAGTAGGGTAGAGAATGTATAGTCCAATTAGGCAATTGTTTAATTGATGTGCAACTGACACAGTATAGGCAGCATAGCAATTACTCAATAATTCTTATAAAGGAAGAGATAAAATAAGAGATCATGGGTTTCTGGGCCCATAAGGAGATGGGGTGGCTGATGGTATTAGATCCTCAAAAAGGGGAGCTGCAATTCACTTCTCAGTAACTGGGAATTTCCTCTTATTCTCTCCTGGATTGGGAGATGTCAGGTGTTAGAAGGCTTTAGTCTTCTTCCTACCCTGGATGGCCAGTAGGATAACTGATAGAACTGGCCAGGCATGAAGGAGCATCTGCTTTGTTGTTAGTCTTTCACAGCAGAACAGTTTCAGTCAGAAAGGAATCTGTCTGATGTATCTATTTCAGTGGAAGAGAGATTAATAATTTTGCCAGTTAGGATCTGTGCTGTGACGCAGGAGTAGGCAGGATGCTGATGGATCCCAGAGGAAGAGATAACTCTTTCCTGTCTTTGAGATGGAAAACATGCTGTCCTTCCTGCCCACAGAGAAGAAAAAAGTTTTCCTCCTTTATTCTCAGAAGGTGTCAGTTTCTACCCTTCTAAATCCCTTCCAGGTTTCTTGAGTGTCTACCACATACCATTTTGCTAGGCACTGGGTGGAATGAAATGAACAAAGGGTAGTTACAGTTCCTGGAACTTATCCTTTATTGGGGGAGCCAGTTAATTTAATTAAACAAATAATTACAGAGCAGTCTGATTTGGACCTATATGGACATGTCATAAGGCATAGAAACATAAAAATATTAATAAAGACATATAAAAATATTTAAAAATATTAGTAAAGCCACTCTGTGCACAAAATGTGCAAAACAATGCAAATTCTCTTTCCCCAAATTAAAAAATTGCAAGAACCGTAGTTTCAAAGCTGGTGACTGAATGAATTTTAAGCTGTGTTTATGTTATTGGTGCACAGCTGTACCACTTTACAGCTGGTTTAAAAATTTAGTCTTAATCCTTTTTCAGTATTAATCTTATTTCTGTAAGCTTTAAATTATATGGAATATCCTGAAGAACATAACCCTAGGGAAACCTGAAGCAGCTGTACTAAACAATAAATAGAGCTTGTTGCTCTATTTATCGTGGTATGAACCTGTAGTCCCGGCTTCTTAGGAGACTGAGGTGGGAGGATTGACTGAGACCAGGAGTTCAAGTGCAGAATGATAAACAGAACAATAGATAGCTGGAAGGGCACAAAGAGTTGTAAAGAGTGTTTAAGAACTAGAACCAGTCCAGTGTGGGGAATCAGGGAGAGCTTCCTTAAAGAAGTGATGGTTTAGGCTGAAATACGAAGACCATGTAAGACTGGACTAGGCAGAAAGAGAAGGAGCTGCCCAGGACTCAGCTCAACAATTAAATGGTTTCCTTACCTTCTCCCAGCTTTGATTCCTCTCTAACTGCTTGTTGCTCAGCCCCTAGGATACATAGAGAGAGATCCCACCTAATAATTGCTTATGTGCTCCTGGGGGTTGGGTGGTAGGCAAAGAGGGGAAGAGAAATCAAGTAAAACTGACCTTGGCCAACAGAAATCACAGAACACATAAATTCCAAACTCCACTGACTTCTCTTTTCTTATTTACAAAAAAAAAAAAGGTCATCAAATACTAACTTAAAATTAGCTGATTAGTTCCATGTGTTTGTCTGGTTGGCTGCTGAAATGGATATATTTTATTTGTTATTAAATTCCTTTCTGATAGGGGAAAAAGTCACAAATGAAAACTCTATTTCCTCATTGCTGGTTAGGCCTTGTAGTATAAAATCTTTTATAAATGGTCTGTCAAGTGTAAACTTGGGGCCCTTTACTTCCAGTGATATTTGTGAAGTTAGGGATGACAAAATATACCTGGAACTTGGCCCTCTCTCCACTTGGTACATGGAAGAAATTCAGGAGTCAGGTTGGAATCTCAGCAAACTCTCATCAGGTGATGGAAGCCAATCAGATGAGAAGACTTATCCAAGATATCAGCATGAGATCAGAGCTAAATCCTTATTTAGAGGTTGAGAATTTGGGTGGGTAGCAGGACAAGGCTAGAAATAAGCACATTATAGCCATAGCTAACACAGTCCTTGCTGTTGGTCTTGTTCTGAGCTAAGAACCATTTATACATCGTCTCATTTTAAAATAATAATGACGAACACTTTGTGAGCTTTCATCATATTCCAAGCCTATTCTAAGAATATTAACTCATCCAACTCTACAACAATACAGTGATGTAGACTGTGATTTTACTGAGGAGACTGGAGGTCAGTGTAAGTCAGTGTCTTCTGCAAGGTGCTACAGCTAGTAAATGGTGGAGATTAGCTTTGAACCTAGGTCGTCTTTAAAACTGCTTCATGAGATAGGTGATTTGATTATCCCTGCTTTACAGATGAGAAAACTGAGGCACAGACACGTTAAGTAGCTTCCATAAGCCCCTCTAGTAAGTCTCAGATTCAACACTCCTAGATGGATCTGACTCACAATAGTCCATTATTGTTCAAACTATATACAATATGTATTGCCTCTCAGCGGAGTGCTGACCATTGGCTACTCTTTTCTGGGGAGCTGCAAGGTGCAAAAGAAACCTAGATTACAGTTTCTCTCACTTTAGAAAGGCTTCCTTTCCACTCTCGCATTACTCTGATCTGGTTTGGGGATTTGGTATTTCAGCAAGAACTTGCTCTCTCTCCCACCTTCCTATTTTAGTTTACTTCTTAGGCTTTTAGCTTCCACATTAAAAGCTAGCCCTCTTTCATTTTTTTTTTTTTTTTTTTTTCCTGAGGATCTTGCCTTCAGAATACAGATCAAATTTTAAGAGAGAAGCAGAATTAGCCCAGGAGCTGGGTGGCCACTCAGGTCTGAATGCAAGAAATGTTTACCAAAAAATTCAGTCAACGGACCAAAGATGGAACCAGAGACTTGAAAAGCAAAGCAAAGGAATCCATGTCCGCTGGAGTACGGACAGCCGGACAGATGTACAGATCTCTTCAAAGGTTGCTTAGGGACCCAATAAACCTGAAAAGACTGTGCCTTGAATATCAATGTGTGTGGGCGGATAAAGGAACATTATTTCTCTTCTTCCTCTTGGTTTTCCCAGGGTGTGTGCAACAAAGCAAATGCAATTTACATTCAATGACTGAAAGCCACTCACATCTGTAAACACTAACTGTCCCAGCCAGCAAAACCCTCCAGAAAGCCTCTTAGCCCCATTTCAAGGAGCCAGATGTAAAATGAAAGCCTTCTGCTTTTCATTGTTCTTTCCACTTGAGCTGCAAGACCCTGGGAGGCTCCATGTGCAGGAAAAACCTGGTACATTTTGCTCTTAAATTGAGGCAAGCTTATAATGTTAGACAGAGTTTAATTAAACTCTTGCTGGTGGTTGTGAAAAAGTTTTGCTTCGTCCTAAGCCTTTCTTCATGTGTTCCCTGCAGGCAGCACACACTTTTTCCTTCCAGTGGAAGGTCATTAGGACCATATGAATATGCACAGACTCAGGAAGGTTCCAAGATGCTCTGGGGGCATTTGACTCATAACTTTCAATTTAATCAATCAACTCAGTGGTATAGTAAAGGGATTACAACTATCCTACTCCCTGATCACAGGCGATCAGCTTTACTGCAGGGCTACCAGTACTAATCCTTTTCACTAAAAATAAGGCAGGGCTGCCTATGCTGCGATTTCCTATACCCTTTGTCGTCTTCTATGTTCTTTCACTCTGAATTCAACTGAGTCTAGGAAAAAGCTGCAAGTATTTCTTTGGACTCATGCTTCACTTTCAACCCCAAACAGTAGAGTTTTTGCAGATTGGGAGGGATGTATGCCAGGACTGTAGTGGCTGGCAGAGACCTTTGCAGAAACTCCACTTGTGATTATAAATAGTTGGCCCTTCTTGGCATAAACAATTCTTGAGGGTATATTTTTCAACTCGTTGTTTGGAAAACTTAAGTACATAAATGACACTAGCTTTGGCAGAATTTTGTGTGCAAATTCCTGGGTGACCATACATAATGTTGTTAATGGTCTTTGATATTCCCCCTCCTATAATTTCATAAGGCTTTTTGGTGTTTATAATATTTTCATACAAAGGAAAAGTTAAGTCTTTATTATTAAAGTATGCATTTCTTGGAATCACAGCAGAGGAACTGGCAAATAGGTTTGAAGGAAATAGTAAATGAAAAATGCATGGGTTGTCATCGTGCTTAAATGTTAATCACATCCATTTTGCTAGGAGACTGCTAGCATTAGAGCTTACATAATAATTGATCCATGACTTGCCAATGAATCCAGTCTTCCCTCTCAAATCAGTTCAAAACAGGTGACTACTTAAGCTACATAAATGAGATGCAGGAAGCATGTGCTCTTTAAACTGCCAACCAGCAGGAGTAAATGGCAAGCAAGTTATCAATAAATTAACTTACCCCTCTCAGTGGTAATGGGACTTTACCTTGATAGATATAAGGAAAGTAATATTTAATGTAATATCTAATTCTGAATGGCCAATCCAATACAGGTGTGTGTTATTTAGGACATGATGTGCTCAAGAAATAAAGTTTTTGGACCTCCAGGAGGAAGTCTGAGTGAGAGCCTGTGAACCTTCCAATTTCAAGGCCTATTTAAATGTGAATAAAACAGTCTGAAGCAAAGGTTTCAGAAATAGCAGCCATATCATCATGAGAAACTCAAGGAAGAATGAGTAAAGGGGAAT
Organism: Homo sapiens; assembly: GCF_000001405.40. NCBI lineage: Eukaryota > Metazoa > Chordata > Mammalia > Primates > Hominidae > Homo > Homo sapiens. The sequence goes on along the minus strand of NC_000011.10, from coordinate 14,105,661 downwards.
AAATGACTGGAACCATTGAAAATGTTTGTCAGGCACGAGAGAAGAAAGATGAATTAAGAACCTGGGTGCAGGGTGGGGTGGGGATGGGAAGTATGAATCAATAAACCATGAAATGAAACAAGAATCAAAACAGGATTTAGAAAATACTTATAAACTATTTCTTAAATGTGGAAGAAAGACATTATATCTATTTCAGAAGAGCTCATTACAGCAGGAAGGGGCAGGAAGGAGTAAACAATGGTAGTATAGGTAAAATGTAGAATTGGATGCTACAGGTAACTAACAGAGAAAGAGAAAATGAACTAGGAAAAAATCTGCAGAGCATGAAAAGAGATATAAAAATATGCAAAAGAAGATCTGGAGAATGGAGTGCTCTGGAAGAGATAGGAGTTCCTAAAGAAAGAGAAGGAATGAACTGAACACATTGCTTGCATGAAATAGATGCTTTGAATAGATTTATGGAATGAATGAGCAAACAAAGAATAAAACATTGAAGATTAGAAAAAGAAAAGATCCACTAGAAGAAAAATGTAACCATTAATAAAATAGTTAAAGGTTAAAGTACAAACAGAGCCCTATTTAAGATCCACTAAAAATAACTGAAATCAACATGTATCATCAAATATTTTATTTTAATTACAAAAGGAAAAGAAAACATTCTGCAAGGAGCTAGGTTACATATTTCATGTAAAAGATATAGTCATAAGTAGACAAGGACTTCATTGTAATGAAAAAACCATGTACATACCATAGAGTAAAGAAGCTGTATAATTTCTGTCTTTATACAGTCAAGTTTTTATCCAAATGTAAAGATGTTCATGAATTTTCAGTCTTAAGAAATTTGGTCACCCACTAATGGACCAGCACTGACTTCAAAAGTTACTACAAAAAGAAATCTGATCTTAAAAGATAGACCTGAAAAAAGATGATGCTATTAAAAATAGTATGAAATCTTGAATTAGTATGTACCTATTGAAGAGATAAGTAAACAAAAACAATAGAAAGAATTGTTTGTGATAGGAGTTGGGCATTAGGAAAATTGTTAGAATAAAAGCAGATTAAAATAAATAAACTGAGCAACAAGTTAATTCAATGAAAAATGGAAGCAGTAACAGAGTAGGGAAGAACAAAAAAAGAACAAAAGTTTCCCATAAAAGAGAATCAAAGATACCATTTTGATAATGAAATCTTTGTGGTTTATCTTAAATTGACAGCTAATCAAATTAAAAAGAAGACAGTTGCTAAAGGAAATTAAAATAAGCAAAACCCAAACCAAACAAATTAATTGTGTATATAATACCAAAGAACATCTAGGGGAAAAAAAAACAAATTAACTATAAAAATTGAGAGATAAAAAGTAAAATGGAAGAACATAAACCTAAGCGGACTAGGGTTAAAATAAGTATAAGCTCAAACAATTTTGAGGAAGAAAAAATAAAACACAAAAACGAAAAAAATGCTTCCAACTGGAATAATGCAATAATTTACTGGGAAATCTTTAAAAAGGCTTAGAAAAAGGATAAAAACACTAAAAAGTAAATTTAAAAATCACTAAAAAGGTCTACTAATTAAAGGGAAAAAAAGCAAGTGAGATTTCAGACAAGGTAGAATTATGGTAAAAGTTATTAAAGCAAGCTAACTGTTAATTATGTGATAAAAGCCTTAATAATGAGAGCATAATGATATTATGTCTATAAGGTTCAAAGAACATAGCAACAAATCCCTTATAAAAATCAAAGGGAAATTAATAAGTATACAATTTTAGAACAAGGTATTAATACCCCATTATCAGAATATGATAAATTAATAAGAAAATGATAAATTAATAGACTGAAAAGCATAATTAAACATACAGCAGAAAGGGTAGGTATTGCCAACAATTTAATAGATTGAACAACAAACAAGCAAACAAATAAAAAACCCTGAAATGTTATTGCTGTTTCCTGATAAGACGGTGAATTAGCATGTGCTCCTCATCCTCTAAATTCAACCCAGGGAAACTTCAGAAGCAGAGGGAAGCACAGATCCAAGGAACTAACAGAGACACTGAAATAAAGAGGAGATCAAAGGCTATCCTGACCCAGGAAAAAGAGGATAGATGGAGTGATGAATCCTCCTCTTTCCTCTGGCCCAGTGGTGGGAGGATGGATTTGTGAGGACTATTGCAGTTCTCTCATTTCCCCTCCTTGACATCACCAAGGGAGGGTCTGGGTCCTTGCCTGTCCTGCAACCCAGATGTCTGCAGGACTAGGCCAGCTCTATTCCTATTCCCAGCCAGAATAATCTCAGGGCAGCAGCATAAAGCCCTCTCAGGAGAGACAGGGATAAACGAATCCCAGCCTTCACTGGGTATACACTTCTTCATCCCTTCTGTTTCCAGACTTGCAGGGCTGGGGATTAGAACCTGAGGAGATCACTTCCTCCTATTCCTGCTTTGTTCTAAGAGTGTCAGGATGAATCCTTAACTGAATAAGTTACCCAGTAGAAGAAAGCAAACAGAAGAGTTGATAGCAGCGACATGATGCCTGGGCCTCGTCTCCTTCCTTTTCCTTATACACACCAGAAGGGGCACCACCTAGGATTTGGCCTTTCCCCATCATACACTACCAGGCAGAACATTTATATCACCACAGAAACAGAAGACCACCTGCCACAGTAACTAAATCCCAAGCAGTACAACTAGCGAAAGAGAATGCAAGCTGAACATGAAGCAGCTTATTGCAACAGATGGACCAAAAATTTAACAGAAGCACAATACATATTCTCAAAGATCGGGAGCATGTTAGCAATATGAAGCAAGAACAAGAAATAGAGAAAAAGAACAAAATGTAAATTAGGTGTTAAACAAATATCCATAATGGCTGTGGTATCCCTGCCAAAGATGCACAACCTGAATCTAATTATGAGAAAGCATCAGACAGCCCCAGACAGAAGGAGAGTCTACATAGTAACTGCCTTGTACTCTTCAAAGGCATCAGTGTCATGAAAGTCAAGAAGGACTAAGAACCATTCCAGATTGAACAAGACTAAAGAGACCTGACAAGTAAATGCAGTATATAATCTTAGACTGGATCTTGAACCAGAATTTTTATTTTTGATTTGCTACAAAACTGTGCTGTGTGATATGGTTGCCACCAGCTACATGTAGCTACTGTGTGATTGAAATGTGGCTAGTCTGAATTGAGACGTGCTGTTAAGTGTAAAAAAATACAATGGATCATATTATGAAAAAGAGAATGCAAAATGTCTCAATAATAAATTTTTATATGAATTGCATGTTAAAATGCTACTACTTTGGATATACTGGCTTAAATAAAATAGAATAGAACATTAAAATTAATTGCACTTGCTTCTGTTTAATTTTTTTAATATGGCTATTAGAACACTTGAAATTACATACGTGGCTCATATTTGTGGTTTACATTATAGTGATATGATACAGTATTGCTTTGGAGAACATGAGAGGTATAATGAGTATAATTTGAACAAGACATATAGATTAGATTATAGTATTTTATCAATGTTAATGATAAGTGTATTGTAATTTTGTAAGAGCATCCTTGTTCTCTTACAAAATATTACAAAAACATTCAGGAAATACACACTGAAGTATTTAGAGGTAAAAGGACAGGCATGATGTCTGCTACTTCTCAGAAGTTCACAAAAAATAATATGTATCTATATGGTGAGAGAATGATAAAGGAAATGTGGTAAAATGTTAACAACTGTGGAATCTGGTGACAGGTGATCAGAAGTTCTGTGTGCTATTCTTGCAACTTTTATATAAATTTGAAGCTATTTCAACATAAAGGTTTATAATAAAACCCCCACAACAGTTGAAATAAGCAACATAGTAGTTGGGGTAAAAGCAGGATGGTTGGCACTAAAGAATGAGTGGCCTAGGGATAAAACTGAGGAACTTCTCACTTGCTTTTTCTTCTCTTTAATTAATAGACCTTTTTAGTGTTTTTGAGTTTGTTTTTTAGTATTTTTAGATGATCTAAGCCTTTTTAAAGGCAGCAGTGAGGTAGGAAGGGAAAAAACACATAAAATAAAACCCAGATGATATGAAGGAAATGAGTAGAAGTGACAATATCTGAGTCACCAGAGGCTCAGAAAGAGAAAAAAGGAGGAGGGGAAATATTTGACAAAAAATAAATCTCCAGAATTAAAGGAGGAAAGCCCTCATATTTAAAGGACCCATAGAATAGAAAACTAGGTTTTATTATTTTATTATTATTTTTAAATTATTATTATTTTTTGAGATGGAGTCTTACTCTGTCACCCAGGCTGGAGTGCAATGGCATGATCTCTGCTCACTGCAACCTCTGCCTCGTGGGTTCAAGCAATTCTCCTGCCTCAGCCTCCTGAGTAGCTGGGATTACAGGCATGCACCACCACTCCCGGCTAAGTTTTGTATTTTTAGTAGAGATGGGGTTTCACCATGTTGGTCTGGCTGGTCTCAAACTCCTGACCTTGGGTGATCCGCCCACCTCAGCCTCCCAAAGCACTGGGATTACAGGCATTAGCCACTGCGCCCAGCCGAAAACCAGGTTTTAAAAAGAAAAAAACGACATCAAGTCACATTAACTGTGAAAATAAAGAACATCAAAGAGACAGCAAAAAACAAACCAAACAAAACAACAACAAAAAAATGGAAAAGCAAAACAGAGAGAGAGATTTGATCACCTAGGAAGCAACCAAATTCAGACTGAGATTAGGCTTCTAAGCAGCTGGATAGAAGGACACACTGGACAATGGAAAACAAAGTGTTTCTGAATGCAGGTCTTATGTCAGCCATCAGTCATTTAAATGTGAGAGCATAATAAAAAATTCTCAGGCATATAAGGCCTTAGGGGGTTTGCCTTGCAAAAATGTATTATAAAAATACTCTTGTAGAAAATAGTGAAATAAGAAAAATGCTAAAGAGCTATGGGTGAACAACACTTTAGTAATGTTTATGGTTGTGTAAAAAAGCAAAGACTAGAGAAAAACAAAAAAGAAATTATCCATACAATCCAGAAATAAAATTCTAGAAAATAACCAACATAAAGTGTGTATTTGGGTACAGGGATAGTAGAGACCAAAGGAATTATAAAGTATGCTAAAGTACTTGTTTTGTTTATGAATTCAACAGAGATAAACATAAGTACGTGTCTTACATTAAAGGCAACCACCATAAGAACAACAACAAAAAAATGGATCAAATCACTTTTAATCCAGCAGAAGAAAATAATTTAGGCAATGGAAAGAAAAGAAGGTGTCTAAAAAAAAAGAAATGAGAAAGTACAATCAGAAATGTATAATAACATGGCAGAAAAATTATAGTAGGACAGTAATCACAATAAATATGGGGTAGATGGAATCAAACGAACAAACAACAAGGCCCAGAGGGGCCTTTCATGGACTAATTATACTTGTGTGTCACTAGGTAACACATAGCTTGGCACCTGAGGCAGAATAAGAAAACAGGCTTTTGAAAGTCAACATAAGCTAGGTTATTAAAAAAAAAAAAAAACTCAGTAAGTACAAAAAAGCAGAAATTATATATAACACACTCTTTTACTGATATGGTTTGGATGTTTGTCCCCTCCAAATCTCATATTGAAATGTAACCCCCAGTATTGGAGATGGGGCCTGGTGGGAGGTGATCGGATCAGGTGGGGAGATCCCTCATGAGTGGCTTAGCTCCCTCCGCTTGGTGATGAGTGAGTTCTCGCTCTGGTAGTTCACAGGAGATCTGGTTGTTTGGAAGAGTGTGGCACCTCTTCCCTCTGTCCCTCACTCCTTCTCTCACCGTATGACATCAGTTGCTTCCGCTTGGCCTTCAGCCCTGATTGTAGCCTCCTGAGGCCCTCACCAGAAACAGATGCTGGAGTTGTGCTTGTACAGCCTGCAGCCAATTAAACCTCTTTTCTTTATAAATTATCCCAGTCTCAGGTATTTCTTTATAGTGATGCAAAAATGGACTAACACACTTACCAAAACAAAATAAAACAAAATTAGGAACAAAGATGTAAATCAAAACTCTCTGACTACTTAGAAATTTTGAAATAATCTGCTAATTAACAAATATGTCAAGAAGATAAAGTGCACAAAAGCACTCTATTAAGAAAACAATGAAAATGAGAACTACATATTAAATTCCCTGGGAAGGGCTCAGAGCTACACTAAGAAAATTCACAGCCTTAAGTGCATTTATTATTAATAAAAACAAAAAACAAAATGGGAAAATCAGCATACTAAGTCAACAATATAAAAATTCACCAAAGGAACAAAAGGACAACCCAAAAGAAATAGAAGGGAACAGTATATATAAAAGTGGATGTGTGTAAATTACCAACAGCATAACAGTAGCATTATTTAATAAGCTACACAGCTTATTAGATAAAGCTAACACGGGTAAATTTAGCCAGGAAATAGTGAATGATCTTACTGCACTCTATAGTTGTATGCTAGGAACTATGAAAATCTAAATAAAATGGATAATTTTTAAAGGAAAAAGTAAAATTCTAAAACTGACATAAAAGAAAGAGCTTGAATACACCAATAACTGATGAAGAAATTGGATAACTTGGGGGTGAGGATAAGGGAAAGTATTCAATGTGTGTGGATAATTCTTTTAAAGTCTCAATTATGAATAAAAACAGGTAGGTAGGAACTAACCAATTTACTCCTCAAAGCTAGTATGGCCTTGAGACTACAGTCAGATAAAGAGTTGATTTAAAAATCAGGAATTGTGTACCACTTTCACTCTTGCATGTAGATCTGAAGAATTTAATGACAATACTAATGGATTACCACTTTAAAGGAGAGGCATGGTAGAAAGGACTCTAGGGTCAGATGGACCCAGATTCAAAGCCAGATGCATTTCATAGTGCAAACCTGTGGCACAGCCAGTGCATCATTCTCTGGCTGCCTCTCTTTCCCTCTCTCTCCTCTTCTCCCTCTGTCTCTCTTCCCCTCCTATTCTCTCTCTCTCTCTCTTCCCACCCCTCTCTCTCTCTCTGCCTTTCATATCACGCACCAGCTCGACCACAGATTTGCTCTATGAACTGGGCCTACTCTCTAGCCTCTCTGAGACTCAATTTTCTCTTCCATAAATCAGGAGCATAATATTCATCCTATGAGGCTAAGGCAAGAATTATTGAGAAAATGTATACCAAAAATATAATGCTTTGTGAATAGTTTATAATTACACATGTGTACTAAAGGAAGGAAAAAACAAACCACAATTAAATTAGGCTCATCACAGAATGGATGAATAGTCTAGCAAATTGAAAACTAGTAATTATAATACTCCACAAAAGAGATTGAATAGTAACAATTATTTGTTCATATCAATAAGCGCTGAAATGGCATTAGAAAATCCAACATCCGGCTCACGCCTGTAATCCCAGCACTTTGGGAGGCCGAGGCAGGCGGATCACAAGGTTAGGAGATCGAGACCATCCTGGCTAACACGGTGAAACCCCGTCTCTACTAAAAAATACAAAAAATTAGCTGGGCGTGGTGGCAGGCGCCTGTAGTCCCAGCTAGTGGGGAGGCTGAGGCAGGAGAATGGTGTGAACCCGGGAGGCGGAGCTTGCAGTGAGCTGAGATCGTGCCACTGCACTCCAGCCTGGGCGACAGAGCGAGACTCCGTCTCAAAAAGAAAGAAAAATGCAACACCCATTAAAAAAATTAGAAGTGTACATCTATATTTAACATCCTTAAACATCCTTTAACATCCTGGAAGCCAAGAGTCAACATCATACCTTGTCAGTGAACAAGTGGGAGACCACAGAAATCATGGAAGAGTAATCAGAAAAAAAAAAGACAAAAACATGTTGTGTTTTACAGGCAAATTATTAATTTTTTATTTTGTTTATTTATCTTTTTAGAAATGAGGTCTCACTCTGTTGCCTGGGCTGGAGTGCAGTGGCAGTGGTACAATCATGGCTCAATGGCCTTAACCATGGGTTCAAGGATGGGTTCAAGTCATCCTCCTGCCTCAGCCTCCCAAGTAGCTGGGACTACAGGCACGCACCACCATGCCCAGCTAGGCAAATAGCTATTGATTACTTATGTAACCCAAGGAATATTAGGTAAAACTATTAGGAAAAAACATAGAGGTACAATAAATGGGAATAACGAGAGCATTTTTGTACACTAATTATAACCTGATAGAAAACGTAATGAAAACTGGAAATCTCATTCATAATAACCAAAACATAAAATAATTCTAGGAATTAACTTGATGAAGCATATATAAGAATGAAACAGCAAAGCCTTCTTGAGAAAACAAAAATCATTTAGAAAAAATTAAAATCTCTTCAAGTCTCAGTTTTTACGGAAATTGCATATATTTTTAAACCAGGAAACATGATCTGTGAAAATGCACTCCCTATTATTAAAGGGTGTCCTCTTAGCTAAAATTCCAGAAACCCCTATCTAATAATCTACTTTATAACGTTGTTCCTTTGAGTATGTTTTGGGTTAGATGACAGCCTAGTGTTGGCAAAGAGAGAAGATTTGGGAATGGGAACTGGATTGGCGTCTGAGTTTAGCCACAGACCCAGAGAAAAGACATTCTCATTTGGGTGTTTTTAGGTCCTAGGTGAGCAATGGAAGGAAGCAGCATTTGAGTGGGATGGGGGAGAGGAAGGCAATTCAGAAAGGGCAGCCTCAGTACAGTGGGGATGTATAATCTTTTATAAAATCCTATAGCAACATAAAATTCTATAGTAATAACTGACTTTACTGTTTTGTTAGCTTTGCTTCTTATTTTATCAAAATAATACATGTACAGAGTCTAAGAATCAATTTCTGAAAAAGTGGCAATACCAGTCTCAGTCCCACAGGAAACAGATGGCATACTCAAGTGGGGCAAGAGAAGTGAGTTTGATGAAGGGACATTTTATAAGGGCCTGGCAGAGTCAAAGGAGTGCAATAAGGAAAGGTGAAGCTCCCAGGGAGTTGTGACTACCCCTAAACCTGAGGAGGAGCAGTTTCAGGAACCAGGAGGGAGAGTTGAAGCTGGAAGACAGGGTGGCTGGGCAGAAGCTGTGGCTGCTGGAAGAGGACCACCCACCTGCAGCCTCCACTGGCAGGGAGCAGTGGGTGGGTAGGTAGAGACCCTGACCTCACTTTCCTCTGTCCTTGGCTTCCCACTGACCAAATCCAGCTGGAATGCAGAGGGCGAGAGAGCCACTTGATGAGATCCCTCGACGTCACCCTCCCAAAGCAGGATGGAGAGAAGAGTGGATCTGGGGGTGAGAATGAAATCCCTAAAAAACACACCTGTGCAAAGTACCTAAAAGTGCTGGAAAAAAGTGAGAGAAATCCTCTGGGACTGAGTCTGCTTTATTCATCTAGTGTTATCTTTGTGGGATTTGGGGAAACAACAGAGATTTATGTGTTCAGCCTTCCCTGTTTAACTGGAAAATGTGATCATGGACTTTCCTTCTCCACTCCCAACCCATACATGAGTGACTGGTTGTCATAGGACTTCCTTTCCAGAGAGGCAGAAGGAAGGCAAGAGAAAAAGGGTAAAGAAGATATTTAATCCTTTCTCTTTTGCCCTTTCTTTCACTGAAACTGTGTATGACGACACAAGTGTTGGGTGCCAAATTCCATTTCCTGGTGAAATCCTATATTTGTGACTCAGCCTGGTGGCAGCAGCAATGTCTCCTGTCCCATCATAGCACTGGCAGTGGCACAGCTGAGATGCTCTGATGGGCAGACTTCTCAGGATTGGGAGGGATTCCACAGTGATGGAAGAAGGAAGCAGTGGGATTATTGTTCATTGTATGTTTGTGATGGTTCATTTTATGTGTCAGCTGCGCCATTGGGTGCCCAAATTATTTCTGGGTGCATCTGTGAGGATTTCCAGATGTGATACACATTTGAATCAGGTAACTTAACAAAGGAGACTTCCATCCCCCGTGTGGGTGGGCCTCATCCAATCAATTGAGGGCCGAATAGAACAATATGCAGAGGAAGAAGAAATCCATTTCTTTACACCCTGCCTGCCTGCTTGACCAGGGACATTGGCCTTCTCCTGCCCTGGGGCTGGGATTTACACCATTGGCTCCCTTTGTTCTCAGGCTTTTGGAATTCAACTAGAACTACACCACTGGGTCTCCTGGGTCTCCGGTTTGCAGATGGCAGATTGTGGAACTTCTCAGCCTCCATAATCATGTGAGCCAATTCCTCAAAAAAAAATGTATTATCTATCTATCTATCTATCTATCTATCTATCTATCTATCTATCTAGTCTCTCATTTATCTATCTCCTGTTGGTCTGTTTCTCTGGAGAACTGTAATATAATGTTTAATTTTGTTTCTGCAGTTAGATTGAGAAAGAAGGGCTATGGTCCATATGGTATCACTCTTCTAGGCATGGTGCTAAGGAAACCCAGAAATGCTTGGTTTTATTCATAAATGGGAAAAAACTAGACAAGCTAAACATTATAAAGCTAACAATTCCTCTCAAGGTAATTTTGAGACTTAGTGCAATCCCACTTAAAATTCTGACAGGATCCTTTTCAGAGCCTGATGAAATGATTTCAAAGTCATTTGTAAAAAGAGAGAGATAATAATATTGAGGAATATTTTCAAAAGAAAGAGCACCTCCATTTCCAAGCCAGAAACCTAGCTTGTCAGCTATGATGTTTCTCTCTCTTACTCCTCCGCATCCAGTTCATGACAGAATCTACTGTTAAAAGAGATGTGAAATATACCAATTTTCTCCATTACCACTTTCACCGCTGCAGTCCAAGCCACACCATTGCCCACTAACTGACTGCAATGTCCTCCTTGCGCATCCTCCCACACACCACTGGCCCCATCCAAGCTGCTGTCCACTCAGCAGCCACATATGGCCTTATCTCTCTCCTGCCCTAACCTCTTCATCAGCAGCTTTTCATTGCTCATCTCCCTCCACTCTCTTCCTTCCTCATTTTGTAACTGCTTCTCATTCATTCATCCATTCATTCCACACTATTTATTCAGAACTTTCAGTGTGCCAGACAATGACTGATGCCCTGGGGAGACAAGGAGCAAAATCAGACTTGATTCATGCCAACACCCTAGTGGTTTTAAAGGCAAAGGACAATAAACATGAAAAAAGATTCAAGTGTGTTGGTAATTAAACCAATGCCAATTTAAAATAAGATTAATTTTAATAAATTATTACTAAATAAAATTTTAATTAAAATTTTAATTGAATGCTGAGAAGGCTGGGAGAAACAGACACATTTATTCATTATTGGTAATAAACTGAATTGATACAAATGTGTTGGAGAAGAATCTGGCAAGATGTATCAAGGGCCAAAAGAAAAATCCATATCCTTTGATCCAGCAGTTTTCATCTTGGGAAATTATTTCAAGGAAATAATTCCAAAGAAAGGAGACGGGTTGAGGAAGACTTTAAGTACCAAGCGTTGTGTGGCTTTTTTTTTTTTTTTGAGACAGAGTCTCACTCTGTCACTCAGGCTGGAGTGCAGTGGTACAATCTCGGCTCACTGCAACCTCTGCCTCCCAGGTTCAAGCGATTCTCGTGCCTCAGCCTCCTGAGTAGTTGGAATTACAGGCACACACCAGCATGCCTGGTGAGTTTTTGTATTTTTAGTAGAGACAGGGTTTCACCATGTTGGCTAGGCTGGTCTCAAACTCCTGACCTCAAGTGATCCATCTGCCTTGGCCTCCCAAAGTGCTGGGATCATAGGCGTGACCACCATGCCTGGCCTAAGTACAAAGTATTTTATTGCAGTGCTTTCTATGTTAGCAAAAGACCTGACATTACTTAAATGATCAATAAAACAATAGATAAGTTGCTTAGAATAAGCTGATATGAGTATGAAGACAAAATCAAATGCAAAAAGTAGAACAGTATGTTCAAATGTGATATACATACTCTGTACATAGATGAATATATGAAGAAACAAAAGTAGTTGTTAAGTGTTAGAGCGGTGGTTTTTCATGTGATTGGACTTAATAATAATTTCCTAAATCTGGTGATCCAATAGAAAAGATGGCTGAATTTCATTGTAAAATGAACTTTGATTATATAGAGTATATTTCCCAATTGCTGTATTTATATTTTAGGCAATGTATTGTCAAACGGAAAACGTGATTGGCTCCTGGAAAAAAATGTTCTTTTCATCAATGCATATCTGTTAAACAGCATTAAAACCGATGTCATATCAAAAATGGGGGAAGCTATGCAGCTTACATTGTCAAAGGTGATTAAAGGGTCTCTATGGGATAGGAGCATTTGTCAAAAACCCAAGAGCTGTATTCAGAGCTAGAGAATAAAGAGACTCAGCATCTTTTAGGTAACTCCCAATTCCTTGGCAAAGAATGGGCATGTCTCCAGCCTCCAGGACACCCTCATGTGGTTACACTGCCTAGTCACCTTGTTTCTGTGAAGCAACTGCTTCTGAGCCATAGCTGGAAGCTACAGACTCACAGTGCCTCGAACAGACATTGCAGGAGCTGGCAGTTCTTCTGACACTTTAAGGTCCATGAACTCCACTCAGGACCAGTGAATCCAGACCTTCTCTTTCTGACTTCTAAGTTAGGATCTCTGCAATGCAGGTTTTTGTAGAGTGGGGCAAAGCTGTTCAGTATGGCACCAAATTTGGTACCAGTTGAGTTCATGTTAGTACAGCAGGGCCTTATTAAAAGATGCTTTGTGTATAAGATACTAATTTTTCTGCAGAAGGACAGAAGATTGATGGCCTCCTAATAGCCTACAGAGGAAGGCAAAAAGGAGTCAGGAGACCTAAGCTTTGATTTTGTTTCGGACACTCTGTGGCTATGTCATCTGAGTCTGTAACTTCTTTGTGCTTCAGTTTTTCACTTGTAAAATTAGGAAGTAAAACTTACATGATAAGTTAAAATGCGTTTCTAGAACTACTAGATTAGAAGTGTTTTAAAAGGATTTCACTATTTCCAGATGACAAGCAGAGATCTATAGCATTACAATAGATAGGGAATGCCAGAGGTCATTTAGGCGATTCCCCTGCCTCCCTTCTTATCTAACCACATCTAGCCCCTCCTAGAGAGAACACTGTGCTCCAATGGAAGGAACCCCAGAAACAGCACTTGGAACAAACCATTTTGTAAAATGGTTGAGAAGAGCCTCGGCAGATGTGGCCCACCTGCAGAGACTGGGTATTGCCCCATCCTTCCTATAGTGTCCAACGTAAATTCCCAAGGGCAAGTTAGTCAAAGAGTACTGAAAGTCAGACACCTTAGGTTGCTATCTTACCTATTGCAGAGGTTCTCAAAGTCTGGACCACAGACCCCTTGGAACCCCAAGACCCTTTCAGGGGGTCTAGAAGGTGAAAACTATTTTTATAATAATGCTAAGACATTACTTCCCTTTGTAATGTATTGACATTAACTCTGGCACTGAGCATGGATCAAGTTAATGACCCCAAACCATGTTAGTCGCTGATATATTTTTCACTGCCACATACCAACAGTAAAAAGCAAAAGGGGTCCGTTTCACTTAAGAATGTCCTTGGAGGGTATTGGCAAGATGGCCGAATAGGAACAGCTCTGGTCTGCAGCTCACAGCAAGACCAATGCAGAAGGCGGGTGATTTCTGCATTTCCAACTGAGGAACCCTGTTCATCTCACTGGGACTGGTTAGGCAGTGGGTACAGCCCACAGAGGATGAGCAGAAACAAGGTGGGGTGTCGCCTTGCCCAGGAAGTGCAAGCAGCTGGGGGCCTCCCCCGCCCCGCCACCCCCAGCAAAAGGAAGCCGTGAGGGATTGAGAGGTGACAGCGTGCTGGCAGTCCTCAGAGCCCTCGCTTGCTCTCGGCACCTCCCCTGCCTGGGCTCCTACTTTGGCGGCATTTGAGGAGCCCTTCAGCCCCCCACTGCACTGTGGGAGCCCCTTTCTGGGCTGGCCAAGGCTAGAGCCCACTCCCTCAGCTTGCAGGGAGGTGTGGAGGGAAAGGTGCGAGCGAGAACCGGGGCTGCGGGCGGCACTTGCGAGCCAGCTGGAGTTCTGGGTGGGCGTGGGCTTGGCGGGCTCCGCACTCGGAGCAGGCGGCCAGCCCTGCTGGCCCCGGGCAATGAGGGACTTAGCACCCGGGCCAGTGGCTGCGGAGGGTGTACTGGGTCCCCCAGCAGTGCCGGCCCACCGGTGCTGCGCTCAATTTCTCACCGAGCCTGAGCTGCCTTCCCGCGGGGCAGGGCTCGGGACCTGCAGCCCGCCATGCCTGAGCCTCCCACCCACTCCATGGGCTCCTGTGCGGCCCGAGCCTCCCCAACGAGCACCACCCCCTGCTCCACGGCGCCCAGTCCCATCGACCACCCAAGGGCTGAGGAATGCCAGCGCTCGGCACGGGACTGGCAGGCAGCTCCACCTGCAGCCCCGGTGCGGGATCCACTAGGTGAAGTCAGCTGGGCTCCTGAGTCTGGTGGGGACGTGGAGAGTCTTTATATCTAACTCAGGGATTGTAAACACACCAATCAGCACCCTGTGTCTCGCTCAAGGTTTGTGAGTGCACCAATCGACACTCTGTATCTAGCTGCTCTGGTGGGGCTTTGGAGAACCTTTATGTCTAGCTCAGGGATTGTAAATACACCAATCAGCACCCTGTGTTTAGCTCAAGGTTTGTGAGTGCACCAATCGACACGCTGTGTCTAGCTGCTCTGGTGGGGCCTTGGAGAACCTGTGTGTCAAAACTCTGTATCTAACTAATCTGATGGGGACGTGGAGAACCTTTGTATCTAGCTCAGGGGTTGTAAATGCACCAATCAGCGCCCTGACAAAACAGGCTACTGGGCTCTACCAATCAGCAGGATGTGGGCGGGGGGGGGGGGGGGGGGGGCCAGATAAGAGAATAAAAGCAGGCTGCGGGAGCCAGCAGTGGCAACCGGGTCCCCTTCCACACTGTGGAAGCTTTGTTCTTTTGCTCTTTGCAATAAATCTTGCTGCTGCTCACTCTTTGGGTCCACGCTGCTTTTATGAGCTGTAACACTCACCGTGAAGATCTGCAGCTTCACTCCTGAGCCCAGCCAGACCACGAGCCCACCAGGAGGAACGAACAACTCCAGACCCGCCGCCTTAAGAGCTGTAACACTCACCACAAAGGTCTGCAGCTTCACTCCTGAGCCAATGAGACCACGAACCCACCAGAAGGAAGAAACTCCAAACACATCTGAACATCAGAAGAGACAGACTCCAGACACACCACCTTAAGAGCTGTAACACTCACTACGAGGGTCCGCGGCTTCATTCTTGAAGTCAGTGAGACCAAGAACCCACCAATTCCAGACACAGGACTGTGCTATCCAGCCCAGATACTACGCTTTTCCCATAGTTTTTGCAATCCGCAGACCAAGAGATTCCCTTGTGTGCCTACACGTCCAGGGCCCTGGCTTTCAATCACAAAACTGGGCGGCTGTTTGGGCAGACGCCAAGCTGGCTGCAGTTTTTTTTTTTTTTTTTTTTTTCATACCCTAGTGGTGCCTGGAACTCCAGCAAGACAGAACTGTTCATTCACTCCCCTGGAAAGGGGGCTGAAACCAGGGAACCAAGTGGTCTTGCTCAGCCGGTCCCATTCCCGTGGAGCCCAGCAGTCTAAGAACCACTGGCTTGAAATTCTTACTGCCAGCACAGCAGTCTGAAGTTGACCTGGGATGATCGAGCTTGGTGTGGGAAGGGGCATCCACCATTTCTGAGGCTTGAGTAAGCAGTTTTCCCCGACAGTGCTAAGGAGGCTGGGAAGTTCAGACTGGGCGGAACTCAACACAGCGTGGCAAAACAGCTGTGGCCAGACTGCCTTTCTAGATTCCTCCTCACAGGGCAGGGCGTCTCTGAAAGAAAGGCGGCAGGCCCAGTCAGGGGCTTAGAGATAAAACTCCCCTCTCCCTGAGACAGATCACCTCAGGGAAGGGGTGGCTGTGGGCCCAGCTTCAGCGGATTTAAACATTCCTGCCTGCCAGCTCTGAAGAGTGCAGCAGATCCTGACAAGGAGGATTCTACCAGCACAGAGCTCGAGCTCTGCTAAGGGACAGGCTGCCTCCTCAAGTGAGTCCCTGACCTCCGTGCTTCCTGACGGGGAGAGACCTCCCAGCAGGGGTTGACAGACACCTCATACAGGAGAGCTCCAGCTGGCATAAGGCTGGTGCCCCTCTGGGATGAAGCTTCCAGAAGAAGGAGCAAACAGCAATTTTTGCGATTCTGGAGCCTCTGCTGGTGATACCCACGAGAACAGGGTCTGGAGTAGACCTCCAGCAAACTGCAGCATACCTGCAGAAGAGGAGCCTGACTGTTAGAAGGAAAACTAACAAACAGGAAGCAATAACATCAACATCAACAAAAAGGACCCCCACACAAAAAACCCCATCCAAAGGTCATCAGCCTCAAGATCAAAGGTAGATAAATCCATGAAGATGAGGATAAATCCAATGCAAAAATGCTGAAAATTCCAAAAACCAGAATGCCTCTTCTCCTACAAAGGATCACAACTCCTCTCCAGCAAGTGCACAAAACTGGATGGAGAATGAGTTTGACAAATTGACAGAAGTAGGCTTCAGAAGGTGAGTAATAACAAACTCCTCTGAGGTAAAGGAACGTGTTCTAACCCAGTGCAAGGAAGATCAGAACCTTGATAAAAGGTGACAGGAACTGCTAACTAGAATAACCAGTTTAGAGAAGAACATAAATGACCTGATGGAGCTGAAAAACACAGCATGAGAACTTCCTGAGGCATTCACAAGTATCAATAGCTAAACCAAGCAGAAGAAGGGATATCAGATATTGAAGATCAACTTACCAAAATAAGGCACGAGGACTAGATTAGAGAAAAAAGAATGAAAAGGAACGAACACAGCCTCTAAGAAATATGGGAGTATATGAAAAGACCAAACCTACAATTGATTGGGGTACCTGAAAGTGAGGACAAGAATGGAACCAAGTTAGAAAACACACTTCAGGATATTATCCAAGAGAACTTCCCCAATCTAGCAAGACAGGCCAACATTCAAATTCAGGAAATACAGAGAACACCACAATGATACTCCCCGAGAAGAACAACCCCAAAACACATAATTGTCAGATTCACCAAGGTTGAAATGAAGGAAAAAATGTTAAGGGCAGCCAGAGAGAAAGGTCAGGTTACCCACAAAGGGAAGCCCATAAGACTAACAGCAGATCTCTCTGCAGAAACCCTACAAGCCAGAAGAGAGTGGGGGGCCAATATTCAACATTCTTAAAGAAACGAATTTTCAACCCAGAATTTCATATCTAGCCAAATTAAGCTTCATAAGTGAAGGAGAAATAAAATCCTTTATAGACAAGCAAATGCTGAGGGATTTTGTCACCAACAGGCATGCCTTACAAGAGCTCCTGAAGGAAGCACTAAACATGGAAAGGAAAAACTGGCACCAGCCACCACAAAAACACACAAAATATAAAGATCAATGACACTATGAAGAAACTGCATCAACAAATGTGCAAAATAACCAGCTAGCATCATAATGACAGGATCAAACTCACACATAACAATATTAACCTTAAATGTAAATGGGCTAAATGCTCCAATTAAAAGACATACACTGGAAAATTGGGTAAAGAGTCAAGACTCATCAGTGTGCTGTATTCAGGAGACCCATCTCACATGCAAAGGCACACATAGGCTCAAAAAAAAGGGATGGAGGAATATTTACCAAGCAAATGGAAAGCCAAAAAAAGCAGTCCTAGTCTCTGATAAAACAGACTTTAAACCAACAAAGATCAAAAAAGACAAAGAAGGGCACTACAGAATGGTAAAGGGATCAATGCAACAAGAAGAGCTAACTATCCTAAATATATGTGCCCCCAATACAGGAGCACCCAGATTTATAAAGAAAGTTCTTAGAGACCTACAAAGAGACTTAGACTCCTACAGAATAATAGTGGGAAATTTTAACACCCCACTGTCAATTTTAGATCAATGGGACAGAAAATTAACAAGGATATTCGGGACTTTAATTCAGCTCTGGACCAAGTGGACCTAATAGAACTACAGAACTATCTACCCCAAATCAACAGAATATACATCCTTCTCTGCACCACTTAGCACTTATTCTAAAATTGACCACATAATTGGAAGTAAAACACTCCTCAGAAAATGCAAAAGAACAGAAATCATAACAAACAGTCTCGCAGACCACAGTGCAATCAAACTAGAACTCAGGATTAAGAAACTCACTCAAAACCACACAACTACATGGAAATTGAACAACCTGCTCCTGGATGACTATGGGGTAAATAACAAAATTAAGGCAGAAATAAATGAGTTCTTTGAAACCAATGGGAATAAAGAGACAATGTACCAGAATCTCTGGGACACAGCTAAAGCAGTGTTAAGAGGGAAATTTATAAGCACAAAATCCCACATCAGAAAGCAGGAAAGATCTAAAATCGATACCCTAACATCACAATTAAAAGAACTAGAGAAGCAAGAGTAAACAAATTCAAAAGCTAGCAGAAGACAAGAAATAACTAACATCAGAGCAGAACTGAAGGAGATAGAGACATGGAAACCCTTAAAAAAAATCAGTGAATCCAGGAGCTGGTTCTTTGAAAAAATTAACAAAATAGATAGACTGCTAGCCAGACTAATAAAGAAGAAAAGAGAGAAGAATCAAATAGACACAATAAAAAATGATAAAGGATATCACTACTGATCCCACAAAACTACAGACTCCCATCAGAGAATACTATAAACACCTCTACACAAATAAACTAGAAAATCTAGAAGAAATGGATAAATTCCTGGACACATACACCCTCCCAAGACTAAATCAGGAAGAAGTTGAATCCCTGAATAGACCAATAACAAGTTCTGAAATTGAGGCATTAATTAATAGCCTACCAACCAAAAAAAGCCCAGGACCAGACGGATTCACAGCTGAATTCTGCCAGAGGTACAAAGAGGAGTTGGTACCATTCCTTCTGAAACTATTCCAAACAACAGAAAAAGACGAACTCCTCCCCAACTCATTTTCTGAGGCCAGCATCATCCCAATTCCAAAACCTGACAGAGACACAACAAAAAAAGAAAATTTTAGGTCAATATCCCTGATGAACATTGATGTGAAAATCCTCAATAAAATACCGGCAAACCAAATCCAGCAGCACATCAAAAAGCTTATCCACCATGATCAAGTCGGCTTCATACCTGGGATGCAAGGCTGGTTCAACATATGCAAATCAATAAATGTAATCCATCCCATAAACAGAACCAATGACAAAAACCACATGATTATCTCAATAGATGCAGAAAAAGCCTTCAGTAAAATTCAACACTGCTTCATGCTAAAAACTCTCAGTAAATTATGTATTGATAGAACATATCTCAAAATAATAAGAGCTATTTATGACAGACCCATAACCAATATCATATTGAATGGGCAAAAGCTGGAAGCATTTCCCTTGAAAACCAGCACAAGACAAGGATGCCCCCTCTCACCACTCCCATTTAACATACTATTGGAAGTTCTGACCAGGGCAATCAGGCAAGAGAAAGAAATAAAGCATACTCAAATAGGAAGAAAGGAGGTCAAATTGTCTCTGTTTGCAGATGACATGATTGTATATTTAGAAAACCCCATCATCTCAGCTTAAAATCTCAAGCTGATAAGCAACTTCAGCAAAGTCTCAGGATACAAAATCAATGTGCAAAAATCACAAACATTCCTATACACCAATAATAGGCAAGCAGAGAGCCAAATCATGAGTGAACTCCCGTTCACAATTGCTACAAAGAGAATAAAATACCTAGGAATACAACTTACAAGGGACATGAATGACCTCTTCAAGGAGAACTACAAACCACTGCTCAAGGAAATAAGAGAGAACACAAACAAATGGAAAAAAATTCCATGCTCATGGATAGGAAGAATTAATATTGTGAAAATGGCCATACTGCCCAAAGTAATTTATAGATTCAATGTTATTCCCATCAAGCTACCATTGAGTTTCTTCACAGAACTAGAAAAAACTACTTTAAATTTCGTATGGAACTAAAAAAGAGCCTGTATAGCCAAGACAATCCTAAGCAAA
Organism: Homo sapiens; assembly: GCF_000001405.40. NCBI lineage: Eukaryota > Metazoa > Chordata > Mammalia > Primates > Hominidae > Homo > Homo sapiens. The sequence continues at coordinate 14,085,602 of NC_000011.10, read as the reverse complement.
AAGAACAAAGCTGGAGGCATCATGCTACCTGACTTCAAATTATACTACAAGCCTACAGTAACCAAAGCAGCATGGTACTGGTACCAAAACAGATATATAGATCAATGGAACAGAACAGAGGCCTCAGAAATAACACCACACATCTACAACCCTCTAATCTTTGACAAATCTGACAAAAAAAAAGCAGTGGGGAAAGGATTCTCTATTTAATCAATGGTGCTGGGAAAACTGCCTAGCCATATGCATAAAACAGAAACTGGACCCTTCCTTATATCTTATACAAAAGTTAACTCAAGATGGATTATTAAAGACTTAAATGTAAAACCTAAAAGCATAAAAACCCTAGAAGAAAATCTAGGCAATATCATTCAGGACATAAGCATGGGCAAAGACTTCATGACTACAACACCAAAAGCAATTGCAACAAAAGCCAAAATTGACAAATGGGATCTTACTAAACTAAAGAGCTTCATCACAGCAAAAGAAACTAGCATCACAGCGAACAGGCAACCTACAGAGTGGGAGAAAATTTTTGCAATCTATCCATCTGACAAAGGGCTAATTTCCAGAATTACAAAGAACTCAAACAAATTTACAAGAAAAAAACAACCCCATCAAAAAGTGGGTGAAGGATATGAACAGACATTTCTCAAAAGAAGACATTTATGTGGCCAACAAACATATGAAAAAAAGCTCATCATCACTGGTCATTAGGGAAATGCAAATCAAAACCACAATGAGATACCATCTCATGCCAGTTAGAATAGTGATCATTAAAAAGTCAAGAAACAACAGGTGCTGGAGAGGATGTGGAGAAATAGGAATGCTTTCACACTGTTGGTGGGAGTGTAAATTAGTTCAACCATTGTGGAACACAGTGTGGCAATTCCTCAAGGATCTAGAACCAGAAATGCCATTCGACCTAGTGATCCTATTACTGGGTATATACCCAAAGGATTATAAATCATGCTACTATAAAGACACATGCATATTTATGCTTATTGCAGCACTGTTTACAACAGCAAAGACTTGGAACCAACCCAAATGCCCATCAGTGATAGACTGGATAAAGAAAATGCATCACATATACACCATGGAATACTATGCAGCCATAAAAAAGAATGAGTTCATGTCCTTTGCAGGGACATGGATGAAGCTGGAAACCATCATCCTCAACAAACTAACACAGGAACAGAAAACCAAACACAGCATGTTCTCACTCGTAAGTGGGAGTTGAACAATGAGAACACATGGACACAGGGAGGGGAACATCACACACCTGGTCCTGTCGGGGAGTGCAGGGCAAGGGGAGGGAGAGCATTAGGACAAATAACCTAATGCATGTGGGACGTAAAACCTAGATAATGGGTTGATAGGTGCGGCAAAACCACCATGGCACATGTATACCTACGTAACAAACCTGCACATTCTGCACACATATCCCAGAACTTAAAGTTAAAAAAAAAAAGAATGTCCTTGAAAAAACAATAAAAATGATTAATTTCATTAGATCTCTGCCTTTGAGTAAACATATTTTTATTTTTTCTGTGTGACTAATTGGGAACTACGCAGAAGCACTTCTGCTATATACTGAAGTACTGTGATTGTCTTGAATAAAAGCACTTATGCGACTCTTTGAGGTGCAAGCTGGACTAGCCGCTTTTTATGTTCATAAAACATCATTTTCACTTGAAAGGACAAATGACAGACAAATTATGGTTATTCAGACTTGGGAATTTGGCCTACATTTTCTAAAAAATAAAGTGATCCTGTCACTTCAAGGAAAACAACTGACAGTATTTGTTGCCAATGATAAAATTCAAGCTTTCAAGCAAAACCCAGAATTTTAGAAAACTTGTGTTCATTATTATGAACTTGATAGCTTTCCAATATTAAATACTTTTCTGATGAGATTGGTAGTGATATTAATGGATATGGCTTTTCATATTGTTTAATGAACTGTGTCAACACTTGCACAATCTGCATAACTCAGTAAACCAATATTTTCCAAATGATCAACGTAAGATGTTACAAAACCATGCATTTGTAAAAGATCCATTCAAAGTAGAAGGTAAAGCAATGACTTTTAATGTAAGAGTACAAGTTCATTGATATAGTTTCAAATTCCACATTGTAATTAACCTTTAAAAAAACAATTTGCAGAGTTCTGGTGTAGGATCAAAGATTATCCATAATTATCAGAAAAGGTTATTAAAATACTCTTCCCTTTTCCAATTACATAGCCATATGAGACAGAATTTTCTCCGCATACTTCAACCAAAAAATAGATTTTTTGAACCTATTTGAATCTATTTTGAATCTAAGTTGAATGCAAAAGCAAAGGCAAATGGGAATCCAGGTGTATTCTATTAAGCCAGATAGAAAAGACAGTTGCAAAAACGTAAAACATTGATCCTCTTTTCACATTTCTTTTGTTTTGAATATAGGTATTTTCATAAAATATGTTCTTTATATTAACCTGGAACAAGTTTATTATTTTTAATTTACTAGGTTTATTTTAAAAATAAATAATATTTTTCAATTTCTCTGTTTTAGTTTTTGATACATGGAAGATTGATGGCTATAACCCATATAAACCACTTATGTTGGGATCCTCAAAGATTTTTTAAGCATACAAAAGCGGTCCTAAGATTTAAAAGCTTAAGAACCACTGTCCTAAGATCACTGTAGAGAAAGCAGTGTTTTGGATGACTAATAAAGGACAGGGGGGCTTGGCAATTGTCAGTTTGCACTATTGTGGGAAGCTTCTCTGGGCATGATGATAGAGAATGGTTATCAAGACAGTATCATCTTTGCAGTGGCAAAAAGAAATTCATCTATTACTTAAGACTGATAGAAATAACTTTTGAGAACATTAAATTTTCAAGATCCCGATTAGATCCTCCCCATGTCCTTTTAAACGGCTCCAGTCTCCCTGAGTGTTCACTCCTTTTCCTCCATGGAAGGTTTGACTCACACTCTCCTCCATACTGCCCATCATAATTAGCTGAAGGCTAGACATCTGCCTCCCAGGTCATAATGAGTGTGACTCGGAGTTCAACAATCAGTACACAGTGCTTGGGAAGACAACAGGCACTAAGAATCAAAGATAAGCACGTCATCACGTTTGTCCTGGAGGACTTCTTGGTCTAGTGGGAAAGAAAGACTTTTAAAAAAATAACTACAGTATGCTATGTTAAGTGCTATTCTGTACAAGTGACCAAATTTTTCCAACCAAAAATTAGGACACAATCTGACAATTGTCTATAAGACATCATGTCAAAAATGGAACAATCCTAGAAGATCTGGAACACACGTCTGCTATATTTACTAAGAAACTCTCAACAACTCCACAGAAACTCTGTATAGATTTGTACTTGATTTGGCCCAAAGACCCAGAAACAATTTTTTTTTTTCACCTCCTCCCTAAATTCTGGGAAATGACAGTGGCAGAATAGGAAAGGTCAAGAAGCTTCTTAGGATCACAAAAGATGAGTAACGGGCCCCTAACATTTTATTTCCTCTGGTTAGTGGATAGGAGAGGCTGGAGGAAATTTTTCCATCGTGCTTGTTCCAAATGTTTTCTTTCCCCCAGGCAGAGAGTCCAAGTTTCTTCGCACAGGTCTCCCACACAGCTGATGCAGATCAGGCTGAATCTCAGAGTCAGAAGAATGAACTAGAAAGAGGCTTCTAAGATCCCAAGCCTTGATTGCATGTGGGTAACATTAAACAATAGAGCTCTTGATTTGTCAACAAATGTCGAAGTCCCCTCTGGGTGGGCTGCGTGGGGATCATGGAGGTTCTGATCTGGTCTGAGTCTTCTTAAGTCCAATCATGTGCCCTTTTCTCCCCCTTTCCTTTGGGACCTGAGCCAAATCCCTCTTTTTAATCTCTCTCTCCCATTCCTACTGTTCTTCCTGAACTGCGGTAACTCCAAAGTAAAATGCACAAGAACAAAACAGACAATGAACAGAAAAAAACAGGCTCAGTGCCACACATGGACATCCTGCCACCCACAGAGAGAATGGGCAACACGCAACCCAAACAAAAGGCAGGCATAGGAGACTGAAAAACCCCTTTGGATCTTGGATCCATTACTTACATCTCAATGTGGGCAAATCATGACATCTCTCTCCTCCCCAGTAAACTTATCCACAAAAACACATTACTTTGAGGATTAAACACTATAACATATGTAGAAATGCTTGGTTCACAGTAAGTCCACTTTTCTTATAGTCTTCACCTCTTTCTGCATGACTATTTGGTTAGTGTCTGTCTCTCCACTAGCCGCTGAGTGGCTTGAGAATATGGGATGCATCTTTTTTTTGTTCAGTATTATAACTCTAGAGCTGAGCACAGTGCCTGGCACATGTTAGGCGTTTGTTGAGACAATTATATGATAAAGTGGAATTAGTAGGATCTACTTAAAAAATAGTAAGTTTGGGGTCTCCTGACAACTCTCATGGCTTTGTATTGGCTATCTTGATAACAATGTTATGAAAAGATTTTTTTTTTTTTTGAGTCAGAGTCTTGCTCTGCTGCCCAGGCTGGAGTGTAGTGGTGTGGTCATGGCTCACTGCAGCCTTGAACTCCTGGGCTTAAGATCCTCCTGCCTTAGCCTCTTGAGTAGCTAGGACTACAGGCAAGACTACAGGACTACAGGCATGTGCCACCATGCCCAGCTAATTTTAGAATTTTGCTATGTTGCCTAGGCAGGTCTCTAACTCCTGGCCTCAAAGGATCCTCCCACATCAGCCTCCCAAAGCACTGGGAGTACAGGCTTGAGCCACCATGCTTGGCCCCTCATGAAGGGATTTCAAGGTGGCATCTGAAGTCAGTAAAAAAAAGGCATGCTGACTAATTACTAACACCTATGATAGCAGAGTATTTGTTGACCTTGACCTATAGAGTCAAGAGCAGGTCCCTTTTGCCGCTATTTCCAGCAGGTCTGTCATGGAATTCATGGACAGGGTCATTGCAGGGGGATTGAGGTTACCAAATGCCTCACCTGAATATAAGCAGCATGACTTTGGGAATATTTTTAAAAATCACAGATAAGAAAGCACAATGCTGGGGCTGGGCACAGTGGCTCACACCTGTAATCCCAGCACTTCGGGAGGCCAAGGTGGGTGGAGCACCTGAGGTCAGGTGTTCAAGACCAGCCCAGGCAACATGGCAAAACCCCATCTCTACTAAAAATACAAAAATTAGCTGGGCATGGTGGCCCATACCTGTAATCCCAGCTACTCAGGAGGCTGAGGCAGGAGAACTGCTTGAACCCGGGAGGCGGAGGTTGCAGTGAGCCGAGATTGTGCCACTGCACTCCAGCCTCGGCAACAGAGCGAGACTCCATCTCAAAAAAAAAAAGAAAAAAAATAGCACAATGCTATGCAAAGAAGCTGAAAGCATACCCATATAATGTCTGCCTGTCTTGATTAATATACATACTTGGATTGTGCATTTCATGAACCAGCCAATACTAGGGAGCAGATCTGACATGCTGCAGCTAGTGTGCCCTATAACCAGACAGAACTTTGACAATGTGCTTTTCCCCAAACCACAGAGTAGCCACTCTACTCACGAGGGTAATCCTTTGGGTGTGTCTTCTCGGACCAATTCCCATAAAATGTGAGTCTGTACTTGGCAGTTCCGCAGGCACAGCAGTCTAAGATGGGTTTGTCAGTCACCCCATCAAATGTGGAATCTGAAACAGTCAGAAAAGTCACCAAGTTAGAAAGTAAACGTGGGTTGTATATAAGGTGGTGCTATCATGGTCTCATTTTATCCTTAACCCTTAGGAAAAGAAGATGCAGCTTTCATTAGTTAATAAGACTTAGAGCCAGATCAGTACTTGGGCAATAAAGGATTTTGTATGCCTCTAAGTATGGTAATATTTTGAAAAAAAAAAAGAGAGCTTTTTCCCTAATAAATTGAGAAGATCTGTGGGAGCAATAACCCATAGGCTATTCGAGAATATTTAAGATGGGGGCTATGTTGAAAAATCAGGGGTAAAATTCACTCAATCATCCTTTCCGGATCCTGGTCTCCTTCCCCACCCCTCCCACAACAGGATTTCTCTAACAAATTTTAGGAGGAATACACATGTGTGCTTTCTCTAGGAAATATTCTCTGGGACCAAAATGACAGGACCAGAAGGAATGACTTTGAAGCAGAGCAGTGAAAATAAATGGAGAGAGATAAAGAATTACTGAAGGGAGAAAAAAAAGAGGCATGCATATATAATCACGTCACTTCTTATCATGCTTTCAGAGACTTCACTGGGAGGAGTAGGGGGTGGAAATGTGTTCATAAGCTCAGGTTTACTGTACTTCTGGGTATAGAAGTAGCCAGGAAAAACTTAAGATTCCCTCTCGGCCCTCATTTTTAGCTGTGAATAGCTGATAAGTGGGGAAAGAGAGATTACATGAATAAATTCAGTATTTCCGATTGTCAAACCCACATCTCTAGCTGCACGTTGTTGCTTTTAGTCTGTTCTGCTTCCTGCAAGATGAAAACAATGACTACAGATGTAACTTGCTTCAGTTGCTTTTTTTCACTTCCTCTAGTAGTATTAACATAATTTTTTTTTCTTTGCAGTTGGACATTTATTCTTAAATATTATACAAAGAGTAGTGGCAAAGAATGTTAAAATCATTGTGAGTGTTAGGAAGAGCATTTTACAAGACTTCCTTTTGGAATTTACTGGGTTGATTTGGTTTAAATATATAAAATCCATGATGGATAGAAGTGAATTCTAGGTTCTAGGGTGGAGATGAAAGGATGAGACATCATAATAATAACTACAAAATACTGAGTCCTTTTATTTGCTGATTTCTTTCCATATATTGTCTCGTTTAATCCTAACAATGCTAGGAGGTAAGTACTTTTGCTATCCCCATTTTACAGGTCAGTAAATTGAAGCAGATTAGGTAACCTGTTCAAGGTCACAGGGTTAGTGAACAGGGCAGGCAGAACTGGAGGCCAGGTCTTTTTGGGTCCAGGACTCATACCCTTAATCTCTGCACTACATTACTCCAGGAAAGACCTCATCTGGATAGGTCTGCATAGATAGGAAAGAGAGAAAACTTTTTTATTGTTTCTGTATTGCTTTTTTCAATGAAGAAAGATGCGCTAAAAAAAAAATTGCCTCCCTACATAGCTCTACGATTTCTAAATCAGAGATACATGCTGAGGTTTCAATTGTAGCTACTAGGGGCTATTAAATGAGGCAGCAATAGTCTCTACAAAAACCAAAAGAAGGCCAACTGGTAGCTTTGCCTTATCAAAAGGGCTTTCGGATATAGGTGGTAAACTTAACGATATTTCTGAGGGTTCAAAGGAATGCATAATAAACCTTTTGGATTTTCAAAGGAAAATAAGCTTCCATTTGAAAAATACATTTTTAAGCTCCCATTTGAAAAATAAATTTTTCAGTTTGAAAATAAAAACAGACATACTGTTTTCCTACTAAGGAAAAGCCTATTGAAAATGAATCAGGCTTTCAAAGGGCAGTGATAAGAATCGTCCACTTACTCCTCTTCTAACCACAGCAGGCAGGGTCTGCCAACCATGGGTAATTTCAGGCTATGGAGCATCTCCAGAGCCGCCCTCTCTCCCCATTTCTACTTGAAATCCACTGACTTCCTTTGCAACTCTCTTCCTGTATTCTTTGTTCCTCTTCCCTTTTTCTTCCTTTTCTCATTATCCTGTTTCTGTTGACATTTTTCTCTTTTTTCTGCGTTTCCCTTCCTTTTTCCTTTTTTTTTTGTCTCTTTCATTTAATTGCTTGTGACATGGTATTAAAGTATGTGTATGCAGGGCCGGGCACGGTAGCTCATGCCTGTAATTCCAGCACTTTAGGAGGCAGAGATGAGCGGATCACTTGAGGTCAGGAGTTCGAGACCAGCCTGGCCAACATGGCAAATCTCTATTTAGATCTTACTTGTGAGACAGAGATCTTTTCATATTTAGTAGAGATGAAACCCCATCTCTACTAAAAATACAAAAATGGGCATGGTGGTGTGTTCCTGTAATCCCAACTACTCGGGAGGCTGAGGCAGGAGAATCGCCTGAACCCGGGGGTTGGAGGTTGCAGTGAGCCGAGATCGTGCCACTGCATTCCAGCCTGGGTGACAGAGTGAAACTCTGTCTCAAAAAAACTAAAAAAAAAAAAATAAAGTATGTGTATGCATATGTTTGTTATAGGTCACTTTTTTGAATATTTTGTTTCTCTGTTCTTAATTGGAAGTAACCTATTGTTTATCTTGCTTTTTAAAACTATTGTTTGCCTTTGCTTTTCATCTGTGCAGCTCTAGGTCTTCTCCCCAGGCACTGTGGTGTGGTTTTGTCAGTTTGACTGTCGGAGGACAGCCTTATTTTCAGGAGCTGAGGGTTCTTAGGAGATACTTCACTGACACCCTCATGTACTGCCATCAATCATTAACTAATGTGCACTTCCCAAAGTCTCAATCCTGATGTTATGTGAAGACTTGTCTAAGGCATTTACAAGAGGTGTCTTGGAAATGTGTGATCCAAAACACCCACAAGTCCACCACAGCACCTGGATCTCATCACATGAAGATACAGCAGGGATGGGATTGTCATTGAGGAACCAAGAGCTTAATAAGTGGAGATGCTCCCTGTGTAGAGAAAGGCTGAGTGAACTTGCAGGCAGTTGAACACAAAAAAGAAAAGCCTCAGAAGACACGTGTGGTGGTGTCCATGTGGAAGCTGGCCAGGGTTCTCTGGACTGCAGATTCCAGCTCTCCAGCCCCTCTGGGAGGTATGATCCTAATGCAAGGTATCCAACTCTCTCTCTCCTTTGCTATTGCCATGTTCTCTAAACAATTCCAAACAGGGGACCTAGTTTCTGCTCAGCTCATCTACAGGAGGACAATGCATTGATCTGTCAAAGGCAATGATAAGAACTACTGAACTGGGAAGCAGTTGCTTTGCTAGAAAGCAATGGTTAAGGGCATTGGCTCCTGACTTCAAACCCAGCCTTCCACCATGAGTATATGATGCTAAGAAAGCTATTTAAATTTTTTGTGTCAGGCCCCTCATCCATAAAATAAAAATATAATAATAATCTTTACCATATAGGGCTGCTGTGCAGATTATAAAATTAATGCATATGAAGTGCTTAAAATAGTTATTGGCACGTAGCAAAGCACCCCAAACATATTACCTATTATTATTGTTTTCCCCGAAGACCTTTATCAACCTTTCTTTTTCTTAGTAGCTTATACTTTGCTATAGTTGGAGAGGATTATTTCTTCTCCAAACACTAATTGCTCTAAATGCAAATAAAAATTCTGCAAAATTAAATAGAAATGAGATTGTTATGCTGTATAAATATAGAGCATTTTTTATTTTTATTTAGTTATCCAATAACTTTTAAAAACATTCCGATGTTTAAGGTCAATTTTTTTTGCAGTAGATTAATGAATAAGCTTTCAGATATAGATAACAAGAGCTATCTATTCTATAGACAGCATTTACTATGTGTCAAGGAGGTACTGTACTATTTTATCTATTTAAGTCACATGGCTAGAAGGGGCAGAGGCAGATCCGAACCTGGGCCTGATCTAAACTCAGGTCTCTGCTTTATCCCCCGAGTCTAGTTAGCCTCCATGAGCTTTGTTACAATACCTTCAACCTAAGGAGAGAAGGTTGATAAGTTTGCAAATCTAAGGACTAGATCCTTGAATGTGGTGATATCACAAGGTCAACACCCCCTTGGCATCCCCATCCCCTGCTGGGCTTCTCTGGAGAAAATCCTCCCATATTGTCTGGGTGCCACACAAGATCTTGCTGGTGATTTTTTTCCAAAGAACCATTACAGACTTTTTAAAGGTACACAATTGTGCATTCCTTAATTAAGTCCTGTGAATTATTCCAAGGAACCTCTTCAGAATAATCACTGTTTCACAAAAATAAGAAGACGACACCAATATAAGGTACATTATCTTCTACCCAGGGAATCAAGCTGAGTAATTAGAGCTTAAGGCGGATCCAATTACCCACAGCACACAGCCAGATTAAAAATCGGAGCTACGTGAGGAAGCAGAACCCAGAGGAACTCACGAAGCCCAGGGGCCTTAATTCTTGCAGCAGGAGGATCGTGCAGGAGGAGCTGCCTTCCATGTCTCTGCCCCTCCCCCTCCCCACCCACAGGGTCTTACCTTGTTCACAAAGTTTCTTGGTCAGAGAGCCCTCATCTTGAAAATAAATAATGCGTTTTTGTACGATGCTGGCCCTGTGAAGAAAGAAGACCCAAGCACAGTGGTGAGGAGGGCAGGAAGGCAGGTTTGGGAGATCAGTCAGACATAGTCCCTGCTTGGCTTTGTGGCTTTGAGTGAGTCACCCCAACTCTCTCTGTCTTCATGAGAAAATTAACATAACAGCAATACCTGCTTTATGGGGTTGTGGTGAGAACTAAGTCAGAAAATGTATGTCAAGAGATTAACACATACCTAGAAACCACTCCACTCAATATTAGTTACTAAATTGTTTTTGGTGGTAAGGTTATTGTGAAGGTAAGAAAGTGAACTAACAGTATTTTAATAACTTTTCTCAATGGTTTATTTTACTCTACTTTTCATGTTAAACTATTGAGGCCATTTATAGATCAGCCAAATTCAAATCACAGAAGCATGTCAGATCCTCTTTGTGAAGGGGAAAAAGGAATTTAAAAATATATTTTGATTTGTTCTGAAAATGTCATTCTATATCTTTCCTGAAAGTCTAGACAAAACTGTCTCCTACATTCTGAACAAAGACAACTTCAGCTGTTATATCTCCCTCTTAAACATGTCAAATGCAGGATCTTAGAATTTGGAAAAAATATTTTGAGGCTGAAAAATGACTTACTTTTGGCCAGCACATATTTTCGCTTTAATTTGGGATTGCACAGACATGCTTCTTTTATTTTAACCCACTCTGTTGTTGATTTTCAGCTGGCCTTGAAGGGGTTGGATACTGAAACCCAGAGTTTCAGTAATTTGAAAGTTTACAACATTTAGAACTGAGACAATGCGAAAGGATCTTGGACCACTTCTACTGATTTTCTTCAGCAATGCTACTCAGTCAAACGGTAATTTTCACTTCCATTCACCCTGTTTAACAGATATAGGGATTCCTTGACTGTATTATAGCTGACCACACTGAAGGAGTATTAGAGTCACATGATCTGCATGTGTCACATGATCCCAGACCCAGGAATGGGGCCATGTGTGCATGGATCCACAGAGTACAGAGGCAATCTTCCTGATGGTCTGGGCCTAGGCCAGGATGACTTTCCAAAGAAATATCTACTCTACATCTAGTCTTGCACAAAATAATACAATTCTGACCATCCTACAGATGTCTTTTACAGTCATTCCTTACCCAAGAGAGACAAGATGTTGAAATAAATGAATGAAATATGCTTCCTGTCTACGCAAAGCTACTTTGATCATTCTTTTGACTATGAAGCAAAAGAAAGTTTCCTCAGGCCAAGAGAATAACAGTCTTCACCCCAAAGCCAAATAACAAAGCCTTTTGTTAGTCAGATCATCCCATCATCTCCAACAGTGCTTTTCAGAGTGTTTTCCACTCTGTGCCTCCAGGACCTCTGTGGAGGGGAAGGGGCAGGCTTAGTGGGAAGTATCCCAGGCCCCACATTCCTGCTTCAGCCAAAGGCTCCATCCTAATTTCAACCACAACAGCCTCTTCCCCCATTTGTCTTCCCATTATATTTACTGGTGTATTTTCAACAAATAGTTGGGGGTCTGCTTAGGGGCCTGAGGGAGGTTCCAGGACACTGTCATAAACAAGCCAGATGGGGCCACACTACCCATTCTCAAAGTTTACAGCATAGTAGGAGAAAGTATCAAATAACCAAACCTGCAGCTGATCATTTAACACAACCTTGATTAAAGTTTACAAGGAAGTCCACGGAGTGCAGGAGAGCATAGAATAGGGCATCCTAACCATGCTGGGAAAGGCTCCCCTGAAAAAAGGTGGCAGAGCTGAGGTTTGAAAGAGCAAACTAGGAGCTAATTAGGCAAGTGGAAGGGAGGAGACAGGGAGAGGGCATCCCTTATAAAGTTCTTCAGGAGGGGAGGGACATGGGCTCATGGGAGGACCTACGAGTGGTAAGTCAGGGAGGTAGTACAGATTATACAAGCCTAATCTGAAAATCTAAAATCTGAAATGCTCCAAAATCCAAAACTTTTTGGGTGCTGACATGACACTACAGTGGAAAATTCCACGTCTGACCTCATGTATCAGGTCACAGTTAAAACATTTATTGGCAGCACATAAATTTAGGGTTAGGAATGATGGTGATGCCAAACAACCACAAACTGTCCACATGGCAGGCTGTGGTGGTGATACCTTTGCTTTCTGATGGCTCAATGTTTGTGTAAAACACAAACTTGTTTTAGGCACAAAATTATTAAGAATAATGTATAACATTAATCTCAGGCTATATATATAAGGGTCTATTCATGTATATGTTTGAAACGTGCATGAATTTTGTGTTTAGACTTGGGTCCCATCCCAAGATACCTCATTGTGTATATGCAAATATTCCAAAATCTGAAAAAAAAAATCACAAATCTAAAACATTTCTGGTCCCAGTCATTTTGGATAAGGAATACTCGACCTGTATGAGATGAGCTGGGAAGATGGGTAGGGCCACATTACCCAGAGCCTGCAGGGAGATGGCATTTCACTCCAAGTTTAATGAGATATCTTTGAAGAGTGTGCCCAGAGGACTAAGATGATCAGATCTGCTCTTTTAAAAGAGCACTCAGGATGTAGTAAAAACCAGTTGGTGTGTGGCTGCAGTGGACAGAGCTCCCATGCAAATCAAGTTTTGTTTCCATAAAGCTCTCTTGCTAAAAACATTTAAAAATCAGTCATCTACAGGATAAAATACAAACTTATAATATTCAAGGGTCTTTATAATTTTCCCCAGACATGTCCTGGCTTCAGCTGTCATCACTTTGGGCCAAGCTTCCCGGGTTGCAGACTTTCGATGTTTATTCTTGTGTGAACACCTCTTCAACTCGACCAGGCCTCTGCCTGTGCTGCCTCCTCTCCGGAATCACCCATGCCTGCCTTTGCTTGCCTCTGTAATAAATACTCTGAATCTTCTTCCTCCTACTGTAAATAGGGGGACAATGGCAAAGCCTATCATTTAAAAGCATGATAGTGCATAGAAAAGTAATTGCCCTCAAATTTTTGAAATATATGATTATAAAAATTTTGGGGGACTAGAGATGAAAAACATGTATTTCCTATAAGATGTCTCAGCTTCCTCAATATTCTATAAAGTCTAAGGCAACCCATTTCCTCTTTTTAATAATTGTTGTCATTTCTGAGCCCTTACTATGTGCTAGTCTGCACTAAGGAGGCACTTAATATACATTATTACCTTATATAACTTATGCTTTATATATGACAGGTCCTCAAATTCTTCACCCAAAACCCGTGGTCTGGAATATGTTTTGGAATTCAGAAACTTTTAGATATCAGAAAGTTAAGATTGTACATATACCACTAATACCTCTATAATCAAACACATCAATATTCTGCAGTAAAATGTTCGATTATGGGGCCAGGTGCTGTGGCTCACACCAGTAATCCCAGCACTTTGGGAGGCTGAGATAGATGGATCACTTGAGGTCAGGAGTTTGCGACCAGCCTGGCCAACATGCTAAAACCTCATCTCTACCAAAAATACAAAAATTAGCCGGGCGAGGTGGCCCATGCTGCTTGGGAGACTGAGGCAGGAGAATCGCTTGAACCCAGGAGGTGGAGGTTGCAGTGAGCTGAGATTGCACCACTGAACTCCAGCCTGGATGACAGAGGGAGACTCCGTCTCAAAAAAAAAGGTTAGATTATGTATGAATTTCATTTATCCTCCCTGAGTTCTGTTGTTACCTATTCACTTTTCAGTCTCCTGTGCTAGATTCCAAGATTCGTACCTTATTCCTCCAAATGTTAGTATCATTCTACTACCAATGTTCTAGGAGAAGGAACAGGGTTTGGGGACAGGAGAGAATCTGAGGCTAATGTGGCTTAGGTTGTGATGGTGGGCAGTCTAGTGGGTCGTTAGACATAGGGCATTGTAACTCTGGAAAGCTGGGAGGGAATGGGAGTGTGGACGTGGGAGTTGCTGGCCTAGGTAAGAGTCAAAGGATTTGGAGTGGCTGATGTCACCCAGGGAAAGCGTGCAGAGTTGAGAGTGAGAGTCAAACTGAGCCCAGAACCCTGAGGAAGACCAACATTCACCTACAGAGATGCTAGTGGAGACCAAGACTTTGGTACACTTGGTTGCGGAAGTTTCTATTTATTCCTCATTTGGTCAACTCCTGAGAGAATTTTATATTCTGAGAAAATGCATTTTGAGTCTATTCCCATCAAAACTATAAAACTCAGCTGAGGTTTATAAATCATATTATCATTCAGAAAAATAATAGCTTTACAAGATGAGAAAGCTGTTAGTAAGAACTCCCTTAGCATTTCAAAATGACAAATTTCTCCCATACTGTGTTGCAATTTGGCAGTACTGTTGCATAGCATTTATATACTGAATGCTCTCTTATCATAAGAGAGCATGTTAAGGAAATCTAAATTAAATTCCTCAGTATGTTATCTTCTCAAACTTTAGAATATTGAGGTTCTAAATAACTCACTAATCATTTCAAAAGTTTTCTTTTCAACCTGAAGTGAACATTTCCAAAAATGCCATCCTGAATCTCTTAGGTGCTCAGCCCTTTTCTGTTTGGAGGGTTTATTCATTTACCACTCTTTTTCCTGAGGGAATCTGCCTGTTGGGGTGAAGTTAGAGTTTGTGAAGTTGTGGGTTTGCTGTCTAGTGCTAAAAGGGGCTGGGGTCCCTGCTCCCGGGAGAGAGAGATCTCAGAAACTGAAGTACTTGGGAGAAATCAGGTCATGAAATGACTTAAAAAATATACCTGGATCCTCAGGGAATGTGTCACAGCCATATAGAGACAATTCATGTAAGTTCCTACTGTGGTGTGTTGCACACGGTAAATATCCAGTATGTGGTGGTCATTATCATTGCTGCTGTTAAGTCACCAGCCCCTAACAAAAAGTACCTGGCACGTAATAAGTACTTAATAAACAGTAGTTGTTTTTATGATTGATGTCAGGTCTGTTTCTTTGCTTGTGGAAGGAGGAGTGAGAGTATTACCTTAGTCAGCTGCTTCAGACAGAGACAATAAATTGCCAAAATGAAGGTTGGGTTTGTGGTCTCTAGACTATTTTTGCCAGCCTTCTTCCCAATTCCAGTAAAATCCTTATTACTGAATATTTCTTGAAATACTTTATAAAATTTCTCTATGATCTCAGTAATGTTTTCCATAGAGTTGGTCCAGTTTATAACCAGCAATATTTATTCCCATCTACCAATGAAAAAATTAACTGTGGGATGACCCAGGAATCAAATATTGAAGTCACTGCAATGATAATATCAGATGCTGAGGCCGTCTCCCTTATTTTACTTCACAAGGATGCCAAGGGCTAACTGAACGATGGCCGCATATTTATCCAAAGGCTGTGTACATGCCAGGATGCACACTCACCAATCTTGTATATGGCTTTAGGTGGGTCTCAAGAAATGGAGGTATGTTCAAGAGTTAACAAGTATCCAGGAAGCCCAAGACAGTGGGCCCATGGGAGAAGAAAAGTGAAAACTTATCTGCAGGACTCTATCTACAAGACTCTATCTACAAGACTCCATGACTTGTAGATAGAGTTAAAGGGTAAGGCTGCAGTCTCTGCTTGGGGTCACAAAGCTATAGATTCAGAGGTCATCTACCATGACTGCAAAAAAGCAATTCCAGTAGCTGAAATGAGATTATTCCTGATTAATTATCACTCACTCAAAAACATATGCTGAACACTCATTTTGTGCCAGGCACTATGTTAGGAGCTGAAACTTCAAAGAGGAATAAGAAACGATGACTTCCAGCAAGGAGCTCCTATGCTAGTGGGTGAAAAGAGATAAACAGAAAAAGGAAACTGGAAATCAATGTGGAACATGATAATGGAGGAGCCATGGGAGGCAGAGGTGAAGTGACTAACTTCACAATGGCAAGGCTTCAAGAGGAGGAGATGATGGCGGCGGCTCTGAAGGTCAGAACTGAGAAAGGGGCATGGGAAATAGAGACTCTATGAGACACATGGTAGGAAAATTCATCAGGACTTATAGCATATTGGATCTAAGGCAGAAAGAGAAAGTTAAGCATAAGATATTTTATTTATTTATTGTTTATTTAACAGTTAAGCACCTTCCTATGTGCTTCACAAATATTAACTCATTTAATCCCCCCAACCAAGAGGTAGGCATTACTATCATCCCTATTTTACAGATGAGAAAACTGAGATAGAGGGAGGTAAGGGAACTGACTCCTAGGTACGAACACCAATGACTAGAGGGAGACATAGTAATGCTAGGATTGACACAAAAGACAGGGGGATTAGAAAGAAATATTTTTATTTTTAAAATTTTTATTGAGATATTGTAGATTCATATATGGTTGTAAAAAAGAATACAAAGTGATTGTACTCTGCCTGGTTTCTCCCAATGGTGACACTTTGCAAAACTTAAGTATAATTGTACAACCATGATATTGACATTGATACAATTCACTGGGCTTGAGTCTGGGTACCAAATGGTGCAATAAGGTTAGATGAAAGCTAGATCATGCCATTCTAAAGAAACTCTGGCACTCTCTATGATGGAACATACCCGAATGACTCTCACAACACAAATCTGTTAGAATCCCAATCAAACAATCATCTACAAGTGCTACAACTCAGCGGAGGGTGGCCATTTCTGGCTGGAGTGAGGTGGAGTTGGGGAAAGTGTTGGTAGAAATGAGGTTGACCAGGTGTAACTTCTTGGAAAAATGGCACAGGAGTTGGACTTGGAGTCCTAGAGACTAAGTTTTTAAAACCAGGGACGGGAACTTTGCAGTAGAGCTGCACACCTAAAAGAGACCCTTGGCAGGCCCACCATCTGTGGCCCTTGGAAACAACGTTCTCTGCTCTGAGCAGACATCTCGACCTGAATCAGAGATATCAGCTCCACATGGTGCTGCACACCCATGTGCAGCTTTGATTATTACCAGAATTTGGGTAAGAGGTCGGTTAGGCTCTTAACAAGACTACAACCCATTCCCAAACTTGTGTGGTCATTGGATTTCTCAAGCTCTCAATTCGCATTGCACAAAGTTACACTACAAAGCCCTGGTTCTGATTTTAATAAAAACTAAAGGAAAGCTAGTTTTAGTGCTCAGTTTATTTCCTCTTCAATAGTTAAACTGACCTAGGGATAACAAGGTTACCATGATCCCATTTTCTCTCATATTGTTCAACTTCATCATATAACTTGTCAATACCATTACTCTAGCACTTTACAACTTACCCGTCTGCCCAAATCCAATGGAAAACTAATGATGAATTGATTTTCATATAAGAGATATAAAAAGACAAGAATAAAACTGGATTGTGTTTTAAAAAGAACTACTTTAGATGTGAGAGGTATTAAAACCAGACAGACATTCATTTACTCATAAGTTTGTCTAACAGAGTAAGTGCCACAAAGCTGTGTTAGGACTTAGAGATACAAAGATGAATAAGCTATTGTTTGTGTGATACCAAATAGTTGCCCACCTGACAGGAGAGTGACGTAATCTGTTGAATCAGAACACTGCACAGCAAGTCCTGGCGTCTACCCAGCATCCATTCCCTCCATCTTCCCCACTTGCAGAGCTGTCATTTTGTTTGGGGTAATATCAGACATGCCAGTCATGATAGTCCTGTTCCTGCTTTCCCAGCCTTCCTTGCTGCTGGTGGTAGGACATGTGACCCACATGTGGCCTCAGTAACATAACGGGAAGTTTGCAAGATGGAAGAGACTAAGTCTGTAAAACCAGGGACAGGAACTTCGCAGTAGAGCTGCACACCTAAAAGAGATCCTTCTGAGGAAGTTTTGCTTCCCAGGTAAGAAAAACAAATGACCCACCATGGACTTTCCCTTACAAACACAATGTGTGGAACAAGGCAAGCCATTTTGCTACCATGAAGAAAGGCCAAGAAGAATCACAAAGACACTGGCCTTGACATCATTTAGCTGCTGAAAGAATACCAGCAGTCACTTACCCTGGGGCTTCTTGTGGTATGGGAAAAATAAACCTCTATTTGTTGAAGCCATCATCAGCCAACCTTTGTAATGAATGCTGCTCTTAAATGTGTGCCTAACTGATGGAAAGAGGCATGGTGGGATATAGGGAGGGCAGTTCAGAGGAAAGGAGGAGTCAGGCTCTGTCTGGTCCCATATGTAGGCCACAAGGTTGCACCACTGGGGAGCTGTTGGAGGTCTTTTATTGTTGTTTTGTTTTTTTTGAGGCAGAGTCTCACTGTCTCGCCCAGGCTGGAATGCAGTGGCATGAACACAGCTTACTGCAGCCTCAATCTCTTGGACTCAAGTGATCCTCCTGGCTCAGCTTCCTGAGTAGCTGGGACAACTGGTGCCTGCCACTATGCTTGGCTGCTTTTTACATTTTTTTTTGGTATAGATGGGGTCTTGCTATGCTGTCCAGGCTGGTCTCGAATTCCTGGCAAGTGATCCGCTTGCCTAGGCCCCTCAAAGTGCTGGGATTACAGGTGTGAGCTATTGCTCCCACACTGACGGTTTTTGGTGGGAGTGAGGGGCAGGGATGCCCTTCATCAGAAGAGACTGAGAAGAGGGAGAAGAGGGACAGCTGTGGACAAGGCCTTATAAGAAGGCCTTGGATTTGGGAACCAGAGGGTCCCTGTGCTGGGTCAGGCCTTCAAGTTTACATCCCAGAGATGTGGCTGTAAAGGAAAGGTGGGGTGGGGGTTGTGAGTAGGAGTTTGACAGGAAAACACAAGCAAGGGAAATACTTTTTTTCTCTCTGGAGGAAGCTTTCACATGCCTGTAAGGTGAAGCTCAGGAAAGAGCGGAAATCCTTAGGGGTACCTGCTGGATCACTGGCTGGAAATTTGTCAGCTGTTGGAAAACTCTTCAACTCATATGAATGAAATAAATAGGCTGCAGGAGGTAGTCCCGGTTGTGGAAGCTCTGACAGGCAGGCAATTCTAGATAGTTAACAGGACTATTTCTCATTTTCTATAATTGTTTTAAACCAAACTATCAATTTTTTTTTCCAGCGTCTTTTGACCCTTAATGGTTTTCTTCCTCTGGTTGAAATTATCCATGGTATTTCTTAACCTTGCAAAGAGATATTTGTCTAATCCCTGAGCCTGGGGTGAAGGCAGTATCTCACATACATCATTAAGCCAAAAAATCTTTTCTCTTAATAACACATGAACAAGGGGTTTGATGTTACTGAAAAATTACTTTTATTTTTCAGTTTGATGTTACTAAAAAATTACTTTTATTTTTCAATCAGCCTTAGCACATTACTTAGCATTTTGCAATTGATTAGTGGTACCTGGGGTATTACTAGTCAAGGGACAACTGGCAGGCTGTCTCTATGACATTGTTTAGCTGGTGACTATTAATGCCTCTTACAGTTCACTTGCTATTCGGTGACCTCCCTGGCTCTCCCTGCCAACCTCTTCACATCTATAAACAACACTTCCTTAAACTCAGAGCCCCTTGAGTCCAGGGACTAGTGTCTTATTCATCATTGCATTCCTAGGACCTAACAGAGGATCTGGCCAAGGCTTATCAAACCTGGAGTTCTTAACATAGGGTTTGCAGACAGGTTTTAGGATGATGAAATTTTGTTTGATGTGCACAAGTGCATTTTTCTGAGTCAGAATTCATAGCTTTCATCTGCTTCTCAAAGGGGTTCCTGACCCCACAAAGCTTAAGAATCACCATTAGGTCTGAAATATATGACAGTAGATACGCAGAAGGGCATGAATGTCATTCCATTTAATAAAATATTCCAACTAAGATATACACTTTTTTCCTAAAGATTAAGGTCAAATTTTTATTCCAAGCACCCAAGACTTCAACTGCTTTCTCTCCAGACTATGCTCTGATCCAAAATAGAACCTGTCTCAGCTGGAAAACAAGAAATAGAAAGTGAAGTGTTGCTCTTGGGTTTCTCCGGTGTTCTGTGCTGAGTCCTTGCTGCTCCGTGGCTGGGCGTGGGTGTAATCATATAATCGCCCCAGCCTCTAAGGAAGAGGAAATGCTGCCACATTGCAAGCTCCCTCTTGGCTGGGTTCATGCAAGTCATTACTCTCCGCAGTTCGTCCCACTTTGCCTTGGCTTCAGCCTCCTCCCGCTTCTGTGGGTTCCTGCAAACTAGGGCTGACTGCAAGAGCACTGTCCTCTCAGGTGTAAGGAAACAATCCAGGTGACAGAGCAAGGTCCTTGAGGGCGGGCCACCTGCCTTCTTTCTGTTTCCTCTCACTCAGGTTTTCTGCTGTGGAAATGGGAGCATCCTGTAGAGTAGTAGAACTGGCTGTTGGGAGATGCTTGCTCTTTAGGTGGGGTTGGAGGTGTGGGAGGGGGGTCACTGTTCTCAGCTAGGACCTCATAGACCATGATTGGTTCCAGAGGATCTTTGAACCCCTGAAAAAACTGTATGGAAAGTATATGCAAAATTGTAAGCATGTGCATTGCTTTGGGGAGAGATTCTATAAGAGCAGCTGTCTAAAGTAGAAGCCTTGATTTTCATGCCTGCTAGTACCCACCTGACTCCCCTCTACCTCACCCTAAGGAAGGACACACACAGAAGATTAAGTGAAGGATTTTCTGGTTAATTACTGCAGTAACCTCCTAATGGTCTCCTGTCCTTGCCAACCCATCCCATTTACCTATGCTCTGCCAGGGGACTGATCATCACCTCTTCATTATCACTTTCTTTCACACATTGTTAGCAACGATGGCACCACATCCTAATTATCCCACCCCCAACCTCTACCACACCCCAGCACAGGGTGTGGCACACAGTAGGTCCTCTCTAAACAAAGGCTCCTCTCTCGCTTACAGGTTATAGTCCGAAGTCTTGGCTAAACATCCACAATTCTGAACACTGGGGTGCAAGCCACCTTTCAGGTCTGATACCCCCCTCCCCAAGTACCTGAATTCAGCTTTACTGTGTGGATGTGTGTCACATGTCTCCTCCTCACTTCTACCCTCCTCTCTGCCTCGTCAGATCCCAATCATCTGTCACCATCTCACTTCCTCCTCAGAGCCGCATTAACCAGGACCATCAGAAGTGACCTGTCCCTCCACCAGACTTCTAGAACACAGTTTGTTGTTACTGTTCATTTGGCATTCAGGCATTGGGTACTCTTGATGTTTGCTTGAACTTTATTTAATATCTTGTATTATCCTTTGATTTATTGCATGTTTATATTTTGCATTTCTGCCTGAATTCCAAGCTTTTTGAGGGTAGGAACCTTGTTATTCCCTGGTGGACCCTCTAACATTTGGCACTGAGCTTTCCTACAGGAAACATTGCAGGTGTGCTGATGTGATACATTTTCAATACACTGACTTTCCCCATAATTCAACTCTTTTATATTCAACACATAATTTTGAGTGTCTGCCATATGTCCACAATCTGGCAAGAAGCACAAACTCCTCTGTATTAGCAGTGCCACCCAGAGTGCTGTGTGATCAGCAAACAGTGACTGGTCTGAATCATGAAACATTTCCCACTGCATAAAGGCTGTTTATGCCTTCTGTGTTTTGACCAAGCTAGGCAGTTTGGCTGATGGCAACCATTGTTCTCAAAAGGAACCACGGAGGCTGAACTCAAAATCCCTTCACAATGTTGGGAATCAGCAGGATGATGGTATGTCCAGCACCAGGAGGTGAAACCAAGCACAGAGCTTTCTTATAAAAAAGACACTTGCTGACTGCACAACGCATTCAACTTTGCTCATCCATTGAGTTGCCCCATGTTTCTTCTTTTCAATGTCTGTGCCCCTCTTGTAGCATCTGACCTCATCCTTATGTGGCATAAGCTCATCAGACGTAAGCCACAGTCATCTTGGACCCTCACAGAGTTCTGGGGCAACAGCATGAGACCATATGTAAGCTACAAAATCCGGACATGATCTGTCCTGTTTCCTAATCTTTCTCACAGAAATATTTTCAGCTACAAGAAAGGAAGGAAGAAAGGAAGAGTGGGAGAAGGGAAGAAAAAAGGAAGGGAGGAAGGGAGGGAAGGAAGGAAACCAAGAACTCTAGTTTTCTTAGTGAATAATGTGGAAAAGAAATTAATGTGATCCCATTTTAATGCAGAGCAGAATGTAAATGATGAATTTTTTTTATTTTAATGGTAAACCACTCATGTTTATGTTGGGAGACTTGGGAATCATTCTGGAGCGTCTGTGTGAAACAAGGTACTGCAAATTGTTTTCAAGTTGGCAAGGAATAAATTAAAACCCAATACATAAGTAAAAATCTATATCCTAAGGTTGACAATGTAACATGTACATTTCCATGTTGCACATCTGGGAGACATGAGGGAGTTGAACTTCAGAGAATGTGTCCCTTGAAAACACTTAAAACCTTTACAAAGTAGGATAGGTAGAAATCACCGAGAAGAGAGGAAAAAAAGAGGGAAGGAGGGGGAAGTCTCTATCTCCTCATCTGTGTAAGGGAACAAGAGCAAAACCAGGTAGTTGCCACCTCCATGGTGCAGCACAACAGACCTCCCTGGAGCTGGACCCTCACAGTGTGGTGGGCCCAAACTTTTTCCAGGGTCTTTGTCCTGGTCACTGCTTTGTTTGTAAATGGATGAGTCTGGGCCATGAGATTAAGATGTACATTTCCCTAGCTTTCTGGATATCTCCATGTGAAGGATGTTTCTATTATAAAGTGAGATGCATTTCAAGAAAGTCAACTAGCAGAATTCTTATCCTCGGAGGATATTTGGCAACAATCTTTTGGTAATAACATTTTGCACTGTATTTAATGCCTCTCCATCCAAAGGCATCAATATGTACAGTGTTTCTCTGGGCTGACATGGTCTTGAAAATCTACAATTCACTCTCCTGCCAATTTGGATTCTTCTCTGTTCAAGCTCCCCTAGAGATGACCAGAAGTTCCTCATGGCCAGAGGTCAAATGCCACTGATTGGCCCAGTTTGCGATGCTATTGTACTGGTTGTCAGTAGAAAAGGTAGTAAATCCTGGCCTTCCATGTGTCTAGTACCCTTCTTAGGAAATGTAAACCAGTTTCTTGATCCATAAATATTTATGATTTATGTAACATGCTTTGGAGAAACCGATTAACTGCAATTGATTACACCAGGGATCAATGCCTGAGCCAAAGTCATCCATATTAGACTTGAGGGATGCTGGCCATTTTGGGGTTGCCTTCCTGCTGACCCTGCCCAGCAAGGGTTCTGAATATTGAATGATGTGAACCGGCCTGCTTGAATTCTGTCTTTTGGGAAAAATAAGTGTCAGTCAAATTAAGGGAAGATGAGTCACTTACACAGGTGTAGGTCCGGAGCAATGGACAATTGTCTAGAGCACTTTTCTCCTAGAGCTGTGGTATATCCCACTGTGACCCAGTACTACCAAGGCTGATGTGACGATGTAACTAGCCAAGCTCTCCCACATCCCATGTATTTGTGCAATAAACTTCCAGCACTGATGGTCAACTTGTGTGTGATTAAGACCACATGCAAGCCTGCAGTTAGCAACATTGCCATTTGCATCTGTTGGGCTCTTGTTGCAGTAGTTAGGCCTCATCAGCATAAAAATGAAGTTGTTTTGATTTGATGCTGTCTGTCTATCAGAAAACTGTTATTAGGAAAATCGCATTAATTAGTGACAGCTGAGAAGAGAACCAGCTTTTGGAGCTGCAGCTGCAAATGTCTGCAATCTGACTGTTGACTAAATAGCCTCCAAGTGTATTTAATCACGTTAATTTTGTTTTCCTCTATTTGTATTACTGTTTAGGCCTGGTAGTTAATCTACATTAAATAGTCTGATACCATTAGCACACTTTAAAGAATAACATCAGCAATCCTATTCCTCCATGATTTACTGGAAGTGATATATTGTTTGGCTTAATGCTAATATTTTAATTTTATGCAGGAAAATGGAGAATTAATTAAGA
Organism: Homo sapiens; assembly: GCF_000001405.40. Taxonomy (NCBI): domain Eukaryota; kingdom Metazoa; phylum Chordata; class Mammalia; order Primates; family Hominidae; genus Homo; species Homo sapiens. Next base: position 14,061,493 of record NC_000011.10, on the reverse strand, counting down.
GTAATTTAAAAGCTTGACCTATTAACTGAAATATTTGATTAAGCTGAAAATCTAATTTTACAACCAATGATGGATAACAGAATTAGATGACTGGATAGGTGGATGGATGGATAATTGGATAGAATGATAGATACATAGAATGACAGATAGATGATAGTTGTGTACATTCACACACACATAAGGACTTGAACCTTCTACATTCTAATTCTTACCAGCTTATTACTTGTTCTTATAATCACCATGAAATCAGTGTGCTAAAGACATGGTACAATAGAAAGACCTCTGTAGTCAGGCAGATAAAATTTTATTCTGGATCTAGCTGTTTTGTGTGTAGGTGAATTTCTTCCCTGAGCATCAGTTTTCTGTCCCACAAATTGAGCTTAATATCTACTTTATAGGGCTCCTGTGTGCATTAATGAACTACGTTGGTGTAGAAAGTGCCTAGCATGAGATAGGAGCTTGAAAAATTTTATCTTTCCTTCTTCCTTCTCCTTTAAACCTTGTGTCACTATTTATTATAACTTCTCATATTTATGCCTTTTTTTTTACCAAACTAGAGAATTAATGAAACCCTTATAAGGTAGAGACTCACTCTTGTTCACCGTTGTATCTACCCACAGTGCATGGCACAGTAACTGGGACCTACTGGATGTTGGTACCAATGGATCAGTGTTGGCCCACATGCCTTGGTTTTATCACCAACCAGTATGACAGTGATAACTAGCATCTACTGAGTGCTTGTGATGTGCTAGGCACTCTGTAGTAGACATTTTATTTAGTTCCAGGGTTTGCAGCCCTGGTTGCTCATTAGAATCATTTGGGTGCCCTAATTCCACCCCAGACAGATGAGATCAGAATTTCCAGAGGTGGGGCCAAAGGACAGGTAAGTTTTAAAAGCTGCTCAGGTGATTCCAATATGCAGCCAGGGCCAAGAATCCCTGGTTATCTCGTTTAATTCTCCTGCCTATGAGGTAGGTAGTACTCCTTTTGCAAATAAATGAAGCTGAGGTATAGAGGGATCAAGTACCTTGCTCAAGTTCAGCTGTTAAGAGGTAGTCCAGGATTAGGAGCCCAACAACTTTGACTCCACAACCCATACCCTTCTCCACTGGGCTCTCCTGCCTTCCATTTGTCAAGGAAATTCCCAGCTAAAACTACTGGGTATTAGATAGTATGTAGGTATCCTTGGTATTAGGCAGTAGATTTTGACCATCACAAAAGAAAATGTACAAAAGCCTAGCAAATCATTTCTATTTTAAAAGTGAAGGCCGAGTTTCTATATCTTGACATTTATACTCAGGGTCTGTGTGATCCAATTCAAATCACATTACCTCTCTGAGCTTCAATTTCTCACAATTATTATGATGTTGACCTAGCAAAAGTAGTTGGGGGGGTAGAGCGGAAGGTGCTCTGCAAACCCTAAATTACTTTTAAAAATGTAAAGGGGTACTTCCTATGCCTTTGCTCCTGATTCCCATTTTATAAGGAGGAAAACAGGCTCAGACTGGGTAGAGCCAGGATTCCAACCTTGACCTGTCTGACCCTAAAACCCACCTGCAAGGGGGAAGCTTTGCCTAACAGAATGCTTAGAACCAGTCAAGGACCTTCTTGACAACACAATTAGCAGAAGCATCTGTATTGATCACCAGGCAGGTGTGGAAAGGGGGATTTTTCCTGGCTGCAGAGGAATAATGGAATAACCAGGCTTTTCTGTAAAAACCTGTTTTAGAAATGACTGTGGCAGCGGCTGCTGGGGGGAACTTGCTCTTCCCTCCCTCCCACACTCTTCCCCAGCCAGTAACTCTGTCACTTCCTGGCTTTGTTCCAGGGGCTAAAGGGAAAATGGAAATGCAGCCTGGTTCCAAAGAAAGCTTGGCATTTCAGGTTCTCAGATGAATATTCATGTGCCAGCCCCTCTGGTCTCTCTGCCTTGTTTTTTCTCCTTTCCTCCCCAGTTCCTAGCATTAGCCTGGCACATAGTAGGTGCTCACTAAATATTTGTCCAATAAATAATTGAGCCCTGAGGGGGTAGTGGGGGGTCTACGGTGGTGGAAAGTATGTTTCCCATTCCCTCCTGCCTGAGACCACATGCAAAAGAGCCTTTTTCACCTTTTACATTTTGACTTTGCTTTATTCAGTTTCCATCCCGAACAGCTCACCTTGACCCAACTTTGTGCCCAGTTTCTTGCTGGGCACAGCCTTTCCCCCTGAGGGCCCTTTGGACCTGATCCTTCTTTGATTTGACCCTTTGTTTCCCTCCTCCACTATGAGCTGTGCTGACTCTGCAGCCACCCTGGGTAAAACCCTCACTGGTCCAGCCCAGGCTGCCTGTGTCCCTGGACCCATTGCAGGTCCCACACAACTGATAACAGGGCAGGCATGAAAAGGCAGTGAGTGGGATGAGGGGAGGTGGCTGGAATGGGTAAGATGCACCAACAGACACAGCTTGTAAGATCCCCACTCCCTTTACCCCTCTAGTTATAGAACTATTGAGGCCCTCAAGACACTTTATAAAAGACATAATCCCCTGAGGATTCAGCCTTGTTAAAGATGTACTCTGGCATTGTGGTAGATCAAAAGCTTGGGCTACACAGTTAGACTGTCCAGGGTTCAAATCTCAGCTCTGCTACTTATGAGCTATATCATGTTGAGCAAGCTGTGCTTCAATTTTCTTCTCTGTAAAATGGAGGAAATAATAGTATCTGCATTATAGGATTGTGGGCACATATTTTAGCAATTGTTACTGTCATTAAAAAATTAGAGCAATACCCAGCTGAATGCTCAAAGAAGGGATGTTTTGGCAAAGGAAGCGATAAAGAAGAGAAGGAAAGTACAGAAAAAGAGGAACATTCATTGAGCACCCACTCCTTACCATGGCCTCACCTTCGCCCCAATCACAGTCCTCCTTGCTCCACCTGCTTGCAGGTCCCCTAATGTTCCTTGCCTTCTCTGGTCTAGGGACAATCCCACACTGTTTCCGCTGCTTCCCTTCATCTGTTGCCTTTTGCCACTGCTGTCTGGACCTTCCTCACCACCCTCAACCAGGATGGGTACCTGCCCAACTCCGCCCTGTGCTTCTCTCGGGGAGGCCCTTTCACACCATGAGGTTGCTGCCTGTTGACTGGCTCATTTCCCACCACTCTGCGAGTCTCCGGTCACACAGGCTGCATCCTGCTCAGCTCTGTATCCTTGCTGTCTGGTATGGCACTTGGGATGTGATGAAGGTGCTTAGTATACACACACTACAGGAAGGATCACTGAACGAACCAACTCAGCTCAGCCCCTCAGGTCTGGCAAGTCCTTGCCTGCCTTCCTGATTGAACCCAGTGTCTTCTCATCAAAATCTTGGCCCAACCTTCTGAGAGAAAAAAGCCAGGGAGAAAAGAAAAAAAGGAAGGAAGGAAAGATGTCAATATAGCTCTTTTTTCCTCTCCACCCCAACACCCCCTGATTTTGCCGAGTCCTTTTTTTGTTTTTGAGACAGGGTCTCACTCTGTCCCCCAGACTGGAGTGCAGTGGCACAATCATGGCTCTCTGCAGCCTCTATCTTCCTGGCTCCAGTGATCCTCTTACCTCAGCCTCCTTAGTAGCTGGGACCACAGGCATGCATCACCATGCCCAGCTAATTTTATTTTTAAGTTTTTGTTTTGTTTTTTTTTTTTGTAGAGACAAGGTCTCACTACGTTTTCCAGGCTGGTCTTGAACTCCTGGGTTCAAGCAATCTTCCAGCCTCAGCTTCCCAAATTGTTGGGATTACAGATGAGCCACTGTGTCTGGCAACCCTGAATCTTTTTAATTTGAAACCATTTCAACCTTAAAGAAAACTTACAAGAGCGGTATAAAAAACTTATTTACCCTGAAGCATTTGAGAGTAAGTGGTTGACATGATGCTGATCAGCTCAAGTACTTTTTTTGTGTAATTCTTGCAAAGATATTCTCCCATTTAACCACAATATAACCATGAGATTAGATAACATTGATATATCTAATCCTCGAACCCTATTCACATTTCAACAATTGTTCTGTTGCAGATAATATATCTAGTTTAGAATCACAGTGTTGCATTTAGATTTCATGTCACTTTAGTTTCCTTCAATCTAGAATCTTCCTCAGTCTTTGACTTTGAAACTTGAAGATTACATGTTATTTATTCTGTAAAATATTTGAGCTTGTCTGATGTTTCCTCATAATTAGATTCAGGTTATGCATCTCTAGCAGGAATATCACAGAAGTGGCACTGTGTCGTTTTCTTCTCATTGCATCCTATCAGGTGGCACACATTACAGGTGGCTGCCAGATTTCTCCATTCTAAAGTTCTTGCTTTTCTCCCTTTTTAGTGATTAAGTATTTCAAGGGCAAGTACTTTGAGATTATAGAAACCTCCTGTTCCTTATCAAACTTTCCAATTATCCATCCACTTGTTTAACTGGTATATGTGTTTATTTATATTATTTATATTATTTAGTTTATTTCCATTTTATTTAATGGGTTGTAATCCAGTGCTCTTATAAGTGTATGAGAATTTAGAGCCCTTAGCATGCTTTAGATCTTCCTCCTGTCTTGATGTTATATTTTATTTAATTGATTAATTAATTTATTTTTTGAGATGGAGTCTCGCTCTGTCACCCAGGCTGGAGTGCAGTGGCGCGATCTCCGCTTACTGCAAGCTCCGCTTCCCAGGTTCACACCATTCTCCTGCCTCAGCCTCCCAAGTAGCTGGGACTACAGATGCCCGCCACCACGCCTGGCTAATTTTTTTGTATTTTTAAGTAGAGACGGGGTTTCACCGTGTTTGCCAGGATGGTCTCAATCTCCTGACCTCGTGATCCACCTGCCTCAGCCTCCCAAAGTGCTGGGATTACATGAGCCACCGTGCCCAGCCGATGTTATATTTTAATGTTGATTTTCCCTGGTCTTGATTTTTTTTAATTTAACACGACCACTTTGTTTTATATTTTTCTTAATGCCACTTCATATTCTTTATGGGAAGTGGCAAGGAGCAAGCAAGTAAAAGAAATGGAGATCCAGTGTGACTAAACAGTTTTTGAAGCTTGAAAAACGACCTTTAAAATGTACAGTTTTTGTCCTAAGTACCAGAAACTGAAATTCACTTCTTGGGTAGACCACTTCTTTGTCTTAGGAAACATCTACATGATGATCTTTGTTTTATTGCAAATGTAAAGCAATAGTAATAACAGCAACATTAATAATATAGCCTTGTTTAGAGCTTATTCTGTGCCAGGAAGTGTTCTAAGAATTTTACATGCACTAACTCATTTAGTCTTCTCAGCAACTCTATGAGGTAGGTACATACTATTAATATTACCACCCCCATGTTATGGGGGAGGCACCTGAGGCACTGGGTGTCTAAAATGACTTGCCTAACGTCATTAGTAAGTGGTAATGCCAGACTTCAATCTCAGATCACTTGACCTGGAAGTCCACCTTCTTAACTACAATGCTAAGCAAACTAGTGTGGAGGGGAGTTAGGTCTGGAAATTGGGGCAACCTGGGACTTGTACAGGGGTAATCTTTGAAGGAGAAGTAAAGAGGCCACTGGGGTTAGGCAGGCAGCCTGGTGCCCACCTTGTGTGAGACAGGCCAGGAGCTGAGAGCAGGGAACCTCTAAGGATGAGCTTGGGCTCGTGGGCCTAAGAGCAGCCAACCCTTAGTCCAGTTATGTAGGATCTCTGTGAGGACTTTGGGGCACTCCCCAAGTCCTCAACATCTTATTAACCATTGCTGTTTGGCCCTAACCATAATGTGGGTACTAATGGACAGCCTGGAGTCCAAGCTTGAGGCAAAGGCAGGGAGAGGAGCTGCCCACGGAACAGATCCAGAGCCTAGCCCCAGGTGGATGGCCAAGGTGGCAAGCAACAAGCAACAGCCAGTAGTTTTTGGTACATGTTTATAATTCCCTAAGGATTCTCACAGATTCTTGGGACGTTAACCTGGCAGAAGCCTGGTCTTTCTATCGTTAAGGAAGAATTAGTTCTGATCTCATAATCTACAAATAATACTTTCCATTTAAAAAGACGGAAGACTACCCTTTTAGGAGTCAGACTTGCCCCTCAGGGTCTACATCTTTAGTTCTGTCTAGAGGATCCTCCGGCACTAGAAGGGTGAAGTTGTAGATTGTTCCTCTATCAAACTTTAATTTCAGAGCTGGGGTCCAGGACATTTGCCAAAGTTTTCCTTTGGGTGGGATCTTTTTTAGCATAGCACATATCGAGATGTTGACTGATGAAGAAGGCAAGGCAGTCTTTCATCTCAATGTACAAAGAAACAAATAGAAAGATAGGAGTGTGTTATTGCATCTACTGTCCCCACTACAGAGGCAATGTCAAAGAGGTTCTTTGGGACATTGTGATTGGACACATGACAGATGGCAAAAAATAAAGGCCAAGTGAGACCTCCGGAAGCCACACATATAAAAATGAGGGTGAAGAAAGATCCAGGAAGTGGGTTTAGCTAGCATCACAGCTGGTGCGAAGGAAGATTCCTCCAAGCAACGTGGACTGGAACAGTGGGCCCGATCAAGTACATACTGACTCATCAGATTTCTACGTGGAGCTACAGATGTGTTTAATTTTATACTTTGAGACCGATTTGCACACTGTGAGCCTGTACAAAGCCAGCTGCCTGGCCGCAGAAGCATGGTAGATATGTAAGAGCGGGAGATCCTGGCTGCTGTTCCAAGGGCTCTGATTGCTCTCGCTGGTTTCCTGATTCCAGAGCCACAAGACAAGACTCAGCCTGTGGCTTTCATCTGGGATTGTGGCCTAGTCACCCCCATCATTCCCCATTCCTTGATTTTTGATTTTCTTCTGCACTTTGGAAGGCTTTTCTGTGGAGCTGGGACTGTTGTTCAGAGTCTGCGTGTAATTACCACAAAACACCCTCTGACTTTAGGAGGAAAAAAAAAAAGAAAAGAAAACTAGACTTTGGACCATGTAGGAGATGATAGCTAACTAGTTCTGCACCCAAAACTGCAATTAGAGCAATTCTGATATCATTGTTAATCATGCCGATTTACATTTTGAAAGGAAACCAAATGATGAAGATAATGATTATTTCTGTTTCTGCTTCCCCCTCTTTCTCCTTAAGAACTGGCAATAGCGCTAAAGTCAAATTAAACATGTGCTTGAAAAATAAACTGGAGTGCTGATGACAGCTGCCCTGGACTTACAAGTGCACCACAGCTGTCAAACTCTAAATTAACAATGATTTTCATTTATGAATAGCATAGAACTAAGACATAAAGGAGCTTTTTCTCCTCTGTTTTCCTGGCTTCCAGGGACTGTTAAATATGAACTGTTAGGAAAATGCCCAAGGAAAAATGTAGCTGAAATCAGCCCACAATAATTAATTATGGAGGGAGTGTGGTACATTCTTTCTTCTTATGCAATCTTATTGTTCACTGACTTTAGGTTGGGTATTCTTTGTTGTGAGCAGGCTTGCAGGGAGGTAAATAACTCAGGTGCACTTATTTGATTAGTAATTGAGAATGAACAGTGGTAGAGCAGGAGAGCATCTATAGAGGAATGCCATCTTCCACAGCACTGAGGACCTTCAGGTGGCTTCTGCCCTCGCTTCTTCCAGATGAAGGAACAAATGCCCAAGTATATGACTTTGTTGCACTGTGGTCACACACTGGGTGTCCAAAGATCTAATCAACCCATTTTTGGGACAGGCTGTTTCATACTTTGTGACCCTGAAAGACAAAGTAGGTGTAAAACCATTTCTTTGTCCTTTTCTACTCTTGTTTGGAGTCATTACTGTCCTTCCTATGGATGGTGTGGGACTTAGGTGTGAGGCAACATGCCAATTATCTCCTGGTTAAAAAAATAGGGACTGAAAAGTTAATGTAGGAATAATACCATGATACTTTTTCACTGTTGCCCAAAGTTCTCATTTTTATCCTTTGATCATCTCATGTTAAAAATGTTCACAGGGATAAACAGATTGTGGTATATCCATACAATGGGGAATTATTCAGCTATATAAAGGAATAAAGTAGTGATAAAGCTACAACATGGATGAACCTCAAAAACATTATGTTAAGTGAAAAAAAGCTAGACACAAAAGGTCACACATTGTATGCTTCCATTTATATGAAATATCAAGAATAGGTAAGTCCATAGAGCCGGAATGTAGATTGGTGATTGCCAGGGGCTGGGGTGGGGAGAGGAGAATGGGGAGAAACTGCTCAATGAATAAGGGGTTTTACTTTGAAATGATGGAAATGTTTTAGAACTAGGTAGAGATGGTGGTTGCACATTATAAATGTACCAGATGCCACTGAATTGATCACTTTAAAATGGTTGATTTTATGTTATGTGAATTTAACCTCAATTATAAAAATGTTCATAGGGTTGAAACATTCCGTTTTGATCCCAACTTGACCAGGGCAGGGAATATATTGGCAACTCCCACTCCATCAGTGGAAGAGGATTGGAACTAGTCTTGCTGCCATAGACCTGGTGCTAGCTCACAAATAGGGCGGGCCATGTGTTCTTGCATGCCAACAAAGTTGCAGTCAATCCCAGGATCCCCACGATGTTGGTGCAATCTGGCAGTGCTTTAGTCTTCCCACCAAGCTTCAGTTTACTGCTGTGCCTAGAGCTCTGTCTAGGGCCTGTTCCTCGGCAGCCTGTACTTCCTATTTAATTCTTTCCAGTTTTCTCCCCTGGGGGCTGGATCCTGCACCTGGGATCCCAGCTGTTGAATGAAACTCTGCTGCCATTGGACTGATCCCCTGGAGCCATGCTCCCACTGGCATCCCGAGAACCTCTGGCATCTGGATTCCACCTGTTGGATGGCAGATTCTGGGGTATCTGAGTCTTCCTAATCAGGCACATGTTTTCATTTAGCCATGGCATTGGTCTTTCCAACTGCTCTCCCAAGAATCTGACACTTTAGCTGGTTCAGGGGTTTCCTAGTCCCTTTTCTGTTGACTCCTTGCTTCCTCCCTGGTCAGGGTTCCTGAGGTTCTAGGCTGCCTGAAGTAAAACCACCCTGACTTACAACAAAGGAGCCTGTAGTTCCTCTTGCTACCTAATGCCAGAAAAACTGTGGGGTAAGCTTCGCCCCAGCCACATCAGATCCTCCTAACCCTGCCATTTTCCTCTAAATCACACACGGAGTCATTGCATGTGGTTTTCTGTTACTTTCTTTGAAGATAAAAAGAGTTAGTGAGCCCTACGAAATTACAAAGTATTATGAGTGCTAGCTAATTGCTTCTTAATACTCATCCTCTCTTCCCACTAACAAGTCTTTCTCTTGCCAGTTTCCCTGGGCTTGTTTTCCATTTTCTAAGTGACATTTAGTTTCCTCACTTGGGGAACAATATCTCACCTCACAGGTAGACCTCCAACCCCTGGTTATAGGAAGAGCTCTGTCCTACTCCTGACAGACCTACTGAGGCAGAAGGTGGGCAGGAGCTGTGGGGAGGGGAGTCAAGCTTAGTCAGTGTAGCTTAGTGGTGATTAGGGCTTTGGAGTCAGGCAGAAGTGAGTTGAAGTCCCAGGCCTCATTACTTTACATCAACTGTCTAAACATCAGCTCTCTTATGAACAAAATGGGAATAATATAGTGAAAATTCTATAGGGCTTTTATGAGAATTACATAAGACATATATAAGACATGCAATGCATTTAGCATAGTGGTTAGCAATAAATATAAGCTACTTATTATTTGATTAATCAATGTATTGGGCACTGTCTTAGTCTGTTCAGGCTGTTATAACAAAATACAATATCATAAACTGAGTAGCTTATAAACAACAGAATTTATTTCTCACAGTCCTGGGGGCTGGAAAGTCTAAGATCAAGGTGCCACCATATTCAGTGCCCTGTAAAGGCCCTCTTCATGGTTTAAAGATGGCCATCTCCTCCTGTCCTCACATAGTGAATGACAGAGAGAGGAAGGAAGCCCTGTCTCTCTTTTTTTTTTTTTTGAGACAGGCTCTCACTATGTCTCCCAGACTGGAGTGCAGTGGTGCCATCTCAGCTCATTGAAGCCTCAATCTCCTGGGCTCCAGCAATCCTCCCACCTTAGTCTCCTGAGTAGCTGGGACTATAGGCTCTCACCAGCACACCAGGCTAATTTTGTTTATTTTTTGTAGAGACAAGGTCTCACTATGTTTCCCAGGCTGGTCTCAAAGTCCTGGACTCAAACGATCCTCCCACCTTGGCTTCTCAAAGTGTTGGGACTACAGGTGTGAGCCACCACATCTCTCCCTGTGTGTCTTTTTATAAGGGCACTAATCCCATTTTTGAGGGCTTCACCCTCTTGATCTAATTATAGCACAAAGGTCCCACCTCCAAATACCATCACGATGGGGATTAAACTTCAACAAATGGATTTTGGGGTGGACACAAAATATTCAGACCATAATAGGCAACTCTACACCCCTCTTCACATCCTCTCAGCACAACTCTGACTCCAACCACTGTTGCAGTGACCAACTCTGTACAGACTTGACCATCTCTGCCCCCACTGCAATGGGATGATGCACGTCTTGCCTGCATGGTGTACCACTTGATTCCTGTCCCAGAGCTTCTCTGATGCTGCAGCAAGTGTTCAGAATCTTAAGAATACTCACATGTATGCATCTCAGAAGTGGAGGAGAGTTAATGCTATGGGGCCACCTTTGATTAGTGAAGGATGGAGGCCAATGGATAGTGGCTTCCCCGGTTTACCCTGGGCACACTGTTCTGAGACACATGTCATAAGCCTTCTCCAAAGGCCCCAACTGGGGTCAAACACCAGTGGCCTGCAGTGGTGGCCAAGTCAATAACACTTGACCAAATCACCACCCCCACCCTTCACTCTTGATCCCTGGGATCATTTCCCAAATAAACTACCTGCTTATAAACTTAGGTCTCAGCTGGGCTTTTAGAAGAACCTAGGACAAGAATCAATAATTTTCGAGTTCCTGATGCTGGAGTGTACATTAGAACAGGAGTCAGTAAACTTTTTCTATAAAGGGCCAGATAAATATTTCAGGCTTTGCAGGACATATGGTCTCCACTGCAACTTTTAAGTTCTGCTACTATAGCTTGATAGAGCTCTAACAGTACACAAATGAATTAACGTAACTGTGTTCCAATAAAACTTTATTTACAAAAACAGGCAATGGACCAGTTTTGGCCCATGGGCTGTGATTTGCTGACCTACATTATGACCACAAAGAAGAATGAAATTGATCTATGCCTTTATGAAGCTCAGAGTCCTGTGTGGGGAGGAGTTCCTACAAATAAGGTTGTAAAGGTGGCTAGAAATATACAGAGTTAGACATCATGTTAAGGAATTTTGACTTTATTCTTTGGTGGTGAGAAACATTGAATGAGTTCTCATATCTTGTAGCAGCTGCAGCTGGGAATAGGTTATTTCACTAGCAAGAAATGAGTTGCTTCTTTTTAACATTTACATGAAACCCAGTCCTGCCAGAGGGCTGCCTAAGCACCCTGAGTGATGCTTCCATTACTGAATTTCCCACCCTGGATTGCATCGACAGGGCCAAGGTCCTTTCTCTGATAGACCTGAGGCCAGATATGTTTTGAAATTAAGAATATTTTGAATAATATAGTACACATTCCATGTATCTTGTAATGCCCCCATCAGGGTCTGGGACAGCATCTCACCATCAAACACATTAATATGTACACAAAAAGACCATACGTAACTTTGAGGCAGTTTAGGGCAGGTTTTGGCCCTAAATGAGTTATGAAAAATCTTTTGGATTTTAGAGCTTTCTGGATTTCAGTTTGTGGATGAAGGGCTGTGGACCCAATTTGTATGTTCATGATTTTCCCTAGACTGTGCCAACCTCAAAGGCAGCCTCTGTGTCCTTACTGCCTGCAAGCAGGAGGTGTTCAGTAAGTGCTACCAAAGGAATGGACAGACAAGAAAGGCTAGGGAGGATTCAGAGTTCAGAGAGAGAGATGCAGTGGAAGGCTGGTGAGGAACCTGGTGAAGGTCATAGGCACCCTTATATGCTCTGATCAGGATTTGGACTTTATCTGAAGGTGCTGGGGAGCCCTGTTCAAGTGTTAGGTAAGTGGTGTGACTCAGATGGGCCTGAGGACAGCAAGTCTTATACCAGCGTGAGGAGGACCAGAGGGTAAGGAACTAGAGTGATCAGTCAGGAGGTTTCTGTAAGAGTAATGCAAGAAGTGTCTGTGAATTAGGCAATGAATGTAGAGCAGTGATAAAAAAAGAGCCAAGATCTGGCTCTAATGATGTTGGAGGGAGAGAAGAGTCAGAGTTCAACCTGACCCTGTGGCATCAGACTGAGATGGCAGAGTACAGTATGAAGATCACAGACTTGGGAGCCCAGATGCTTCTGTTTGAATCCCAACTCTGTCACTTACTCTGTGACCTTGGGAACATTACTGAACCTCTCTGTGCCTCAGCTTCCTCCTTCATATCTACTTCATAGGGTTGCTATGAGGATGAAATAAGTATTTGTAGTGCACCCAGAACAGTGCCTGGCTCTTGTCTCTTACGTCTGCCTTTTACCAACCACTGTTTCCTAAGAATGAATTTCCTAATGGTTTACCAAATGAGTGTGTTCTCAGGAGACGGATGATCTACATCTCAGACCCTTCCAGGAAGGGACAAGTAAGTGTTGGAAATCTATCCAAAGGTAACAAATCCATGGAAACAGAGGATCACTTCATGAGATAAAACTTTTGTCAGACTGAAGGGTACGGAACTTCCTTCTGGTGGGGTCTGTAAACATTTATTCTACTCATGGCGGCTTTTTCTTTTAATCAATCGCTACTTGTCTATGATGGTTTGCAGCATTCTTGCAGCATTGTAGCATATGCCAGGGAAACTTTAAGTGCTGGGTCGCTCATTTGTAGGGAGAAGTCTATAAGGAGGGCTGCCTGGAAAGTCTGTAATTTAGAAATGTTCAAAGCTTTGCATCCAAATGGAAAATGGAAATGGTGTCAGGTTTGTGCCAAAAGGAAAGTCATAATTGCTATGTATTTTCCTTCCCGGCACTCCTGGGCAAAGGAACACAACCAGCTACGTGGGCTTCAGAGCTGTCATCTATAGACATTCATCAGTCTGTGCAGCTTATCTACTAGGCTGCCTTCTCCCAGGAATATTACTCAAACACCACAACACAAATGCTCCTTTTTACAAGTGAGGGCTCTGCAGCACAGTTGGTATCCCCCTCTTTATCTGTCCTGAACTTTGCTGCCAGATTTAAGTATCCTTACTAACCTGTTTGTTTGTTTTGAGATGAGGTTTCACTCTTGTTGCCCAGGCTGGAGTGCAATGGCATGATCTCCGCTCAATGCAACCTCCACCTCCTGGGTTCAAGCGATTCTCCTACCTCAGCCTCCCAAGTAGCTGGGATTACAGGCATGCACCTCCACACCTGGCTAATTTTGTATTTGTAGTAGAGACAGGGTTTCACCATGTTGGCCAGGCTGGTCTCAAACTCCTGACCTCAGGTGATCTGCCCGCCTCAGCCTCCCAAAATGCTGGGATTACAGGCGTGAGCCACCACACCTGGCCCACCCTTATTAACTTTTTAATGAACATTCCTCCCAGTGTGTCAGTCCACTGTTTAATAACTACTAATGGCTCCCTCAACTACTTTAGAATCAAGTTCAATCTCTTCCTGTTGACATTGGAGGGACTCTATGATTTAGCAATAGATTTTGTCCCCAAAGGCTTTTTAATCTTGAAAGGTCTGTCTACTGTCTTCTAGGGCTGCCATGTTTGCTCTCACTTCAGTTTTCACTTTATCCACCCCTTTTACCTGGAATAACCTCTTCCCTTCTGTCCTTTTATCCAAACCCTAACACTGTCTTCAAGATGTAACTGCTAACCTTTCCAAGAGGCTCTGATTTTTCCATTCCTCATTCATCTCCTCTCTGAACTCTTACCATGTTTAATTTGTCCCCCATTAATATCTGTCTTCGGTTTGCTAGCTTTTGCATAAATATTTTAATATACATCACAACTAGGCTGAAAGTGTTTTGAAAGTCAGGATCATTGTTTATACCCTGAATCTTTCTCAATGTCTGGTATACTCTGGGTGCCTACACTTCTTGCCTTACTCTTACACATGGAATACTGGTTGGTTGGTTTCCCAAATAACACCTTCAACATGATAAAGAAGGGAAGTTTCTTAGCTAAAGGGTCTTCCTCAACTTGATTAAAGGCACTGATTTGAAATCTGTAATACTGAATATTACACTTAAAAGTAAAATAGTGTTCCCATTAAAATCTGGAATAAGCATGAATACTACTATGCAATACTGTACTAGAGGTGCTAGATAATAAAGTAAAACATAAAAAAGAAACAAAAGGTATATATATATATTCATTATTTTAAGATATGATCATTTACATCGACAATCCCAAAAGAATGAAAGAATAAGCCAGTAGAACTACCAAGAGAGTTCAGCAGTGCCCAAATTCAAACTTAAGGTACAAAAATTGATAGCTTTTCTAAACACAAGGGATCAATGATTAGAAAGCACAACAAGACAAAGATCCCATTCACAAAAGAAATAAAACTATAAATTACCTATGTGGGGAAAAAGCCTCTCAAGAATGTGCAATCTAAATGAAGAAAAATTACAAAATTTTAAGAAGGATACGAAAGACCAAAATAAATATGGAACATTCCATGTTTTTGACTGAGAATGCATCTTATGTATTCTGGGAAACTATTAATTCAGTGCAAAGCCATTCGAAATCCCAAAATGATTTTTTATCAAACACAACAAACTTATTCTATGATTTGTCAGGAATTAGAAATCTGCTTGAATGACCATGAACAGTTTGAACTAGAAGACTAATGAGCAATGACTTGCTATCAAAACATAACCATTTCAAACCATTTTACACTATAAAATGGTGTGGGTTTCATGCAAGAATACATAAAAAGATCAACAGAACAGACCAGACCTGTATAAAAATTTTGCATTTAATGAAGTAGCATCTCAGCCCATCAAGGAAAGAATAAACTATTTGATAAATGGATGGGGGACAACTACCCATTTGGGGAAAAATAGGTAGATTTCAATTTCCCATCTATGGTGGATATCTTTGATTTGTTCCTCTGGATACCTGCTCTACTCTTCTGCTCCCTAGTTAAAGACTGAGAATACTCCGTAAAGATTATATCAATGGGCTCTGTGTTCCTGTAGTTGGAGCCACACCAAAGGGAGAGTCCACAAGGAATTAGAGAAAGGAGTAGGGTTGGGGTACCTGAGGCTAGTTGCTTCCCTTAACCGAAGGTCTTAGCTCCTGTAAAGGGGTGGTCCTCTCTACCCCATCCTCTCTGCCTTTTCCTTTTGCTTCTTCAGGCCCTCCTTGTATAGCCCTCCTTCACTGTTATTTTGCCCCCACCATTGTGAATAGACCCTTATTAAACTTTCCTCTGGCACCTCATTTTGAGCATGCCATCTATTTTCTGTGGTAGCTTATTAATATCATATCATTCACAACATTAAATTCCAGGAAGATTAAAGACCTACATTTATTTTAAAATCTATAAAATATGGGAATATATTTATAGCCTTAGGCATAGGAAAATTATTTTTGAACAAGACATAAAATCAAAATTCATAAAGGAAAGGATGGATACATTTGATTACATAAAAATTTCAAACTTTTGACTGATTAGACACCCACAAGCAAAGTTAAAAGAAAGGTGGAGAGAAATATTTGAAATTTACAACAAAGTGTCATTATCTGGACTACCTAAAGAGCAATTTTAAACATAAATATGTTCTAAATAAATCAAATTATTTTATATGTATGTAAATATATAAGATGTATTTACATATATTTATAAAAACATTTTATAAGCTATATTTTAAATATAATATATATATTAAAACAAAATTAAATATATAATTAAATTTTTATTATTATTTTTTAGATGGAGTCTCACTCTGTCCCCCAGACTGAATGGCAGTGGCAGGATCTCAGCTAACTGCAACCTCCATCTCCTGGGTTCAAGTGATTCTCCTGCCTCGGCCTCCTGAGTAGCTGGGATTACAGGCGCATGCCACCATACCTGGCTAATTTTTGTATTTTTAGAAGAGACGGGGGTTTCACCATGTTGGCCAGGCTGGTCTCGAACTCCCGACCTCAGGCGATCTGCCCCCCTCTCGGCTCGGCCTCCCAAAGTGCTGGGATTACAAGCAAGAGCCACCACGCCCGGCCGTGTAAATCAATTTTTAAAAGACAGATTATTAAAAAATGGACAAGAATATGAATGGGCCATTCACACAATCTTTATGAATCTTAAAGATTGATAATACCAAGTGCCATTGAGCAAGTAAAGATTTAGGCTCTCTTGTTCACAGTCAGGGAGAGTGTTTAAGTTGGCAAGCTTTCTGGAGAAAAATCTGGCAGCATCTAATAAAATTATAAATGTGCATCCCTTATGATCCCATTTCTTGGCATCTACTGTGGATAAAAACTTGGAAATTTGCTCAATAGGCAAGTTTCAGGATATTCATCATAACATTATTTGTCATAGTAAGACACCAGAAACAATCTAAATGTCCACTAACTTTGGAATAATTAACATCCATACCATAGACATGCAGCAGTTAAAAAACAAAAAGAGGTAGCTTTGTATGTACTGACCCAGACATATCTCTAATACATCTTATTTAGTGAAAAACCATTCAAGTTCAGGACATAACATGATACCATTTGTGTAACCTTAAATTCCCACAGGAATGAAACTATGTGCTTTTATGATTACCTTCGTGAATGTAAAAGCAGAGATAAGTCTAAAGCATACAAACCAAATTGATTCTATTATTGCCTTTGTGTAGAAAACTGGAATTGAGAGAGATGCTATGGATTTTATTTGTTTGTTTATTTATTTGAGATGGGGTTTCACTCTGTCACCCAGGCTGGAGTGCGGTGGCACAGTCTCGGCTCACTGCAACTGCCACCCCTCAGATTCAAGTTATTCTCCTGCCTCAGCCTCCCGAGTATCTGGGACTACAGGTGCGCACCACCACGCCCAGCTAATGTTTGTATTTTTAGTAAAGACAGGGTTTTGCCATGTTGACCAGGCTGGTCTTGAACTCCTTACCTCAAGTGATCTGCTTGCCTCAGCCTCCCAAAGTGCTGGGATTATAGGCATGAGCCACTGTGTCCAGCCAAGATGTCATGGATCTTTAACTTTTTCTTTATTCTGTATTTTTCTGTATTTTACTACTTTTTGTATTGTTTGAAATTTTACGAGGTGAATGCATTTATGTCCTGCCCATACAATTACTATTTATTTAATAAATAGTTGTAGCTTATATATGATTCCTTCAGAGAAAAAATAAATAAAAGAAAGGCAGAACATGGACTTTAATATTACATGGATTCATGACTTTAAAAAACTTGCCTAATATCCCCAGGGCCTGTCTCCTCCTCTGTAAAATGGGAGTCGTTTTCTGTGAAGATCAAATTAGACAAAGCCTGCTAGATGTGTGCTGAGTTCTTGGTACACAGAAAGCATTGGTTGACTTTTTCTCTCTCCCTTATTTGACTTGTAAGAACCTCCAGGGTCAAGAATATACCTCCATTGTGTATATCCTGGATGCCTGGGCTAATAGAAGCTCAGTTGCATTTGTTGGAAGAATGAGCAAATGAATAAGCCATACATGTTAATGGATAAACATATGTACACATAACGTTGATTGTTAATGGGTAAACAAGAGATGCCTTTCTGGCTTCCACCAAAAAGATCTAATGCTTCTGGGTTGTAAGAACAATAAATCAAAGAAAACCAGAGATCTGGGCCAGAGGGATGAGAGCTTTTAGAGCAGGAAGGCTCCTCACATAGATCTGACATTTTCAGCCCATCTTCTTTAGAGCTCCAGGCTCTGTGGAGCCATTGGGCTGTCATGGGTAGTGGGATGGGCACTGAGGGCCAAGCTGGGAACCCAGTCTCTGGGCTAAGAGTGAAAATACTAACAGACAATAGCAAGGTTATTTATCACAGTGACCATAGTACTCTGACCCCTAGTCTCTGGGCCCCAGCAATTGACACAGAAAATCAGCATTTGTCCAAGGAACTGTCAACTGCTCTATTTTTTGCCCTCACCACCTCCCCAACTTTCAACTCAGAACTAACCAGAGGAAGCCAAATATGCCCTCCAAACCAATCACATAAGATGCTCCACTTGTAGTTAGCCTGCCTCCAGCTTCCTCATGCCAAGGAACCTCCAATCAGTCTTCTCTTGTTTTCACTAGAAGGCTTTCCCAGTCCTCTGCCTGTCTTTGAGACTCTGCCAAATGCTAGTAATGGCAGCTGACTCCCTTGTTATACAACAGGCTCTGAACACACAGTCTCTGTTCTCATTTCAGGGGTCTTTGTTCATTTCCACAAGGCCATCTCCCACATTTTAACTAGATACTATAGACATGTTATATATTGACATTTATAGATATGATTTCATCTTTTAAAATTCTGATTTTTTCTTAATGACCAGTGTAGATTAATGCCAAGAGCCAAACTGCTCAAGGAATCTGAGGAAGGATGCTCAGCTTGCATTAAACTAAGAAAGAAACAAATAATGTCCAGACAGATGGCGGCAAAGGGAGGCCAGACAATGACGGGTGAGTCTGGACAATGGACAGATGCTTCAGAGATTCTGTGGGGTTTTTTCCATAAGCCAAGCACAGTGGAAGTCTAAGAACTGCAGGTATTGCGATGCCTAGGTGGGCTTTCTTATCGGGATCTCCTCAGGGGTGGGCTGGAGTTAACCACAGTTGTTAAGTCTGTCAAAATGACTATATTTGACAAATGAACCAAATACATAAATAAGACCTTCGAGGATTTAAAAAAGAGAAAGGCTGTTGGGAAGGTCTCAGTGCCTACTTCCATTAAAAAAAAGTGACTTCTTGGATGCTAGGACTGGAACCCTCTCCATCTACCCATGACTAATTTGCTGGTATGAAATCCTAACATTCTCAGCATCATTCCATATAGGACTTCAAACCTATTTAAAATAGATTATGCCTATGTTTCACCAAACTGTGAATGTTAATAGATGTCACCATAAATACTGGGTGAAACCAAATTAAACAGATTTTTTTTTTTCGCCAGGACTTTGCAAAACCTTCATTATGCTAGTATTATGAATCTGTAAGAAGGGTATCTAGTACACAGCATTTTGCAAACATTTGACCACAGAAATCATTTTCCTGCCCATCTATTTCCATTTCCCAAACCATCATTCTGTGGCACATAAGTTTGGAGAAACAGGTTTGAGATAATGCTACCTTCCAGAGGAAAACTCCTTTGGCTGGTTAATACCTTTTATCACCTATTATAACTCACTGAAAGGAGGTCAGGAGGCCAGATAGGAAGTGGCACCAGAGGGCCATTTTGATGGGCAAAGAAGAAGATAGCATCATAAAGTGGAGCTCAGGGCTAATGGAGGTCACATGTGGGTCTCGGGGCAGCCTAAGCAGTGTTTAAGGATTCTAGGTGCTGTATGTTCCGAGAAAAGAAAAAGTGTTAAATTCCAGGTGGAAAAAGTCAAAGATTATCTTCACCTGGTTTGTAATTTTTCTTAACCAGCCCTAATATAATTATCTCTGGTAGGACAGGGTGGCCAGGAGAATCATCCTATTTGATGAAAATAGAGATTCTAGCAAATGAATCTTTATGGAACACTTCACCAATGATAGTCTATGGTGCTATTGAGAATTCAGATAAGGGAGGGCAGAGAGATGATGCAACTTTCTGATGCTCAGTAAAGAACTTTTTTTTTTTTCCCTGCAATCACACCACAAAGTCTTTGATAAACTGCAGGGAAGGATTCCATGTTTACTTACTTCAGAATCACGCAGCCTGTTCCCGCTGGTGGTGCTATCCAAAACACCTGGATCCGGGTCCTCCTCCGTGGAGTGCTTTCAGTGACTGCAACAGGGCAATTGCTCATAAACTGAGTTTCTTCTTCGTCTATGATCTACGGAAAACCAGTGGGAAATAAATACATGCAACATCATTTTGAGAGGGCGCTTAAGCTTCTAAGTTGGTACTTCCTTAACTTTATTTTTAAACTTATCATTTTATGTTAGCAACTCTGTATCCCCAGGCACCAGAATAGTGCTTGGCATAAAGTCCCAGTCAACGCTTGTTGAATGAATTAACATTGTATGAGGACGCAGACTGGGCACATCTTTGCTCTCTGGGACCAAATCTTGTGTCAGCACTTTGAGGAATTAACCACTAGGTGATGATCTTGCTTATTTCAATAGAACGACCTGTGTCCCACTTTGGGGAAGAAGGAGGATGGGGGAGGGGTAATCCAAATCAAACACTGCATAGCAAAACTTCATAACTCAGCTACAATTTTATAACTTAAAATGTTAAAACACCCTTTTGGAGGAAGTATAGCAAAGTATATAAAGTATCCCAGCTTCATAGCACTTTTTACTAGCGCAGTTCCTACTTCCTTAATCTGTGCATTGTATTTACTAATCAGTATTCTCCCAAATTAACCATCAAAGTTTCCTATGATGCTACAAACAAGATGGTAGCCTTTCCCATTCCCCAAGGATGTTCCATCTCTTCTCCTGCCTGTTGCTTCTGGGCCTCCTGTGGTATTTCCCTATCCCTCTTGCAGAACTATAGTATATTAGACCTGAAAGGATCTTTTGGGAGAAAGTAATCTAAATCCAATTGGTTTTAAGTGCCAACTCCAATAGATTGGTAGTAGCTGTATCATGAATAGTGTTGATAGCATTACTAGATAACATTCATTGAGTGTTTAATATGTTCTAGGCACTAAGTTAAGTGCTTTATCTGACTTAATCTTCAAAACACAATCTTATTAAATTATTATACCTATATTGTATTTATTTTACTTTTAAAAATTCCTTTTCTTTTTAGGACAACAGACAAAAGGAATGAAGTACCTCAAACTCCATAGTTTATCATATAATTTTATCACTGGACAAAGCAAAGACCATTTTCTATTACTTTTTATCTTTATACTTTTTATCCTACTTCCATTTTTCCTCCTCTACTTAGCATTCACTCCTAAGTATTTGTGTTGTTCTGAGTGTGTGTGTGTTATTTAGAATTGTTTTGTGTTTTAATGGTTCTTTCATTCAACTTTACACTTTTGAGCTATATCATTGTTACTACATGTAAATGTAATTTGTTTATGACTGTTGCCTAGTATTCCATTGCATGCATAGATCACATTTTATGTAACCATTCTTCCAGTGAGGGGCACTTAGTTGACTTCCAGTTCCTTGTCTCCACAAATATTGATGTAATGAAGAACCTCATGCTGCTGTACTTGTGATCAGAGTTTCTCAGCAAGATTGATAATGTAGTAGGATTGCTAAGTTGTGGGTATAGTCATATTAATTTCACTAAGTACTGCAGAATAGCTATACCTTTTATTCTATCAGCCATGTACTAGTGTTCCTAATTTCCTCCATATCCTCACCAGTACTTGTTATTACTGGATTTTCTAACTGTTTCCAATCTGATGCTTATAATGTAGTATCTTATTTTAATGTTACTACATTTGATCATCTTCACAAATTTATCAGGTTTGCCTTTCTGCAAATTGTCTATTCAAAATCTTTGCCAGTGGATTCTATTGTCTTTTTCTTGCTGTTTTGGGGGATTTTCTAGACATGAATACCTCAACATCTACAAATATCTTTTCCTTTCTGGCACCCAGAGGTTAGTCTTACCTTTGGAATTCTTCATTTAGCAGAAATAACTTTCTTCTAGTCAAATTCATCAACTTATCTCCTATGGCTTGCACTTTTATGATCTTGCCTAAAGAAACTGAGATCATATAGATATTCTCCAATATTTTCTTTCATTAGCTTTATAATTTTCCCTTTCACATTTAGGTCTTCAATCCATTTGGAGTTTATTTTTTAATATGATAGAGTAGGGATCCAACTTCATTTTTTAAAAAAACATTAATAAATTTTATTTTCTTAGAGCACTTTTAGGTTCACAGCAAAACTGAGTGGAAAGTACAGGGTTATCCCACATATTCCCTGTCCCTTCACCCCTACACACACATACACACACACAGTCTCCCTCACTATCAACATCCTATATCAGAATGATACATTTGTTACAATCAATGAGCCTATATTAACATATCATTATCCTGCAAAGTCCACAGTTTACATTATGCTGCTCTCCTGGTATTATACATCTTATGGGTTTTGACAAATGTATAATGAGATGTATCCACCATTGTAGTATCATATGAAATAGTTTCACTGGCCCAGAAATCCTCTGTGCTCTTCTTATTCATCCCTTGTTCTTCCCAACCACTAATCTTTTCTATCTCCACAGTTTTGCCTTTTCCTGAATGTCATAGAATTGGAATCATACAGTATGTAGCTTTTCCAGATTGGCTTCTTTCACTTAGTAATATGCATTTAAGTTTCCTCTCTGTATTTTCATGACTTAATAGCTCATTTCTTTTTTAGCACTGAATGACATCTGATTGTCTGAAAGTACCACAGTTTATCCACTCACTTACGGAAGGATATCTTGGTTACTTCTGAGTTTTGGCAATTATGAATAAAGCTGCTATAAACGTCCATGTGCAGGTTTTTGGGTGGACATAAAATTTTTAGTTCATTTGGGTAAATACCAAAGAGCACAATTGCTGGATCATATGGCAATAGTATATTTAGATTTAACTGCCAAACTGTCTTCCAAAGCAGCTTTACCATTTTGCATTTCCACCAGCAACAATTAGAGTTCCTGTTGTTCCACATCCTCCACAGGATTTGATGTTGTCATTGTGTTGGATTTTGGTCATTCTAATAGATGTATAGTGGTATCTCATTATTGTTTTAATTTGTAACACCCTAATGACGTATGATGTTGAACATATTTTTATTTGCTTACTTGCCATCTGTATATTTTCTTTGGTGAGGTTTCTGTTTGGGTCTTTTACCATTTTTTATTTGGGTTGTTCACTTTCTTAATGTTGAGTTGTTTGTTTTGTTTTGTTTTGTTTTTTTGAGATGGAGTCTCATTCTATTGCCCAGGCTGGAGTGCAGTGGTGCCATCTCAGCTCACTATAACCTCTGCCTCCCACGTTCAGGCAATTTTCCTGCCTCAGCCTTCCAAGTAGCTAGGATTACAGGTGCCCACCACCACGTCTGACTAAACTTTTTTGTATTTTTAGTAGAGATGGGGTTTCACCATGTTGGCCAGGCTGGTTTTGAACTCCTGACCTCAAGTGGTCCGCCCACCTTGGCCTCCCAAAGTGCTAGGATTAAAGGCATGAGCTGCCACGCCCAGTCGTTATTTATTTATTTTTTGAGACAGAGTCCCACTCTGTCACCCAGGCTGGAGTGCAGTGGCACGATCTCGGCTCACTGCAACCCCTACCTCCCGGGTTCAAGTGATTCTCCTGCCTCAGCCTCCCAAGCAGCTGGGATTACAGGTGTGTGCCACTACACCCAGCTAATTTTTGTATTTTTAGTAGAGACAGGGTTTCATCATGTTGGCCAGGCTGGTCTCGAACTCCTGACCTCAAGTGATCCGCCTGCCTTGGCCTCCCAAAGTGCTGGAATTAAGACCCACCGCGCCTGGCCCTTAATGTTGAGTTTTAAGAGTTTTTTGCATATTTTGGATAGCAGTTCTTTATCAGATATGTCTTTTGCAAATACTTTCTTCAAATCTGTGGCTTGTCTTCTCATTCTCTTGACAGTGTCTTTCACACAGCAAAAGTTTTAAATTTTAATGAAGTCCAACTTATCAATTATTTCTTTCATGGATAATGCTTTTGGTGTTGTACTTAAAAAATCACTGCCATATCCAATGTCATCTAGGTTTTCTTCTGTGTTGTCTTCTAGGAGTTTTATAGTTCTGCATTTTACACTTAGGTCTGTAATCCATTTTGAGTTAATTTTTGTGAGGGGTGTAAGGTCTATGTCTAGATTCTTTTTTTTTTTCTACATGTGGATATGCAGTTGTTTCAGCACCATTTGTTGAAAAGACTATCTTTGCTCTATTATATTACCTTTGCTCCTTTGTCAAAGATCAGTTGACTATATTTGTGTGGGTCTATTTCTGGGCTTTTTATTATACTCCATTGCTCTGTTAGACTATTTTTTTACTAATACCACACTGTCTTGGTCCCATCCCTTCTTCCCAACTCTAACAATTATCTCCTTACTCTTCTCTGGATTCAACTTGTGCTCCAACTGAATTGTTGTCATTGTCTTTTAAGCACATTCAAATCTCTCCCATTAAAAAGCTGAGACGAGTTAATGGGTGCAGCACACCAACATGGCATATGTATACATATGTAACAAACCTGCACATTGTGCACATGTACCCTAAAACTTAAAGTATAATAATAATAAAATTAAAAAAAAAGCTGAGACCTTACTTAACTCTTCATCCCCCTCCAGTTACGGTCTTCTCTCTCTCTTCATCACAATGAAATTACTTGAATAAGGTAGCTATACTTACTGTCTTCCCTTCACCTCCCACTTATTCATCAACCCAGTTCTGTGTATTTTCAGGCCACATTGCACTACCAAAATAACTCTAGCTAAGCTTCTGCAATGCTTAATCCAATGGATCCTATGTCATCCTTCTTCTCAACTGACTCTCCTCCCTTGCCTTCTGTGCCATAGCTCCTTCTTGGTGCCCTCCCCCAACTTCCCCCATCCACTCTCTCCACTTTCTTTGGCTACTCATCTTCCACTACTGGCCTTTAAATTTGAACTTGCTCAAGGTTCAGTCGTAAACCCTCTCCTGTTCTGACTTGATTCTTTATCTGTAGGTGATCTCATTCAACTCATGGCTTTAATTACTACCTCTGTATAGATGATTCATTCGTTTATATTTCTAGTGTTGGCTGCTTCTCTGAGTTCCAGGCATGTATCTCCAACTTTCTATCTTTTACTTGCATTTACCTTTTGATATATCAGAAACACCTCAAATATACCCTGTTAATAACTAACCTAACCATTAACCGTCTTTCCTCTAACCTGGTCCTACTCCAATTGTGCAAGTCGGAAACCCTGGAGGTCACCCTTGGCTCTTCCTTGCCTTCATCCTCCATATTTAAATGTTGTCCATCTTACCTTCCAAATATCTCCTGAATGTCTACCACCATTCTTACTATTACCCTGGACTAAGCTACATCATTTCTTCTCTGAACTAATGTAACATCATTCTAACTGTCTTTATATACTCTCTCGTCTTTCTCCAATTTGTTATCTATACTGCAAGCCACAGGCCTTTTAAAAACACAAATATCATTACAATATAATTATCTCCTTCCTCAGAGTATTTCAACAGCTTTTCATTGCTTTCAGAATCAAGACTGAAATCCTACACAGAGGCTAGTTCCTGCCTCCCTGCCTCTAGCCTCACATTGTGCCATCTCCCTCCTTGCTTCCTGCACTTTGTACACTGGTCAGGTGTCTTCTCCTGCCAAGGCCCTGGTCAATTCCTATTTCCAAAGCCTTTTTAAAAATAGTCATCATTTCATCACCACTTTGCAAGGTAGCTGGTACTAATAAGTGTGCACTGTAAGAATGAAGTGTAGTAGGCTGGGCATGGTGGCTCATGCCTGTAACCCCAGCACTTTGGGAGGCCAAGGCAAGAGGATTGCTTGAGCTTAGGAGTTCGAGATCAGCCTGGGTAACGTAGTGAGGCCCCATCTCTATAAAAAAATAAAAAATTAGCCAGCTGTGATGGTGCACACTTGTGGTCTCAGCTACTTGGGAGGCTGAGGTAGAAGGATTGCTTAAACTCAGGAAGTTGAGGCTACAGTGAACTGTGATTGTGCCACTGCACTCCAGTCTGGGTGACAGAGTGAGACCCTGTCTTAAAAAAAAAAAAAAAAAAAAAGAACTAAGTGTACTTGCCTCCTCCCTTTTGTTGTGAGGTTCCTGGCTATATGACTTGGCCACAATATGTGTCTCAGCTCCTTTAATTAGATAATTCCCTGGACTTCCTTCTGAATTTGGACTTTGTTTCCCTAGATGGTTATTAATAGCCTTGATAATAATAATAGCATTTTTCAGCACTTTCTCTTGATGAAGACCTTTACATATATTATTTCCATTCCCTCAAACACTGAAAAATAAGCATTATTAAACCCACCCCTTAGGAAACTACTGTAATGCAGATGGGTTCAACAACCTGTCCAAAGTCCCAGAATGGCAGAGCTAGGGCTTGAGGTCAGCCCTACTTGGCCATAATGTCCATGCTCTTTCCCCTATGCTACAGTCCCTCCTAATAGTGCCATATCCTTTATGATAGGCAGGAAATTTCTCTCTAGCCAATCCTAGTCCCATGAAACCACATACACTGGACCAACCCACAACAAAAGACCCCACTCCACTCCAACATACACATAAGTACTTGGTAAAAGTGAATAGTACTTTTGCTTCATATTTTCTTAACAGGTTCTTAGACTCTCTTCTGCAGCTTTGTTGACGTGAGGGTAGGTTTCCAAACAATGTGATTTTCTTGGACTTGCAGAATAGTGAGTCCAGTGAGGACCCTGTTTGCTGATGGTCGCAGAGAACTTTGGCAGGAATTTTTAATCCTAAATCTTTAAAATCCTTGGGAAGGTTCTGGGTGACTACACTGGGAAAGCCAAAAGGCACTCATATCGAGTTAACATTTATTATCTGCCAGGTACCTAGCATGGTCATATCACTGGACCTTTGATAGGAACAGAAGATTTTACAGATGAGGAACTGGAGCTCAGAGTGATCTGTCTGGATTCAGACCCAGGGTTGTCTGAAGCCAAAGTCCATGCTCTCTCCAGGTGAACTCTGACCAAGATCCCAGGGGGACATAAGACTAAGACCCTTGGCCCAGAAGTGAAACAAAGAAGAATGTTCTCCAATCCATAGAAGCTACCTCAGGTAAATACGGTTGTTTATCCACAACCTCAGTTGCCAGATGGTAATTAAACATTGAACAGAAGGAGTTATTTCTCTCGATCCAGAGAATCCTCCAAACATTGTTTGCTTCTCAGAAAATATCAGCTTCTTCTGAAAAGCCTTGCACTATCAGAACCTGCTCTCAAACCTCCTGGCAATCCCAAACGTCTCCACACTCGTCATCTAGAGTGGGTCTCAGAATCCTACCGTGTTAGCTACCAACTAAATGGCAGTCATTCATTTCAATCTGTGATTTCTTTTTACCTAAGACAGAAAATTAAAACATATTACAATGGAGTGGTTGTGTCTAGTAATAGTATTATGGGTGATTTTTATTTCCTTTGTATAATTTTTGTGTTTTCTAAATTTTCAACAATGATGATGTATTACTTTAGATGAAGAGGTTATACATTTTTCTTTTTTTAAATAGGATCTTACTATGTTGCCCAGGCTGGCTGTGAACTCCTGGGTTCAAGTAATCCTCTCGCTTCAGCCTCCTGAGTAGCTTGGATGATAGGTATATGCCACCACACCCAGCTTAATATTTTTAAAGGACCTAATTACAACATTCCAATGATAACATTTCTATTTTATATATAGGTTTAAATAAACCTTCTTGGGTTAAGTTTAAGTTTAAAGTCACTTTGGGAGAGATTTGCTGATAAGGCAGCTGCTTGACTCCTTGCAAGAGACGGAGAAATCTTAATCTGTGACTGGTTCCCATCCAGCCAGGTGAGACAACCCAGATATCCACCAAGTTTAGACAGGTAGACAAGGTTTGATTTCCCCAATACTTGTCAGTCTATTGTTAAAGCAACTGGTTGGGTATCTGGTCATGAATATGCCTTTTCAAATATCAGGGGCATTTTAAGCTAATAGAATGATTTTTCTAGGCTTCTAAAACTTTTCATTGAATGCAGTCTTAGTCCTAAATCACATGCCATACCCATTTTGAAACCTACATCATGACCCATCTTTACTCTGAGGGTGCCTACTCTTCCCTCAGCCTATTTATGGGCTTTTCTTTTTCAGATCTGAACATACAACCCTTCTTCCCTAAATCTAATCTTGACTCCCCTCCTCAACTCTGATCTGGATTATCTCCCCTGATACGTCACCTCCTCACACTTTCTGGTTCAAGAGACACAAGCCTCAAGAGATGAACCTGAACAGCATCAAGGTCCCAGAGGAAGTTGCAAGCGTTCTAACACGTGGGTGGGCCATGGCAGTGAGACATCTAGGAGAATACGATTCCAAAGTCCACGTAAGTGGCATCTGGGACATTTGTCTTCAGGAAGCAGAGCCCCAGACACAGAGGTCAGGACTAGTGGCCAGGTCAGGGCTCCAGTTCCCACATGAGAATCAAGGAGAAGTCAGATAATTAGAACAGGAACTTGGAATAGCATCCACAGCAGGAAACTAGTCCCATGAACATGGGCTTGGAGCAGAGTGAGCAGGAGAGGCTAGTCTTAGAAACTGGGCCTTGGGATAAGAAGGGACATCTTCTGTGGAGGATGTGAGATGTGATTAAGGAAACAACTCAGGGGACTCAGTGGTCAATGCTGAGGCACCACGACCAAAGTTTCCTATCAGGGATAGTGGTGTGATAACCCCCAATTGAGGACAGCAGCTTCTGGTCTGGGTATGTGGGTACTGGGTGGGCTGGGCCTGAAGAACAGGGCATTGGGACATCTAAATATGCACTGTTGAGTCAGGGAGTATAGGGGGCACTGAAGTTAGGGACCAGGGTGGGGAATGAGGGAAGACATGTGCTATGACACCACTTTATAAATATTTCTTCTCTAGAGGTGTCATGAGAAGTAGTGTGATAGAGTAAAAAGTAGATGAATGTTTGAGGCAGGTAGATTTGGACTAAATCATGGCTCTGCCACTTTCTAATTAGATGACTTTGACCACACCAAGCTACTTGACCTCTCTGGGTCTGTTTTCTCATCTGCAAAATGAGGATGATAATATCCATCTTGCTTGATGGACAGAAGGAATAGATGAGATAGTATTGACGAAGCAGCCAGCAGCTGTTAACAGGCCCTCGGTATGTTGTGGTTCCCCTTGTGTGCCGTGCACCCCTCTCCTAACTGGTCGTGGCCCACATCCCCAGAGGGAAGCATTAACACCACAGGCTGGCTAACATGGGAGGAAGACACTTTTAAGAGGGGAAACAAATAAGCTTCTTATAATTACTCCATACAGATATTTGTTCATCGTAGAAAATCAGAAAACATAGGGGAGCAAAAAATATGAAACAAACGTTCCTGATCATTCCACCACCCCAAGATAGTTATTAATATTTTGGTGTATATCATTTTAGATTGTGCATACATATACATATAAAAATGTAATTCTAAAAGACAGGATTAAAGTATGCTTCCCATGTTATAACTCGTCATTTCACACCATATCACGAACATATTTCTTTTCCATTTAATGTACAATCCCAATAAAATTTTTAATGGCAGCATAATACCTCATCTTATTTGGTCCACATTTTACCTAACAAACCTCAGCACGTTGAACATTTTGTTGTTTATAATTTGGGGCTATTATGATCCCCCTTAGCTAAATTTGACATCTTAAGTTTTTTCTGGAAATGAAATTAATGTAGTTTATTATTGCTGAATCTGCCCAGGAAGGGCTTTCTAACTACTTCAGTAAAACCTGAGAGAGAATCCAAAGAAAATAATCCCAGTCATTGAATCACCTCTTACTAGTTTCCTACGTGTATTTTTTCAATCTGAAAGCCATGGAAGGAAAGACAGTTGCTTTTGTCTTTTATGAAAGGGCTTTCAATATAGATTTTTTAAAATTCAGATTTTGCCCTTATTGATTTAAAAAGTAAGTTTATCATAGAAACGTTAACCAGGACAGAAAAGTAAAGGAAAAAAAAAAATCCTCCACTGTTTGAATAATTTTGGTTTGTTTCCTTCTAGCCTTTTCTCCATGTATTCTTTAAAATTTGTTAATAGCGGTACTGATTTTGTTTATATAATGTGTCTTGTTTCTTTTTCCATTTGTCCTAGGAGCCTCAATATTTTTCCAGGTTTTTCTGAACTTAACAGAAACATAATTTGAATGGCTGCATTGACTGCGTTATTCAGTGTACTTTTTGTCAGTGGCCTCTCTTCTAAACTGTAAAGATTTAGGCTTAAATCCTGTCCCTTTTCCCTACAAATACCCCCATCTTCCAGCCTAACTTTCACAAAAGTTATAGCATCCTTTTTAAAAATATATAATTTCAACTTCAGGGTGTACATGTACAGGTTTGTTACGAATGATCCCATCACCCAGGTAGTGAGCACAGTACACAAAAGGTAGTCTTTCAGACCTTTCCCCATTAATCTCTTCCTGCTCCGGTAGCCCCTGGTGTCTATCATTTCCATCTTTATGTCCATATGAATCCAGTGTTTTGCTCCCACTTACAAGTGAGAACATGTGGTATTGGTTTTCTGTTCCTGAGTTAATTTGCTTCGGATGATGGCCTCCAGCTGCATCCATATTGCTGCAAAGGATAGATTTTATTATTTATAGCTATGTAGTATTCCATGGTATATATGTACCACATTTTCTTTATCCAGTTCACCACTGACAAACACCTAAGTTGATGCCATGTCGTTGCTATTGTGAATAGTACTGTAATGAACATATGAGTGCTTATGTCTTTTTTGTAGAACAATTTATTTTCCTTTGCATATATACCCAGTAATGGGATTGCTGGAACAAATCCTAGTTCTGTTTTTAGTTCTTGGAGAAATCTCCAAACTGCTTTCCACAGTGGACAAACTAACTTACATTCCCACCTACAGTGTACAAGTGTTCCCTTTTCTCCGCAGCCTTGCTAGCATCTGTTATTTTTTGTCTTTTTAACAACAGCCATTCTGACTGCTGTTAGGTGGTGCCTCGTTGTAGTTTTGATTTGCATGTCTCTGAACTAGCATCCCTTTTTGCATTAGCATCTCTTCAAACGGATTCTTACCTCCATCTTATTCATCTTTTAAAATCTCACTTGCTTTATTTTCTCTTCCCGGGAGTGTACCCTGTGCTTTCCAGACTTGAGAAGCACGTGGGATTGTGGGGGAGGTGACGTGGCCACGAGCACCATTGGCGGACCCTCTGGCACCGGGCATGTGGCATCCAATCCACAGAAGTTTAGTCCTGAGAAACACCAGATTGCATTTCTCCCCCAAAAGCAGATTAATCCTCCATGCTATGTGAGTTGTTTCACATATTAGGAGCACAGACAGCAGGCCAGGCTTGGGAGCAAGGCTGGGCCAAGATGCGTAGGCGCCCTGGGCAGGCTAATAACCTGGCCCCCTTTCAAAACGATATTCTCTAAATATTTGCCCAACATTCATTTGGAGGATAGGCTGAGTGCTGCGTGGGAGGAGGGCAGGCAGACTGCCAGCTCAGCACTGCTCACTCTATTAACCTGAGTAGTTCAACTGCTGCCCTAAACTTGCATACCTCACCCAGCAACTAAGAGGCCTGGAAGGTCACTGAGATACCAGCTCTTGTCACTTAAGTGCTCTTGGGGGTTTTCCCCCTACCAGGAGACAATACAAAGTCCTAGGAGAGTCCAGCAGCCTATTTATTACTGGTGTGACTCTGGCAAGTTCCTTAACTTTTCTGGACTGATTCTCCTTATCTGTAAAATGGGGACTGATAATAGCATCTACCTCAATGGGCCAGAAGTGTTTATATGAATTCATATACAAAGTTGTTAGAGAAGCTTCTGGCACAAAACCAGTGGAGACAGGAGGCAGCCAAGGGTCCCCAGCAAAACTCCATATTTAAACCTAAAACAGCCTGAAGGCTGAAAAACCTGACTACACTTCCTGGATGAAGCCACCCTTTCCTGACTGATTCTTTCTGAATAACGCCCACCTGAGCACTGGGAGAATGGGGTGGAGCCTCAGGAAGTTCAGTGGGGAGGAGCCTGGCCTCTCCCGTTGCTATGTGGTGACCTGGGATTCAACGTGTGAGGCGGGAAACCTGATAGGAGGACTCTCTCACTTTGCTGAGAGTTGCTTTTCCTTTTTCCTTTTCACCCAATAAATTCTGTTTTCCTCACCATTCTGTGTCCACAAGCCTAATCTTTTCCTGATCATGTGACAAGAGCCCGGTTTTGGCTGAACTAAGGAGAAAGTTTATCAACAAAACTATCAGTGTATATTATAATCACTGTGCATTGATAAATATTATTATTATCATTCTCGTGTCCCGCTTGCTCTCAACAATTCTGGTAAAGACCATTTTCTCCACTGTATTACATTTCCAGCAGCATTTTAGTTCTCTTTACAGACTGGTATCCAGGGTACCAGCCCAGCTGGCCTGCACCTAAATCCAGTTTGGCTTGGGAGCCTCAAGTACAATGGACAGGCTCCAGTAGAACTGGGCACACACATGCTTGTGTGTGTGTGTGTGTGTGTAGGGGTCACTGCCTGAATCATGGTGTAGTCCTCAGTTAGAATAGAAAGCCTCATCTTCCAGGTGAGAATTGGAAGATGCTGAGAAAAGTAGAGACAGACTTCGGGAAAGTGGTAATTTTTCAGGGGTGGGTAATCCTCAATAAGAAAAGAGCTATCTCCTCTAGAAAAACCAGGAAGAGGAGGAGGAATTATCCTTCAAACCAGGTGAAATGTGCTCCTGGAATCCTGAGAGGTAGCATGGGGTAGTGGGGAGAGAAGATGTGGACTTTGGAGCCAGCAGACATAGGTCTGATTTCTGCCTTAGCTACTGAATGACCTTGAGTAAAGTCACCCAACTCTCTGTGAGTACACATCCTTATGTGGAAAATGGCTACACATGATGAAAGATGTCCTGTGTACAGAGCCCAGAAGGGGACCTGGAGCTGCTAGATGCTTGATGACCATGACTTTGAGTCATTGAAGTGACAATCAGAGAATGGGCCCTGGTGGCATCTTGAGTGCCTAGAGCCTAGTAGGTGATTGATGCATATACACTGAATAAGTGGGAAGATTCTCACTGGCTATATGTAAATGCCAGTGAATCTCAGAATATCTAGTGTTTAATAAGTAAATACCCTATATTCTTTTTTAAAATTTTATTTTTATTTATTTTTGAGACAGGGTCTCACTCTGTGCCCCGGCTAGAGTGAAGTGACAAGATCATAGCTCACTATAACCTTGAACTCCTGGACTCAAGCAATCCTATCTAGTAGCTAGGACCACAGGCACACGCCACCATGCCGAGGTAATATTTTTTATTTTTTATATTTTGTAGAGATGAGGTCTATGTTGCCCAGGTTGGTCTCAAACTCCTGGGTTCAAGCAATCCTCCTGCCTCAGCCTCCCAAAGAGCTGAGATTACAGGTGTGAGCCACCAAACCTGGCACAGACTCTACATTCTTGCTAACACTTTGTATCCATTATTTCAAACAATAATCCAGTGAAGTGGGAATTATCCCCATTTTACAGATTCAGAAACTGGGACTAGCAAGTAGGGGGTCTGTATTAATATCCTCCATGACCCCAAAGCTAATAACCGCTGGATTTAACACACTGTACCCTTATTTTTCACATGAGGACCTGCTGTCAGTTTTGACTCAATACTAGAAAATCACTGATAAACAGGTTTTAAAAAATAGAACCATGTAATTGGGGGATTTTATTCAATGTAGTCTAATGCCTAGGAAATAAATCAGCCTTTTAAGTTTTATATAGCAGTACAGTTGAAATGTTTAATAATTATTGCCAGAGAACAGTATAATGCAGTACTAAAAATGAGTAATTGAAAAGCCCATCAAGGCAGATGAGGCATCTTCTTACTGAATTGCTCTTGAATACTTTACATAATTACTTCATTCAGATTTATGATCAGCTCAGCAAAACATACATCTCTCTATCCTGCTCCGCCTGAGTAGTTTGGGAAGCCTTTTTATATTGTGCTTACACCTTCAGGGATGGACAAATGAATGTCTCTTATACACTAATGGGGTTTGCAATGGTTTGATTTCATTTAGCAAAGGAAAAAGGAGCAAAAACTCAGTTTGCTGAGGTCCTTCTGTGTCCCAGTCACTGTGCTGGTGGTTTATTTGTATTAACTATGTCAGCTCATTTAAAGTCCCTGACAGTCCTGAGAAGGGATGGTGTTTTCCATCTCACAGAAGCAACTGAAGCTCAGAGGAATGTTGGAACTTGATCAGATTATTGAAGCTCATGGTAAACTCATACTAGGCAGTTTGGATCCAAACCTAGTGACCTTTCCACGACATCACCAACTTCCAGAAAGACCCCGTGTGCCCCAAGAGGGCTTGGAATTTTGGAAAGAGGCATCTAGTGAGGTCAGTCGAAGAAAACTGTTCCTAGCCAGATTTTGTTTGCAGCTCTGGCTCTTTAAACATCTGAGTTGTGGATGCTCCCCACCCCTGACCCCATTCCTTCATTTCTTACAACGCCAGTGCCTCCCGGCAGAGAGAAGTCCAGACGAGTCTCCTCAAGGGATGCAGTTTCCCATGGATTCAGTCTCCCCACTCAGCCCAGATCATCCCAGGCTGCAGGCTTTATCAGAGGCACAAGCTTATCATCTTGCCTCTCCCAGAGACTGCAGAGTGGGAGTTCTTGGCAAATTCAGTTTACTGGTAAGTGTGGACAAATGGCTGCCTGGATGAGATGACAGCCTTTGTTTCTGGTCTCACTTACATGTCAAAAGAGCCAAAAATGGGAAAAATGGGGAGAGAGGAGGAGACAAGTTGGGGTAACCTCACAGGCAGGAGAAATAATATAATCCCTTTAAAACATTTTACAATGCATTGAGAAGATTATACATAGAAGAGAAGGACTCTCCAACTCTCCTCCACCCTCGCTTAAGACAATGACATTTCCAGCAGACTGATTTTTCTTTCTCAACCTCCCTGTTATCCTTTCCTTAACCCTGAAGCTTGTTGTATTCTCTGCGTAAGTCAGCAGACATCGGCATGGGATCAAAACTGTTTGTGCACCCCGTTTCCCCCACCCCCTCGCCTTGAGAATAAACTCAGGCTCTGCTGAGGGTTATTTCAGAAGAGACTTAAACAAGTCACTGAATATCTTCCTTCTTTAGGACGTAAAAGCATGTCAGATTTCCCTCTTGTTTTAGAGTGACAATGGCAGACATCATGCACAGATGTATATCTTACTGAATATGGTACACATCCATGAACTTCCTTACACCCTTGGGAAATACCAAACTTTGATCTAATTATATTTTGACAATAAGAATCTCTCATCAAGTTATAGATTTATGGTAACACTCAAGGACTATTTGTCAAACACATCCAATGTGGTTATCAGCTGGTGGGTACTGAGCACTTACTTGCAAAACAAATCAAATATCTGAAGAGAATGCATTTTGTCTTTGTGCACCTGAAGGTGGAGGGTTGGGGGGAATACACTGATCAAATCATGCAGCAAAGAGAGCATTTCCCTCTGCTGTAGGGAGGCAATTGAGCTGGAAGCTGTGGGAAGGGAGCCGGAGGCTGGCTCCTGCCTTGCAGAGAAGCAGTGGACATGAGATGGATGACAGGAGGAAGCTCTTTCAGATAATTATTAGGAGCTGGAGAATCAGCTGTTGTGCTGTCAGTATGGTGTATTGTAGGATAAAGAACATAACAGGAAGGGAGTGGGGCTGGAAAGAACAAAGAGAGAGAAACAGGCAAAGGAACAATGGCATAGTTCTTGTCTCTGACCACGGACTATGGTCCACCTCTGTTACCCCTTTTACCCTCAGAGCAACCTCTGGGGGCTCTGGCCTTCCCAGACACTGCTCCCACTTCTTGTTCCTGGACTAGTCCTACTCATGGTCTCACCTGATGAGTCACTTCCTCTGGGAAGCATTTCCCAGCCCCAAGAACCCAGGTCTGATAGGCTGCACCCTCCACCTGCCAAACCACCACCCGCATGACCCTTTATCTTTGCCTCTCCAGCACTTCTTCACCCCACCCCTATAAGAACCACCTGGAAGGTTTGTGAAAATAGTGATGCCTAGCCCCACCCCAGAGCAGTGGAATCGACAGCTCCAGGCATGGGGCCAGGGCAGCAGTGACCTCCTAAGGGCTTCAGGTGATTTTGATGGACATTTAAGATGACAACCATCTTGCCTCTAGTTCGTCATATCTGAAAGCAGGGGCTGGTTCTACCTTGCTTACTTTTGGGTCACCAGCACCTAGCATTGTGCCTGGCACATCATATATACTTGATCAATATTTGTAGAATGAATAAATGAATTAATTAAAATTAAAGAGGTATTGCTACTCCCTTTTTAGAGAAGAGGAAATCGATTCATGAAGGCAAACTAGGTGGACTGCCATGGTAGTCTCAGAAGAGTCTGTAAGAGGAGGAATGAGAATGTAAGCTCCATGGGGGCAGGAGCCTTGTCTGTTTTATTTGACTGTGTTCCCGGTGCCTAGACTTGGGTCTGACATGGAACAGGAGCTTGGTACATGTTTGCTGAATAAATGACTGCACCCCCAGTCTCTTACTTTAAAACTCAATCTCTTCCCACTCTAGTTTGCTACCAGCCCTGCCTCTGCCATTATCTCTGTGGCTTTGCCCAAGTCACTTTTTCTCTCTAGAGATCAGTTTCCTAAAATGAGGAATTCAGATGATATGGCCTCCAGATTCTTTTCAGTTCTAATCATAGCAGACTGCCCTGATATACCTATATTGTCACTTGAAGGATGCAACTCCAGCTGTTATGCCAGCACCTTCCACACACACCAATGTCCTCACATTTCTCAGTGATGCGGAAGTAGGGCAGGGAAGCCCTGGGTAGAGAAGAGTGGGGTCCCTGGCAGGGGCTCCACCCTTGGGCCTGTGCCCATGGACCTAAGAGAGAACAGGCACTCTTGTTTTTGTGCCCAAATGTTGCATTTTCCAAGACCACTCTGGCCAGCCATGCCCCCCATCCTGTGCCCATATAAACCCGAGACCTTAGCAGGCACACACACAAGCGGCTAGACATCGGAGGAGCAGAGGACCACACCAGCAGACACTGGCAGACCAGCGATGGTGGAACAATGCGGACTCTGAGGGGAGTTCAGCCAGGGGCCATCAGAGGACAGTCTGCCACTGGGTAGCCTGACTCCAGGGGAAGACCACCTTCCCACTCCATCCCTCTTCTGGCCCCCCATCCATCTTGCTGAGCGCCACCTCCACCACTCAACAGAACCTTGCACCAAGCCCACCTGTGATCAAATTTTTCTGGTACACTGGGCAAGAACTCAGGATACAGAAAGCCCTCTGCTCTTGCGATAAGGCAGAGGGTCTACTTGAGCTGATTAACACAAGCCACCTGCAGATGGCAAAGCAGAAAGAGCACACTGTAACACACACCCACTGGGGCTTCAAGAGTCGTAAGCACTCACCCCAAGATACTGCCGTGGGGTTGAAGCCCAAAAGTGCTCCCCATGACCTCTGCACCTGTCCATCTGCATTCTCCCTTTAGGGGTTTGAGTACTAGGGCACTGAAGCAGCCAAGCCATACCACTGTCACATGCCTTGTGAGGGAGATAAGGTCCCCAAATTGCTCCTTCCAGTCTTTTTTTTTTTTCTTTGAGATGGAGTCTCGCACTGTCACCGAGGCTGGAGTGCAGTGGCCCAATCTTGGCTCACTCCAACCTCGGCCTCCCGGGTTCAAGTGATTCTCCTGCCTCAGCCTCCCAAGTAGCTGGGATTACAGGCGCCCACCACTACGCCCAGCTAATTTTTGTTTTCTTAGTAGAGATGGGGTTTCACCATGTTGGTCAGGCCGGTCTTGCACTCTTGACCTCATGATCTGCCCACCTCAGCCTCCCAAAGTGCTGGGATTACAGGCGTGAGCCACCGCACCTGGCCCAGTCTTTTTTCCATACTGCTCTTCCCTCCTTTCCTGCTTCCTGCTTCTATTATTTCTTCCTTTCGCAAGTGTTCCCAGTTGGCAGGCTGTGATCTGCAAAAGCTGACCTCCATCTCCCAGTCAGCCCACCTCCAAAGAACAAATCCATAGCTGAGAAAATGTGGTTATTAATTTATCATCTCCCTATATCCAATTCCAGAGAAAAACATCACTTTGTTGATATAGTTGTAGCACGAAGAGAGGGAACTTGTGTTGTTAATTATCTACTACACACTTGGCACTTCATTTATGTTATTTCATTTAAGCCTCACCTTTGACTGCCTGTCAGTTTTACCTTCACAGTATTTCTCTCCAGCACCCTAAAGCACCCAAACTCAATAAACCACTGCAACAACCTTCTAACTTATCTCTCTGCTTCCATACTTAGCCCCTACAATCCAATCTTCCCACAGAAGCCAGAGCGCACATTTAAAATAATAAATCATGTCACTTCCCTGTTTAAAGACTTCCAGTGGCTTTCCATTACACTTAAAATCCAAACTTTATAATGCCAGCTTGCAATTCCCCACCTAATCTGGTCCCTGCCAACTTCTCAGGCATCATCTCCTGCCACCATTTGTCTCACCCACCGAGCTCCAGTTCCTTAAACAAGCAGAGCTCCCTCCACCTCAGAGCCTTGGATGGTTCCCTTTGGCTGTCGTCATCCTACATGATCCCGCCCACAAACCTTAAGGAGTTAGGAAGGAAAAGAGGGAGGAACAAATTTAGATATGCCTGAGGCTTCCGTGGCAGCTGGTTTTCCAGTTGAACCTACATGAACCTGCTTTTAACCCTACTCCTCACCTTTGTCTTCTCAGCGTGCAGGTGGTTGCAGCAACTCAAAGCGTTCTTTGGATAAAGTCGAATGTATGGGCAAAATGTGGGTAAAGAACCCAAAACATTGCCTTCTCTTCCCTATGAAAAGGTTTCAGTAATTCATTGCTTGATTTTTTAGATGAACAGGGAAGAAAAGCTTAACTTTGAGGGAAAGAAGCTAAAGTTTATTGAGCTATGCAGCAGCCCTTTTAACATGATTTGGTTGAATCAGCTGAACAATCCACTGAAACAGGTTTTATAATCCCCATTTTATAGAGGAGGAAACAGATTCAGAGGATTTCAGCAATTTCCTGAGGACCACACGACTGTACTAATGAACAGAGCCAATATTCCACCCGGTCATATTTAGATCCCAAATCTCAAGCTCTCTTCTGCCATATCATCTTGCTTTGCTAAGTGTATCCTTTCTTCCCAGCAAAACAACCTCAGAGTAAACATCAATGTATGAGTAAGTAATGACTAAGATATAAAAGTGAGAACAGATTATTTGCCAGAAGCACATTCGAATCCTCCATTTACCTGTGCTAATTGTAATATGTTAACAACAGGCTGCTCTTAAAGATTCATTAAACTGAATCCCCTGAGGACCTGTACTTGGGAGCTCAGCTGGCTGATATTCTGAATTCCTAAATGCACTTAAAAATAACCAAATGTCTTTTCTCCCAAAGCATTTAATAGTATAGAATAGTAACCAATTCATAACGACCCTCTGCTCAATTATTGCTTTTTTTGGCTTTTTCTTTTATTCTTCCAAACGGTAAGGTCAAACTTCAACAGCATCACCTGCTGAGTCCCTCACTGGGCTCTCTTTCTGGATGTGTGTTGCCAGGAGAACAATTCTGCTTTCAACAATAAAAACAACAATCAATGCTTGCACAAAAGACTTAAGGACAATGGGAAATGTGGGTGAGTTAATTACATCCCTGGTCCCTTTGTTCTTTACAAATAAAGAGCAAGAGCGATGGGTGATCAGTGAACTTTAGAGACGCAAGCCATTGAATTGTGCTTAAGAGAACTGGGTTTCTTAGGAGTCAAATGAATGGACATCCTCTGAAAACAACTTCGTGTGTATCAGAAATCTACAATGTTCAGTCCTTGGAAGAAGGAGCCAGCACTAGAGCAGGAATTGGGAAACACAGGGCAGGGTCGTCTCAGGTCTTGTAGGAACTTGGAGAACTCCTCCTTCCAGGGCCTTGGGTTTTCTGAAGTTGAAATGACTCAATGGCACCAAAATGCCCTGCAATTCTAAAATGTGATTTGGCTCTCAGATTCAGCCTGTTTGGGAAGTGCTGAACAAAACCAGGGACTGGATCCTGGTGCTTTGGGGCTTGTTTTCCCTCTTCTTCCTCAGGTTTTGCAACCTGAGCTGTTTCAGAAGCTGAGGCATTCATACTGAAGACCAATATACAACCCTCAGCCCTGACTTCTGCTTCATTTCTGCAGCCTTGTCCCTGAGGTCTACCCGGGGACTTGTTGGTGCAGAACTACTGCATCTTTGAACTCTTGGCCTATGGAATTTCCTTCTAAACACAACTTACTATTTTTTCATACACTCATTCAACACATATTTATCATCTGCTTGTAATATGCCAGATATTATGATATACTGTGGTGAACAAAACAGAAATGGTAGCTTCCCTCCTGTGGCTTATAATTGGCCAGGTGAATAAGACATTAAATGCCTTGTTTTAAAGGTAAAAAATACAAATAGGTATAAAGTAGAAAGTGAATTGTGCCCAGGATTTTACCTCCCAGATAAAACCACCTGTTGGATCATTATATCGTGATATTCTGTAACCTCATTTCTTTCTCTTAACATCTTATAAACAATCTTTTAAACATACATGTAAATCTGCCAAATCTTTTTAAATTACTGCATAATAATCTGTGCCAGAAATATTCAGTGTATTTCACTTATATCTGCATCCTTATTCCTCACTATAGCTCTATGAGTTAGTATTATAATTATCCCATTTTACAGCTAAAGAAACTGAGTCCCAGAAATGTTCACAGAGAGCTGAGGTCACACAGCTGGTAAATGGCAGAACCAGAATTTAAACCCTGGCTGTGGGACTCCAGAACTTCAGTTCTTTTCTACTGTTCCTGGTATTCCACTGCCAAGATGTACTACCATTTATTATAATTAATCCTATATGATGGGCTTTCAGATCAGATCAATCACCCCTCTTTTTTTGTTTTGCTATAACAAACAAGGCTGCAATCAACATCCTCGTACTTACATCAGCCTCCACTTGTCTAAATTGGCCAGTTGAATTAATTCCTAGAAGTGAAATTTCAGAGTTAAAGGGTATGAGCATTTTA
Source organism: Homo sapiens (assembly GCF_000001405.40). Taxonomy (NCBI): domain Eukaryota; kingdom Metazoa; phylum Chordata; class Mammalia; order Primates; family Hominidae; genus Homo; species Homo sapiens. Next base: position 14,020,522 of record NC_000011.10, on the reverse strand, counting down.
AATTTTGGCACACAGTGCCAAACTAATACAAATTTTGGATTAATTTGCACGCCTACCAACTGCATATGATAGAGATCACCATTCTCTTCTTAACCCTTGGCATCACTGAATCTGCACTGGCAATGGTCACTCTGACCTCCTCACTGCCAACTCTGACAGCTTTTTACAGCCTCATTCTGCTCAAAGCTCTGCCAGATGTACCCCTGTAGACTTGCCTCTCCCCCAGCTCTTCCCTTTGGGGTGCTTCTCTGGATTTCTTCTCCTATTTCCTTGGCATTTGAAATCTCTTCCCTGGCCCCTGTTCCCTATAAGACCTATGAATGTCATGGAGTCCTGGGTTCTCCTCTTGTCCTCTTCTCTAAATGTCCTCCCTCCCTAGAGTGGTGCACATTCTTAATTACTGGCCCAACAGCCATTCCCTCCTTCTCTTTTGCTAAAAGACCCTATTTGTTTAGGATTTACAGTGTCCAACCCCAGAGATTGAATCATGACTGGTCTAAACCAATTATGGCTATCCTGTTCCTTTCCTTGAGTTTCAGGTGACCATGTGACCTGCTTTTGGCTAATGAGAGGTACAGAAACATCAGCCAGGAGGCTTCTGGGATTTTCCTCTCTGACAAAAGGGGTAGTGGCCTATGAGGAGAGTGTTTTCCCCCACTATCCTCCTTCTCTCCTATTTAGAACACTGTTGGTGAGGGTGACATGCTTTGAGCTAGTGTGGCCAATTTATGAACCGGAGGAGCTAGCACAGCCATTTTATGGAATAGAAGAGAAAGGCTGAGTGAATCACAGAGCTACTAGTCCAGGGACCTGATGTCACTGAGCTGCTAAAAGAATGTGGAAGCCATTTATCTCCAAACTCCTTGCTAAACAATAAAAGAACCCATGATAAAAGCCATGATTGGATTTTCTGTTTCTTATAGCCAAATACCTCCTAAGAGATACATAATGATCATACATAATGATCATATATAATACTCTACCTTGATGGTGTCAACCCAGGTCCTTGAGTCTCAGAACTATATAATGATAATAATTAATAACAATAAGTTATCAAGTGCCTGTTATGATCTAGAACCTAAATTATATATATAATCATATACAATTTTATATACATTGTATATTTATATAATTATACACATTATAAAATTACGTATAATATATAATTAATATACATAATTTTATGTAAAATTTAAATATCACAACTACTCTATAAGGTTAAGTGCCATTATTCCCATCTTATTAGTGAGAAAACTGAACTGAGGCACAGAGGGATTAAGTAACTTACCCATGGTCATAAGTCTCCTAAGTGGCTGAGCTAGGATTCAAACCGGGGCAGTCTGGTCTCAGACTCCATACATCCAAATACTATGGATGACTAAAGGAACCTTGAATTGTACAGGTCCCAAATGGAGCTCATCAGCCTTCTCCCTCATAAATAGGCTCCTCATTCAAACTCTGTCTTGGTCAAGGCAGAAACTTGGGACTCTCTTTGGACTTGTACTTCTCTTTTCTACCCCATGTCCAACTGGTCACCACATACTGACAATTCTACCTTCTAAACATATTCTGAACTATTCTGCGATGCCTGGCTTGCAGTAAATGCTTACAAGTGCTGGCTGCTATTACCAGGCTCTTCATGACTAAGCTGCTGCTTCTTTTCAAATCTTTCAACCATCCTAAAACCTCCAGCCCACTGAACTTGCCTGGTCTACTGGCTCTTGTTGTACCGTTGGAGCCTTTGTATAGACTGCCTTTACTGCATTGAATGCCCTGTGCTACACTCTCCCTAATTAATTCTTCTACAATGTAGCCCATGTGTCAGGCCCACTAGGAGGCTTTTTCTGACTTCTCAACCTCCACAAATTGTTCTCCCAGCATGCTCTGCAGATCTCTGTCTCTGGCCTTATCATACTGCAGTTTAGTCATTTGTTTACTTATCTTTTCTCATCCATGTCAACTCCACATTCCCAAACCAAGTTATAACCTCCTCAGGAGAAGGATACAATATTTCAAACTCAATCCAGCCCCTTCCTTCAGCCCCTGCCCCTCCGTTGGTCTCTCAGTTACTGGCATCATTAAACTAGAAATTTCCATGTCATTTCTAAACTGAACAAGCCAATTTCTACCTCTGAAATGTTGTTTGAATCTATCCTTGCCTCTTCATTCCTAAGTGACTACCTGGATGCCTTAAGATCTCAGGCTTGATAGTTATGACAGAGTAGATCCTATTTCCATTTGGGACCTACTAAGGGCTTCCTGCAGAGTTGAGAGGTGAAGCTCATTGTCTGAAAGGTGGTCAAATTTGAACAAAGGCCGTCTAGCTACTTGTAAATGGATTATATCCATGTATTGAAATATATCTTACATTTTCTACCCACAAATTCGCAACAAGACCCAAAGACTCTAAATAGTACCTTGTTCCATGGTTATTTCATAAGAAAAGTGAGCTAAAGAATTGTTCAGTAGCTCCAGCAAAGTCTTCTTAAAACCAAGTATAGTATAAGTTAATTAATCAGGCAAGTGATCAATAAAATACAAGAAATGCAGCATTAAATAATACTGAGCTGCTCATTCCAAATAGTCCGACTCATTAGTTTGATCAATACATTACAAAGATGTAACAAGTGTAAAAACACAAGGGGCCTAAAAATACTTAGTTGATGTATTGCATCCATTATCAGAATGCACATATTTTTCAAGACACTTAGGTAGTCCCAGCAAATCCAACAATTAACTTTTGAAATAGCCAAATAGTAAGCAGAGTTTTGGTGAAGGTCTTCTATTCAAGCGTCCAATTTTGCAAATATTTGGAAAGACAGTGTGCCCAATGAAATATGCCTGAACTAGGGCTCAAATGGCCCTGCTACTTTAGGCAAGGTGGCCTTAGGCAAGTTGTTCAACCTCTAACTTTTCATCTGTAAAATTTGGGTAAGAATCCAGTTCTGTCTCCATCACAAGGCTGTCACAGAGCTCAAATGACAGGATGAATATGAACACAGTTTAAGCACTACTAAGTTCTCTAAGAATAAAAGCTGCATTTTGCAAAAAAGTCAGTCCATCTCTAAGGCAGGCACACGAGAAGAGAAGCTTTATTCATAGATTACTAAAAAACTAAGCTAATTTTAAAATTCTTTAAAGCATAGTCTGAAAACAATGATGTAATTAAAACAAAACATTTTGACACTGATTTTTTTTTAAATTAAAGAGCTGGGGATCTTTAGAATATGAGCCTAACTCTTTTTATTTGTGACCTCCATGGCTTTCAACTCAATGACAATGCTTAAAGAAACAATGACATTATTTTGGGGTCCTGAACCAGTTATACCTGGTCATTTGTTCAACCTCAACTTGAAAAGTGGTTTGTAATATTTTCCCTAATACCTCTGGAGAGTAAAATTAAATTTCTCACCAACATAGGAAAATGCAGCATATGCCAGGAAGGTCATTGCCAATGAAAATGGGCCTGACACCAGCCCTGGAACATACAAAAGTTTCCCTTACACCGTAGCAATCTCTGGGCACCTGAAAAGAGGCCCTAAAGGCTGCTTTGCAAAGTTAGAGTGCCCTGTGCCCATCCTGGTAGCAAAAGTCTGCTGATCTGCTGTCAGCTACTGTGCAACACATGGAGGTCTTACTGGCCACATGCAGTGCCCAGCACTTAGTAGGTGATCAGGAAGCGTTGCCTGAATTGAAATGAAAAAAATGGCACATTATCTTCTGCAATGTGAAACCAATAGTGTGAGTCAACAGCCAGCTTCTTGACTTTCCCAATTTTAGTCTCCAAAACACTACTAAAATTATCATTTTAAAATTCCATTTTTAAAGTATTAATTTTAGATTAAACCAGATATGAGCTATCCTAAATTCTTTTTGAACAAGATTGGGTATATATTTCTTTTTTTAATGTGAGTATAAAAATATAACAGAAAAAAAACCCTTACTCTGAGAACTTGTTTTAAAGTACCCAATTGCAATAAACGAATAGTATGTTCAGTTGACTGCTAATCAAATTTAGAAAACAATAATCAATGCTATAGTTACATGGGTCCAAATAAATTATTTTGATATAAATGTATACTTAGATGGATATACTTCTGCCTTCTTGCTGACCCATAGAAAGCACATCAGTCTTCACCTGACAGATGTTTCACCAGTTAAACTTTCTCACACGTTTGCACAAGTAAAAATGTAAAGATCATAGAATTGGTTTTGTAAGCCACTTAGCCTCTTGGCAGTTCAGTTAAATGGATTGAGTTAAATGAGATCACATGTGTAAAGTGCGTAGCACTTAGTACATGCTCCCACAAATAGTAAACACTGAGAAAGGAAGGAAAGAAAGGAGGGTATACCCAAAAAGAAAGGAAGTTCCTGAGGCACCACCAGCAGGGAATCTAGGAAGAGGGAACTGCCATCAGAGCTTCTTCCCCTTTTCTTCCTTTCCCTTCCCAGCAAATGAATATAAAAGAATTAATCCCAAGATTGGATGACTCCAGAGAATAAGTCATCAACTATCCTGCCCTCTGCGGCCATCTGCACTGAACCATGAGAAGAAAAGGCAGTACTTGACACTTCAGAGATCCCTCCTAGAATCCGTGGCAACATGAACTTACCCCAGCCTGCTATGAGCCGGTCAGATAAGGCAGGTAAAGTCAAAGGTGACCTAGAGCCTGGATATTGTCCCTGAGACCCTGAGCCTCTGACACACTGCATTCAGGCAGCATGACTCACTCCATTCCTAACAAGGACATCGCCAAACAGCCAACATAAATATACAATGACTTACCTCCAATAGTTTCTTGTTCTTTGGTAATGGAAACACAAAAGCTTTGTTACTGAGTTTAAATTTACCCATAGTTAACAAGTGTCAATCAACCACATCTTTGACATATCAATTCAGAAATTATCAGAAACCTTAAGCATGTTTATGTTTCTGGGAAACCATCTTAATAAACTAATTTAAAATGTAAGTAAAGCATTCCTTGTGGCTATGGTCTGAATGTCCCCTAAAATTCATATGTTGAAAAGTAATAATCAATGTGATACTATTAAGAGGTGGAGGCTTTAGGAGGTGATTAAGTCATGAGGGCAGAGCCCTCATAAATGGGATTAGTGACCTTATAAAGGTCTTAAGAGATGAAACTGCTTATATTATCCCTTCTACCACCTGAGGACACAGTGCTTGTCCCCTCCAGAGCATGCAACAAGGCACCATTTGGAAGCAGAAAACAGTCCTCACCAGACACTAAACTTGCTGGCACCTAGATCTTGTACTTCTCAGCTTCCAGACTGTGAGAAATACATTTCTATTCTTTATAAATAACCCAATCTGTGGTATTTTGTTATAGCAGCATGAATGGACTATGACACTGGTCATACAGGTTATTCTGAGCATTTACACTCATAAGAAACAAGAAATAAGCTTTGAGCCAAACCTCAATGGGGAGAGGTTAAGTAGACTATGTTGTGCCCATTAAAAATGAGGCCTGCCCACAATTCTGTTAAGATTTTCTCCATAGACAGACAAGTGTGTGTGTGTACGTGCACAGACATACACAAAGACACATTTGTTTACAATAGAAGAAGGGTAAAAATCTATAAGGCCAGTAATAGTAACATCTATACAATGAGACATTTAAAATTTCATGTACCTCTGTATCTTTGTATTATAGCATGCATGTACTATTTTTATAATTAAATTAATACTTTAAAAAAGTATTTAAAAAGGCCACAGTCACAAATCTGCATGAGAAGAGGCAGGCCTCTGACCTGGTCCCTTGGAAATGCTTCCTGTGTTTTGTGTCCTTTAGTTTACAGTTGAAGATATGGCAGGTGCTCCTCCATTTAATACCAAAGATATTGGATGAAGGCGCAAATGCCCGACAGTAGGATTCTATGCCATCTCTCATGCACAGTGACGCCCCACTCAGTTTATTGTTGTTCACCACTGCCATGGACATAGCACCAGACCTTTCTCCTCCCAAACTCCAGATAGTCTCCACCACTTGATCAGAATTGACACATAAGATGAAACCTGCCATAGTTCCTTGAATCCAGGATGCCATTGCGTATAAGAGGTATCAATGATGCACTAACAGTTTATCTGGAAAAGGAATCCTACATTTCATGTACATATCAATTGTAAGATGCATTCTGACTTGTAAAATGCTACAATGTTAAAAATGGGCATTTTTGAATCTGTGGAATGCTGTGGTCACCCTCCTTGGTCTATGACAACCCCTCCTTTCCCTTCCCACCGATGGCCTTCCATGCCTGCTACCATCTCACTTGCTGTTAAGAAGCTACAGCACAGACATAAGGCACCAGGCTGCACCCACCTTGTCCACGTAGCTGCAAGATGAAGATCTAGGAGCCAGAAGTCACTGGCAGCCTCAGGTAAGCCAAGGCAGTTTGGGCTGGGCCAGAGACGGGAGTATGTGGGTCCTTCACACAGAGCTTCTCCCCCAGCATTAACTTCCAATTTGATGACAGTCAGAAGCTTCAGAAGAACCAGGCTTCTCTGATTACTATGTTTAATACTCCCCTTTCCCTAAAATCCACGATAATGGAAACAGGCTTTGACTTTCTTTTTCCCCGCTACAAAACACCCAAGGAAGAAACACCCTACAGGTTTGGGAAATCATTGCTGTATGGGCTTGAGCAAGAAGTAAATAACCTCTCTGAGTCTCTTCCTTCATCTCTAAAATGTTCATAACACTTTTCCTAGATTGCTTGTGAAGATTAGAGGTCAAGGAGACAGGGCACCCAGTCTAGAGCCTGGTATACAGCAGGTGCTCAGTAAATCTAGTGAGCCAGATTTCCTCTAGTTGGTAAACTGATTGCTCAATTGGCAATGTATACAATATTAGCAATATGACCTGAGAGAAAGACAAGCAACTTTCAAAACTACATTTAAGTTGTATGTACCCCAGAAGATCCTACTCAATAGGCAGGCAACACAGTCAATGGGACTTCAGGCAATTGCAGCCACAAACCCATTGGTGAGTTAGAGAATTGGGGGAAATAAGCTCCTTAACTCCCTCCTCCTTTCTTTTATTCCCCAAACAGAATGGCCAAGTTTATTAATTGACAGTTTTACTCAGAGAATGGCTCTAAAATGACTATAATTCTTTACTAATAGAGTAGATTTTTTTATTCCAAAACCTGACCAAATGGAAGTGGAGTAGAGTAGGTTTAGATTTCACAGTCTCTATGTTCCCCATGCCCACCTTTACTGATGAAACAGACAAGGCCGAGCAGAGAGAGTTTAAAGGATAAAAAGCAGAAAGACGATCTATTCAATAATCCACATAATCAGCCTAAGAATTAGCAGAAGTTGTTAGCATGGGGCTTCTGGGACTGCCTGGATCTCTATTCCCAGCTGGCATCTTATTCTGAAGGAGAAGCAACATCCTAGGTTCAGGCTGAAGCAAAGTGATTTAGTAACATGTGTGAAATTACATTTAGAAGATGAGGTTGCCGTTAGAAACAGACTCACAGGGAAAGAATGTAAGAAATATCAGAGTACAGTCATCAGGGACCGTTTTGTGTAGGGACCAGCAACACCTCTTCAGTAAGGCAGAATATGTAAATAGGAACATTTAATATTTAATAATGAAGGAAAAGGGCAAAAAATGTAGCCATCCTTTTGTTCAACAAACACTTATTAACTACCGAGAGCCAATTTTTGTCCTGGGCCCTGGGGAGTCCAAGATGATTAAAACATGCTTTGTCCTCAAAGGACTTGCACTCTAGCAGAGGGAGACAAAGAGGCAGAAATAAAAGGGAAATTCTCCCCAATGGCAGACATCAGAAGCCTCAGAAGGGCTTGGCTTCTACTAGGTGTTGGGATGGGGGAGGAGGAACAGGAGTGGCTTCACAGAGGAAGTGACTTTGAGCTGAATCTTGAAAGACGAGTCTGTTTTTGCCAAATCGGTGGACAAAATGGTTAACACTTAGAAGGCTGCAGTATGTGATGATGCATTTATGGAGAAAAGTCTCATTCCCTACCACATAGGATAAATGCGGTTTGCACGTCGCCACTGAGAATATGCTTGGCATAACTAAGTTGCTCTATGAGGAATCTGGTGTTAATCTGGTTCTCCAATGTATCTCACCAGAGTCAAAAGCTGACCCCCATTTGGGGTCATAGGAAGCCCTGCTGTGGCACAGTCTCAGCCTTCCCATCTTGGTCCTGTGGCCTTTGGTGAAAGGTTAGGGTGGGTGTTAGGATGGGAGGTGTCTGTCAGTGGGGCTCAGTTGTCTGGAGCTGCAATCACTTTTGACACAAGGAGGCCCTGAAGCCAGCAGGAGAGGCTGGCAGCATTCAGTGTTAGACCTCTGGAAGGCTGGCCAGCAAGTCCCAACTGGTAAAGAGGAGATAAAGTGTCAACGAACTCCCTCCTATGACCTACATGGCCTTCATGGCTAGGCATCCCATCCCAAGAGTTGGTATCTCACTGCAGCCCACCCATCCACTGTTTACCTGCCAGGACTCTGCTAAGCACTTTCCACACATTATGCATTGCAGCCCTCACACCCTTCCTTTGAGGAGGCTACTATTACTGCCATTTTACACACAGGGAAACTGAGGTTTGAAGAATTGTGCAAGGTCACCTGGTTAATAAGCAGGAGAGCCAGGAATCAAATCTGAGATGTTGTATTCCAAAGCCCATGTCATATTCCTTTCTTGTTCTTTAGGGTTCCCTCTCACCTCCAGGCCTCTCCAAGCAACACTCCTCCTCTTCCATCCTCATCCACTCTCTAACTTTTATTTGTCCATCAGATCCTCACTGAGTTACATTCTCCTCAAACCTCCCTCACTCCCCTCCCTCTACGTGCCTACAGTGGGGAAATGTGAGCTAGTTGCCAGATCATGAAGGGCCTCATAAGCCATGTAGAAGAATTTGGGCTGACTTGAGAACAATAGGAAATTCTTAATTTAGCAGAGGAATGGAAAGTCAGAGAGCAAAGAGGAGAGACCTATTGGGAGGCTGCAGTAGGAATCCACTCATGAGTGGACTGAAGGCCCCCTAAACTATAGGGGGAGTCAGCCATGGACAGGCCTCAGAAGGTTGGAGAAATCCCTGAAATACAAGCAAAATTGTGTGTGTGAGTGCATTTTTCTGATGACACAGTACATAGCTTTCCTTAGATTCTAAGAATAAGAACCGCAGTACCTTGTTATATGGTTACCTGAAAAATTGTCCAACACAATAGTGGGCCATGCCTAGAAGTCACAAAGCCTAAAATTTGCTAAAATTTGAATGAAGAATGAAAACTCATGTAGAAACATGGTTTTCAGTAGAGTCCAGTGCTCTTTCTTCTGAGCTTCTGTAGCTGAATTCAAACCCACAGAGTGGAGAGGGCTGAGCTCTTCCTTGGGGTTGCATGTGCTACCCAAACTCAGCTGCCGAGGATAGGAGGCACATTCCATTAATAATATTTTGGTTCTGGTCTGTCCTGACTACCCACACTAATTAGGAAAATGTAATTGATTCTTAAGGACTCCCCATTAAAGAAAAAAAGCGGGGAATGTTACAAGGAGCATCACAATTTCCTAAAGCTATGATCCTACTATATTGCCGTTTATCAAGGGCATTTTATTTTTCTCTGGCTGGAGGCCAATTTCATCTGCAGTAGACAGAAATGCTGAAATAAGACAGTAATATGTCTTCAAGCTCCGGACAAGCTGGCTAGAGCCCAGTGAAATAGTGTGGTTTGGTGGAAAGAGCATTGGCCTAGGATATGAGTCCAACTTAATATTGCACCTAGAAAAGAAAGATCATTACACCTGCCTTACTTGCCTCAGAGAGTTTGGGTTGCTGTAAAAAGATGCCAGGCAATCTATTGAGAAGTGAAGTCACATTGAGAGTGGTGTGGTGTTCCCTATGACACACGTATAAGCATGCACACAGGTAAACACACTCCACTCATGCAGGTCACCTGCTTGGCCTAGGCCAGCAGGAGATTTTTTTCCTCTCAGAAAATCTAAACCTTCCTGATTCTCCCCAATCCCTCATTTTACCCCCAGTCTGTCCTTCACCTTCACTTGGCCTCACCTGCTGCTTCACGTGCCCCTCAACCTCGTCCCTCCTTTACATCTCTACACTTAGCTCATCTTTTTTTAATCTGTGGGTCTTCCTTTCTGAGCTCCCAGTCTGCCCTTAATCCCATCCCCCTCTCATCTCTAGACATGAATCCTCTTATATGGCCCATCTTTTGCATCTACTACAGGGTTGCCAACCACCTAAGTCTAGATATCCAGCCTGCCCTCTGTCCTTAGCTCCCAGCCCAGATTCCCAAACAAGAGTGTACCTCTCCAGCTGAATTAGCTGTGGGGCCCTCCAACATGGGCAAAACTGAGTTGTGACCCTTCCACTAAACCTTCTCCTCCTGCAACTGATCTCAGCCTTGCCATTATTCCATTATCCCTTCATTTGTTCCTGCAGTGCATACCTATTGAGCATCTCTGTGTGTCAGACAGTATGCTAAGCACTGGGAATATAGTGGCCCCTGTCCTCATTTGATGGGAAAGACAGACATTGATACAGTCTGAATGTTGACAGCCCCCTCCATCAAGTTCTTATGTTGAATCTAATAGCCAATGTGATAGTATTAAGTGGTGGAACCTTTGGGAAGTGATTAAGTGATGAGGGCTCCACCCTCATAAATGGAATTAGTGTCCTTATAAAAGAGACCTGAGTGAGCTCTCTTACCCTTCCTCCACATGAAGATGCAGCAAGAAGGTGCCATGTATGGGGAACAGGCCCTTACCAGACAACAAATCTGCTGGTGCCTTGATCTTGGACTGCTCAGCCTCCAGAATTGTAAGCAATAAATTCTGTTGTTTGTAAATCACTGAGTCTAAGATATTTTGTTATAGCAGTCTGAATGGACTAAGACAGACATGAATCAAATAGTCACCAAATATGAACACAGTTCTTACTGGGAAATTTCTATGACAGATATATGTGCAACGAGAACATAACAGAGCATATAATGGTGCTAAGGAAAGATTTTCCAAGGAAGCAACTTGCTATATATGAGCTGAGATCTGAAGGCTGAGTGGTATTTATTAGGAAAAGTTGGGTTGGGGCAGAGGGGAATGTTCTAAACAATGAGGAAACATTTCTCTACACATACCCTGGGGCAGGAGAAAACTGGGAGCGTTCATAGAAGACCAATGTGTCTAGAGCTCAGGGAACAAGGGAAGATGACACAAGATGAGGTGGAGAGATGAGTAGGGGTCAGGCCTTTCTGGGCCTTTTGGGCTGTTAAGGAACTTTGTCTTCCTCCTGAAATTAGTGATAAATTATGTGAATACCTTCAACAAACATTTATTGAACAGCTACTGTGTTTCTGGCCCTTTTCAAGATGATGAGGACACAGGGAACACATGAATGGAACTAAGTCCCTGACCTCATGGAGCTCACATACCAATCACACACAACTGAAGGCAGCTTAACAGAGCAATTGTGAGGTGCCAAAAATGGATGCAGAAAGGTTACTATGGTCGTCCAGGAGTATGTGATGACAGACTGGACTCATAGCAGGCTGAGAAGGGGAGAAGTTGGTGAATTAGAAAGACTTACAAGGTACCATCAGCAGGACTTAGTGATGGATTGGCCAGGGGGTGGAATTTTGTTTGTTGTAAGGTTTTTAAATTGTTCTTTTAAGAAGGAAAATTCCTGAAGGAAGAGTTTTAAAACTTGAGCTGAAGGGAAGGACCTTATCAAGAAGAAAAGGCTGACTCTACAAAACAAAGGTGGGGTGATTGGCCATTTAAGGTTCCTGAGGAAGCAGGAGAGAGTGGTATCCAGAGCCTGAGTAGAGATGGTCTCAGGACAGGGATGGAGAGATCCATTATTTTAGTAGGAGAAGAAGTGAGGAAAGATGCAGGTAGGTTTATTAACTTTAGCAACAAGTTAAGAAATTCTGGTCCAGGTCCAGGGATTTCTTTTTCTTTCTTTTCTTTTCCCCCCATAGAGAACACAACAAGGTCACTTGTTGAGAATGATGTGGGAAAAGTGATGTGACCCATAGGTGGGTCAGGAATGAAAGGAATCAGCATTAGGGAAAGTGGGAGGACAAGCCTTCCAGAGTAATTTGGTCAGATTGCCAGGCAGGTCAAGGGCCCTCCAAGGTCAGTGGTCCTGCATAAGTGTAAATGGTAGGAAGAAAAATGTCCCCGCGAAATACAATCATTCCTTGGTATTTGTCGGGGGTTGGTTCCAGCATCATCCTGTGAATATCAAAATCCACAGCTACTCCTCCCATATACTCCTTCTGTATACTTTAAAGCATCTCCAGATTACTTATAATATCTAATGTGATGTAATACTTTGTAAATAGTTGTTATACTGTATTTTTAAAATCTGTATTAATTTTTAATTTTTATTTTTCCAATATTTTTGGCTGAATCAGTGGATGCAGAACCTGCAGATACAAAGGGACTACTGCATGTTCACTTCTAATCCCCAGAAAGTGTGAATAGTACCTTATATGGCAAAAGATATGATTTATTTAAGGATCTTGAGAGGAGATGTTTATTCTAGACTATCTGGAAGCCTTAAATGCAATCATATGTATCCTTAAAAGAGAGTGGCAGAGGGAGCTTTGAGACAGAGACAAGGAGAAGGCCACGTGAGGATGGAGGCAGAGAGTAGAGTGATGCAGCCACACACAAGCCTGCTGACAGTCACCAGAAGCCGCAAGAGGCAAGGAACAAATCGTCCCTAGAGCAGGAGTCCCCAGCCCCCAGTCTGTGGCCTGTTAGGAGCTGGGCCACACAGCAGGAGATCGGGGTGAGCCAGCATTACCGCCTGAGCTTCACCTCCTGTGATGGTTAATACTGAGTGTCAACTTGATTGGATTGAAGGATGCAAAGTATTGACCCTGGGTGTGTCTGTGAGGGTGTTGCGAAAGGAGATTAACATTTGAGTCAGTGGACTGGGGAAGGCAGACCCACCCTTAATCTGGGTGGGCACCATCTAATCAGCTGTGTGGGCACCATCTAATTAGCTGTCAATGAATATAAAGCAGGCAGAAAATGTGAAAAGGAGAGACTGGCCTAGCCTCCCAGACTACATCTTTCTCCCATGCTGGATTCTTCCTATCCTTGAACATCAGACTCCAAGTTCTTCAGTTTTGGGACTTGGACTGGCTCTCCTTGCTCCTCAGCTTGCAGACAGCTGATTGTGGGACCCTGTGATTGTGTGAGTTAATTCTTAATAAATTCACATATATATCTCCTATCAGTTCTGTCCCTCTAGAAAACCCTAATACACCTCCTGTCAAGTAAGTGGCGGCATTCAATTCTCATAAAAGTGCAAACCCTATGGTGAACTGCACATGCAAGGGATCTAGGTTGTGTACTCCTTATGAGAATCTAATGCCTGATGATCTGAGGTAGAACAGTTTTATCCTGAAACCATTCCCCCTACTGCAGCCCATGGAAAAACTGTTCTCCAGGAAACTAGTCCCTGGTGCCAAAAAGGTTTGGGACCACTGCCCTAGAGCCCCCAGAGGGAGTGTGGTCCTGTTGACACCTTAATTTTGGCCCAGTGAGATGAATTTTGAATTTCTGGACCCCAGAATTGTAAGATAATTAAATTTCTGTTGTTTTAAGCCACCAAATGTGTGGCAATTTGTTACAGCAGCTCTAGGAAATTAGCATGATGTGAACTGGCCAATCTGCACTGAAATGTGACTTTTTCCAGGTGCAGGGCTCAGGTGTAAGCACAAAGAAGAGAAAAGATGTGTTCATTCAGGGCTGGAGTTTTGCTAGATTGGTGTGAGGACAAGAGGCAAAGAAGTTATGGGCTATGGCAGAAGTGTTACTGAGATGATGAGCTTAGCTAAGGAGGGAAGAGGAGAGAGGAGAGGGCAGTGGTGGGATGAGGAGACAGCAGAGGGTTCAATGGACCACCGGTCCACCACGTGCGACCAAGCAAAAAGCCTCAGAGTCCTACTCAGCCCCCTGCATTCAACTCATCAGTTGTTAGCTCTTTGATGTCTGTGGCATTCATCTCCTGATGAGCAGCCTTCCTGATCTCTCACTGGAGTTCATGCCACAATCTCCTACCCAGCCTTCCTGCCTCTGTTCTTATCTTCTCCAAGCTCTTCCATATTGATGAGAGCTCTCTTCCTAAGTTGAAAATTTAATCATCATGTTGTTGCCTAATCTAAAACTCTTTGGTGTCCCTCTCCCCTTGCCAAAAAAAACCAAAAAACAATTTCTGCTAGCAGGTACTAAAAGGATAAAGCCCATAGTCCCAAACTGGCGTGGAAGGGCATTTAGATGACAATTCATTAGTTTCATCTCAAGCCCTAACCTTGCACTAGCAATCCAGAACTCCTTGTCATTCCCAGATTATAGCTCACTTTTCCTTACCCTGTCCCATTATTCATGCTCTGCCGAGACTGCTCTTTCTATAGCCCTTGAGATTCAGTTAAAGATCAGCTTCTCTAATGTTACCCTAATAATAATTACTAATGTTTATTAAGTACTGGTATGTTAGACATCATGTTAATTGATTTTCCTAGGATGATCTCATTTGATTCACCCTCCAAAGTGGGTAATATTATTATTCCCCTTTTCCAAGCAGGAAGAAACCGAGCCTTAGAGAGGTCATAGAGCAGAATTGTAGATTCAGGATTTGAACCCAGGTCTCTCAGGCTCTAGAGTTGAACTTTCAACAGTCTATAACATTCTATTGAATGACCCTAAGTCCAGAAGCCCTTTGTGCATAGCCTGAAGGCATTGAGATCAGAATTATGAATGTTATAATAATACTTAGCAACTTACTATGTGCCAAGGACTCTAATGATCATCTTTACAGCTTTGACATCTTTATTATTTGTTTTTCAGACAGAGAAACAAAGGTTAAAAGAGTTAAAGTTACACAGCAAGAGTAGAACAGGGGCTTACATTCCCTCTGTCTAATTTGAAAAGCCCCAGGCTTAATTTACCTTAATTTAGCCCAGGGTCTAGAACATCAAAGTGGGCCACAAATCTCAACGTGGAGCATGAATGGGAGTCATTATCACGCAGATGGTACTCAAAGCCATGGAACGGATGAGTCTAATTGTGCAGAGAAAGGACAGAAAAGGTTACAGGACAGAGTTTGGAGAGTGCATCATTTAGAGAAGCAGATCTCAATGGGGATGATCTTGTTCTCTAGGGGACATCAGAATCAGACAATATCTGGAAACATTTTTGGTTATCACAACTGGTGGGGCCAGGGGCCAGGGGTGCTGCCAACCATCCCAGAGGACACAGGGCAGCTGCCAACAACAAAGAATTATCTGGCTCAGAAATCATAAATCTCCTAGAAGAGAAAATAGCAGAAAACCTCCTCAACATTGGCCTTTGTAATAATTTTTTTGGATATCACACCAACAGTTCATGCTACAAAAATAAAATAAATAAATGGAACTACATGAAACTAAAAACCTTCTTCACAGCAAAGGAAACAAACAACAAAATGAAAAGGCATAGCCTGGGCAACACAGTGAGACTCCATCTCTAAAAAAATTTTTTTTAAATCATCCAGACATAGTGGCATGCACCTGTAGTCCCAACTACTCAGGAGACCCAGGCAGGAGGATCACTTGAGCCCAGGAGTTTGGGGCTGCAGTGAGCTATTATTATGCCACTGCACTCCAGCCTGGGTGACAGAGTGAGACCCTGTCTCACACAGAAAAAAGAAAGAAAGAAAAGGAAAACTACGAACTGAAAAAACAAACAAACAAAAAACTGCATTTCACATATCTGATAAGGAGTTAATATCTAAAATTTGTAAATAACTGTTAAAACTCAATAGCAGAAAAACAAAAAAACCCAACTAAAAAATGGGCAAATAACCTGAACAGACATTTTTTCCAAAGACAATATAAAAATGGCCAACAGGTATATGAAAAGGTGTTCAACATCATTAATCATCAGGGAAATGCAAATTAAAACCACTATAAGATATTATCTCACATCCATAAGGATAGCTATTATCAAAAAGACAAGAGATAGCAAATGTTGGTAAGGGTCTGGAGAAAAGGTAACCCTGTATGCTGTTGATGGAAACGTAGATTGGTATAGCCATGGTGGAAAATGGTATGGAGGTTCCTCAACTAAAAATAAACTATCATATGATACAGCAATCCGACTTCTGGGTATTTACCTAGAGGAGATAAACTCACTACCTCATAAAGACACCTGTGGACCCATGTTCATTGCAACATTATTAACAATAGCCAGGATATGGAAACGACCTAAATGTCCATGTTCATTTGGGAAAAGAAAATGTAGGAAATGTACAAATGGGGAAAGAACATGTACACGTGTGTGTGTGTGTATGTGTGTGTGTGTGTCTGTGTGTGTAATGGAATATTATTCAGCCTAGAACAGAAAGAGATCTTGCCATTCTCCACAACAAAGATGGACCTGGAAGACATTATGCTAAGTGAAGTAAGCCAGAAAGAGAAAGAAAAATATTGCATGATCTCTCTTATATGTGAAACATTTTTTTAAAAAAAGAGCTCAAATATGCAGAGATAGATAAGGGAGTGATTATCAAAGGGGGTAGAGAAGGAAAAAATAGGAAGATGTAAGTCAAAGGATACAAAATAACAGTTATATAGGATGAACAAGTCTAGAGATCTAATGTATAGCATGAGGATGAAAAATTGTATTACGGATTTTGGTTAAGTAGATTTTAGTTGCCCTTGTCACAAAAAAAGTAACTATGTGCAATGATGGATGTTAACCTACTTCACTGCAGTAACCATTTTACTATCTATATATATATCATTATGTATACTATCTATACATAACATTATGTTGTAAACCTCAAATATGGCCCAAATGCCAATAGTGCTTATGTAGGTCCCTTCAGCTCTCCCGCTTTCTTTCTGTGTCTTGATAGAAAATCACAGAGTGCCTTGACCACTCTGTGACCCAGCCAAATGTGGGTTATTCCCAGCAGGCTTAATCCCAAACTGGGGCCTTGAACATTCCCAGACACTGACAAAGGTATCTAGATTGTTGCCTAAAACACTGAAAGAAACTGGCCCCATCCCTGAGCCAAACTCCTTAAACCCTCATAAAAACTCCATACCCTGGACCCCTCACTGCATTTGTGCCTGGGCAGAACATCCCTTTTCTCTCGCTGTTCGGTGCAGGGATCACTGCAGCACTTCTGTAAGTAAGTTCCCCTAATAAATGTTTTGGACTGATCTCACTGGTGCTTAGTGCTCCTTTCTTTGGAATCCCAACCAGCCCCACTTCAGGATAGTGTGTTGCACTTTCTTGTGTGGGAACTCCCCTGCTGCCACTTTTTGGGGCAAAATACATAAAACCAGAAAGACATGAGAAGAGAATATTCTAGGAATCAGGGAGTGGTCAGCTCCCTCTGCGATACTGAGGAATGTGTGCAAGATGATGGAGTGTGCACGGACAACGCGGAGGCCATTGCAGAAACTGTCAAGACTCAAGAGCCATTTTGGTGGGGGTCGAGAAGTGAACAACAGCAGAGAAGTGGGTAAAACATGTGTAGGCACAACTCTCTTGAAGTGCTTGGCTGTCGAGGTGGGGCAGAGAAATGAGGTAGTGGTTGGAGGAGATGTGGGGTCCTAGGACTTTGGGGTTTTTTAAAAAAATTATAGGTAGATAGTAGAGGTACTATCTTCCTGGCCAACTTGAACCCCTGACCAGCTTTCTCAACAGTGCCCTGGTTCCCTGATTCTCTCTCCCCTTGGTGGATGCCTGTGCCCCCTATCTTCTACTGTGTTTGGGGTTTTCCAGTTCTGGGAAAACTGTACCATCTGTCTGCTTGGCTCCTGCCACCAGGCTCTTGGGAGTTGATGAAGAAAGTTACAAATCCAATCTCAAAGTCTCCTCTAGGAATATGTGTTTTCTAAACTGGGTCTCTGCTGCTACACGATCCTTCCATCCATCTCTCATGGACTCCCTACCACATTCCTCCTGCACTTGCTCCATCTCCCCAGTCTTCAGCCCTGTCCTTTCCCTCTGCAGATCAGCTTGCCTCTGTCTACTTGAAAAACATTTGTTGACTGTGTTTCAGGTCAGTCACTAATCAACATGCTTATGTGTTTCTTAAGGTGCTCTTTGGGGCACTTGTGTCAGATTCACATAAGATGCTTATAAAAGATGCAGGGTCCGCAGCCCCAGTTCCTCACCCCCTTAGGTGCACAGAATCAGATTCTCTGACTTGGGGCCCAGAGAGATGAATTACAAACAAGTATCCAGGAGATTCTGATGTTCATTACCAGTTGAAAACCATTGTTATAAATTATTTAATTTTCTCAGTAATTCTATAAGGAAGATATTACTATTAAAGTCAGAATTATATGGAGGGCATCCTGTGTAATCCTATCTACTCTCACTTTCCTTCTTGTTCATCAAATTGTTGTATATTTTTACCAGTTTTGCTTGTTTTCCCCATGTCAAGAAAGATGTCCTCCCTCCTGTGCCTGATCATGACTAAGTCCTGTTTAAACAGTTGCCTTTGATTCAACTCTTCTTCCCTCCTCTGATATGTTGATCAATTAATAATAGTAATTATGACTACCATTTATTGATCACTTAGTATGAACCAACTACTTACCATAATAGCCCTTTTATTATTTCATCTAATCTTCAAATATTTCTTCTATTCTTTTCTCTATTTGTCTGATATTCCCATTATACGTATGTTACATCTTTTGTAATTTTCCTGCAGTTCTTGGTTATTATGTTTGTTTGTCATTCTTTCTTCTCATTTTTGTCTTTGGTTTTCCCTAGAAACTCCTTCTTAAGTAGAGGTTATGCCTTGCAGCCCTCTCTGTTGTAATCCACTGTTGTTATACTGAGCCTTGTTGATGTAATGGTAACATATTGGGAAAGGGTAACGGTCTATCTTTTGATTAAATCTCAATATTTTATTGGGGCAGAATCTTTGTGTGTGGTCTTCAGAAAAGTTTCTTAGCCTTTTTTTACTTCCTTTATATGAGACAGGAAGGCTAGACAGGGCTGGACCTGGCTAATTGTTCTTTCTTCGGATCAGATAAGACTCTGGTAAAGTAGTTTCCTTGAGGGCAGACCTTGTTAGGGAGAAGCATCTGGCCAGATTTCAAAAAGGTTCTTTTTCCCTTCCCATGCCTCAAGCTGGAGGAGATTTCTCTGATTTTCACCGTGAGAACCTGATGAGGGCTCCTGGGGTTAAAATTCACAAAAGTGTGGGAGTCCCTTCAGGATTGGGCTCCCAGGAGTTTAACTCTCCAAGCAGTCTACACTCAGCCTGTAGCTAGTCATCAGTTAGCCTTTAAGTCCTCCTACCATTTACTGTTTCCAGCAGCTCCTGAGAATCTGTGATTTTCAGTATTCACTTGTCTCTCCATTTCTTGGGGGGTGGAGGAGGAAGGAGGTGGCGAAGGTTTGCCTCATGACCTCAGTTCTCTGATGGAAGTAATTAGAGTTGTTGATTTTCAGTTTTTCAGCTTTTTTTCATATGAGGACAGGAGTGATGATTTCTAAGCTCTTCACATGTCACAGTAGACATTAGAAGTTCTTATACAACTCTTCGACTTAGTATTACTCCAATTTTGACAGGCAAGGAAACAAACTCAGCAAGTTTAAATTAAGTGGCCAAGCTTATATAGTTAATGAGGGGTGGAGTGGCTATGTTGTCACTAAAATGGTAAAATTGGGATTCAGGTAAAACCCAATGCTAGGGCCCAGAAAGGCAGCCACATAAGTACAAGCTGTTTTGGAGGGGCCAGGGGGTGTGTGGCTGTGCATGTGATGCACATGTATCTTCATATTGGTCCATGTGAAGAAGTCCTGAGGGTGTCAGCTGACTTTGGGGGGAAAATGGGCTGAGGGTGGGGGCCAGAATCCTTATCAATACCATAAGTCAGTGTCATTTCATGATGAAAAAACAACTTGTTTCTTAGGCTGATTTCAAAAAAGCACACCCAATAAATTGGCAGCTATATATTAAACACCTATTATGTGCCAGGCCCTATTATAGTGCTGAACAGATGCAGTGCTGAACAAAGCAATACCCTTGTGGAGTTCACATTGCAGTAGGGGTAATAGCTAATAAGCAATCAAGCATATAACATGTCTGGGGCTGATAAGTCAGATGAATAAAATAAAGGAAGGCAAATGGGGTTTAGAATGATGAGGGTATTGCTTTATAAAATATGGTCAGAAATGGACTCTGATAAAAGTGACATTTGAGCAGAAACCGGAAAGAAGTGAGGGAGGGAGTTTTGTGGCTACCTGAGAGCATCCCAGGTAGAGGGATGAGGAAATAGAGTTTTTGAGGCATATATCCATGCCTAGGGAGACAGACCTGTTCACTCTGCAGATGACATAATGCTGTGAAGACAGTGATCAACCATGGCGGATAAAAGATGTCTAACATAGAAAAACCTTGGAATGCTAGAGAGATGAACCATGTTGAATAATTAATTTGTCAGGGCAAAAATCTAAGGTATTGAACTTTATTCCAAAGAGGTAATTTTATGAGAACAGGATTTGCAAGATCTGTTTAGTAACCACCTGGTAGAAGGATGGGAACTTACTTCCTCCAGCCAAACTTACTTCCTCCAGCCAACACCCAGTCCTCCTGAACACAAAGGACTATAGGACATAAGGTACCAGCTGGGGGCCAACTGGAGAGAAAGTTTGTGTCCAAGGGAAAAACCAAGACAAAGTAACTTGGCAAAGGTTATATACTCTCTAAAAGCAAGCTCTGAGTCAGATTCCTACTCAAACTCCTACTTGGTCAGGTGTGATAGAAAGTGATATAGCAGGCCAGGCGCGGTGGCTCACACCTGTAATCCCAGCACTTTGGGAGGCTGAGGTGGGCAGATCACCTGAGGTCAGGAGTTCAAAACCAGCTTGGCCAACATGGCGAAACCCCCATCTCTACTAAATATACAAAAGTTAGCCAGGTGTGATGGCGGGTGCCTGTAGTCCCAGCTACTCAGGAGGCTGAGGCAGGAGAATTGCTTGAACACGGGAGGTGGAAGTTGCAGTGAGCTGAGATCATGCCACTGCATCCAGCAAGATGCCATCTCAAAAAAAAAAAAAAGAAAGAAAATGATACAGCAATGTGTATCAAGAGCCTAAAAACTCTTTGATCCAGAAACATGGGACTGTATCTCATGGAAATGATCTAAAATATAGAAGTATAATGTCCAAAGGGGTAGGGATTTTTGTCTGTTATGTCAGCTATATCCTCAGAGCCTAGAACATGCCTTACACACGACAGTGTCATTTATATACTCATAAATGAAATAAGAGGGTTTTCTTTATACGAATGTATACTGCTAAATTATTTATAGTATTAAAAATTCTCTAAATATCCTACAATAGGATACTGTTTCAGTAAACTATGACCCATTTACTCTTTAGATTTTACCTGTTTTAAAAAACAAACACAACGGCTTTAAGTGTTTGCAAAACCAGAATTAAGAGCTATCCCATAAAGTAGTTAGATCTGGAATGGAGGCTCATCACTCTCATTTTAAAGATGAGAGGATTGCAAGGCCACAGGAACTTATTGGCTTTTTAAAAAACTACTTAATAGATACATGAAAAAGTTCTTTTTTGCATAAAAGTTATGTATTGTCTATTAAAGAAGTCTATCATGTATTTGAAAATGATTTCTAGACCTTTAGAAAATAGATGTGGAAACAATGCTAGTTCCATGCAAGAAAGTAGGAGACCAATTAACGTTTGCAAACAAGTGGGTAAGGCCAGCAATTCCAGCAGCAGATATCCATCAATTTGGAAAGCACTTATCACCTGGCCAGTGTGCCAGGCCTTGGTGAGGCCAGGGGAGTACAGGGGTGGCCACAGGAATACAGAGACAGACATGGCCCAGTTGTCTGCCTCTTTGCAGAATCTTGTAGGGGAATGGGAATTTAACTCATCAGGGTAACACAGTGAGCGAAGAACTAGAACAAAGGGATGTGCCAAGTGTTTGAGATCTCAGAGAGGAGGCAGGGTGCACAGATTCCAAATGGGATGAAAGGAAAATGTGAATGTCAGGAAAGACAGAAGAGATGGCATTTCAAAGGCCTGGAAGAGACCTGGTGGATCTGTGAAGCTGTAAACCTGGTATGACCCCTGGAATAACCCAGAAAGGATTTTAGGGGTTTAGCAGTAAATTTCTGTCTTGTCTCTCCCATACATCTCTCCCCAGAGCTGTAAGAGATGCAGAATAGAGAAAATGACACAGGCCTTTGGTGGCTTAGTCTTTGTTCACTGCCACTTACTGGCTCTGTGCCATCGATCAATGCTCTGATTCCCTCAGTGTTAACTTTCCTGTGAATGGGAATAATAATAAGAGTGCCTACTTCATGGGTGTGTATGTGGGCAGGCAGTGGAATCTGAGTTGAAGAGGGGTTAATACATTTATTTATGTGACTAATATTTACTCAGCTTTGATTATGTGTTCAGCATGGCACCCAGCACTGTGTGTGTTGTTGTGAAAGAAAGATGTCTCTGCTCTCATGGAACTTCCAGCCAAGAGGAAGAAAGTTAAAGTATACGAAGCAACTAGAATAGTATCTAGTGTGGTTTCCGCTATCCATTCATACCTCTGGTGCGGAGCCTTTTGCCAAGGTATAATTTAAATTCCATTTTTGGTGAAGCTGCTATATGGAAGTAGTTCATAAAACCAGCAATTGAGAGCCCAGCCAACCACCCACATTGAACAGATTTTGTTTGCGCATCATGTATCCATAGCATAAATTTTTCATTTTATTTTACAGCGATCCCAATCCTATTACAATAAAGATAGAATGAACTAGAGAAGACTGTCTCTCTCCTCACCTGTGGAGTTGGAAAGATAGCTAGTAGTTACACCTTTGACAAGATTCAGATGTGCTCCTTAGTGGTCCACAAATGCCCAAATCTACAGAGGAATGGAGTTTATGATTCACTGTAAACAGAAATGTGGAAAATGCACCCTAGGCTGCTGGCTCAGAAGTAGGAGGCATTGATTGAGGGTCCCTTATGTCCAGGCACTGTGTTGGGCATTTTACATACATTATTTTATTTTGATCATTTTTATTTTGTAGATGAAGGGACTAAGTAAGTTTCAGATAAATTCAGAGACTTCTTGACTTAGCTAGTAGGGCAGAATTTGACTCCTAGTCCAATGATCTAATGATTCCAAAACCCAAAGTCTTTCCACATACTCGCTGTATATTTTAAATAGCAAAGCTAAGCTAGATGCATGGTCCTTTCTGAGTAGTTAGAGCAGCCTGAAAATAGGAATACTTTCTACTGTGATGCTAACCTGTGTGCCCACCACTGACACTGTCAAAACCCAAACGGCTGCCTCCAGAAATAGAGCTCATATATACATATACATGTGTGCATACATACATGTGAGTATGTACAGAGAGAGAAACTTTACTTTGACCCTATAATTTCATTTATCATAAGCAAATACAGATGCATAAAACTTTGCTTTTATCATAAGCAAATACAGGTGCAAAGATTTATGTGTTACGGTGTTCACTGCAGTGTTTTATATAAAAGTAAAGAAAAGAAAATTAGAACCACCTATCTTGCCAATAATAGAGGAATCTTCGAATAAATTATAATTCAACAGTATGATGGAGTATTACAAAGCCATTAAAAATCATGTGGAACATTTAATTTCATTGAAATATGTTCACAATATAATGTTCCCATAAAAATAAAACAGGATATAAAACCCTATATAGAGAATGGTTCCAATATTCTGTTCAAAAATTATATATATAGGTGTGTGTGTATATATATATATACACACATAGGTGTGTTTTCTATATAATATATAACCTGGAAGGAAATATACCCAAATGTTAATGATTATCTCTAGATTATAAAATGACATATTTTTATTTCTTTTTTATCTTTCTCTGTATTTATCCTTTTCTGTATTTTATAACACAAAACACAAGTGTGCTCTGTTGAGAGGAGTGATGCTTAAGTCTTAATAATACCTCTGGTTCCCAGACTCAGGCTTTCTTGCTGGGAAGGAAAATGATTTTTCATCTTTTCTGGCAGCAGGCACTAGAGACCAGGGCTGCAGAAGTGTGAGGACCCAATGTCCATTCCAGGCACTCACAGTGCACATTGCTTCTTGTGCTTCTTACAAATGACTTTTCACACGGCAATTTTAAGCAAGAAAACTAAGTGTTAAGCAAGAGGTGTTGACATCGCTTTTAAAATGTGTTGTTTGTGCATTATAGCTCTGCAGAGGCATTTTACACCAAGTGAGCTCCTCAAGGGAAGGGGAAGGGACAGAATGTCATTTATCCCCTGGTTCATTTCTTATTAAAAAAAAAAAACTTTTACTAGGCCCTTGTGAGGCTCTAGGTGCTTGTTAAAGAAGATATAGTAAAACATTAAAATATGGCAAATTTTAAAATAGAGGTGTGAGGCAAAAATAGAGTGGTCTTCACACACACTCTTCACTCCTTGTCCAGTTGAAATTTCAACGACTCTAAGAGATAGCTCAAAGGTTATTGTCTCTGTAAATGTCCTTTCTGTGCTCCCAAATCAGCACTCACTACCCACTTTCTGCAAATGATTGTTTTCTTATTTGCACAGATGCAGCAATTTTAGCATCTAGCAGGCTGCAATATGGTTCTTTCTAACAGGTCTCTTGACTCCATGTCACATATAGAAAATGGTAATATTTCCCTAGGGTAAACAGAGGAGGCCACCCTAATATCTAGGGAAATACACATCTGGGTTCTCCTTCAACCTATCTGTGATCCACCAGTGTACATAAAATACTGAACTGGGAAGTTCTTCTGTAGACTTTGACCTCCTAATACCAGGGGCCATGATATGGTTTGGCTCTGTGTCCCTACCCAAATCTCATCTCAAATTTTAATCCCCATGTGTAGGGGAGGGACCTGGTGGGAGGTGATTGGATCATGGGGGCGGTTTTCTCCATGCTGTTCTCGTGATAAGTGAGTCAGGTCTCACGAGAGCTGATGGTTTTAAAGTGTGGCACTTTGTTGTCTTGCTCTCTCTCTCCAGCCACCTTATGAAGAAGGTGACTGCTCCCCCTTTGCCTTCTACCATGATTGTAAGTTTCCTGAGGCCTCCCCAGCTATGCAGAACTGTGAGTCAATTAAACCTCTTTGTTTATAAACTACCCAGTCTCAGGTAGTATCTTTATAGCAGTGTGAAAACAGACTAACATACCATGTCTTATTTATTCATCTCCATATCACAGAGCCTAGTATGTTGCATTTTGCATAGCTGGTCATTAGTGCATTCATTAATTCATGTCAGCAAATACTTACTATATTTACTGAGTGTCCACTATGTAACACTCACAGTGCTAGTGGTTAGAAATACAACAGTGAATTAAATAGACATGATTTTGCCCTACAGTTTGGTAGAACAGAGTAATATTAAACAAATAATCCTACAAATAATTATAAATTTCAATAACTACTCTGAAGAAAAAGAACTGGGTACTATGAATGATATGGAAATACTTGAATGAACAAATGAATGAAAGAAAGAAAACACTGTATATTTTATATTTCAATATTCATTCACTGAAAGTTATACTATATAGAGAAAGAAAGGGAATATTGTGGGCTCTCTCAGAATGGCATAAGAATCTCATAAGAAAATCAAAATCCTGTGTTCTGGCCACTATGCTCCTATGATACATCCTAAGACCTCATGAGTTTTCTGTGGTCCTATCTCATGGATGATTCATTCTTAACTTACTTAATGGCAACTGAAAGTTCTAGAGTATTTTTCTTGTTATTGTTGTTTGTTTCATGTGCTGCCATAAATCCAAATCTCTCATCTTGTACTCGTGCAATTGGTTATTTGGATCCAAGTAGGTGGTTTTCTGTGTTTCTCTCTTCCTCCATTAGCTTTCATCTTGCTAAATTTGATCTATCGATTTAACCTGCTCAAATCTTGTGATTCCCAGTCCTGATCTCATATGTCTGTTTCCCTTCACATCAGTGGCCATGACTTCCATGATGGAATGCCCATATTCCATTTTGTTGAGTGCAGGTTTTGTGTGTGTGTGTGTGGGGATGGGGGATCATCTTGGCAATACATATTAGAACCATAAAAAATGTCCATATCCTTTGCATTTGTGATTATACTTCTAGGAACCTGTCCTAGTGAACAATACCAAATGAGAAAAAGTTTTATGCAAGAAACTGTTTCTACTCCATTATTTATAATAGTGAATGGCAGTTTTAAAAATCCTAACATCTTATAAGGGGACTGATTAAGCTTAGGTTAGTGTAATGAGAGCAGGTTTTCCTATGAACTCAAAGAGAATTCCTGAGAACAAGCTTGCAATAGCATTTTATTTTTAGAAAAGTGTGTCAAAAGCCCTTTTAGGTTCTAACGTGGCTCAGAACCCATTAAATGCCACTAAATATTTATTGTTAATGTAGAGATCACAAAAATAGTTTAAAAACAGGTGATTATGAATATAAAAGACTATTAAAAGATACTTGCTTGCATGGTATTGATCTGCTCTTCTCAGACAAATATCCTTTTGTTTTGAGACTTTTTTCCTTTGATTGGCAGAGTGTTACCTAAACTAGTTGATGCCTGAAGGACTTAAATTAAAAATAAAACAAGGCAATGAATAGTATTATAAATTAGCAGCTTAAATTTTAGTGCAAATGCTGTGCTTAAAATTCTGTCCCTAAATATTCATGTGCCTGCTCTGTCCTGTTCATAGTTGCTGCCAGGGATACTCTGAAGGGAGATAGATTAAAATCCTGCCCTGTAGATCTTATAGTTCAGTGGAAGGTGACAGATAGCACACAAGTTAATAAGTAAAATAGCATGGCAGGTGGCAATAACTGCAATGGAAAAACACTAAGTTGGGGAGAGAGAGAAAGAGCCTCGCTCAGGGTGGGAGGAGGAATGAAGTGCCTGATAAGACGA
Organism: Homo sapiens; assembly: GCF_000001405.40. Classification (NCBI taxonomy): domain Eukaryota; kingdom Metazoa; phylum Chordata; class Mammalia; order Primates; family Hominidae; genus Homo; species Homo sapiens. The sequence goes on along the minus strand of NC_000011.10, from coordinate 13,993,563 downwards.
TCAGGGCAGGGCTCCCTGGAAAGGGACCGCTGATCAGAGACCTGAAGGAGACAAGAGAGTGAGCTGGGCAGCTGGCTGGGCCACAGCATTCCAGGGAGCAGTTTTTGGTAATATAATTTTTAAGGATTGGTGGGTTACTTTTGTACAGGCAATTGAGTCCCTGAGTTCCTTGCCACTTTCACCGAATCAGCTATCTCATCAAAGAGAGGCTCTGTGTTTTCTGACATCTAGTGTGTGCCAATGCTGTTGTGCTGGAACCCGCTGTTGGGGCCAGAGCAGGTAGCCCCACCCCCTTCTCCTCGGCCTTCTTTGGAGAGGTGAGAGCTGTAATTCTTACTTTCCCTGGTACTAGGAAGCCCATTCCCTCGCCACTAAGTCTAGGGAGGTGCAAAGACAGCATTAAAATTTGCTTTTGTTGTGTTTGTATTTTGTGAGTCTGTGTTCTCTGTATAAGGATTCACTCATAAAGAAGCAAAGTAACCCTCTCTCAAAGTCACTTTTAGAGCCACAAATGCAATCTTTAACCAAATTTAAAGAATATTTAGGGGAGGCTGGCAAGATGGCTGAATAGGAACAGCTCTGGTCTACAGCTCCCAGTGAGATTGATACAGAAAGCAGGTGATTTCTGCATTTCCAACTGAGGTACCTGGTTCATCTCATTGGGACTGGTTGGACAGTGGGTGCAGCCCACAGAGAGCAAGCCAAAGCAGGATGGAGCGTCACCTCACCCAGGAAGAGCAAGGGGTCAGGGAATTTTCTCCCCTACACAAGGGGAGCCATGAGGGACTGAGCCTGAGGAACTCCGGCACAGATACTGCACTTGTCCCACGGTTTTCACAACCCACAAACCAGGAGACTTCCTCTGGTGCCTACCCAACCAGGGCCCTGGGTTTCAAGCACAAAACCGGGTGGCCATTTGGGCAGATACTGAACTAGCTGCAGGAGTTCTTTTCTTCCATACCCCGGTGGTGCCTGGAACAGCAGCGAGACAGAACCGTTCACCCCCCGGAAAGGGGTGCTGAAGCCAGGGAGCCAAGTGGTCTGGCTCGGCAGGTCCCACCCCCACGGAGCCCAGCAAACTAAGATCCACTGGCTTGAAATTCTCGCTGCCAGCACAGCAGCAGTCTGAGATGGACCTGGGACGCTCGAGCTTGGTGGAGGAAGGGGCGTCCGCCATTCCTGAGGCTTGAGTAGACAGTTTTATGGTCACAGTGTAAACAAAGCCACTGGGAAGTTCAAACTGGGTGGGGCCCACTGCAGCTGAGCAAGGCTGCTGTGGCCAGACTGCCAGATTTCTCTTCTCTGGGCAGGACATCTCTGAAAAAAAGGCAGCAGCCCCAGTCAGGGACTTATAGATAAAAACCCCATCTTCCTGGGACAGAGCACCTGGGGAAAGGGGTAGCTATGGTTGCAGCTTCAGCAGACTTAAAAGGCCCTGCCTGATGGCTCTGAAGAGAGCAGTGGACCTCCCAGCACAGCATTCAAGTTCTGCTAAGGGTCAGACTGCCTCCTCAAGTGGGTCCCTGACCCCCGTGTATTCTGACTGGGAGACACCTCCCAGTAGGAACCAACAGACATCTCATACAGGAGAGCTCTGGCTGGCATCTGGCAGGTGCCCCTCTAGGATGAAGCTTCCAGAGGAAAGATCAGGCAACAATCTTTGTGTTCTGCAGTCTCCACTGGTGATACCCAGGCAAACAGGGTCAGGAGTGGACCTCCAGCAAACTCCAGCAGACTGGCAGCACAGGGGCCTGGCTGTCAGAAGGAAAACTAACAAACAGAAAGGAATAGCACGTCCACTCAAAGACCCCATCAGAAGGTCACCAACATCAAAGACCAAAGGTAGATAAATCCATAAAGATGTGGATAAGCCAGCAAAAAAAGTTTGAAAATTCCAAAAATCAGAATGCCGCTTATCCTACAAAGGATCGCAACTCCTCACCAGCAAGGGAACAAAACTGGACAGAGAATAAGTTTGATGAATTGACAGAAGTAGGCTTCAGAAGGCGGGTAATAACAAACTCCTCTGAGCTAAAGGAGCATGTTCTAACCCAATGCAAGGAAGCTAAGAACCTTGAAAAAAGGTTAGATGAATTGCTGACTAGAATAACCAGTGTAGAGAAGAACATAAATGACCTGATGGAGCTGAAAAATACAGTACGAGAACTTCCTGAAGCATTCACAAGTTTCAATAGCCAAATTGATCAAGTGGAAGAAAGGATATCCGTGATTAAAGATCAACTTAATGAAATAAAGAGAGCAGGCAAGATTAGAGAAAAAAAGAATAAAAAGGAACAAACAAAGCCTCCAAGAAATATGGGACTATGTGAAAAGACCAAATCTATGTTTGATGGGTGTACCTGAAAGTGACGGGGAGAATGGAACCAAGTTGGAAAACACTTTTCAGGATATTATCCAGGAGAACTTCTCCAACCTAGCAAGACAGGCCAACATTCAAATTCAGGAAATACAGAGAACACCACAAAGATACTCCTCGAGAAGAGCAACCCCAAGACACATTAATTGTCAGATTCACCAAGGTTAAAATGAAGGAAAAAATGTTAAGGGCAGCCAGAGAGAAAGGTCATGTTACCCACAAAGGGAAGCCCATCAGACTAATAGCAGATCTCTCTGCAGAAACCCTATAAGCCAGAAGAGAGTGGGGGCCAATATTTAACATTCTTAAAGAAAAGAATTTTCAACCCAGAATTTCATATCCAGCCAAACTAAGCTTCATAAGTGAAGGAGAAATAAAATCCTTTACAGACAAGCAAATGCTGAGAGATTTTGTCACCAACAGGCATGCCTTACAAGAGCTCCTGAAAGAAGCACTAAACATGGAAAGGAACAACTGGTATCAGCCACCGCAAAAATATGCCAAATGGTAAAGAATATCGACACTATGAAGAAACTGCATCAACTAACGGGAAAAACAACCAGCTAGCATCATAATGACAGGATCAAATTGACACATAATAATATTAAACTTAAATGTAAATGGGCTAAATGCCCCAATTAAAAGACACAGACTGACAAATTGGATAAATGGTCAAGACCCATCAGTGTGCTGTATTCAGGAGACCCATCTAACATGCAAAGACACACATAGGCTCAAAATAAAGGGATGGAGGAATATTTACCAAACAAATGGAAAGCAAAAAAAAAAAAAAAAAAAAAAAAAAAAAAAAAAGCAGGAGTTGCAATCCTAATCTCTGATAAAACAGACTTTAAACCAACAAAGATCAAAAGAGACAAAGAAGGGCATTACAGAATGGTAAAGGGATCAATGCAGCAAGAAGAGCTAACTATCCTAAATATATGTGCACCCAATACAGGAGCACTCAGATTCATAAAGCAAGTTCTTAGAGACCACAAAGAGACTTAGACTCCCACACAGTAATAGCGGGAGACTTTAACACCCCACTGCCAATATTAGACAGATCAATGAGATAGAAAATTAACAAGGATATTCAGGACTTGAACTCAGCTCTGAACCAAGCAGACCTAACAGACATCTACAGAAGTCTCCACCCCAAATCAACAGAATATACATTCTTCTCAGCACCTCATCACACTTACTCTAAAATTGACCATATAATTGGAAGTAAAACACTCCTCAGCAAATGCAAAATAATAGAAATCATAGCAAACTGTCTCTCAGACCACAGTGCAATCAAACTAGAACTCACAATTAGGAAACTCACTCAAAACTGCACAACTACATGGAAACTGAACAACGTGCTCCTGAATGACTACTGGGTAAATAACGAAATGAAGGCAGAAATAAAGATGTTCTTTGAAACCAATGAGAACGAAGACACAACATACCAGAATCACTGGGACACATTTAAAGCAGTGTATAGAGGGAAATTTATAGCACTAAATGCCCACAAGAGAAAGCAGGAAAGATCTAAAATTGACACCCTAACATCAAAATGAAAAGAACTAGAGAAGCAACAGCAAACAAATTCAAAAGCTAGCAGAAGACAAGAAATAACTAAGATCAAAGCAGAACTGAAGGAGATAGAGACATGAAAAACCCTTCAAAAAAATCAATGAATCCAGGAGCTGTTTTTTTGAAAAGATCAACAAAATAGATAGACTGCTAGCCAGACTAATAAAGAAAAGAGAGTAGAATCAATAGATGCAATAAAAAATGATATAGGGGATATCACTACTGATCCCACAGAAATACAAACTACCATCAGAGAACACTATAAACACCTCTATGCAAATAAGCTAGAAAATCTAGAAGAAATGGATAAATTCCTGGACACATAAACCCTCCCAAGTCGAAACCATGAAGAAGCTGAATCCCTGAATAAACCAATAACAAGTTCTGAAGTTGAAGCAGTAATTAATAGCCTATCAACCAAAAAATGTTCAGGACCAGACGGATTCACAGCTGAATTCTACCAGAGGTACAAAGAGGAGCTGGTACCATTCCTTCTGAAATTATTCCCAACAATAGAAAAAGAAGGAATCCTCCCTAATTCATTTTATGAGGCCAGCATCATCCTGATACCAAAACCTCACAGAGACAGAACAAAAAAAGAAAATTTCAGGCCAATATCTCTGATGAACATCGATATGAAAATCCTCAATAAAATACTGGTAAACCAAATCCAGCAGCACATCAAAAAGCTTATCCACCACGATCAAGTCAGCTTCATCCCTGGGATGCAAGGCTGGTTCAACATATGCAAATCAATAAACGTAATCCATCACATAAACAGAACCAATGACAAAAAACACAAGATTATCTCAATAGATACAGAAAAGGCCTTCAATAAAATTCAACACCCCTTCATGCTAAAAACTCTCAATAAACTAGGTATTAATGGAACATATCTCAAAATAATAAGAGCTATTTATGACAAACCCACAGCCAATATCATACTGAATGGGCAAAAACTGGAAGCATTCCCTTTGAAAACCGGCACAGGACAAGGATGCTTTCTCTCTCCACTCCTATTCAACATAGTGTTGGAAGTTCTAGCCAGGGCAATCAGACAAGAGAAAGAAATAAAGGGTATTCAAATAGGAAGAGAGGAAGTCAAATTGTCTCTATTTGTAGATGACATGATTGTATACTTAGAAAACCACTCAGCCCAAAATCTCCTTAAGCTGATAAGCAACTTCAGCAAAGTCTCAGGATACAAAATCAATGTGCAAAAATCACAAGCATTCCTATACGCCAATAACAGACAAACAGAGAGCCAAATCATGAGTGAACTCCCATTCACAATTACTAGTAAGAGAATAAAATACCTAGGAATACAACTTAAAAGGGATGTGAAGGACCTCTTCAAGGAGAACTACAAACCACTGCTCAAGGACAAAAGAGAGGACACAAACAAATGGAAAAACATTCCATGCTCATGGATAGGAAGAATCAATATCATGAAAATGGCCATACTGCCCAAAGTAATTTATAGATTCAATGCTATCCCCATCAAGCTACCACTGACTTTGCTCACAGAATTGGAAAAAACTACTTTAAACTTCATATGGAGCCAAAAAAGAGCCCGCAATAGCCAAGACAATCCTAGGCAAGAAAAACAAAGCTGGAGGCATCATGCTACCTGACTTCAAACTATACTACAAGGCTACAGTAACCAAAACAGCATGATACTGGTACCAAAACAGATATATAGACCAATGGAACAGAACAGAGCCTTCAGAAATAATACCACACAACTACAACCATCTGATCTTTGACAAACCTGACACAAATAGGGAATCTTTTCCCCATTGCTTATTTAATAAATGTTGTTGGGAAAAATGGCTAGCCATATGCAGAAAACTGAAACTGGACCTCTTCCTTACACCTTATACAAAAATCAGCTCAAGGTGGATCAGAAACTTAAATGTAAGACCTAGGACCATGAAAATCCTAGAAGAAAACCTGAGCAATACCATTCAGGACATAAGCATGGGCAAAGACTTCATGTCTAAAACACCAAAGCAAAGGTAACAAAAGCCAAAATTGACAAATGGGATCTAATTAAACTAAAGAGCTTCTGCACAGCAAAAGAAACTACCATCAGAGTGAACAGGCAACCTACAGAATGGGAGAAAATTTTTGCACTCTATCCATCTGACAAAGGGCTTATATCCAGAATCTACAAAGAACTTAAGTTTACAGGAAAAAAACAAACAAAAAGTGGGCAAAGGATATTAACAGACACTTCTCAAAAGAAGACATTTATGCAGCCAACAGACATATGAAAAAAATGCTTATCATCACTGGTCATTAGAGAAAGGCAAATCAAAACCACAATGAGATACCATCTCACGCCAGTTAGAATGGTGATCATTAAAAAGTCAGGAAACAACAGATGCTGGAGAGGATGTAGAGAAATAGGAACGCTTTTACACTGTTGGTGGGAGTGTAAATTAGTTCAACCATTGTGGAAGACAGTGTAGTGATTCCTCAAAGATCTAGATCTAGAAATACCATTTGACCCAGCGATCCCATTACTGGGTATACATCCAAAGGATTATAAATCATTATACTATAAGGACACATACACACATATATTTACTGTGGCACTATTCACAATAGCAAAAAGTTGGAACCAACCCAAATGTCCATCAATAATAGACTGGATAAAGAAAATGTGGCACATATACACCATGGAATACTATGCAGCCATAAAAAAGGATGAGTTCATGTCCTTTGCAGGGACATGGATGAAGCTGGAAACCATCATTCTCAGCAAACTATCACAAGAACAGAAAACCAAACACCGCATGTTCACACTCATAAGTGGGAGTTGAACAATGAGAACACGTGGACATAGGGAGGGGAACATCACATACCAGGGTCTGTCGGGGGGTCGGGGGCTAGGGGAGAGATAACATTAGGAGAAATATCTAATGTAGGTGACGGGTTTATGAGTGCAGCAAACCACCATGGCACATGTATACCTATGTAGCAAAACTGCACACGTACCCCAGAACTTAAAAAAAAAAAAAAGAATATTCAGAGTGACTATAGTTAACAACAATGTATTGTGTATTTCAAAGTAGCAAGAAGAGAGTATTTGAATTGTTCCTAACACATAGAAATGATAAATATTCAAAGTGACGGGATACCTGAAATATTTGACTTGATCATTACACATTCTATATATATAACAATATCATACGTATCCAACAAATATGTTAAATATTATGTATCAATGAATGAGTATTAGAATTTTGTGGTTGTTGTTAAGCCCTCAAAGTCATCATATTTGAAGTGAAGGTGTTAAACAGAAGTCTTTATCTATTTGTTAAATCACTATATATATATATTTAATTACAATGGCATTTGTTCTTTCTGATTGTTGGCTTATGTTTCAATGGGTGACTTGTTGACTTTCAGCAACAGAGGTCAGTTTATGGGATGATGACAAGGAGGACTCCTTAGGCTTCATGAGGACTATCTCTGTTTTTCTCACCACCCTATCCCCAATGCCTAACTCAGTGCCTAGCACCCAGCAGGCACTCAACAAATGCTGCTGAATAAATCAAGGACTCCAAAGATAACAGCTTTGGTACAGAGAAAAAATACTTTCATGATAGATTTGGAAGGGACAGCATGGGGGCCACATATCACAGGAGCAGGTGAAGTAAGATGAGGGGCATGGGCTATGATTCCTTCCCCCAAATCTCTGAGACAATTGGAACCCAAGCGGAGTGTGCATTTTGATGGCACAAGGGTAGGGCAGGGCAGGGGTGAGGAGATAACTTTTGAGAAATAAGAAACTGGCACAGTGTTTGGACCCTTGAGATGCTGGACTGTCTTAGTCAACTTAGTGAACTCCTTGGGGACTCAGTTTCATCATCTGAAAAATGAAGATAACAATACTGACCACACAAGGTTGCTACAAGAATTAAGGGGAAAAAAGAAAAGGCTAATGCATATAAAGCACCTGGCACAGAGACTGTCATAAAAGTCATAGTGGGCCCTTATTTTTTCATTTAACAGGTATACACTGAGAGATGGCATACACAGTGGTCACAGGCAGGTACCCAGAGACAGACTGCCCGGGTTTGAACCCCAGCTTTATCACTTAGAGCTGGGCATCTTAGGAAAGTTACTTAGTTGTTCTTTGCCACAAGTTTCTCTTCTGTGGAAAATAGGATAATAATGCTTACCTCATCATGTCACTCTGAAGATAAACTCAGTTAACAAATATAAACCACTCAGAACAGTATCTGGCACACAAGCACTGTTTAAGTGTTAGCTATTGTCGTTATCATATGCTAGGCATTTTCATATTCTTATCCCACTTTGATCCCTCTAGGGCTGGTGGAAACAATGAGAGAATAGATAGGAACAGACAGATGTGTTGACGTGATGATGGACGACATCCTGTTAGAGGGCTGGTCTATGTCTCATTAGAATAATGGGTCCCAAATCTGAGCATGCATCAGATTCACCCTGAAGGCTTGTTAAAACACAGGTTGTGAGGGCCCTGCCCTCAGAGTTTCTGATTCAGTAAGTCTGGATGGGCTTGAGATTTTGCATTTCTAACAAGTTCCCAGGTGTTGCTGATGCTGCTGGTCCTGAGACTGCATTCTGAGAACCACTGCTGTGTAACAAGAGAGGATGTCTGAAGCTCTAAGAGGAGGAAGAAGGGAGGATGCATACAGAGATAGGAGTTCAACAACAGTTCCAAATAGGACTGAGGTCTGGACACTAGCAGAAAGAGTCAAATGTTTATCCACTCATTCAGCAAATATTTATGCGCTGCCCACTATGAGCAGGGCCCTGTATTCACCAATCAGTTGCAAGAACAAGGATTAAGCTAAGCAGAAACAACTGTGAGTCAGAGAAGACTATCAACTTACTGAATTTAGCCAGAACAGTGCTGCTATGGTTTGAATGTGTCCCCCAAAGTTTATGTGTTGGAAACTTAATCCCCAATGCAACAGTGTTGAGAGGTAGGGCCTAATAAGAGGTGATGAAGTCGTGATGGCTCTACCTTTGTGAATGGATTGTGGTTGTCGTGGGAGTGGATTAGTTATCTTGAGAGTGGATTTGTTATAAAGGTGAGTTTGGACCCCTCTTGCTCTCACCTTCTCTTACCCTTCTGCCTTTCCCCATGGGATAATGCAGCAAGAAGGCCCTCATAAGATGCAGGTACCTTGATATGAGACTTCCCAGTCTCATGTCAAGTAAGTGAAATAAACTTCTATTGTTTATACATTATCTAGTGTCAGGTGTTTTGTTAGAGAAACACAAAATGGACTAAAACAAGCAATAAGCAAGCTTAGGCAAGTGATTTAATCTCTCTAGTTTCAATTTCCTGGTCCAAAAATGGGGATAATAGTTCCTACATACTAGGGTTGTTTTGAGAATTAAACAAAGATAAACTAAACAAAGACAGGATAAACTAAGATAAAGTAAAGCACTTAGCATAGTGTCTGGCATATGGTATGTACCCAACAAATATTGGCTGTTGCTAGTATTATTATTGGGTCACCCTTTCAGATACATGCCAAGAGGTTCTTTGCCATAGAAGGACATTACGGTGAGCGTGGAATTAAGTCTCACCAGGCCCAAAACCTAGAATCCCAGAGAGCAGAAAAATAATTTAAATCACAGGATTAAAAATTACAACCTGGCCACAAGGATTAAAAGATGCCTTTGGATAAGGGAGGTATTTGGGTCAGGGTCCTCCACGGAGCCCACAGATTGCACCAGAGTCTCCAGCAGCCAGCTATGGGTATAAGTATTCTCTGAGTTTTTTTCTTCTTAATTTGCAAATGCCAGATAAAAATGAATTCCAGAACAATGGAAATCTGAGATGAGAAGTAATTACAGCAAATTTGGCCAGGCCTCCTCCTAGGATCACTCCAGTCCTTCTGGGATGTGTTCTGACAACTTGCCGGCTCTTTTCTAAACCTCTGAAAGGGGATGACGTTCCTACCACTTCCCTTGGAAGAATATTCCACAGTGAAATATGACTCACTGTCGGGGTCCTTGTCTGTGCGATTCCCTTTCTTTTCTTGACCCACTTTTGTCTTAGTGTGCCCTTTCATGCAAAGTCAAATGAAGCTTCCCCTTGAGGAGGTTGTTCTGTGAGGACTGACATTTAAAGACCATTACCACCTCTTAAACTCGGCCCTGTTCATTTGGCCAAGAAAAGCATGTTTAATTCTTTTAATCTTCCCTCATAAATCAATCTCTACATTCCCTTAATAGTCCTTCTCCTGTGCTTTGAACTCCCTCCAGCCTGGCGGTCCCGAGCTCTTGTTCCGTTTACATTTGAGAATTAACCAGTCAATCACGAAATGCCTGTGCAGGCAAAACAGCCAGGCCTAGCCAGGGCTCCAAGTGCTCTCCCCACGCTTGGCTGCTGAAGGACACTGTGGGCCCAGAGAAGAGCCCCGTGATCTGCTGAGACAAAACAAGGCCTGCCCCATGGCCAACCTTGCTCAGATAGGTGTGCGGCATTTGCTGCTTGCTCCATGATGACCCTTTCAAATGGACCTGCCCCCGTTGGCCAACGGTCAAGGGACTGCATGGGAAGCCACCTGAGACACTTGTACCTCTCCAGCCTCTACCTCCTAGGGCAGGGAGGGCCACTGAATAAGCCCAGGCAGGGTCTTACCTGGAAGGTCCCAGCATGGTCTTCTTCCTTATCACCCTCTCTGTTCTCTCTGAGGGCAATTAATGTGAATCCTCTGAAGTAGGAGGGAGGAGCAGCTGAAAGTGTTACTGCAGAGAGAGAAAAAAGCAGGTTTTAAGTATAAGAATCAATTATTGTCCATTTGTCAAATGGGATAGACCTGAGTTCTCCATCGATATCCCAGACCTGTGAGTTACAGAGGCCGTGGACAGTGTTGAGGCCTTCATCCATTGAGGTGAGAACTCTTACCCTCTTCACCCAGCTCCCTCTTACATTTCAGAACCTGTTAAATATCTGAGCTGCTATCTTACTTGGGGATTCTTGACCCAACCAGGGGTGTGGTGAGCTCTCTCCCAATAACCACAATTTGATAAAGATAGTCCCTGGTCAGAAACTCAATCTTCACAATTGTCTAACATTACACTTCCATTAGACTGGCCCAAGAGAAAACTAGTCCTTCACAGCACAAAATCCTGTAGGATGACCTTTGTGGCAGAGGCTGCTGTGTGTTCTTCAAAACATATTTCATTTTTCTTGTGGAAACAGCTACACTGCATTTCCCAGCCTCCTTTGCAGTTAAGTCAGCTTTATAACCAAGTTCTGCCAGTGGAAGTCATGGACAGACATGATATACAGTAGCCCCCTGCAGATAAGGCCAAGACACATGCCAAGACCCCAAATGGATGCCTGAAATCATGGATAGTACCAAACCCTATGCTTACTATGGTTTTCCTTTACATACATACATACATACATACATACATACATATGATAAAGTTTAATTTATAAATTAGGCACAGTAGGAAATCAACAATAACTAATAAGACACAATCATAACAATACTCAAAACAGCATGCAATTTAAAACTTATGAATTGTTTATTTTTGGAATTTTCCAATTGATAGTTTTGGACCACAGTTTACTGCAGGTAACTGAAACCACAGAAAGCAAAACCTCGGATAAGGGAGTACTGCTATACTCTACTTCCAAGCCTGACCTGTACAAGCTTTCCACATGACCCTGCACTCTCACTCTCTTGCCTTTGCCTGCTTAATGCAGGGTCCAGCAGAAGACTCTGATGTCCCAGGAGCAGGGCCGTGGAACCACAAGAGGGAAGGAAACTGGGGATTTTAAACAACCCCACGGAAAATCACCTACTGACCAGAAACATCCATACTGTACTTCGCATGAGCTGGAAATAAACTTATGTTGTGGAGGGCCACCTGTTACAGCAGCTGGAATTATAAGTCTGTTATACTCTTCATTCCTACATCTACCCAGGAAACGATTTTTCCGTTAAAATCTAGCTCGGCCGGGCACGGTGGCTCACGCCTGTAATCCCAGCACTTTAGGAGGCCGAGGTGGGCGGATCACAAGGTCAAGAGTTCGAGACCATCCTGGCTAACACGGTGAAACCCCGTCTCTACTAAAAATACAAACAATTAGCCAGGCGTGGTGGTAGGCACCTGTAGTCCCAGCTACTTGGGAGGCTGAGACAGGAGAATGGTGTGAACCCGGGAGGTGGAGCTTGCAGTAAGCCGCGATTGTGCCATTGCACTCCAGCCTGAGTGACAGAGTGAGACTCCATCTCAAAAAACAAAAACAAAAGCAACAAAAAAAATCTAGCTCAAGGATCTTCTCAACATGGCAATCATGGTCCTCCATCCCATTGGACCCCCAGTCTCCTGAGATGGAAATCTTTTATTGCAGTATTTTTTTGAACTGAATTGCAATTCTTTGTTGATTTGCCTTCTCCACTGGGCTGTGCTAATACAGGAGAGGGGCTGGGTTTTCATTCTCTTTTTATCCCCAGAACCTAGCACAGAGCCTGGCATCTAATAGATGTTCAATTCAAGTTTCTTTAAATTGATGTAAATTGAGATTTAAATTACTTTACTGCCTGCATAAAAGTGCTAAGATCCTGGACATTAGATATGGAGTTACAGACTATTAGACCTTCAAGGGATCTCAAGTATCTTCTAATTCAGCTCTCCAATTTCACGGATAGGAAAGTAAAACATAGAAAGGTCAACAGACACACCTAAGATCATAAAATCATCCAGTGGGCAACTTAGGGTCAGATTTGAAGGCCCACTCCCCAGTTTAACACTATATCCAAGGCTTCACAAACCGAATATATTCATCATGTTATAGATCTTCCACAAATATTGACTGATTATTAAGTTTTTAAACTTTAAAAAATCAATTCATTTGACATATAATATTTGTGAGTATGATATGCAGCCTCCTGTTAAAGAGGGGCATTTAGTCTTCCAAATTCCTTAAACTAGTTTTAGTCTTGAAAATGAAGTGCCCTAATGTATACACATGTAACAAACCTGCACGTTGTGCACATGTACCCTAAAACTTAAAATATAATAATAATAATAAAAAGAAGTACCCTAAAACTCCAACAAATAAAACCACTGTCTTGGATAATGTAGTGGCTGCTCTTGAGCCACCAACAGAATGACACAGCAAAGAACTCTAAGACATAAAGAAGGTAAATGACATGCTGTGATTGGCCGGTTATCCCACAAAAGTAAAGGAGCTACTGATGTCTGTAAAAGATCAGATAGAAAAAAAGAAAGAAGGGGCTAGGCGCGGCAGCTCATGCCTGTAATCCCAGCACTCTGGGAGGCCGAGGTGGGTGGATCACTTGAGGCCAGGGTTCAAGACCAGCCTGGCCAACATGGTGAAACCCCATCTCTACTAAAAATACAAAAAATTAGCCGGACATGGTGGCACATGCCTGTAATCCCAGCTACTCACGAGGCTGAGGCAGGAGAATTGCTGGAACCCAGGAGGCAGAGGTTGCAGTGAGCCGAGATTGCACCACTGCACTGTAGCCTGGGCAACAGAGCGTGACTCTGTCAAAAAAAAAAAGAAGGAATGAGGGGAAAAAAAGCACAATAAAGCAAAGAAGAGTAAGAAAAGTGTAGTGTTCAGTGTCAAGCAAAAAAAATGGTGGTTATGCTGTCAGGGGACAGAGCTGGGAATCTCTGAAGGACAGACAGACAGCCAAAAAGCAGTCTTAGACTCTCTAGGGTGAGGGTGGGTGGTCTTCAAGGCCATTATACACAATTCTGGAGGAAAGGGAACAGAGGACAAAGTAACAAACACTAAGGATACTTCATCCAGATTTCTTCAAATACCTTTTTACATTTTAATGTGACCCTGGCACTAATATATTTCTGCTTCCCGTGGCCAGCCCCTGTGGCTCTTGTGTCCCTGGTCCTCAGGTTACTGGAGCCTACTCTGCCTAAGATGAAAGGTCCAGCTGCCTTGCATCAGGTGAGGACAATTCTTAGAGGCACTTTACACTCCAAAATGGCCCCGCAGGATCTGACTGAAACTACCTGAAGGGACCATGCCTGGGATCACAGGCTGGCAGGACACCTTCCCAGTTGCTGTCCTGCTTCCCCTACTCTCTTACTAGTTTCCCCTGGGAGCATTTCCTTAAAAGAATCACTTTCATCTGAATCCTCATCTGAGGCTTGTGTTACGGTTTAAGATATGTTGAAGTTCTAATCCATACTTGGGAATGTGAACTCATTTGGAAATAGGGTCTTTGCAGATGCAGTTTGTTAAGATGAGGTAATGCTGGATTCAGGTGGGCCCTAAATCCCATACAACTTATGTCCCTATAAGAAAAGACACAGAGACACACAGGGAAGAATGCCACGAGATGACAGAGGCAGATATTAGAGCCATGCATTTACAAGCCGCAGAAAGCTAAGGCCTGTTGACAACCACCAGAAGCCAGGCGAGAGGCATGGAACCAACTTTCTCTCAGAGCCCTCCAGAAGAAAACACCGTCGGATACCTTGATTTCAGATGTCTAGCCTCCAGAAATATGAGAGAATAAATTTATGTTGTTTCAAGCCAACAATTTATAGTAATTTGTACAGCAGTCCTAGGAAATGAATACAATCAGCCTCCGGGGAACCCCAGCCAAGACAGATAATCCCTGCTCCACAGCCACTGCCTTTAGGACAAAGCTCAAACTCCGCAGACCAAGAAGCCCTCAGGCTCTGCCTCTCCAGCTTCACTAACCATGCTCCCATTCCCCTGCCATACTACATTTCAATCCTTGGATTCACTCTCTAGAAGTTTCCTGAAAATCCATGTCATGTCGCCCTGTTGTATTTTTTCATGAGCTACTCATATAACTTGGAATGGTCAAGCTCCTCCATTCTGCAAACTTCAAAAGTCAGCCAAATCTCCACCGTTTGTGTGATGTTTCCTCTGATTTCCCCATAAAGACCTGCATGCCTTTTCTCTTGGACCCTACTGAAATTAAAAATACCTACATAATAGGCATAGTAACAGCACTTACCTCAAAGTATCAGTGCAAGCTATAAATGAAGTAATATGTGTAAAGTCCTTAGTAAATATGAACTCATTATTATCAGTGATAAGAGTATCGAATTAGATTATATTTTGTGTTTATGTGTTTCTTTACACATTTGTAAGACGTTCAAGGGTAAGAACCCATCTAAGCTCAGCACAGTGACCAGTGCGGAGTTGACGTGCTATTAAATTTACTTGAGTGTTCCTAGACTGGTTGGCTCAGTATTGCTAAAGATGTCAATTATCCTCAAATTGATCTATAGGTTTCATCAATCTAAATTAAAATCCCAGTATGCTCTTTGTGATATTGACAAGCTGGTTCTAAAATTTATATGGAAATGCAAAGGGCCAAGATTGTCCAAGACAATCTTAATGAAAGAAGTGCAAAATTGAAGGGCTTATACTCCCAGATATCAAGACTTACACAGCTACAGAAACTAAGCCAGTGGACTATAGCAAGGTAAGAAAAATGGGCCAGTTGATCAGCTTAGGGTCCAGGAAAGTTCCACAAATATACAGAAGCTTGGTTTATGACAAAGGATGTATTAGGTTGGTGCAAAAGTAATTGCAGTTTTGGCCATTAATGGTTTTGCCATGGCAAAAACCACAATTACTTTCACACCAACCTAATACATCAGAGCAATGGAGAAAAGATAATCTTTTCAGTAAGTGGTGCTAGGACAACTGAATGACCATGCAGAAAAAGGTAAATCTTGGCCCTTAACTCACATCATACACAGAGTAAATTCCACATAGATTGTACAGCTAAATGTGAAAAGCAAAACAAAATTTTAAGAAGGCAGCATGAAATAAAATGCGAATGACCTTGGAGTAACAAAGATTTCTTACATAGAGCATAAAAAAGCACTAACAATAAAGGAGAAGATATATAAATGGGGTGATATCAAACTTTTGCTCATCAAAAGATACCATTAAGAGTGAAGAAGCAAGTCACAGTGTCAAAGAAGATATTTGCAACCATATAACCAGAAACTGACTTTTATCTAAAATACATAAAGAACTATTTCAGATCAATAAGAAAAAGACAGACAACTCAACAGAAGAAAAATAAGAAAGACAAATGCACAAACTAATACTTCACAAAAGAAGGTGCCCAATGGCCAATAAACATATGCAAAGGCTCTCAACCTCAGTAGTCAATAGGGAAATAAAAATTAAATCTACAATGAAATAGTACTGCGTATCTAACAGTTTGGCTAAATTTAAAAGAATTAACAATATCCAGTGATGTTAACTAGAACTTTCACACACTGTTGATAGAAGTGAAAATTAGCAATTTTGCTGCTAAATTCTTTGGCAGTGTTTACTGAAGCTGAACATACTCTTACCCTATCACCCAGCAATACCATCTTAAATCAACAGAAATGCATATATATGTGCACCAAAGATACCTATAAGAATATTAGTAGTAACATTATTTGTAGTAGCATCCAAGTGGAAATACTCAAATGCCCTTCAGCCCTAGAATAGGTATATAAATTGTGGCATATTCATATAACCAAATGCCTCACAGGCAGGAAAATGAACACATACTGCCACATGCAACATGGATAAATCTCACAAACGTAATCTCAAGTGACAGAAGACAGGCACAAGAGAATACAAATGGTATGATTACATTTATATATATTTACATAAAGCTCAAAAACAGGCAAAGTAATTCATGGTGCTAGAGGTCAGGACAGTAGTAACATGTACAGGAAAGGGAGGGAGTGCAACATGGAGGCAGAACAAGGGATGCTGCTGAAGAGCTAGTCATGATCTGTTTCTTGATCTGGGTGCTGGTTACATGAGTATATTCAACATGTGATAATTCACCACACTCTATCATTTGTAAACTTTTCCTTATGTAAGTTATATTTTGATTAAAAGATTCCTAAACAATGTTTCTGAATGATAAATATCCCAACTTTTGTACATCTGCTCAGTGTGCTTAAAGGGCTAATCATAAACTCAGCTTCCCATAATACTGCATTCCTGTAGGTTCTAGAAAGCTAAGGTTGTACACAACCCTATTAAATATAACACATGAGATGAAGGCTCTGGAAGCTGAACTCAGTGTGGGGTTTTAATCCATAATTATCACTGGTGATGATGTTGTTACACAGTATAATTTGAAGGAATAGAGGAGACTCTATCTTTCCAGAGAACCTCATTATACAACTTCCTTCTGAAAGGTACAAATGTGCAGTGTGTTCTGAGTCCCAGTAATAACCTAAAATGACTGCTTGGCAGTAAATAATAGAATCTTCTCTCTAATGACTCCTCCCAATTGCCTCCCCTGAGAGGCTATTAAGAGATCCAAGAAATTAAAGAAAAATGCTTATGAAGGATTAAAAAAAAGGAATTCCATTCAGAGCCATCTTGTGAGTACATCCGGGGAACTGATTAACAGCAAACATTTAGGATTAGAATCCCAGAGCTACCACTTATGTGATCTCTGGTAAATTACTTAATCTATTTCCTTATTTTTAAAAAGAGGTTGATGATATCGCCTTTCTTATAGGAACGTAGAGTTAAATAAATATTTATCCCAGTGCCTGGAACATGTAAACTGTTCAAGAATTTTAAGGGATGATGATGATAATGATGGTGGTAGTATTTATGATGGTGATGGTGATGGTGGTGAGTGGTGATGGTGATATTGGGGATGAAGATTATGATGAAATTTGTGATTATGATAAAAGATCATAATGCTCATCAGGCTGATTACCCAACAATGTGTTTCAAAGAGCTGGTCCTCAGGAACAATGATTGAACCTCCAAAGAAAAACTCTAGTAGGTGCCAATGAAGGACCACTGGAAGGATTGCAATGGAGAGAATTGGCTTTGGGGACGATTCTTACAAGTTCAGGTTATGGAGAGATTTGGGTAAGTCCTTATAATAAAGCAAGGCTTCCTACAGCCCATGACACTCAGAGTGCCCTGTGAGGACCTCCCTGCCCCTTTCACCTCCACACAATACCCCTTTTCTGGAATACCTCTCACCCAATTTCAGTTCCATACGTGTTTATGAAACTATTTGTTAAATGCTTGTCTCCCCTAATAACCTGTACTCTCCATGAGTGCAGAAACAAATTGTCTTGAACTCCACTGCATCTTTAGCATCTAGCATACCACTTTACACATAGTAAATGCTCAATATATACTTGTTGAATGAATGAACAAAAAAGGTTTTATTTGTCTTAAATGCATAGTTTTCTCATTCCTATTCTGGTCCCTTTTCCAAAGTTCCCATGGGTTACCTTGAGCAATACATCAACCTCCCTCATCCTTTTATCTTTACTGAGCATTTGGTCTACACTAGCTCAGTGCTACATCCCTGGAGACACAGAGTAAAAAAGACATGGCGTCTGCTCTCTAGGAGCACACAGTCTAGTACCTGGGGGAAAAAATATAGCAACAGATATTTTTTATAACATGTAAAGTGTGTTATGGAGGTATGAACAATGTGTTCTGGGGTTGCAGAGGAGAGAACATCTGCGTCTATCTGGGTGAATTCGAAGAGGCTTCAAGGAGGAGGTAGTATCTGTGTTGTAAGTTGAATGAAGAATAGGAGTTTATCCAGTGGACAAGGGAATCAACAGCATCCCATGTAGCAGAAATGTGTGATGGGCCAGTCTTGGCCCTGGAAACCAGAACTGATTCTGTATTTCATAAGTTGCATTCTGGGAGGAAGGGTGTGATAAAAGGCTTGGTGAGGAAGATAAGCAGGGGGAAGATGATCAAAGGCCTTCAATGCCTTGATAAGAAGTGTGGATATCACCCTGGGGAGGGGGGATGAGGCAGTACTGAAGGGCTTGCGCTAGGACATTTCATATTCAGATTTATGGTTTAGGAAGATCAGGCTGGAGGTTGTGTAATTATTGAATTACAGCTTTGCCCTAAAAGCCACATCAGTAACAAAGGCCTGCCTTATTTATATGAAGACTGATATTTCACACTAGAGCCTGGCCTCAAATCCCGACCCAGGGCAGAGTTCTTTCCATCCTTGGGTACACTTACCCTACCTAATTACCAAATAGCTTTCTGGGTCTTTCAAATGTTGGTGTGTCAACCTTCTAACAAAAACTCTAATAAACTATTACCCAAATTCATCTTCTATGCCTATTACCCTCACTGGATCTTGTCCAGTTCCATCTTCCTCCGCACTCTGTCTCTTGGGTTTCAGAATTATTAATAGAACTCCAACCTCAATGAGAAGACCCTGAGTCCCAGCTCCATCCTATGGCCAGCCCCTGCCATCCACCTGCTATGTGTTACTGAAATGCCCCAGTCTTGCTACACACCTCAACCACAATGCGCGTCAGCTTCTGCTTTAACTTATAACATGGAGTTATAAAGACTGTTGGGACATTAAGTTAGTCACAGTGCTCCCCTTTCTATTCTGCACAACTTCCAGAGCTCTGAGGAGCTGCAACTCATATATTTCTATTTAAAAATTTGGCACAGTAATTCAGGCCACCTAGCCAGGTCAGGCAAGAAAAGATTTGCTGGTGATGGCCTGGAAGACTGGAAGGCAAGACTGAGAATCCAAAAGTGAGCAGGTGAGGATGGTGGGGTTGGATTATGCTGTTCCCCTGGATGGCCTTCTTCAGCCAGTGCTCTCAGCATCCCCAGGCAGAGATGAAGTTTCTCCCACTCAAACTGAAGATCATGCATACTTAAATTTGTAAGGGTCATTTTTCTATAACAGACGTAGTTAACAGACTTGGTTCAAATTTCCCTGTTTATTATGTGTAATTTTGGGCAAGTTACTCAAGCTCTCCTTGTCTACATGTCCTTACCTGTAAAACAGCAGTAATATTTAATAGTATTTACCTCCTGTTGTCATCATGACAATTAATGAATTGGTAATAGGAAGTATATAAAAACATTTGCTAAATCAATAAAATATATTAAAAATAAATCAGTCTCCTCTGTGAAATAAGGATCATAATTATCATCTCGTGGATTTGTCATGAGGATTCAAGGAGATAATGCAATGAAGCACATTGCAGCAGCTCAATAAAAGTTAATCCTTTCCCCATTGTGTGACCTCGTCGTGGAACAGCTCAGAGCCAGATGAATGGGTCCTGAGCTGAACAACACGTGGATAGCAGGAGGAATAATGGGAAGGATGCCTCTGGGGAGGTAGAGATGTGTCAGCCAAGAGAACGTAGCTGGGAATGTGGATGAGGGCAGGAAGCTCTGGGGGACCCCCACTGCTGCCCCTACTCTGACCCTGTGGTCACTGGGGCTTCCAATCACAGTTCATCCTCCTTCCTCAAATATCAAGTCACAAAAGTGACTGTGATCCAGATCCAGTCTATCTCCATGCCATTGCCCTGGCCATGTGACCCATACTGGACTAATCACAATCTTCCCTGGGATGTTTCAGTTTGTAGTTAGAAGGAAAGGGGCTTTTCTTTTAGTCACAGGATGAGCTAAGAGGATTTTCACTGAAGGTTGCTGGCAGCTATCCTCCCTGTCATTTGGAGAAAGTTTATCTGTAGTAAGAAAAAATGAGGGCAAAACACAGCCAAGAGATTGAGGATGGAAGGAGCAAGACAGAGAAGGTAGAAGCGAGGGACAAAAAGATAGAGCGAAGGAGGGAACGGGGGACAGAGAGAGAGAGAGAGATGGAATGACCCCATTTGAGTCACTAGACCCATTTATGCCTGAAGCAAGAGCCACCCCTGGGCTTTGCAAATATGGGAATCAGTGCATTCCCTTTTCTGCTTTAGTTAGGTTGACTTTGTTCCTATCACTTGCAGTGGAAAGAGTCCTGACTAATTTTGAAGCAAAGAAAGAAAACACTCTGCCTAAACTACAAGAATCACCAGCAGGCTCAGGAAACAGTATTCAGAACTAAACTGAGGTGGCTTATGCTGGGGGTGGCAGTTGGTATGTAAATGTCATTGGGATGACAGCAGATCTCTTGACTTCAAAACTATTTAGCTAAATATCAGCTTTAGAGAAAGACTCTAAGGAATGTCAGAGGGCTCTATCCTAGACTCTGAGTTGCTCAATATTCTTATCAACTTCATTGATAAAGACTTACAAGACCTTCTTATCAACACTGTGCATAATCCAAAATTAGATTATGTGAATAAATCACTCAGGGACCAAATACAGATTCATGAATGGCTGACAGCTACAGGGATGGATCCAAACATGCTGGATTAAATCTAACGATAAACCATGTCAAATTTTATGTTCAAGGACCATTTTCACCAGTCTAGGTTAAAGAGGGAAGCAGGCCTTCCAGAAAATTGCAAGAATTTGAGTTGGCTGCAAGCTCAGTGTGATTCCAGACTACGGCACAGCTGCCAAAATAGCAAACACAAGACCTGGCAAGCTTCACACAACCACAATGTCCAGGACAAGGAGATAATCATTCTATCATGTCCTGCCCCTAACAGACCACATCTGGGGCACAAAGTACAAGGGAGCAAGCAACTGCAACCCACAAAGAATGGTTAAAGAAATGGGGCATTTTAGTCAGAAGAGAAGCCATGACAGCTATTTATTCACAAACATCTCAAGGGCTGACATATGGCCCAGGGGAGACCTTATTTTCCTTGATTCCAAAGGACAGAACCTTGGACAGATGTGTGAAAGTTACATGGTAGGCAGACTTTGGTGGCAGAGAAGTACAAGCAAGTCAGCCCTGGCTCAAGCTTCGCCAGTCTGTGATTGTGGCCACCTAAGGAAAACTCATGGTTCTCTTCTCCCCATCACCCTACTGCCAAGCGGGAAATGTTGCAGTCATGTTGGCTTTGAGGATATTCCACTGGTCACTAAATGAGTGTGTCCCATAGTAACAGGATAGGGCAATGATGTGACCAGGTGCTAAAGTGTGTGGGAGGCTGGGGCTGGGGCTAGGAGAGGTGGTGATGGGGAAGCATGCTCATAGGAAAAGGGCCACCTTTTCTTTGTGTCTCATCATTTTCCTTTAAAAGAGTGAAAAAAGAAAGAAGAATATAAGATTCCTGGAATCCAGCCTTTTGTTAGGGTGGGGCCCAGGAAGTTTTTTTATTAAATTAAATTTTAGTTTAGTTTTTACACTCTCCAAAGGCATAGCTAGGTTTGGAAAGTACTACAAATGACTCCACAATGTGCTGGTTCTAGGGAATGTCACTTTAATAATTGATGTCTAGGTTTGATGGCTCAATAATCCCCTCAGGCCTACTTCTCCAGATACTCAGAGCCAGTTTCTCAGAGCCAGTTTCTGAGGTTGGCAGCCCCTTGCCTCTGCCCTTTTGCCTGCTGTTGCTCTGCTTTTCATGCCACAGCAGCAGCGTTTCAGCTTCCACCATGATGCAACTGCTCTCTCTTCCCTCCCAGTGGTCTGCACTCTGGACACAGGCCATCTGCCCTCAGCCTCTGGCCAACGCCCCTGTGGCACTGGCATCCTTTCTCTCTGCTGCCACCACCTGGAGCTCCTTGCCTCCTGTCTGCCATCCCTTGGGTGCTCACCTTTCTCTCTGGCTGAGAGAGAAATACCTTCCCCTTCCTCCATCCAGCTCTCTTAGAGAGCTCACACCAGGGTTCTTGGGGCTTCAATGATACTTTATTTTTTTCAACAAATAATGATTTAATGCCTGCTATGCCCAGGCACTGTTCTGGGAATTGAAGATAAAATGGCAAATAAGAAAGACAAAGTCTTTGCTCTCATAAAGCTTGTATTCTAGCTGTAGGAGGCAGACAATAAACGAGAGAATTTCAGAGAGTGTTTAAGGCTATGAAGAAAACAAAATCAGGCGAAAGTGACGGGAAACATAAATTGGTAGTGAGAGCAGCCTCTTTAAAGAGATTCCC
This sequence comes from Homo sapiens, assembly GCF_000001405.40. NCBI lineage: Eukaryota > Metazoa > Chordata > Mammalia > Primates > Hominidae > Homo > Homo sapiens. The sequence goes on along the minus strand of NC_000011.10, from coordinate 13,970,758 downwards.
TTAAAAGACAAGGAGTCAGCCATGCAAAGATCTGAGGACAACCATCCCAGGCATGAAGAGCAAGGATGAAGGCCCTGGGGAGCGAATGAGCTTAGTGTATTTGGAAAATTCAAAGGATAGTGTTGGCAGGAGTTGGGGGGAGGACAAGGAGGAGGAGGAGGAAGAGGAGGAGAAAAGAGCTTCCTGTAGCACCTAGAATCACCATTTGGTTCATCCTGCTGTGACTGTGCCCACCTGCCCACACTCCTGCCCCACAGATGGTGACTTGTTCTTGGAACTCTTCCCTGTTTCTCTCACCCAGTCCATGAGACATATTGGCAAATATCTCAACCACAACTGTAGAGAGGGTTCAAGTTATTTCCTATGGGTCTCCTAGCCTCAAGAAAATCAGTGGATGTGGGTAGGTCCCTTAAGTTTTCCTGAACATTTCATGGAATTTATGAATATTCTGCGAAAGGTAGAAGCCTGCTCTACATAGACCTCACAAAGGACTTCTAGTGGTCTCACTTAACTCCTTGCCCTGTCCTATCTGCACCCCAACTCCATCCCTGCCAAAACATTCTGTAAAAGTGGGGCATTTTATACCAGCAGGAGCTGACAAGCATCACAAAAAGCTTTTTATGTGATATAGCAAGCTTCCTGACACCATAGATGCTCCAAGAGAGGTGCATTTGGTAAAAATCAAACACAACTGCACACTATTGGAGGAGAAAAAACAGAGAATGTAATGCTTTAAATGATTTGGGCCACTTGCTACTCCATTCAATGCATGCATGTGCCTGAGTGAGCATGAGATGAGCCTCTCAGCTCCCTTACTCCATCACATGATGAAGATTTTGTACTTGCATGTCAGAGCAAACCAAGGGTTTATCTGCTACTCAACTGAGGAAACATTGCTCTCTTCCAATGCTGGAGGGAAACTAGAAGGGCTAGACTTATTGATACATGCCAATTCGTTTCTATTCCTCACTTACAGGAATATTGGGGGTAGGGTGTTTAGATAAGGCTAGGTTGAAGCTGGTATCTGGGTTATATCTTACGTATAATTTCAAAGGACTAATTTTGACTTATGTGATGTTTGCTTTCCATGGCTCTTCTTGTATCTAGCCCTGTAGTCCCATCCTAATGGGACTCTGCCATACTCAAATATTTTCTTTCATTTTCATTCTGAATGTATACCCCAGTGGGTTTTCATTTTTCTTTTTCTCTTCCCACACCACCCCTTTGTTTTCTTGATTTACCTTACCCTCATTCCTTTCATTCTTTGCTGCTTCCTCTTTTATTGAGAAAGGAGAATGAGACAAAACAAGCCACAACATAAGCTTGCACATACACACCCCAGCACTCCTGCCTCTGCTCTTTTTCCCTTCTTTTGAGACAGGGTCTCACTTTGTCGCCCAGGCTGGGTGCACTGGCACAATCTTCACTCACTGCAGCCTCAACTTCTCCAGCTCAAGAGATCCTCCTGCCTCAGCCTCCTGAGTAGCTGGGTCTACAGGTATGAGACACCACAGCCAGCTAATTTTTTTTTTTTTTTTTTTTTGTAGAGATGGGTTTTGCCATATTGTCCAGGCTGATTTTGAACTCCTGGGGTTAAGCAATCCACCTGTCTCAGCCTCCCAAAGTGTTGAGGTTACAGGTGTGAGCCACTGCATCTGGCTTCCTCTGCTGATTCTTAGCAGGAACATCAGTTTATATGTTGTCAAGTTGACCCACCTAGCTGACCTTTCACTGAGAAAGTAAGATATATTGTGTTTTTACATGACTATGCATGAAAATATGTGACAGAGACCGTTAATATGATCCTTAGAAATTTACTTTGTTTCATCTTTTTGAAAAATAAATTCTTCAAGTTTTAGCTGGGCATGTGGCTACCCAGCTAAATGCTATATTTCCCAGCCTTCCTTGCAGCTAGGTATGACCACATGACTGAATTTTTGCCAACGGAGTGTGTTTAGAAGTGCTGGGTGCAGTTTCTGGGTCACATTATTAAAAGAAAACTGAAGTCCTCTACTTCCTCTCCCCCCAGTCCACTGCATGCTGACTGAATACAGGTGTGCAGAGGTTCTCCTCGGCTGTAACGGTGCTGAGGAGAACAGCAACTTAAAACAGTGCTGTTTAGTAGAAATAAGCTCAAGCTGGGTGAAATTAATTTTGTTACCAGGTATCCATTAACATAAGTGAAAATAGGCAAAATTAGTTTTAACTAGTGTATTTTACTTTATACAATTATAATTTTAATATGTAATAATACACAATTAATGAGTTTACTCTTTGTATACTAAATTTTCAACAGTCATTGTGTATTTTATACTTACAGCACATCTCCATTCAGAATAGCCACATTTCAAGTACTTCATAGCTACACACGGCTAAGTAGCCACCAACTACACAGCAGAGTGCAAGAAGATGTCAGGGAACAAGGTAGAAGGAGCCTGGTTCCTGGATGGCCTTATGGAGCAAAGCCTCCCATCATGCTGGATCTCCCATTTACCTCTTGTTTAAAACACTGTGTTTTGGATTCTGTTAGTAACATGAGCTTAGCCTGTACTATGACTAATATAACATGGTAAGAGTCCCCCCACCTCACAACAGAAATTGATATTGACCTATATATATGTGACAGTCTGTATAACAAGCAAATGGACAGTGTGAGAGTGAAAAGCTCCTGATATACCAGCCCATAGTGGTAAACGTATCAGTGATTATAGCTTCTTGATGCAACTGAAAGAGTCAGCTGTAATGAAACAGCTTATCTGTGTATGGGGGAGTACTCAAGTTTTAAACCTTGAAAAATTCCATTTTGATATGCTTTTTTGTATGTTTTTATTTCTTTCATTTCCTAAAACTCAGAGCAATAAACAATCTCCACAACCATTAAGCATTAGCTATGTTTGCATTTTCTAATTTTTATTATCAGTTTGAACTAAATACTTAAGTAATGGTTAGAAATAGTTACATAACAAAAAAGCAGGGAATGGTGCAAAAAAGGGAAGAGAGGTAGGAGGGGTGGCTTAATTATAATATCATCAGCAGCACTTAAGTTTTTAAAAACTCCACCATCCAGGAAATAGTTTATTTAAAAGACCTCATCTTGTGTAAATTTCTTAGAGCCTAAATATGTCCTTTCCAAACATATAATTTTACAGGCATGGTCATATAACATCTGTATGTAAAAACAAAACAACAGTCAAATCTGTTTTTTCTTTTTTTTTTTTTCTTTCTGGGTTTTTTTTTTCCTATCCAATTTGTTTTTGTTTCCCCACAAACAAAAGGAATTGGCCAAAGGCTGACAAGGTTCTTCATGTTTCTAAATTAATCCTCTAGTTTATGGGGAAATGCAACACTGAAGCCAATAAGAGAAAACAGCAAATGTGAATAAGGATTTATCACTTTATATTACTTTGTAGTAATATAAAGTAATTCTCCTGAGAGATGTCAGTTACTATCTTGATTTGTTGTTCTGTTTTCCTTGAAGGAAGGCTCACCATCCAGAAGGCTGAGGGTAGCTGAGTGAATTTCATTCTATTCCCAACTAATTTCATTGAGTCAGCACATAAGACTGGTTAAGAGCACAGATTTAGGAGTCAGACAGACCTGAGACTGTATCCTGATTCTGCTGATTATTAGCTGTGTGACCATGGATAAGGAATAAACTTCTCTGAGGTTTAGTCTTCTCATCCATAAAACAGTAACGATCAGAAACTTCCTCAAAGTACTGTAAGGAATAAGTGAGATGAGTCGGAAGAACTTAACACAATATCTTATCCAGGGCTTTGCTGCTAAGTATTTTTCTATTTCCAAAATAATCATCTCATAACATATTTTTTTAGCAACCACTGTGTGACAATTTCTTTTGACATGAATTATTTCTAATTCTCACAGGAATGCTGGGAAAAAATCAAAACACCCTCATTTTACAGATGGAGAAATTGGCTCAGAGAGGTGAAGTGGCTTCCTGAGATCACACAGTGAATATGTGACCAAGGAGGACCTGAAACCAACCCACCCAACATCAAAGCCTGTGCGCTTTCCACCAGGCTGAGGTGTCCACCCCTGTGGTCAGTGTGTGTCTCAGTGTGGGACAAAGGAAAAACCATGCAGCTTTGGAGGTCTCCAAACCTCCCAGTTTAGGATAAACCCCTCAATTATGCTTGAAGTTGGACCAGCTTTTGAAACCTCTACTGGACATTCTTTTCCCATCAAGTTCCTTGAAATGTCTCTTTAAAATACATCTAGGAAAAGCCACTCTCATTAGCCAGAGTCTGACTTTATTTTCCTAATAAACAGACCTCCAGTAAGACAAAAGAGCCTCTTTTATTTTCAATCAATTCTTGAATATTTCAGTGGATTTTCTTCTGTTTGGCTTGAAATTGTGATCTGGGAAAGGCTGGTCCTGCGAATTGTCCTCCTGTATAAGGGAAGCCCCTTGAGGATCCTCAACTTGTTATTTTTAATCACTGTAATCTCCTTTTCAAAGGAGGCCCTGGCCAGAAACAGAGCAGGCCTTTCAGAGCTTTCTAAAGCACAATTATTGCCGTTGGAGGGAGGGGGGACTGTGGGAAGAGGGAGGGAGAGTAGAGAGAAGTGGTGGGAAAGAAAAGGAAATCAATATAATACTAACAACTTGGAAAAGACAAAATAATGATCTCAACTGGATTCAGGTTTTGGGGAAGAAACTCCATGTTTCAGTCTTTTTTAATAGTGACCATTTTATTCCGGTCTAGAGTACCTAAAGACTGTACTTAGACAGCAGGCACAAAGAACAGAAGCTGCTTGGGGATGAACTGGAATACTGTGGACAAAGATTTGAGGCAGGAAAACAAGTCATTGATTCCAAGGATTGTGAGGAATCCTAATTCATGAAAAAATTAAAAAGCAAATAGAACACCAGGGGAATGCCAGCTTCACAGCCTTAAGTCAGGACAATGAGCAGAATGTGTTTGAGTTACTTTTAACATAATTATTCTAAGAAAGAAGGAGCCAACAGAAAATGTCACAAACTAGGCCAGTACCTTTTCTTTCGGACTTTGAGTGGCAGAATCAGGTTTGCTAATTGCAGGATATTTACTTGGAAAACCTCAGCATGGTTCCTGCAAGATCTCTTCCAAGGTCTTTTAGCCATAAGAAGGGAGAAAAGATGATTGCCCAATCTATAGCCTGAGTTGGGGTGTCAAAGTCCAGATGGCTGTTTAGGCAGGAGTAGCCTGTAGGGTGAAAGTCCAGGACACTCCCTATCCAGTCCCAGTTCCCCACCTGCTGGCCCTGGACGTTTAGGTAGTTCTGAAACCTCTTTGGCCCCGTGAATACCAGCTGTATCTCCTTCCCAGTGCTAGGGCCACCAGCTGCCAATGCTCAACTAAAACACGGAGGATTAGTGTGAAAAGAGACGCTGGGTACACTTGGCCTGAACCTCAGACTAGTCTAAGTCACTGAAAAAATCTTCCTGGGCTTGCATTAGCAACAGTCTTAGGCAAGGCTCCTGATATGAAAAAATACCTCATTCATTCATTCAATTAATTCATGAGGACCCAAATAACCACTGGTAGATGAATGGGACTGGAGGAGAGCTGAGGAAACCTGCTTTCAAACGCACAACACTCTTCAAAAACAAAAATCTGATCAAGAACCTACCTCCATTAGTAAACCAATAAAGGCCTCACATTCAACTGTTAGGCTTATTAGGAATCTCTTTTAGCTCAGGCACACTCACCTTTGTAAACTCATTTACTCCCTACCACCAAGAGAGGGTGGATAAACAGCTTTTTTTTTTTTCCAGCTAGGAAATAGGTGCAGAGAAATTAAATGACTTGCACAAGGTCACACAGCGAGTAAACCCAAGTCTGTTGGACTCCAGAGCCACTTCTTTCTCTGCTACGTGGAGCGGGGACAGTTTCCCCTGTGAACTCAGGTCCTCAGTTTTGGGGAGGGCCGAATAGGCCACTGAAGTCATACCCGCTTCCCTGCGGTCCACAGGGAGGATCGGCCGCCTCCCGGCTGCACCGAGTGGCAGTCGCCGCCCGTCGGCGCGGCTCGCTCTAGCCGCGGTGCCAAGCCGCGCGCTCCCTCCCGGGCTGGGCGGGGTGTTCTCCGCCCAGAATCTTTCTTCGTGGAGTACCCAGGATCCCGCGGAGCTGCGCGCCGGGGTCAGACTGTTCCTCGCAAAGTGCTCAGCACGCCAAGGTGCCAAGGGCACCAAGGAGCCGGCTTTGGGTAGCTCCGGGTGGAGAAAGTCGGGGACACAAACCCGGGAAAGGGGGAAAAGCGCTCCAAGAAGGGTGGCCCCTGGCTTTGGTCTCCGGCGTGACCCTGGCGCCCGCTGACGCTGCCCCAGACTTTCTCCTGTGTTGCTCCCACCGCTTCCGTCCAAGGCTCTCTGGGGAACTGGGAAGGCGAGGAGGAAAGTACAGCAGCTGGGAGCCCATTTGCCCCACCAGGTGCCCCAGTGACCCGCTCATCCCTGCTTAGCACCAGAGCTGACTTATGAAGGGGCGAGGGTGAGAGGACACGCTCCCTGGCGGGAGCTAAGGTGAGGCCAGACAGGCTCGCTTCCCTTCCTGGTTACCTGTCCCCCACCCGGAGAGCGGCTGCTGCTGCACGGGGAAACGATGTCTGGGGAGATGACCCTGCTGAGGAGCGAGGTGGCGGGCGTGGGGACAGAGTCAGGCGTCTTCAGATCGGTGCTGGTCGAACTGCCTGTCCCGCCTAGGAGGCTCTCACCTGCTTGGACACCTCCTCCCTGAGCTCCCGAAACCCCACTCTCAGCCGAGCGGCGTAGGCGCGACATCCCTGGGACGTGGAGACTCCGAGCTGCCGGAGCCAAGGTTCCCCGGCCTCCAGGGAGCAGGCCTCGGGCATCGGGGCTTCTCTTTCCATCTTCATCCAATTCCCCTTGCAGCTCGGAGCTTACCCCAAGCTCTTTGAGGACCCTGTCCCCACTGGGAACCTGTTCTGGAAACCCAAGATACTCTATCTCGTCTGGGACCACGAGAGAATAATTTGGGGTTCTTTCCAAGGACCCTTTCGAGGAGCTTTAGGCTGTCCCTGCCCCTCCTTCCCGCACCCCGGGACCGGTTAGGGAGAAGCCAAAGTCCCTTCTCCTGAAGGGACCTATCCAGGGAAGCCGGAGTGGCTGTCCCGCCCAGGGCCAGTCTTTGAGAATCGGGTACCCTCTCCTTCAGGGACTGAGCGGGGAAAGCTGGAGTGGCTGCCTTGCCCGGGACCCGACCAAGAGAAGCCTGGGTCCCCTCCAGACCGATTTGGAGAAAGGCAGTTTTACTTCCCTCCTGCAGACGGCCGGGGGAGAAGCGAGCCTCCCTTGCAGTCAGGCCGGCGTGACGTGTGGCTCAGTTACATCCTCCGCCTGGGAACCGCGCGTCGGAAACGCGGGGTGCCTCTCCTGGCTGCGGCCCCCGCGACGGCCCGGGACGCTGGATTATGATCCGCGCCGAGCTCGCGACTGCAAGGGCCGAGGGCAGCCAGGACAGAAGGGCCCTTGCCGGGCTGCACCCGCGCCACGCGCCCGGAGACCGCGCGCCCTCCTCCGGCACCGCGAGGTCGGCGCCCTCCGGGGACCGGGTCCCGCTCTCCTAATGCCACGCCGGGCGGCCACTTACCGCGGTAGCTGGTTCCCGGCTTGTAGAAGTCGGGGTCGCCCTCCACGCGGAGGCTGAACTCGGTGTAGCCCTCGCGCCGCGTGCCCTGGGCGCGCAGGATACGGCTGCAGTAGCCCTCTGACTTGGGCACTTTGTCCAGGGTCTCGTCGGAGAAGGCCAGCGCCGCGGCCAGGGGCAGCGCCAGGGCCAGCAGTGCCGGAGTCCGGCTCAGCTTCAGGGGCGCCGGGGACAGCCTCATCTTCGCGGCCCCCAACTTTGTGCCGCGGCCGCAGGCCTTCGCCACGCGACTCCTGCCCGAAGTGGTCCCGACGAAGGCGCGACCTGGCGGAGGCGCGGCGGAGAGAGGGAGCTCGGAGCTGGCGTCCGCGACTCGGAGACCGTGCCCGCCTCGGCTTGGCGGCCGCGGAGCTGCGCTGAGCTGAGCTGAGCTGAGCCAAGCGAACGAGAGCAGCGCGAGGAGGGGAGGGCCGCGGCGAAGGAGCGGGAGGAGGGAGGGCTGATTTTGCCCAGATCCCCCAGCGCAGCGCTGTTTTGTTTCCTCCGAACTGGCGATTAGCGGCGCGGCCGTGTTTATTTTGCGACGTTGGATTCCCAGGGTCTGACGAAGAAACCGTGGCATACCGGACCCTGTGGGCTCTGTCCCATCGCCTAGGAGGCTGCTGCTCCAACCCCCAGCTACACTCCGGACCCTCTGGAGGACGGCGCTCAGAGGAGGGAAAGCCTGAGAAATAACTTTTGTTGCACACCTGCTCTGTGCCTAGCAATATGCTTGGCGGCTTACTTACTGTATCGACTCGCCTTCATGTTCCCTACTCCCAATAAAGATTACATTACTTTCGCTCACTTTATAGATGAGCAAACTGTGACTTGCGACCAGTTACAGCAGGGTTAGATGCGGCGACTCCGGGCCCATTGCTCTTCCCAAGGCCATAGTGGAACATGTCAGACTGGAGGCTGAGAAAGGAGAAACGACTTAGCTACAGCGCTTAGGGCCCACGATACTTTTGGAGATCTATGAAAATGTTTTCTGTAAAAATCAGAAGAAAAAATTTATGTCAAACAAAATGTTTTACTATATAATGTTAATATATTTGTATTTATACCTCCACAGTCATAAAATATGCTTGACTTGGAGGAAAGAGCCAGCAAAGGCAAAAGTGCCTAAGGCTCAGGAAGGTCCTCCTACAGCCCAGGAAAGGAGTTTCCAAAGATTCAATGAAGAGCCTGTGTTTTCTTGGCTTACATTTTAGTTCAGATTCTCACTCCCCAGGGACAGATGTTCAGAGAGGTGCTGAGCCTGAGGGCCTGAAGGGAAAAGACCTGGGGCAAGAATCTCTCCCAGTGTCTCTCTGGGAAGAGACCCGAATCAAACCTCAGTCCTGCCACTCACCCATTGTGAAGCTTGGGCTAGTTATCGCACTCTCCAAGCTTGTTTCCTGCTCTGGAGAACAAGGAAGTGGGGGTGGGTGCCAGTACATCCTTCTTAGAGGTAGTGGGGTGATATGCTAGAAGTAAATGATATGACCCATATAAAACACTCTAGTTGGTCTCTAGTGGCGCCTGCTCCCTCACCCGCTTGGGGATACCATAAGCCCCCTGCCTCTCAGTGCACACAAACATCCCTCCCCAGGTGCCCTCAGAAGCTTTGGTTTCCTCGTCTTCTCTTTGCCCAGGGCCTTCGACACACCTCAAGTGCCTACAATTAGCAAGCAATCTCCTTTGCTTTCCAGGTCAGGGTTTTCTCTTTCATAATGCTACAAACAGGCCCAGGGCGCTAGGTGCATGGGAGATCTCCATTCCTCCCTGCCTGCCCACTTACTCCTTAGTGCTTGTGCTGGAATTCCCACTGCCACTATTAACTGGACGCCTTCTCTCAGAGGTCACCTGAAAGTAACCCCTTGCTGAAGCCAATTATGCTCTTCTCTCATCCCTAGCCCTTCTTGACCCTAGCAGCACCTGATCCAGCTGATCGGCCCTCCTTTTTGAGGTGAGGCTCAGATCCATGTCTGAGTGCTGAGGGAATTGTCTGCATCTTCACTCGACTGGCTCAGAGCTCATGCTGCACTCCAAGTTGCACGGTCCCATTCATCCAGCAAACTTTCATTAAGTGTAGATTTGGAGCTAGACTCTGTGCTGACCGGTAGGTAGAAGACGGAACAAAAATTCATCCATCCATCCATCCATGCATCCTTCTATCCATCCATTCATTCATGACAAAGACCCTCCACGTGCTCAGTGCTTGGATACAAAACACAGATATGTTACTTGCCTTTGAGGATTTTACAGGCCTGTGGCAAAGGCAAATATTAAATACATAATTATATGAATCTTTTAAAATTATAATTGTGATGTATGCTACAAACTAAAATAAGTGGTTCTTGAAAGTGTACCTGATCTTATCTCAGAGGGCAGGAAACTACAGAAATGAATAAATTGTGACCCCTGTCTTCACAAAGCTTATTTTATGTCTGAAAGCTCAAATCTGTGCTCTTGAACCTCTATTCATCTACAAAAGGTTCAAATCTAAGTTGGAGATGGGTGGGCATGAAGTAGGCAGGAATGCAATATTTAACTTTTTATTGGATATTGACAGGAAAACTATGGGAAGTAGGCAGTCCCAATTCACCTCCGCACTCCCATTGTTCAGATTAGGAGCCTATGAAATTACCTGCTGAGGTAATGTTCCATGGCTATTAAGGGAAAGAGCCAGGATTTAAAACAGGCATCCCCAACACCAAATGAGGTACTTTCCAGTACACAGTGTTCGCCCTATCATCTGGGCTATGACGGCAGGCTCTAACCAGCTCACCAAGCTCCAATCCCACTACATGAGCTAGGTTTTCCTAAACCAGCTTGGCTGTCACTCAGACCTCTGCTGTCTTCTCCACTCATCCGATCCATCACCACATCAAGTTTCACGCTCTTCTCCACCACTACCCCTGTCTGTGTTGACATCCTCTCTCATCTTCCTAACTGGGTTGCCCTTGTCTACTTGTGCTCTCCTTCCATCTGTCTTCTGCACTGAAGCCCAAGTGATCTTTTTAAAAATGCAGATTTGAATGTCAATCCTGAGGTTAACATTTTTTCTTGGTGGTTTTTCAGGGCTCTCAGAATAAAGACAGAATCTTCAGCCAGGCCTCCAAGGCTCTGCTTGATCTGCTTCTCCAGCCATGCAGCTCTTCTCTCATGGGCTTTGCCTGTGCTGTTCTCTCTGCCTGGAATCCTATCATGCTCTTTGGTCTCTCCTAGCCACCACTCTCCATTGGCCAACTCCTATGTACTCTTCAGATCTCAGTGCAAAACTGCCTCCCCAAAGAAGGCCTTTCTGATTTCCTAGAATAGATCCAGCCCCCAAAACTCTGCTGAAGCTCATGAGTACCTTTTCTTTTAATCTCCTCCTCCTCCTCCTCCTTCTTCTTCCTTCTTCCTCCTCCCTCTCCTCCTCCTCCTTCTTCTTTCTCCTTTCTCCTTTCCTCTTTCTTCTTTCTTCTTGAGGCAGGGTCTTCCTATGTTGCTCAGGTTGGTCTCAAACTCTTGGGCTCAAGCAATCTTCCTGCCTCAGCCTCCCAAAGTGTTGGGACTACAGGCATGAGCCACCACACCTGGCTTCTTTTAATATTAAGATTTATAATGACCCATTGATTTATAAGTTTGATGTTTAAAATTTTACATTTGTTCAGTATTTGTCTCCATTCTAAATTCTAAGCTCCAGAAGGGTAGGGGATGTCTATGGGGCTTACCACTGTATTTTCCGTGCACATCGTAGTGCCCGGCCCCTGGTAGGGGTTCCATAAATATTTTTTCTCTGAATAAAAACTTTTTAACAAGCCTACCCTCAGTGCCTTCTGACTCTGCCCAAATTTTAAGACTTGGCCTCTAAGGCCATCCACAATCTGGTCTCACTGTGTCCATCTGGTCATGCCTGGTCATAGATCCCAATCTGAGCTCCCAGCACCACCCAGCTGGGCTCCCCGTGTCCTCCACTTCAGTATTGCCTCAGCACCTTTGCTTACAGCTTTCTCATGGCCTGGAATGCCCTCCCTCCTCCTGCCTGATTAAATTTTCCTCCATAGAATGAGATCCTGCAGTCTCCCCTCCTGTGGACTTCAGTAGAACTGAGGAGGAGAAAAAGTTTCCCATTTTGACTACTGTGGTCCAGTGGATTGTCATGAACTATTTCATGTGTCTATTTCTCATCTCCTAGCAATGAATCCAGTTTACTTTCCCCTTAATTTCCTGTTCAGATGTTTTGTTCTTTTGTAAAATATACTGGACTTCAAGAAATCTCCTTCCAGTTTTTGTAGCCTAAGGCAGAGCTGATGTCAGTTGCTAGGGTGTTGCTAAGGAAAGTCATTTAGCCAGGGCAGATAATTAACTTTATCAGTGTGTGTGGGTAGGTCGCAGAAGAGAAGAGCTGGGGGCTCCAGTTCTCCAAGGCGAGAAAAGTCCTTTGATTCATAGGAGGTAAGATCTCCCTCTTTTTTCTCCCCGCTTTAAGAGAGAAGGGGGAAAAGGATTTTCTAGATTAGTGTTTTTCTGAGTATGGTCATTGAAACATGAGCATCAGATGTTTGCTTCAAAGGCAGATTCCGAAACCTCATCCCAGACCTACTAAATCTGTACTTTGAAGAAAAACTCATACTGAAGTTTAAGGAACCGTCGTCCTAGACCGTAATTCAGACTTGAAGTACATGGGTTCCAGGCTGGCTCTTCTGTTTTCACCATGTGAAGCTGTGCAGTCTTGGAAAGTCACAGGACCTATCTACACGGATTATGTGCAAAATTGGACATAGTAATACCCATCTTGCCTACCTTGTGGGATTTTGAGAAACAAATGGGTAACTGAGATAATTTGTAAACTGCAATGAGGTCACAATAACCCCACCCAGTTATTATTGTTACTTTTATTAATTCAGAAAAAGAGTCTAGAAACTTTATGTTTTTGTTTCTCTTATATATAGAGTTAAATTGGACATTTTATAGAAAGGGATTTCTAGAGAAAGAAAACAGATAGGCAATGAAGGAGTTGAATTGCACTGAATAATCTATTGTAATCTGTGGTGAGGAGGCCTGGAAGCTGTCTACAGGTGAGCCAGCAAGTTTAAAGACTAAGTTATGGAAACTGAATACATACGTACATACGGTAAAAAAAAAAAAAAAATCCTAAAAGCAAAAGACATTCATTAATTACAAAGATATTTCTTCAGAACCTGCTGTGTTCTAGGCATCAGCCAATTATATATAATTACATTACCTTTGGAATCCTGAATCTGATTGGGCCCATCCCACAATTCCATGTAAGGTATGAGCTCCTCCGATCACCCGTCTCTCCAGTCTTTTGGTCTCCATTCAGTTTTGCCCTTCCTTCTGCTCTCTGGAGCATTCCTCTATCGATTGCCCATTGCCGTATCCAGATCAACATTCTAGTAAGTAAGAGATAATAAGAGTCCCTCCTACATTAAAACTCCCAGCATCCAATTTATACTCCTTCATCCTATCTCCATCATCTGTAGCCTCCAGGTCACTTTCCTGCAGCCACTGTGGACTCTGCAACTGGCTCTCTAGCTTCCTGCCTATTGTCTCATGCTATGGGCCTGGGAGATTAGCCTGATGAAGTCTGAGCTGACAATTTAGTCTCTGCTCTAACCTCCTCTACTCCAATGAGCTTGGCCTCCCTCCATATCAGCAGCCCTCTCCCACAGAAACACCCTCTTCTTTGGGAATCTTGAGCTCCCAATAGCACTTTCTCATTTTACTTCCAGCTTTCCCATTTCTCACCTCCTCTATGTCATTGAGGTCTACAGCTGCTTAGTCACTTCTGATTTTTTCCAGCCCATCTTGTTAATTCCTTCCCCACCCAGCCTGGACACCATGTTCAATCATTTTAACTATATCCTAACCACCATTCTTCATTAGCTCTCCTCTTTTATTTCTGTTCCTCCTCTTTAACCCCCAACCTACAGCAAATCAACCAAGCAAAACAATGGAACCCTCCCCGACTTCTGAGTTCTGCTGCACAAAACCTGGTAACCCTGCCAATTACTTTACTACAAATGCATGAATTCTACCTTTAAGTATAGTTCTTAAATTTATTCCTAATCAGTTTCTTTTCCTATTCATCTAGTCCTTACCATCTTTTCAAGCCTGCTTCATCACTCTTTAATTCTCACTCTTTGGTATGGAGAGGGGTGGTTACTTGCCCTCTTATTTTATCCCTCACATGGGGGACATTAGGCATGAACTTCTTCAAATCTCCATATCTCCTTCCACAAACCAAACTCTGGCAAAATCCAAGTTCACTTCTTGCCTCAAATGCAGAAGGGTTTAACTCTTCAATTTTTTCAAGGCTAATCCCCTACTTGCATTCTTGTCCTCATTTCCTGACTTCTGCCAAACACTGATCTAGCTCTTATCCTCTCTCCCTCTTGTATTTCTGTTTCTGTTTCTGTCCATGTCCTTGGCCTGCGGCTCTAGCTAAGTCTTCCCCATCCTGGGCGGGGAATTGGACTAGGGATTCAGGTAGTGCTAGTCAAGAGACTGGACTTTTTACTGACCTTGTCTCACTCTCTGTGTCCTCTGTTGTAACTCTGTTTCCTCAGTTTTCACTCATTTTTTTTTTCATGTGGTGTAGCTTGGAATCAGCTCATATCTCTTTACGGAAAGTGTTCTAACAGAGATCACCTAAGACCTCCTAATTGCCATAGACGTTGTCTGAATTAAAAACAGCGGAATAGAAGCTCACCACTGAGAGCAGTTAAAAAGAATTGCACAGCAGGAGGTCTTCCAAGGTATAGATCTGCTCCCAACCTGGAGATCTCTAAGTCTCCTTGCTTTTAGGTTTACGGATTAAAGAGAGCACTGTGTCTAAATGCAGCACAGCATGCCAGGTGCAGCTGTGGGCAGCTCCCAAGAGCAAACCCTTGCAAGTCCAGCCACACATAGAACCCAGACGCAGTCTACATTCCCCTTGTGGTTCTCTTGCTATTAATCTAGCAACCCGACCCAAGCAGAACCACTTTTTTGAAGTTCTGGGAACTTCATGGCTTGGACCACATGACCATGGCACACTACTGCCACCTGGTGACAGTGAACTGAACATGCAGCAGTATTAAGTAAAAACTCCTAAGCACCCCGGCACTCCTTGAACCTATTTTAAACTGGAATGTTTGGGCCCATTTTAGACTAGATTGTTTGCTCTTTGAGAATAGACTCATTGAGTTTTACACTATTTTAGAATAATATGTCTGCATAAAGCAGGTGTTTAGTGAATTTTTGTGAAATTTAAGCCTTTCATTCATTCAGCAAACATGTATTGGAGGAGGTAATCCAAAGAAAAACAAGACATAATTCCTGCCTTCAAGAAGCCGCAGAGATGGATAAAGCAGATATTTGTAAAACAAAGAATTATGTGTACTAAGTATTAAAGGGGGCACAGAGAAGGGAGTAACTAATTCTGCCCAGGTAAAGTAACACTTGAAAAGGTACTCAACACCTTCTCGAAAGACAGATCAGAACTTGTCAACTGGACACGGGGATGGAGAATATAGGAGGGGAGGAGAGCTAATGCAAAAGCTTAGAGATGAGAGAAGGCAGAGTGTGTCCTTCGGGTAGCAGAGTGACCTTTTCAGTGGCATTGTATGAAGATGGATTGTCCAGTGAGAGTGTAGGGGGGGTGACACATGTTAAGAGGCTTTAACAACAGTCCAGAGGAGAGCTGCGAGCTAAGGCTAGGAGGAAGGGATGAATTGGAGGGCTGTTCAGGAAGCAGACTAAAGAGGATGGAACGCCTGGTGATATGCAGGAAGGGAGACGGGAGTGGCTCTGAGAGTTCTCATAAGGGCCACTGGGTTGTATATCTACCACCTCAGTGGTATATTTTTCCAAGACAACAAATTCAAGAAGAGAACCCACGGGACATGTGGGAATGAGGAATGTGTGAGATGATATATATTCCATTGTGGACACTTGACATTTAAGGGGTCTTTCAGAGGGGGATGTACAGTGGACTGTCAAAGACAATAGGTTTCTATCTCAGAAGGGAGTGAGCACTGGAGACAGAGACCTGGGAGTTGGTATTGTGCCCCAACACTCCCTTTAAGATACTCTCAAAGCTTAGCTGTCTTATGTTACTTCTCAGCTTTGTGCTCTGATTTCCAAACCAATAGACCGATTTGATAGATGTAATTTTGCTAGCATGCTAATGGGAAAATAGTAATCTTGAGTTCCCTACCTGGTTCACAAGGTGACACAGGAGGATGTTTACAATGGCATCCCAGGGTAAACAAAAGATGTAGGACTCTAGCCTCTGTAACCTAGAAGGTACTCATGGTTCTGGAGAGCTTCCCAAGCTTGTTGGCTGATCGCTCCTTTGCTCATGCATAAAGCTGGAACTGGAGGAAGGCACTGAGGGCGGAGAGTAGAGGAGAAAATAGACCTACATCCTTTCTGCCTGACAAGAAGAGAAAGAGACAGAAGGGAGGGAAGGAGACAAAGCAAACAGAACTGGAAATAGGGAAGAAGACAGAAATGACCAGAAAGCATATTTAGTGCATAAAGAAATACATAAGAGTGTCTGAGAAACAACAGAGGAAATGAGGCTCCCGTCCTCCTATTACCATAATGAAGTATCCATGTGAGGCAATAAAAAGGCTCTTTTTATGCCTTCCAATTAACTAGGGCTCAAGTTTTGCACGTCTCTCAGCTGGAAAATATAATTGCTGAAGTGTCAGGTTTACCAATTGGGTTGTGGCTTTAAATAAAGTGCCATCCAATTGTTATTTCACATATACAACCCAAAGAGCTGGCACCTGGAGGGAAAGGAAAAACAAAACCTCCAGAACATAATTCAGGCCCAAAACTCATTTCTCTGAGAAAAACTTGAGCCCAGCTTGTTGGTATGAACATTAAGAGGGAATAAGAATAAAAGACATTTATTCACTCATCAGATAGCGGTGACACTGACAATGCTGAGCCCTTTACTGGGTCCCTGAAGGATGGGAAAGCATGCCTCCATCTACAGAGGGCTTGCAATAATCACAGCTGACAGTTCATATCATGCCTACTATGGGCCAGGCAGTGGTCTAAATGCTTCACACATATCTCATCCTTACAACAAGTGTTTTATTACTCCCATTTTGCAGATGAGTAAACTGAGGCGTAGGTACCTTAGATTACTTGCTTGCCCAAAGTTACAATCTATTTGAGAGCCAATGCAATTGTACAAGAGACACTTTCGTGCCAATGACAGATTAAGACAATGGTGTCTCAAAGGGAGAAATCCCCACAGGCTAGAGTGGCCCAAAGGTTTCAGGGGAGCAGTAGGACTTGATGGGTAGGTGGGATTTGGAGATAAGAGGGGAAAAGACATCCTAAGTCATGCAGACTGTAGGAGCCTGGAGTAGTGGTGGCGTAGTGAGAGGCCACCCAGTCTGGAGCAGAAGGTTTGTGGCGGGGAATGACAGGGAAGCTGTAATGGGAATAGGGCTGTGATGAGCCCGTAGTGTTGGGGTTTCTCTCTAGAAGTTTTAAATTTGCAATGAGCTTCAGTTCTCAGCCCAGTGCATTTTCAGGCAGTGGCACAGGAGCCAGAATTCAGAGTGCATTTATTCGTCAGGCTCCGTTAACTCATTAAACGTGCATTTCACTTTTGTCTCTTTTCCTTCGTTCTCCTTAACAAGGCCTGGCATCTCAGATGCTGACTTTTCAGAAAGATTCTTATGCAGATTGTCAGTCCCCTTCCTTATCCTTGAAAATGCAGCTGAAATGGCCTCTCTGTGAAGACTTCGCTGGCAGCCACAGGCAGGGTTGTCACTCCTGTGTGCATCGGCTCCTGTGTAGGATCCCTTGTAGGATTTATCACAGGGGATCAGCATCTCTGTATACATCTTGTTATCTCTCACAAGACTCTGGAGTCTTTACAATGTGGAACTGTTTACTTTGTATCCCTAAGTGCCTTCCACAGTGCCTGGCACATAGTAGATGCTCAGTAAATGCCTGCTGAAGGAAAGAATGGATGAACAATGGAATGAATTACCACTATTATATTGGAAGGTATATAGAGAATTATCTGCTTCAAATCTTTATCCCTTTAATGAGTTCTCTCTATAAAATGAAAGTTGCTTCGTTGCTATTACAATAGCCTATTTATTTATTGCCTTCATAATACACATTACGATCTGTAATTATTTAATTTGCTTGTCCACTTGTTTATTGTCTTCCTCCCTTAGGACAGTGTAAACACCAGGAGCGTAGGTACCACATCTGTCTTGTTTACTGTGACATCTTTAGCTCCTTGCACGGTGCATAGCATGTAGTAAATACTCAACAAATATTTGTTGAATGAGTATCATATCTCCAACTGATTGTCCAGATTATTTTTGAATCCCTTAAGTTAGGAGAAACTCACCAGCTCCTTCCATTCTTTTAGATGATTCTAATTATTAGGAAAATTTTTGTTTTTATTGAAGTGAAAACCACTTCCCTAGGGTACTTACAGAACAAGCTTACCTCTCTTCCGAGAAGCAGCCTGTGGCAATTTAAAAATAGGTCCATAAATTTTTTGATGCTCCTCCCTTCAAGAGGTAGAGCCTAATTCCCCTCCCCTTGAGCGTGACCTTGACTCAGTGACTCACTTCTAATGACTAGAATAAAACAGAAGTTATGATGTGTGACTTCAGAGACCAGGTCATGAAAGGCACTGTGACTTCTGCCTTGCTCTCTAAGATAGCTCACTCTGGGAATGTTAGCTGCCATGTCATAAGGATATTCATGCAACCCTGTGTAGAGACCCATGTAACAGGAACTGAAGCCTCCTGCCATGAGAATGAGCCATCCTACAAGGGAATCCTCCAGCCTCAGTCAAGACTTCAGATGACTGCAGCCCCTACATACTGCTTGCAGCCACACAAAGATTCTGAGCTAGAGCCACCCAGTCAAGGCACTGGTGAGTTTCTGACCACAGAAACTATAAGATAATAAATATGTGTTGTTTTAAGCTACTAAATTTTGGTGTAATTTGTTATATCACATTAAATTCACAGCCATTTACATATTTTCTGAGAATTACCATGTTGTACTGTTTTCTTCTCTTTTCCAGGTTAGGCATGGTTTCTGGGCCCATCATCTTTCTGTTCTGTTTCCCAAGGGCACATTGCAGCTTGTTACCAACGTTGCAAAAGGCTGGTACTCAGAAGTGAAAACAGATTTTAGGGTATGGCTGTGCTATCCCAGAAGGGAGAAGCTATATCCTGCCCAACTAAACATTGCCACATCATCCTGTCAATTTACATTGATTTTCCCTTCATTTAATTATGAAAAAATTTCAAACCTATGGAAGAGTTAAAAGAATTTTACAATTAACACTGATATATCCACTAACTAGATTCTACAGTGAACACACTTTGTCACAAATCTGTTTATCTGTCCCTGTATCAGTCCCTTATTCCTTCTTTTTCATAAAGGAGTGAGATATATATTTCTCAAGATTTAGCACTATAATCTCACTTAGGATGGAGCCAATTTCATATTTTGATGAAAGCTTTTTTGGTTTTTAGCAATCAGCACAACATTAAACTGCCTGCCAGAGCTGTTCTCATGCTGATTTTGCTGTTGTGTTGGTGATAGCAGCATGGCAACAATATATTCTTCTTTTTTTTGATACATTTCAAAGTAAGTTAATAGACTTTTTAGGCAATTAAAATCTCTAAGTTCTTTTCTTACTTTGCTGATTCTACCTACATCTTCCCATCTTCTGCCTACTCCTGAAATATAGGAATTACTTACATTTAGTAGCAGAGGAATGCAGAAAGGTGTAGAAAAATGAGAATAGGTCTTGAAGGTAGATAGACTTAGGCAGGGTTCCTAGTTCTTCCACTTCCATCAATGGGATATTAGGCAAGTGATTTAACCTCTTGGAGTCTTGGTTGTTTCATCTATAAAATGAAACCGATAAGAATACCTACTTTGTAAGGTTATTAAGAGGACAAGAGATTATATATGGAAAGTGTGTAGCATGGTATCTGGCATCCAGTAGGTGTTCAGTAAATGATGACTAATATTATTTGGTCTACCATTCCTGCCCATCTAGATAATTTTGGATTCTGAACTTGTCATCCAGATTAACATCATCTTCAAGTCCATAAGGTCTACTAGATCCTCATCCTAGAAATTGATGTGGAACATGACTGGGACAAGGACTGAATCTGCTGTCACTTAAAAATATTGTTATTGCCCTAAGTCTGATATTAATTAAAATAATTCAATGTGGTAATAATAGCTGTAGCTTATAGATCTGACATTAACTATTCATCTGCAGTCTTTTGATAGTCTTTCAAGCAGTTATAAATCTACCTTACTCCTCTGTCATGGTTGATCACATTTCTCCATCTTACCTATAAGAATATCACAAGTGAGGATTATAAATCATGCTGCTATAAAGACACATGCACACCTATGCTTATTGTGGCACTATTCACAATAGCAAAGACTTGGAACCAACCCAAATGCCCATCAATGATAGACTGTCATGGGGTGGGGGGAGGGGGAGGGAGAGCATTAGGAGATATACCTAACGTAAATGACAAGTTAATGGGTGCAGCACACCAACATGGCACATGTATACATATGTAACAAACCTGCATGTTGTGCATATGCACCCTAGAACTTAAAGTATAATAATTAAAAAAAACAAAACAAAACAACGAAAAAAGAATATCACAAGTAACTTTGCTTTCTTAATTGATAAATGCATTTACTACATCCACCATATTTCCTTCTTCTATCAGCCTAGTAACATTTTCATTTAAGAAAAGTGGGTTAATCTGCTGGGGTTTCTTTGCAAACTCATGGCAGTTCCTAGCAATCAATTCTTTTTTTTTTTTTTTTTTAACATACATATATACTGTTTCTTGGAAAATCTGTTGTAAGAGAGACTGCTAATTATGTACTCAATATAAATTCTTTTCTTCCTTACTAACAAATTCCTGATCTTGGCCAGGGAGAGGAGCCATGTGCCTAGCTAAATCACTATATTCCCCACTTGTTTCAGATACCACTGGACCATCTGGCACAGTTTTGACCAGTGAGATAAGAGAAGGAAGTTGACGGATAGAGCCTCGGGGAGAGTCCCTCAGAAGGGAAAGGGAGGCTGGAGACAGCTGATGCATCCAATTATGCCCTTGTCCTTTATCTTTCTTCTGCCTGGAATATGGACACTTAGGTTGGTGATAGAGGAGCCATGTTGGGACCATGAAGTGACAATGAGGGAAAGGCCAAGAGAATCTCAGAGATCTCAGTCCTGACATCCTTGAGCAGTTAAAGCAATGCCTCACTTGAAACTTCTCATATAATCAGAAAAATAAGCTTCTAAATTGATTAAGCTACTCTTTTGGGATTTCAATTACTAATAGCTAAATGTGATTCATTTGTACTAGAATTCGGACCAGGATCAACCCAAATGCTCTATAATCTGGAAGACTCTGTCTTCTTCTGATAGAGAAATCAAGATACTATTTGACTATTTTCTGACCTCTGGCACCACTAAATTCCCCCATAGTTTCATTGTCTACATGCCAATGATCTTGTTGGCAACTTATCTTCATGACTAGGTAGGTAATTTATTTAGTCCAGATGTGGCCTCTGCCAGAAGGTTGGAACTTTGACTTACTCTGTTCTCCCCTATTTCTTGCTTACAATCATCAAGAATAACTGTAGAAACTGCTGGGAATGCCACATCCTGAGATAGGGTAGGTACTGGCCACTATAGCCTAGGCTCTGTTCCAGTGACCCACCCCACCCCCCCTCTAGAAACCAGATGTCCTTCAACACTTTAGCCCAGTCTGTCTTGTTGCCCCTGAGGTATATAACCCAGGGAGGGCTGCCTTTTGGGGTCTCTCAGCTGTGGTGCAAGTGAGGCACACACAGTCAGAACTCTGTCTTCCCTGGCAGCTTTCCTGAGCCTTGAGGACCCAGCTCTCAATGAATCCTAGGCTTCTGTTGTCCCTTGCTACCTATTTGTAAGTCATAAGCCCACTTCGTGTAACTTGTTGCATATGTGGGTATTCTGTCTCATCAGACTCAGACAAGTCAGTAATTACTGCACAGTGAACCTGCTTCACAGCCTCATTGGGAGTAGCTGTTTTCTCATCATTTTTCTTGAACTCAAGTTTCTTGTGCCAATACAGGTTTCACTCTCTCCAGTCCAATGACCATTCTCCTTGACAAAGACAAAAGCCCAGTAGAAGAGCGCTTCTGTTTTCTCTCTGTCATGCACCACCCTTACAGCCTCTCCGTTAGCCAGATTCAGGGATCTGCATGTGTTCTCCTTCCAGACAGATGATAATAGGCTGTTCTGTTGATTTTGACATTTCTTACCTGTCTCAGCTCAGTTTGGTCTCCAACCTTCCTTACATGATTCCTTATATATATTTGCAGATTGAATGAATGTTTCTAAGATATGAATAAACTAATGAATTCAATCAACCATGGAAATTCAACAGGGGATGCTCAGTCGCTCAGAGAGTGCAGGCATGGCTTGCTGTTTTGTTTCTGCTACATGTAGAGTGTGGGCTGACTGCACTTCTTAACTATATTTGTGTAGCAACATTCCCTATTCAAAAATGCTGGAAAGTCTTAGCAGAACATACTTGGAAAACAATCTACTACAGAAGTGAGTGCCTGAATTTATTATCTCTTGGTCCAGCCATCCTCTTTGCCAAGCTAAATCCAAATTCCTTCTCTTCTAACTATTTGTCTTCTAACTATTTTTCTGGGAGCAGAAGATGATTCCATCAAACCCAGTCTTGACCGTCTTGACCCAGTCAGTAACACACTAACTGATCTATTAAGCATTCTCTATTTTAAAGCTCCTGACAATCTCTCATTTCAGAAGGTACTTATTTTAGGCAGGGCTCTGTGTTGTGTGAAACAGAGAAGAGATCAGCACATTTTTCAGGTGATAAATGTTTTAGGGCCCAAGTTTGTTCAACCTGCTTTATTTTGTTGTTGTTCTGTTTTGTTTTGTTTTAGGCTTTTAGCAGCCTGAAGCCATGGTTTTTAGTTTATGTCTCTGGTGATAAATGGAAAAGAGGGATGAGGAAGGGGCTTCACTGGACCAGCCAGAAACAGAAACTAAGAACCCATGACGGTGTTCTCTCCCTTGGACACCCCTGTCTAAGGCTCTGGGGGTCATATGATCTCTGGGGCAAGTACTCAACTCTGCCTTTGTAATGTAAGAGCAGTCATAAGCAATATACAGGCAAACAAATGCAGCTGTGCTCCAAAAAATATTTATTGGTGGATACTGAAGTTTGAATTTCATAGAATTTTCATGGGGTGTGAAATGTTATTCTTTGGATTTTTTTCAAGTGCTAAGACCATTCTTAGCTTTTGAGGTGAAAGGCTGGTGTTGACCCTCAGGCCACAGTTTACTGACCCATGAAATGAAGATATCCTTAGGGCTGGTTCAAGCAAATGAGTCCTTTCTGTAAAGCTATAGCAAAAACTTACAGGACCTGGGAAAGGAAATAGAAAGCTCTCAGGCCCTCAGCCTGCAATGCTGTTCCAGAAGTGGTCTCCTTGTGGCTTCCCTGCATCTTTCAGCTTTTGAGTCATCTCAGAGTTAGTTTATGTCTGCACTCAGTCATCCCAGATAAATCAATAGACAATCCAATATGATGGGATGTATGCAATGAAATTGGTATGTATGCATAGGGTGTTATCAGGGACTACAGAAGGCCAGTAGATTAAAAGTAAGGGCCAAGTTGGAGAAGAGAGTTGGTGGTCAGAGGTCTTAGCAAAGCATGGAAGGTTTGGAATAGTCTGTATGGAGAATGAGATAGGAATCAGATGGAGGGGAAAAAAATCCCTCCTAGATTTCATAGAAGGCCCAAGTGATGCTGGCAACTTTTAGCATTTGTTAAGTGCATTAGTTTGGTTGCCGCTGGCAACAAGTAATAGAAAATCTTCTCAAAGTAGCTTAAGCACTAAGTTCAATAGAATGTGAGTGTCATAAGTAAAGTAAATATGCCCATCTTATTTACCAATCCAGCACCAGTTTCTTGGACAGTAGCTGGTGCACAGGGATCGTTCACTTATTCATTCAAAATCCAGTGAATGGATGAACAAGTGAATGATCTCTCATAGCAGAGAATGTCCCCAGGCTTTGTTAACCCAGTGTTTCATTGACATCATGAAAAATTCAGGTTCGGTCTATCTTTTGGCGAGTTGGCTTTGTCTTCAGGCTAGTTTTGCATGGTTGCAAGATAGCTACTACAGTCTGCTCATTATAACCAGACCCAAAAATGTCCAGCAGAAGGTAAAGGAGCTATATGAGCTATATATTCTTTGAGCTTCTTTTTAAAAGTTAGGAAACTTTTTCAGAGGCCTCAGCAGACCTCCTAAGTCCTACTGGCCAGAAGAAATATATCATATACAACATTTAAATCAATTACTGGTGGAAAAAATTGAATACTATGATTAGCTTAGACCTGGGGTTCTCAACTGGAGATGACTTTGTCCCTCACTCCTCCAGAGGACATTGTTGACAATGTCTTGAGACATATTTGAGTGTCACAATTGGGGAAGGGGGATGCTAATGGCATCTAGTAGTTAGAGGCCATGGAAACTGCTAAACCATCCTACAATGCATTGGATAGCATCTCCTATAAAAAAGAAGTATCTGGCCAGATGCGGTGGCTCACACCTGTAATCTCAGCACTTTGAGAGGCCAAGGTGGGCAGATCATGAGGTCAAGAAGTCGAGACCATCGTGGCCAACATGGTGAAACCCTGTCTCTACTAAAAATACAAAAATTAGCTGGGCATGGTGGCGTGCACCTGCAGTCCCAGCTACTCAGGAGGCTGAGGCAGGAGAATCGCTTGAATTTGGGAGGTGGAGGTTGCAGTGAGCCAAGATCATGCCACTGCACTCCAGCCTGGGTGACAGAGTGAGATTCTGTCTCAAAAAATAAAAATAAAAATAAAAAATAAAAAAAAATCCAACCCAAAATATCAATAGCTCTGAGATTGAGAACCAAGTCTTAGACCAATCAGAAAACCCCCTGGAGCTGGAGTGGGATTACCTTCCTTGAGGCACATGGCCAGGGAGGAACATGAATATATCTGTATGAAATCAGAGTTCTATAAAGCAGGAGAAATAAAAAGGAGGTAGGGAGTTGGGGAGAAATGGGTGCTGGGTAGGCAATCAACTGAGTCCACTCCAGAGGGACCGACTGGATTGTCCAATTTAGCAGAGGATGAAAAGAGCCTTTGGAGAGGTTTTTTGTTTGTTTGTTTGTTTCAAGCAGAACAAAGAGGTTCTGCCTTCTATAAACAAAATAAGGTCCTGCCTTTTTGGGCAAAATAAAAATTATAGCCTGCTGCCCACCCAGCTTTCCAATAACTATGCATGTGGAAAGATTAGGAGGAAATGATATTTATTGACCTGTGTGACAGCCAGTACCAGGAGCACCCGAGATGTACAGAAACCATGCCAGACGCTTACCTTTATTACTCCATAGAATCCTTGCAATTATACAGCAAGGCATGAATTCCCATCCCCATTTCATAGATGAGGAAGCTCAGGCCCAAGGTGATCCTTTTGTGAGTCAGAGACCTAGGATTCTCCACCATGTTCTGCACATGAAACCCCTTTTCTGAGTTTAGGATGGGGCAAAAGATCCTGCATTTCTAGAGGGAGCATAGCTAGAGAGGAGATCACGTGTTGACTGATGGCCTGTGGATGTCTTAGGTGCTGCAGCATCTTCCAAGGGCAAATAGGCTGAGTCAGAACTGCTTTAGAGAAAAGGCCTCTTGACAGAGATCTGCTTTTTTTTATAGCTTACAAGGCCCAGGAGAATCTTCCAGTCTTAAACTCTGTGAGTTAAATGATTTATTTGGAGACTTTCCCTCCCCCTCCTCCTTAGCACATACCCAGCTTTTATGTCACTCTGCTTTCTGAGCCTGATGGAAAAAAATCAAGAATGATAGAAAAAAGAGCCAAAAATTTTCTCAAGTATTCCTAGAGACAGTATTGGGCCATTAGAGAGTGTCTATTTATTTACTGTTGAAAATCTTCCCTGAAAAGTCCCCTCTTATTTCTTAGAATTAGGATTCAGCCCTGGTCTGCTGGCATGCATGCTGGAGGGAGAAGGCGGCCAGTCTCAGCTGTCCAAACAGCGGGAAATTAAATGCTTTTGTCTCATAGGAGATCGCTGAGCTCCATGGTGATTTTCAGCTCTCACCCAGTGGTGTTACAAAGGCTCTTTTCCCTCCCTCCTTCTTCCCTCTAACTCTTCTGTTTTTTTGAGAGAAGAAGGGGCTTATGGTAGGTAGGTTGCAGATTTGAGATTGAGTCTTAAAAAGAACAAGAAAGAAAAGGGACTTCACTATAATGCATGCTGGGTCCCATCAAAGTGTCTGGTTCCACCCTGACAGTAAGTGCTGCAGGGTGCTAGAAGAGATAAGGACACATTATAAAAACACAGATTGGATTCTGTAGAAAACCTGTGGCTTTTAACAAAACTTATTTGGCCTGAGTTATCTTACCTATAATAAATCTCACTTCACAGGGTCAGTGTACAAATCAAATGAAATATAAGTGTCTGATTCAAAATAGATGGGCAGTTATTGGTTCATTTGGCCAATTCATTTGCATTGAGCTATACTAATTGGAGCTCAGGATATCACATGTTTCACTAAGATGTTTTCCCTGTGTGCCCTTTATTAGTTATTTTTTGCAGTATAATCAACCACCACTTAATATGGCAGTCTAACAACTATTTTCATTACTCATGATTCTATGGGCCAGCAACTTAGGCTGAGCTCAAGTAGGTGGTTCTTATGCTGGTTTTGCCTGGGGTCGCTTGTGTAGCTAACACCATCTGGCAACTTTCTGTGACTGGAAGGTCAGAAATGGCTTCATTTACAAGTTGGTGCTGGCTATTGGCTGGGCCACGTATTTTCAGAAGGATAGCCCAGGCTTCTTCCCACGGTGGATAGTTTCCAAAAGCAGCAAGACAGAGGGAAAGCACCAAGTGCCAGCTCAAGCCTCAGCTTGCCTCCCATTTGCTAATGCTCCATTGTCCCAAATTACATGGAAGCAATGAGAAAGTAGGTAAAATGAGGGTATGAATAAGGGAAGTGTATATCATTGGGGGCCATTCCTGTCTCATGATCCACCGCAGTCCCTTTCCTTCTGAAAACCTACCTCTCCTTGGGTTTCCCAGAAGTAGACTATTTATTCAATGAATATAAATCTCAATTTAAAAACTAGTTTTGCAGTTTAATTTTCATTGAAAGCCCCCTACTCCTTCTTGCTGGATGGTAAAAATTGAGACTTAATTTTTAGTTGCCCCCCGCTGTCACTTTTCTGGAGTTCCATCCAAGTTGCAGGGTTACAGAACCATTATCTGCTCTGGATCATCATCTCTCCATGATGACATTTGTAGAGATGTCCTGGCTCTTCAGTGAGGGTCTGTGTGGTCCCTTTGAGGTCTGGCCTCCTCTTCACTCTCTTTCTGTCCTAATGTAGTGCACTCAACCTTTCTGCCACTGTTATGCCCCCATTGGACTGTGGGAATCTTCGAGGAGCTGTTGAAGCCCCTCTCTGTACACTATGCACTTCTTTTCTGAGCTCTTGCTACCTTTTTTGGTCCCACACAGGAAACAAGATATGCACTTCCATGCTCTTTTCTGAAGAATCTGCCTTGCCCTGAGCTCAGCCTGACTGAAGGATAAACAATCCCCCTTCTTCAGAGATTCACAAGTCTATGCACTCAACTGTTTCTTTCTGACTTTCCCCTTCCTTCACCCCAGGGAAGGTGGAACCTGCTTCTTACTCATCAGCTTTTTTCTCAAACTATTGCTTAAGCCCAGATTTCTCCCTGTTGCCTCTGAAGGCTGGCTTACTGAACATCAAAAGCAGAAAAGCTCCTCTTTTCTCCCTTTCTGGGGTTCATCCCATTCCTGAGATAAGGAACTCAGAATCATTTAGTTTGAGCAGGGGAAGGTCAGCTCTTGGGGATGGGGGAAGGGACATGCTCCTATTTCAAAATATTATCCCAGGACATTTGTTTCCTGCTTCCAACCACAGGATGAATCAGCCTGCACTTTCTCCAGCCAGCAGTGCCCCTTGAAATGCCTACTCCTAGGATGTGCTTCACCAGGTTGCATGTGGATATTTCCTCAGGAGAATGTATTGGAATTGGGAGAATGGTGTTTTATTTTATTGGGTAGCAGTCAGTTGATTTCAGATGAACCAATGTCTTGTCTATATGGCCCTTCTCATGGGCCAGGGTGGTGGAGTCTCATCTGGCACGATTCTCTCCTATTATTCTACAATAAAGTAAAGTAATTTTTAAAAGAGAGTCTACCAGTTTGTATTAGTTTTCTGTTGCTGAATAACAAATTTCCACAAATATTGCAGCTGAAGAGAATCCACGTTTATTATCTCACAGCTTGCATGGGTCAGGTTTCTGTAGTCTAAGCACAACTTAGCTGGGTGCCCTGGTCAGGGTCTCACAAAGTGTTGGCTGGGGCTTTGGTCTCAGGGTTCTTGTCCAAGTGCACATGGTTCTTGGCAGAATTTATTTTCTTGTAGCTGTAGAATTTGTGGTAGCTTGCTTCTTCAAAGCCAGCAACAGAATCTCTCTCTTCAGAAAGGGCCCAGTCTCTCTTTTCAGGGCTTTAACCTAGATTAGTGAGACCCACCCAGTATAATGTCCCATTAGATTAACTCAAAATCAACTAATTTGGCCAGGCACAGTGTCTCATGCCTGTAATCGTGGCACTTTGGGAGGCCTAGGTGGGAGGATTTCTTGAGCCCAGGAGTTCAAGACCAGCCCTGGCAACACAGCAAGACCCTGTATCTACAAAAAATTTTCAAAAATTAGGCAGGGAGAGTGGTTTGTGCCTGTAGTCCCAGCTACCGGGGAGGCTAAGGTGGGAGGATTTTCTGAACCTAGGAGGTCGAGGCTGCAGTGAGCCATAGTTGCACCACTGCACTCCAGCTTGGGTGACAGAGGGAGACCATGTCTCAAAGAAACAGCAACAACAACAAAATCAACTAATTTGGGACCTTAATTACATCTGAAAATCCCTTCACCTTTGACATCTAACTTACTAAAGTGAAACCTCAGCACATTCACAAGCTGTGCCCACATTCCAGGTGTGCGGATTCCACAAGAGGAGCATAACAGGGAGCAGGAATCTTGGGGACTACCCAGGAATTCTGCCTACCACACACTTGTTGCATGCTTGCTCTAGGTCAGGCACTTTGCTCAGCCCTTTCATAAACACTGTGTTGTGAAGATGAGCAACCAAACTCTGTCACTCATCTGAGGTCAACATTATTAATGGCTATCAATCTCCTCCTTTAGTTGTTGTGGTATTCTGCCTTCTACTCTAATTTGTTTGTTTGTTTGTTTGTTTGAGACAGAGTTACACTCTGTTACCCAGGCTGGAGTGCAGTGGTGTGATCTTGGCTCACTGCAACCTCCACCTTCCCTGTTCCAGCGATTCTCGTGCCTCAGCCTCCTGAGTAGCTGGGATTACAGGCGCCCACCACCATGCCTGGCTAATTTTTGTATTTTTAGTAGAGACTGGGTTTCGCCATGTTGCCCAGGCTGGTCTCAAACTCCTAGCCTCAAGTGATCTGCCCCCCTCGACTTCCCAAAGTGCTGGGATTACAGGTGTAAGCCACTGCACCAGGCCTCTAATTTTTATTATTATTATTATTATTAGCCATTAGAGGGCTTTGTTAAACCAGGAAACCACCAAGTCCTGGAACAGATCCATAAGCCCCTGTTAAAACATTAACAGTCACACCGATATTGGGTTAAGGGCTCTGGCCAACAATTGAAAAACAAAGGAAGTATTTATTGAAAAAAGGTATATATATATATATATGCAAGACATTAGATTATTTTATAGGATTCTACTTTTATATTTACAGCATCTCTGCAAGTAGGTATTAAATAGCCCCATTTTGAGGGATGAGAAAACTGAGGCTCAGAAAGCTTGTGTACCTTGCCTGATGCCATAGAGCTAGTAAATGGCAGAGGTGGATTTTGATTAGAGAGTGTTACAGCAAACAAAACACCTTTGCAACATCCTGCAAGGTGGACAATGTGTTTCCCTTGATGCATGGATTCTGTAAGGTATAAATACCTTCAGCTCTTCCGTCCTTCTCTCTCTCTTGGACTACAGATGCATCCATGGAGGTGCAGAAACTTTAAGTTACACTGAGCTTTCACCCTCATCTTGGGAAACTGAAGCAGTGCAGCAGCTCCTTTGTGTGTCGTGCTACTTACTGAGGGAAGGAATTAGCCATGGTGTTCCCTCATCTCTAGAAACATCAGCAACCACATCCTTGACAGTGCAGGTCTCTCTCCAAACCCCATTCTCTATGCACAGCCCACAACAATGCCAGAGACTACCACAGAGCCACCCGGTTTCTTTCTTTAAGAGCCACTAACAACACTTCCATTCTGCATACCTGTCTCATAGAAAATGTCCTGACAGCTTTACAACTCTGACTTCTTTATGGGGCAGTGGAAGAGTGAGGGATGGGAGAAAATCAATACCAGGCAATGAAGGGCACAGGAGCATGCTTCCTGCCTGTGCTCTCTGACCCCCTGCCCCACCCGCTGCCCTGGGCCCAGGCGGAGCTAACAGTACTTAGATTTAAAAGTGTGCTGTCCAAGACCCGGAGGGCATCAAGAGTGGAGGTGACCATGTCCAGGAAGACTATAGGGAAAGGTCATGACCAGGAATTCATTTGCTCAGGACCTCCAGGCTGCTGGGAAGGGGATGGGGTCTGGGTTGGGGCGATGAAAAAAAGAGTATTTGGAATTAAATCATTGGCAGAGAGCTGTGGGCCCCTTCCTTCTGAAGCAGCACTCAGAATGAAGTAAGGATGTTAAAGGAAAAACAGTATCCCCTGGGGCCAGAGTGACGGGGCAGCCAGGTCATCAAGAAGAGATGAGAGGAATGTGAATCACAGTGACAAAGTCAGGCTGTTCAACTTTGGAGAGCTGGGAGGTGTCCTTAATAAGGAAGCTAGAGTTTCCTGCCCACATCAGGAAGGGACTGTTCTTGGGCTCCAGCTCTACCTGGGTCCTCTGGAGACAGGATCCTAAGGGCTACGGTAATTAATGTGACCCTGTAGCAGAAGCTGGCTTCTCCCAGTGAGCCCCATGGGAGAGATACCAGATTGACAGGTAGTTGGGAGAATAGTAAATAGTACCATGTGACCCCTTCTTAAATGGAATTCCCATGAGAAGAAGGTAATTTCCATCATGGCGTTATGAAAAATTCTCAAGCAGCTCTATGGCTGTGTGTTAAATGAATTAAATGACTGTTAAATGGAATTGCCTTTTGCAGCTGTTATTACACAGTGCAAGTTCCCTGCCAAAAGGGCTGCACCAACTTACCTTGTCACAGGAAAAAGAACCCCCTTCCCTGTGGACTCGGGTTTGCTCATGTAAAAATTGTTGCCTAAATTAATACCATTTCGATTTTAATTTGCATTTAATTGCTCATTAGTGAAGTTAAATGCTAGTTTTCCAGATTTGTGTTCCCCTTTCCTTTTGCATTCCCTTTCAGGTGAATCTATAACCTTATTATGAAAATGAGAGGGGGCGGTTCCAAGATGGCCGAATAGGAACAGCTCCAGTCTACAGCTCCCAGCATGAGTGATGCAGAAGACAGGTGATTTCTGCATTTCCAACTGAGGTACTGGGTTCATCTCACAGGGCCTTGTCAGACAGTGGGTGCAGGACAGTGGGTGCAGCTCACCGAGTGTGAGCTGAAGCAGGGCGAGACATCACCTCACCCGGGAAGCACAAGGGGTCAGGGAATTCCCTTTCCTAGCCAAGGGAAACTGTGACAGACAGCACCTGGAAAATCAGGTCACTCCCACCCTAATACCACTTTTCCAATGGTCTTAGCAAATGGAACACCAGGAGATTATATTCCGTGCCTGGCATGGAGGGTCCCATGCCCACGGAGCCTTGCTCATTGCTAGAACAGCAGTCTGAAATCCAACTGCAAGGCGGTAGCAAGGCTGGGGGAGGGGCGCCCACGATTGCTGAGGCTTGAGTAGGTAAACAAAGCGGCAGGGAAGCTCGAACTGGGTGGAGCCCACCGCAGCTCAAGGAGGCCTGCCTGCCTCTGTAGACTCCACCTCTGGGGGCAGGGCATAGCTGAAAAAAAGGCAGCAGAAACCTCTGCAGACATAAATGTCCCTGTCTGCCAGCTTTGAAGAGACTAGTGGTTCTCCCAGCACGGAGTTTGAGATCTGACAACGGACAGACTGCCTTCTCAAGTGGGTCCCTGACCCCCGAGTAGCCTAACTGGAAGGCATGCCCCAGTAGGGGCAGACTGACACCTCACATGGCTCGGCACCCCTCTGAGATGAAGATTCCAGAGGAAGGATCAGACAGCAACATTTGCTGTTCAGCAATATTCGGTGTTCTGCAGCCTCTGCTGCTGATACCCAGGCAAACAGGGTCTGGAGTGGACCTCCAGCAAACTCCAACAGACCTGCAGCTGAGGGTCCTAACAGTTAGGAAAACTAACAAAACAGAAAGGACATCCACACCAAAACCCCGTCTGTACGTCACCATCATCAAAGACCAAAGATAGATAAAACCACAAAGATGGGAAAAAACAGACCAGAAAATCTGAAAATTATAAAAATCAGAGTGCCTCTCCCCCTCCAAAGAAACACAGCTCCTCACCAGCAACAGAACAAAGCTGGATGGAGAATGACTTTGACGAGTTGAGAGAAGAAGGCTTCAGATGATCAAACTTCTCCAAGCTGAAGGAGGAAGTTAGAACCCAACGCAAAGAAGCCAAAAACCTTGAAAAAAGATTAGACAAATGGCTAACTAGAATAACCAGTGTAGAGAAGTCCTTAAATGACCTGATAGAGCTGAAAATCATGGCATGAGAACTACGTGACGAATGCACAAGCTTCAGTAGCCGATTCAATCAACTGGAAGAAAGGGTATCAATGATGGAAGATCAAATGAATGAAATGAAGCAAGAAGAGAAGTTTAGAGAAAAAAGAGTAAAAAGAAATGAACAAAGCCTCCAAGAAATATGGGACTATGTGAAAAGACCAAATCTACGTCTGATTGGTGTACCTGAAAGTGACGGGGAGAATGGAACCAAGTTGGAAAACACTCTGCAGGATATTATCCAGGAGAACTTCCCCAATCTAGCAAGGCAGGCCAACATTCACATTCAGGAAATACAGAGAACGCCACAAAGATACTCCTCGAGAAGAGCAACTCCAAGACACGTAATTGTCAGATTCACCAAAGATGAAATGAAGGAAAAAATGTTAAGGGCAACCAGAGAGAAAGGTCGGGTTACCCACAAAGGGAAGCCCATCAGACTAACAGCAGATCTCTCAGCAGAAACTCTACAAGCCAGAAGAGAGTGGGGGCCAATATTCAAAATTCTTAAAGAAAATAATTTTCAACCCAGAATTTCCTATCTGGCCAAACTAAGCTTCATAAGTGAAGGAGAAATAAAATCCTTTACAGACAAGCAAATGCTGAGAGATTTTGTCACCACCAGGCCTGCCATAAAAGAGCTCCTGAAGGAAGCACTAAACAAGGAAAGGAACAACCCGTACCAGCCACTGCAAAAACATGCCAAATTGTAAAGACCATTGAGGCTAGGAAGAAACCGCATCAACTAACGAGGAAAATAACCAGCCAACATCATAATGACAGGATCAAATTCATATATAACAATATTAACATTAAATGTAAATGGGCTAAATGCTCCAATTAAAAGACACAGACAGGCAAATTGGATAAAGAGTCAAGACCCATCAGTGTGCTGTATTCAGGAGACCCGTCTCACATGCAGAGACACACATAGGCTCAAAATAAAGGGATGGAGGAAGATCTACCAAGCAAATGGAAAACAAAAAAAGGCAGGGGTTGCAACCCTAGTCTCTGATAAAACAGACTTTAAACCAACAAAGATCAAAAGAGACAAAGAAGGCCATTACATAATGGTAAAGGGATCAATTCAACCAGAAGAGCTAACTATCCTAAAGATATATGCACCCAATACAGGAGGACCCAGATTCATAAAGCAAGTCCTTAGAGACCCACAAAGAGACTTAGACTCCCACACAATAATAATGGGAGACTTTAACAGCCCACTGTCAACATTAGACAGATCAACGAGACAGAAAGTTAACAAGGATATCCAGGAATTGAACTCAGCTCTGCACTAAGCGGACCTAATAGACATCTACAGAACTCTCCACCCCAAATCAACAGAATATACATTCTTCTCAGCACCACATTGCACTTGTTTCAAAATTGACCATAGTTGGAAGTAAAGCACTCCTCAGCAAATGTAGAAGAATAGAAATTATAACAAACTGTCTCTCAGACCATAGTGCAATCAAACTAGAACTCAGGATTAAGAAACTCACTCAAAACCACTCAACTACATGGAAACTGAACAACCTGCTCCTGAATGACTACTGGGTACCTAACAAAATGAAGGCAGAAATAAAGGTGTTCTTTGAAACTAATGAGAACTGCTGGGCGTGGTGGCTCATGCCTGTAATCCCAGTACTTTGGGAGGCCAAGGTGGGTGGATCACGAGGTCAGAAGATCGAGACCATCCTGGCTAACACGGTGAAACCCTATCTCTACTAAAAATACAAAAAATGAGCCGGGCGTGATGGCGGGCGCCTATAGTCCCAGCTACTCGGGAGGCTGAGGCAGGAGAATGGCGGGAACCCGGGAGGCGGAGCTTGCAGTGAGCCGAGATGGCGCCACTGCACTCCATCCTGGGCAACAGAGCAAGACTTTGCCTCAGAAAAAAAAAAAAAAAAAAAAAAAAAACAAAGAAACTAATGAGAACAAATATACAACATACCAGAATCTCTGGGACAAATTCAAAGCAGTGTGTAGAGGGAAATTTATAGCACTAAATGCCCACAAGAGAAAGCAGGAAAGATCTAAAATTGACACCCTAACATCACAATTAAAAGAACTAGAGAAGTAAGAGCAAACACATTCAAAAGCTAGCAGAAGGCAAGAAATAACAAAGATCAGAGCAGAACTGAAGGAGACAGAGACACAAAAAACCCTTCAAAAAACCAATGAATCCAGGAGCTGGTTTTTTGAAAAGATCAACAAAATTGATAGACTGCTAGCAAGACTAATAAAGAAGAAAAGAGAGAAGAATCAAATAGATGCAATAAAAAATGATAAAGGGGATATCACCACCAATCCCACAGAAATACAAACTGCCATCAGAGAATAATATAAACACCTCTATGCAAATAAACTAGAAAATCTAGAAGAAATGGATAAATTCCTGGACACATACACCCTCCCAAGACTAAACCAGAAGGAAGTTGAATCCCTGAATAGACCAATAACAGGATCTGAAATTGAGGCAATAATTAATAGTCTACCAACCAAAAAAAGTCCAGGACCAGAGGGATTCACAGCCAAATTCCACCAGACATACAAGGAGGAGCTGGTACCATTCCTTCTGAAACTATTCCAATCAACAGAAAAAGAGGGAATCCTCTCTAACTCATTTTATGAGGCCAGCATCATCCTGATACCAAAGTCTGGCAGAGACACAGCAAAAAAGAGAATTTTAGACCAATATCCCTGATGAACATCGATGCAAAAATCCTCAATAAAATACTGGCAAACTGAATCCAGCAGCACATCAAAAAGCTTATCCACCATGATCAAGTGGGCTTCATCCCTGGGATGCAAGGCTGGTTCAACATACACAAATCAATAAACATAATCCAGCATATAAACAGAACCAAAGACAAAAAACACATGATTATCTCAATAGATGCAGAAAAGGCCTTCGAAAAAATTCAACAGTACTTCATGCCAAAAACTCTCAATAAATTAGGTATTGATGGGATGTATCTCAAAATAATAAGAGCTACTTATGACAAACCCACAGCCAGTATCATACTGAATGGGCAAAAACTGGAAGCATTCCCTTTGAAAACTGGTGCAAGACAAGGATGCCCTCTCTCACCACTCCTATTCAACATAGTGTTGGAAATTCTGGCCAGGGCATTCAGGCAGGAGAAAGAAATAAAGGTATTCAATTAGGAAAAGAGGAAGTCAAATTGTTCCTGTTTGCAGATGACATGATTGTATATTTAGAAAACCCCGTCGTCTCAGCTCAAAATCTCCTTAAGCTGATAAGCAACTTCAGCAAAGTCTCAGGATACAAAATCAATGTGCAAAAATCACAAGCATTCTTATACACCAATAACAGACAAACAGAGAGTCAAATCATGAGTGAACTCCCATTCACAATTGCTTCAAAGAAAATAAAATACCTAGGAATCCAACTTACGAGGGATGTGAAGGACCTCTTCAAGGAGAACTACAAATCACTGCTCAATGAAATAAAAGAGGATACAAACAAATAGAAGAACATTCCATGCTCATGTATAGGAAGAATCAATATCGTGAAAATGGCCATAATGCCCAAAGCAATTTATAGATTCAATGCCATCCCCATCAAGCTACCAATGACTTTCTTCACGGAATTGGAAAAAACTACTTTAAAGTTCATATGGAACCAAAAAAGAGCTCGCATTGCCAAGTCAATCCTAAGCCAAAAGAACAAAGCTGGAGGCATTACAGTACCTGACTTCAAACTATACTACAAGGCTACGGTAACCAAAACAGCATGGTACTGGTACCAAAACAGAGCTATGGACCAATGGAACAGAACAGAGCCCTCAGAAATAATACCACACATGTACAACCATCTGACCTTTGACAAACCTGACAAAAACAGGAAGTGGGGAAAGGATTTCCTATTTAATAAATGGTGCTGGGAAAACTGGCTAGCCATAGGTAGAAAGCCGAAACTGGATCCCTTCCTTGCACCTCATACAAAAATTAATTCAAGATGGATTAAAGACTTACATGTTAGACCTAAAACCATAAAAACCCTAGAAGAAAACCTAGGCAATTCCATTCAAGACATAGGCATGGGCAAGGACTTCGTGTCTAAAACACCAAAAGCAATGGAAACAGAAGCCAAAATTGACAAATGGGATCTAATTAAACTAAAGAGCTTCTGCACAGCAAAAGAAACTACCATCAGAGTGAACAGGCAACCTACAGAACGGGAGAAAATTTTTGCAATCTACTCATCTGACAAAGGGCTAATATCCAGAATCTACAAAGAACTCAAACAAATTTACAAGAAAAAAACAAACAACCCCATCAAAAAGTGGGCAAAGGATATGAACAGACACTTCTCAAAAGAAGACATTTATCCAGCCAAAAGACACATGAAAAAATGCTCATCATCACTGGCCATCACAGAAATGCAAATCAAAACCACAATGAGATACCATCTCACACCAGTTAGAATGGCAATCATTAAAAAGTCAGGAAACAAGAGGTGCTGGAGAGTATGTGGAGAAATAGGAACACTTTTACACTGTTGGTGGGACTGTAAACTAGTTCAACCATTGTGGAAGACAGTGTGGCGATTCCTCAAGGATCTAGAACTAGAAATACCATTTGACCCAGCCATCCCATTACTGGGTATATACCCAAAGGATTAAAATCATGCTGCTATAAAGACACATGCACACAAATGTTTATTACGGCCTATTCACAATAGCAGAGACTTGGAACCAACCCAAATGCCCATCAATGATAGACTGGATTAAGAAAATGTTGCACATATACACCATGGAATACTATGCAGCCATAAAAAGGATGAGTTTATGTCCTTTGTAGGGACATGGATGAAGCTGGAAACCACCATTCTCAGCAAACTATCAGAAGGACAAAAAATCCAAACACTGCATGTTCTCACTCATAGGTGGGAATTGAACGATGAGAACACATGGATACAGGAAGGGGAACATCACACACTGGGGCCTGTCGTGGGGTGGGGGGAGGGTGAAGGGGGGAGAGATAGCATTAGGAGATATACCTAATGTAAATGACGAGTTAATGGGTGCAGCACGCCAACATGGCACATGTATACATGTGTAACAAACCTGCACGTTGTGCACATGTATCCTAGAACTTAAAGTATAATATAAAAAAAAAAAAGAAAGAAAACGAGAAATTCCCTTGAGACAAGGATGAAAAGGAAGGAGAAAAAGGAGAGAGAAAAGAGAAAAAAGGACAAATTAGAGAGATGGAAAAACGCTTCCACTAAAACTAAGCAGGCTGGAGTGTCAGAAAATACACAGAGTCTGGAGTAAAGTTCCCCTACCCACTTCAAAGTACAACTCCACCACTTGATAGTTAGACAATTTGGACAAGTCACTTAATCTTATCTGCAAAATGGAGAAAATCATAGTTTCTGATTCATAGGGTTATTACAAGGATTAAATGAGCCAATGTAGGAAAAGTACCTAGTTTAGTGCCTAATAATTAGGTACAAAATAATCATAGTAATCTGTAATTATTATTACACACGCTTAATAATAGCTATAATATAATAATTATAAATATATTATGATTATAATATCTTCATTGTTGCTATTATTATGATGATTATCTAAGCACTAACCTAGGCAATTTCCATAGGTATTGGAAACTGACCGGTTTCAGACACTCCACTCTAGTCACCACCCTGCTATTTTATTACTATAAAAATATTTGTAGTATAAATATGAATATATTTTAAAGTGTTATATTTGTAGTAATAAAGCAGCAGGATGGTGACTAGAGTGGAGTGTCTGAAACTTGTCATGCCTCGAGGTGAGTCTAGGGCTGCTATATACTACCTGTATTATTTAAACACGCAGGGGTTCCATTTTCTCATTGATTAAAGATGGGATAAAAATAACTGACTAGCAGAGTGTATGTAAAGATTAACTAGCATAGACAAAAGCCTTTAGCACAGTGCCTGGCAAATAGAAGTTGAAATAGTAGTAGTTGCAATAGCAACTAATTTTCAGTGAGTGTTATTATGCCAGGCCATGGGCTAAACACTTAACATATATCTCCTTTTAATCTTTACAAACGCTTATGAGGAAGCTGTTATACACGTTTTATAGG
Organism: Homo sapiens; assembly: GCF_000001405.40. Taxonomy (NCBI): domain Eukaryota; kingdom Metazoa; phylum Chordata; class Mammalia; order Primates; family Hominidae; genus Homo; species Homo sapiens. Next base: position 13,932,076 of record NC_000011.10, on the reverse strand, counting down.
CAAGGCAACTAAGGCTTAGATGAAACTACATGACTTGTGCTAGCTCACACACCTTGTAAGTTAGGATCTGAATCCAAAACTCTCTGGCTCTTGGTACCTACTAGCTTTCACAAGCTGCTTCTTCTTTTAAATTATTATATTACTTCATTCCATCTTTATTTTTCCCACTTGTCATGCAGAATTACTGTTGGTCATGTCTGTGTCTGTTTTCCTCTGTAGACTGAAATCCTGGAGCTTATTCTTATCCATATTCCCATGATACACGCCCTTCTTCCCCAGCATACTCTCTCCAGTCCACACCCCTAAGCACATGGCAAACCTTTGTTGAGGTACGTGCTCTTCCTGGGCCAACTCCCACCCTGCACCAGTCCTCCTCCGCTTAGCCTGGGCTCTAGTCTCCCCTACAGAGTGTTCTGCTCCCATCTTGTACCCACAAACAATGTCACCTGCAGCAGCAGCTGCACCAGCTGCAGCCCCCTCTTCTGGTGCTAAGCATCAACCTCCCATTGCTGTTCCTTGGACTCTGAGGTGCCCCCCAGGCTTCTGTGAACAAAACTTTGGCCTCTATCCCTATCTTCTTCTCACCCGTCCATTGATTTCTCCACACCTCCAGCCAACTTCCAGGGTAGAGGGGAAGAGGTGGTCTTAATGCTGTGGCGAACTATGCCCTCATCCCTCTACTCCTGAGGTCATACAACACAACCTGGACCACCTATTATATGGCTATGGCAAAGCTACTAACCCCAGGGATATGCCAATGAAACGAAGACCCTATGAATCTTGCAGAGGAGGTCTGGCACACAGGTGGGAAAGTCAGCTAGAAAGAACCTGTTCATCTAATCCTACTGATTGACATTTTATATCCAGATCCAGTGGTTACATAGCCTTTATACCTTTATACGTTATCCATCTCAGTAGCATTTGTTGGTCACCAGCATTGTGCAGGGCTCTAGGACAACAGTGATTAAAAAACAAAAACAAAACAAAACAAAAAAACCAATTCTTGTTCTCAGAGAGCTCTCACTCATCTGGTCCATATTCAAATTGATTCAAGTTCACTGTGGCACTAATCATCCTCTTAACTATAATTATACTTTACTTATGGTTTTTACTTTTTTATTTTTATTATTTTTTTTTTGAGGCCAGGTCTCACTCACATTGTGCAGTGGCGCTATCTTGGCTTACTGCAGCCTCCAACTCACAGGCTCAGGTGATTGCTCCTATCTTAGCCTCCCGAGTAGCTGGGATTACAGGCTTGTGCCCCTACACCCGGCTAGCTTTTGTATTTTTAGTAGAGATGGGGTTTCACCATGTTGCCCAGGCTGGTCTTGAACTCCTGGGCTTAAGTGATTCTCCTGCATCTGCCTCCCAAAGTGCTGGGATTACGGGCATGAGCCACCCTGCCTGGCCTAGGTTTTTATTTTTAAAAATCCAATAGAGAGCCAGGCCATCTGCATGGATTACCTTTCATGGCATTTAGCTCAGTGCCATGGGCCTGAAGGCAATTAATATTGAACTTTCTGGAAGTTCCAGACATTTTCTTTCAGTCATCCTAGTAAGTGTCTTAATGTGATAATAGGTTAATTGATTTTTGTATATTAATCACCCATCAGACGTTTATTGTGAAATTCAATTTCAGCTCCACCAACCACATGACCTTGGGCAGGTTGCTTCATGTCTGTGAACCTCAGTTTCCACACCAGTTAAAGTAGGAATAGTAAAGCCGTCTGCATAGACTTTGTCTAATAATTAAATGGAATTCCAGGGCAAAAGGTTGTATATACTCCCAAAATTCTATTCAGTCACATTTTTTTTTTCAGCGTGTACCACGGTCTTGGGACCACTAAAAGAATAACACACAGTCCCTGTTCACTCCAAATCACAAGTCAGTGGGCAGAAACAGATATAAGTAAGCAAGTAGCTATAATACATTTAGGTATCTCAGAGTTCTTCCAGGACAGCAGGGAGAAAGGGAATCAATATTGACTTAGGATCTAACATGTGAGTTTGAAAGATCCTTAAGGAGAGTCGTCCTGGGGTGTGTTCATATGTGTGTCTCCATAAGCTCATACTTATTTTGGACTTAGCCTTCTCCATGGCCTGGTTCCCTAGATGTCTGATTTTTCTTTAATAAGTACCAGGAAGCCAATCCCGACTAACTGCATCCCCTAGAACAGCCGAGAATGCTGATGACCACTTAGCACATTCTGAAACCATCAGCCAAATCTGGGGCCGGATAAATGTGCAAAGAAGGGCTCCCTGTTGACCCTTCCCCTGAATGCTTTTCCCAGCCCTGCTGTCTCCTGCTGCCCAGTAACTTGTTGCCGTGGGAGACAAGTGTACTTAGTGTGACAAGTCACATTGCACCCTGGGACTCTTCAATACCGTGTCAGGCTGACCCCAATGCTATGCCAACTCCACCAAATTATTGAGGACAGAATGCATTTGTGTTTAAATGCAGCACACATCTCTATGAGACCTTCCCTTGAATAATCATATTGTCTTTTCCCCTCCTTACAGGAGCCTGCAGAGGGATGGATCTTGCCTGGTTGGCACCTCTGTGGGTGCCTGGGTTGATTCCTCTGCTGCCACCCCCATCCCCTGGGTGTCATGTTCCAAACCCACCCAAAGACCAGACAGATGGGCCCCTTTCTTGGTGAGACAAGAGACACTTGCAGAATACAAATCACCACCCTGCATTAGGCTCCCCAACAGCACTAGAAATGGAAGCGAAAGAGATAAGCAGAATCCAGCTTTTAAGACTTCAGTTGTTAAAGTCAATGGATGGAATTCGTGTAAAAGGAGGCAAACGCTTTTCTGCAGTTTGGCCTGAGGTTTTTTTTTGTTTTGTTTTGTTTTCCTTTTTTCCTTTTTTTTTTTCCTTCCCAGCAGAGATAAATTGCGACATTTGGCAGCCCTTAAAATGTATCACATGCCTTTGTAATGATTTGCTTATAGAGTTTTTATGGATAATAACAACAACTAATATTTATTGAGCACTAACTACATGTCAAGCAACTAATATATGTTTATGTCTTTTAATCCTTATGTCAACACTATGAAGTAGGTTCTTGGATTAACCTCTCTTTATAGATTAGGCATGTGAAGCGTAGGAAGTGTGATTCATTTGCCCAAGGTCACATGGTAAGTGGGGGAGGTAGCACTCAAACTCAGGATATCTAACTCCAGATGACACGTTGTTAACTCTTGTGTGTTATACTGTTGCTAGAGAGGCAGCCTGGCCTGGGAGAGCAATGAAGTGTGACAGTTCTCTGCCACTTACCAGCTGTGTGACTTTGGGATGGTTACTTAAGTCCTCTGTAAAATAAGGATGATAATAGTATCTACCTCATAGGGTAGTATTACTAGTGACGGATTTGATACATATAAAACATTTAGTATCATGCTTGGCTTAGAGTAAGGATCCAATGTATGTTAGTTATTTGTATAGACAGTAATCCCCTCCAGTTTAGGATCCATGTCTCAGTCCTCTTTGAATCTTTACTCCCAACACATAGCACAGTGCAAAGTCCACAGTAGAAATGGATTCAACATTACTGGAATAAATTAGGAGATTAAATATTCTACAAGATAGTTAAAATGAAACCTTATTTTTATAGGTGATTTATTATTTACAAAGTGCTGTCATTTAGTTTAATTTGGCATAAGGTTTGTTTTTAAGTTAAAACACCAAGAAAATTTGACCCAGCAATTCCACTCCTAGGTGCATATGTATACACAAGAGAAATAAAAACATATGTTTGTGCAAAAACTTGCTCATGATTGTTCATAGCAGCATTATTCATAACAGTCAAAAGGAAGAAACAACCCAAGTGTCTATCAACTGATGAATGGATAAACCAAGTGCGGTATAGCCATACACTGGAATATTATTTGGCCATAAAAAGGAATGAAGTACTGAAACATGCCACAACATGGATGAACCTTGAAAACAGTGTGCCTAGCGAAAGAGCCCATTACAAAAGGCCACATATTTTAAGATTTCATTTACGTGAAATGTTCAGAATAGGTAAATCTATGGGGACAGAAAGTAGATTACTCATTGCCGAGGGTTAGGTGCATGGGGGTGTTTAGGAAGGGATTGATTACTAAAAAATATGGAGTTTCTTTGAGGGTGATGAAAATGTTCCAAGATCAATTGTGGCACTGATCACACAATCCTATGGATGTATGATAAACTCTTGAATTATATACTTTAAGTGGGTGAATTGTATGGTATGTGAGCTAAAAAAAGCTTTTACCAAGAAAAAAAAAGTCAAGAAAGTGGTAAGTCTCCAAATTAAAAGCTCAACACTGGTGCACTTGGCAGTCTCACCAGACTCCCCATTCTGCCCAAGCACTAATTAGGCAGCCTTGGCCACCTGCGCAGGACACAGCCTCAGCAAGGCAGACCAAGGAGGAATGAATAGACCATTAATTTATGGTTATTCTTCTATTCAAGTCCAGTTGCCCCTACTGTTTCTTTTTCATTGCTTTCTGTCTAGCTCTATTAGAGGGGATAAAATGTTGTAGGTTGACCAACCCAGTGCAGAACTGTGAGATATAAGATGAAGCCTGGTCTTTCTCAATATTAAATGAAGGTTCCCAAGCTGGAAATCAAGGCTAGATGAGTCTAAATATCAAATCTATTTATCATTTATAAGTTGCTTTCCTCCCCATGATCTTGTCTCAGAAACAAATAAAGCCCAATATTCTCAAACTCAATGCATCCTTTGTTTTAACGATGTTTTTCAAAAACTTAAGCAATTGCTGGTGGAAGGGAGAGAAGTCAGGATTCTAATTAAGTTGCCCCAGTTTGAAATTTATAGAAGATTGCCAAAGGATTCCAACACTGTAGGTATTTGAAAGTGAAGACAGAGGAAAAATGATGCTTGTAATTCCTGAGAGTAGCTATGAAGGTATGTAATTATGACTGAAACGGAAATATAATTTTATCATTTGGAAATCTTGTTCTTTGCTCTACTTTTCACTGGCAATGCTATATATAGACATACTCACAAGGGAAATTCCTTGGGTAGAAGGCGAAAAATAAAAATCACACTTTCTCTTTTCCTATTAGTACTATTAATGTAAACTCCAATAAATATTCTTTTATTTAGGGACATAGAGAAGATTTACAGATATGTTGATTTTGGTAAATGATTAGTGCTGACTTTCATTGAGTGCTCTTAGCTTGTCACATTTTTTAAATCTCACCTAATCCCTTCAGCTATCCTATGAGGTGTGCCTGTGGCGGGGTGGGGGGGGTACTTTTTAAAAAATATTATTATTATTCTATTTTGCAGATGAAAACAATAAGGCACAGAGAAGTTAAGTAACTTGCCCAGGGTCTCGCACCTTGTGTAAGAGATGGAGCTTAGATTTAAACTCCATCTGATTCCAGAGCCACTTTCTTAATTATTATCATATTCTGACTCTTCAGTAAATTGACATGCCATAAACTGGTTCCAGCCAACCAGGTGACTGCATTCTACCTGGGGTTTGGAAAAAAACAAGCTATGGGGCAGGAGGCTGTAAAACAGGCTGATGTGCTCAAGCTGATTAAATTCCTGTAGTCCAGGCTGGGTGCGGTGGCTCAAGCCTGTAATCCCAGCACTTTGGGAGGCCAGGGCGGGCGGATCACTTGAGGCCAGGAGTTCGAGACCAGTCTAGCCAACATGGCAAAACCCTGTCTCTACTAAAAATATAAAAACCTTGATTTTACTCTTGATGCTTCTTCTTTAAGAGTTGAATATGTTAGAATGTTGAAACAAGATATTATTACACAAAATAATATCATTTTGTTTGTTTAAATAAGTATTATCATTTCCTTTACTTTATCCATGTGCGCTGGGTGTCTTTGTATGCAAAGCAGTGTCCTTAGCCAGCCACGTGCTATTCCCCCACCTGGTATACCCTGCCCTCAGCCTACTCCTCACTACTTTGCTAACACCTATTCAAATATAACTTAGAATATTAGCTTAAAATATCACTTTCCAGAGAAGCTTTTCCTGAACTCCCCTTCTCTCACCCTTTTAAAATATATTCTCGTATCCTTTTACATTTTCCTTTCATAGCCTCTTCCTAGCTTGTAAGCAAATGTGTGATTAGCTATTCAACTGTTGTCTCCCCTGCTAAGATACAAGTTCCATGAGGTCAGGGCTTGGGCCTAGCCTATCTTGTTCATTACCATTTCTCCTGTGTTTAGCAGAGGATTTGTTATGCTTAATGTTTGAACAGTGAATGAACAAATGAAGGAGACATCAGTTTTGGTGTCATGTTGCTTACATTTTAGGAGTGTTGTATAAAAGCATGTATCTACAGGATAGGAAACAGGTTTAGAAGGAGAAGGAGCTCATCAGAGAAGGGGCTTATCAAGGCCATAACATTTGAGCTGGCCCTTGGAGGGTGGGCCAACAATTCAGAGGGAGACCTCAAGGGTGAAGCACACAGCCAGGCAAGCAGAGCCAGCTGAGTAAATTGCTGCAGTGTATTATATTTATTTAGGAAATAAAATAAGAAAAGAGTAAAACAGCAAATGCTTTTTTTTTTTTTTGTGCAGAAGCACTTAGATATAGGTTATCTTTTGGGACCCAAAGCCAAATGGAATTGCTTAGCTTTAAGATAGCTGTCTTCATGCATTGATGAAAATTATAAAAGCTGAGATAGCAAATATAAGCTGTGCCTTTGACACATAGACCATTCCTCACTGGGAAGAAAGGAAAAGAGCCATGAATTTCTGAGAATAGATGGGTAAGATGTTTTCTTTGTTCTTCTGCCTTATGCTGTTTTTCTATTCCCAATGAGAAGGATGAGGTGGCAGAATTTCTTAGCTTAGTCATGAAGTCTTTAAAACCTAGTCCTTCACTTTTGAAGCTCAAAATCAATAGAAGAAATCACACGAAGATCAATAGGTTCAACTCCATAAAAATTAAAATTATGTCAAAACCCCTCACAACCCAAATTAAAGGTGAACAATAAGCCAGAAAAATATTCACCACAACTCTGATGGCCAAATCCAGTTCAGTTCAGTTCAACATGTACCACTTGTGCATTCCTAGGTTCCTAGAACCATGAGGTCCTGAGAGCTGTAATGTTCAGTAAGACATCATGTCTGTTCTTAGAGCTCTGCTGACAGGGCAGCATGTAAAAGCTGACCATTCTGATGCAATGCTGTAAGTGGGAGAGTTGTGATATATGCGCAAGGAGAAAAGAGGAAGGAAGGGCATCTGATCTAGCCTGGGGCTCAGAGAAGGATCCCTGAAGAGAGGCCTTGGACTAATAAAAGTTGTGTAGGAGTTATCCAAGGCAACAAGGAGTAGAGGAGGAGGGTATTTAAGACAATGAGAAAAATGAATAAAGACATGGAAATGCAAAACATCTTGGTATGTATGTGCATATTGGGGTGGTTACAAATTCTTCAGAGTTCTGCAATAAAGTGTGAAATTTGGATTGATGGAGATAGGGCTGCTCAGGTAAACATATACATTTATAAAAGTTTTTACTTTATCCTACAGCTGACGGGCAGCCATCAGAAGACCTAACAAGGGCCTGGACTGGGTGATTTTAAGGCAAATCTTACAAGGCAAGGAACTAGTTAGGTTTGGGTACAGTTATGGTGTAACGGCTTTAGATTGGTGAGTGCAGTGAAGTTAGGATGCTGATGTGTTTTAACGAGTATGCTCTTAGTTTTGATAATTTAACTATTTAGCTGACCCACAGCCTCACCTTGCAAGGCGTGGTATTTCCTGGAGCAGCCAACTAAGTTGTTTTTTCTTGGTCTCAATGTTGTTTATCACAGGCCCAGGAAGTGTGCATGGTCTCAGCATTGTTTAATGTAGAGACAGGAAATTATGTTGGTTTTCTTGCAGAAAACTATTCAAGACTGACTTGCTTCAGCACTCAACCGTCAAGCCACTACTCCCCATCCGTGTCACTGCATTTTTGGCTGAATAAATCAGACTTTAAAACAATGCATTTGAGAAATGGGGTTATTGTGATCCTGGGGATTACCTGGTTGGGTGGAATGAATGGATTCTGGAGTTAGACCAACAGCTTTGGGGAGAGGCTGAGGTTTCCCACCTGTGGGGATGGGGTGTGGTTTCACACGCAGGGAGTTGAAGAAGAGGGAGAGACAGGAGTGTTGACCTCAAGATGAAAGGAGTAAACCTTGGGTAAGACACAGTGGGTCCTCTGGGAAGGTGTGGTATAATAAAAATATATTTGATCTTTGTCTCCAGTTCTTGGCACAGGGCTCCTAAAACCCTTGGAATTTCCTGAGTGACAGGAGTGTCCTTTGTTAGTCATAACAAGCCCCTTCCAACACACCTGAGTCAATGCTAATGAGGCCACTCGGGTTGGGATCCCTAGGTAATTTCAGTATAGAGGGCTGGTCCTTAGAAAATCCAAATAACCAAATACATGATTAGAGGGTGGGAACTCTCAGCACTACCCCTCCAATCCTCCTGACCTCTGGGGAGAAGCGGAGGTCTGAAGATTGGGTTGTTAAAACTCCTAAACAAGGAGGTTCAGAGAGCTTCCAGGGTGTTGAGCACATAGAGGTGCTGGGAGGGTGGAGAGGGACTGGAAGCTCAGTGCTCCTCCCCCATGCCTTGCCCTTTGCATTTCTGCCACTTGGCTGCTCTTGCACTGTATTCCTTCGTAATAAACCAGTAATAGTAAGTACAGTGCTTCCCTGAAATCTGTGAGTTGTTCTAGCAAATTAGCAAACCTGAAGAGGGAGTTGGAACCACTGAATTTATAGCAGGTCCTTCAGAAATGTAGGTGGAAACCTGGGCCTTGTGACTGGCATCTGAAGTGGGGGCAGTCTCCTGGGCCTGAGCCCTTAACCTGTGGAAACTGCACTAACCATGGAGAGTTAGTCTCAGAATTGAATTGAATTGCTGAACACCCAGTTAGTGTCGTGGAATTGGAGACTCGGTGGTGTTGGAAAAGACAGCACGCACTTGGTGTCAGGGAAAAACCAGAGAAGGGTTTAACATTTTTTGTTGTTCTTTTTCCTTACCGTCTGAGTCATTTTTGGTGTACTATTAAACAGTTCTCTTCATTTATGGAGATACTTTTTAGACATCTCAGCATGGAGCTTTGAAAATGGGGTGCTGGAAATTAGAGGTTTGAGGAGCAAAGGGAAACGTGGCCTTTGCAACACCATCCATCTGCTGAGGTGCATGTGGGATGGGGGCATCACTGGGCAGAGGGAAGGAATGGGAGCCCCGACAGAGATGGGGGAGGCAGGAGGAGCAGCACCATATCCAAGTAGCTGGCATGTGGATGCCAAGAACAAGCTCTGTCCCTGCCCCAGATATGTTAGAGGAAGAAGACCCTTGAAGAGAGCAAGCTCACACTTGGGCTGCCTTTTGTGTTACTGGAAAAAATAAACAAATTTAAAACCAAAAAAAGACATTAAGAGAGCGCTATTCTAATTCTCTGCATACTTTATGCGGGGAGACAGAAAGAACTAGGTTAAAAAGAGTAACATTAGCTACAAGATCCTTAATTGATAAAGGAAGAAGAACTCATTTAATTGGTGGCTGTCTTAAATAATGTGCATTGGAAAGTGTATAATCTAAAGTAGCACGCAGAGCAAGAAAAGTAACCAAGGAAATAAGGAAGTAGTCAAGAAAAGTTCCATAAATTAAATTATAGTTTGAAAGGATAAAGTCATGTTAACATTCATTACCATATTTTAATTTCATGGTGATTAAAATTATAATGTAGCATGTATTACCGCTTAATTGATCTGCCAACATCAAGAATTTGCAAGTTTCTTTTTGTTCTCCGAAGTCATAAACTATCTATTCTTCGATGCATAATTTCGGGGGTAATTTTAAACCATAAATATTTCTTTTTATTAAAATTCTCAGGAAATTAGAACCTCAATCGCTATTTATTTATATCTCCTTTGGTGAGAGGCCAGGAAATTCATTTTCTTACATTTTGAAATGTACAAAATTAAAGTGCTAAAGAATATTATCTATTAATCTTCATGCTTCCTTTTATGACAGTTTTACAGTTTAATCACAATGCTCAGAGATCTGAGGGTGACAAGCCAAGCTGTGTCCCTTTAAAACTGGGCATTTTTTTTTTTCATATAGGAAACCTCTCCTTGTTGAGGATGCAGACAGATCCATCCCACTGCCGAGCTCTGGCTACCCTTTCCAGGACAGGATTGTACTCCTGCGACACCAGTCTCCAGAGGCCTGGTGATATTCAAGGTCTTCATCCCTCTCGGGCACGCCTAACTAACACTCACCTCTTGGATGAGATGATGTCCTCGTGCTGCCCTTCTGCCGACCCTTCCCTGCAATCGGCCCTGACCTCTCAGAATGCAGCTTGCCCCAGACTGATATAGCTCATCCCTCATTGGGTGCATCTGTGCCCAGCTACCCTGGTTCTGATGAAGTAAATAGGACACATATGTCACCGTGGAGCCTCATGAGTCTCTTTAGATAAAGATAAATTTGGAAAATTGCAAAACTCTCCAGAGACAATACCTTCCTAATGATTTCTGCCTTCTTTGACACCTCATTGCACTGATTAATGGTCATTCAAATTGATCACCTGGCATAGCTCACTGTCAAAATAAAAAAGGACATATTTTAAAAAGTCAGGTGCTGTCTTGTGTGGTAGAATCCTGGTGTGTGTGTGTGTGTGTGTGTGTGTGTGTGTGTGTGCGCGCACACACACAGGCTTATAACAATGACAAACAGACGCAGCTTCTGAATCCTAAAATTTACTGGTGGCCCCCACTCTACGTGTATGTTCCTTAGTACTATAATTCTTAGGACTTTAAATAATTAGTCTCCACAATTTGCTCTCATATTAGCCAAAATTGTTAGGGTAAGGCTGGCCAAATATTTTAAGCCACATAAAAGTGGATAATTGTTTTTCTAGAGTCCTTTGTTATAGTCTACCCCGAGAGGTTAAAAAAAAGAAAATTAGGTGGCAACAGAAGCAGCCTCTTTTATAACATCGTTACAAGCTATGAGCAAAGAAAAGAAACCTACTTTGGATGCCAAGTCTCAATATGGATTCCATCACTCCCCCTAAATTCTTTTTATCTGGCTCTGATGGGGTTTACAATTGAGCCCGCACACAACTCATATATGACAACACCACTCATAGTTCTATAGCAGAGTTAGGAAATATTTGAATGTGAGAAACAGAAACCCACTCAAAATGACACAACCCCAGAAGGAAAGCTCAATGGAAGCAGATAGTGAATGTCTCTCAGATCCCAAGGGCTTTATAGAGAGCCAACATCCATTAAAGCCAGGAACCAAGGGTAAGGGGCTGCACAATCCCTCAACTCTCCCCATCCGTAGTCCAGCTCCAGCAGGTCCAGGAGCAGAGCCCAAGCTTCTGCTCCACCTGACTTCCAAGTTCTAGCATCTCAGATGGACTAAGTATCTCAGTCTCTAGTTTTAAGTCCGACAGGGAGAGAGAGAGGAGAGAGAGAGAGAGAGAATTGAATTGGTCACCAGACTGGATCCTCTTGGGTCACAAATCTCAGAATTTTGAGTGGGGCAGTTTTAGGTAGAGTGGCATCTCAGCAACATTGATTAATATCTATTTAACAAGCAAGATCTCTGGTCAAGAGAGGCTCTGTGGTATTCCCACTTTGGAAACTTACTTCAGGGGGAAAGAGTACCAGGATCTATATGAAGAGGGCCAGGCATTTCACAAAGGGCCATTGAGAGGGGTATTACATGAGAACACATGGGAGAGAAGGTGTTGGGACCTGAAATTAGAAAAGAAACTGCAACAAAGACTGTAGAGAGCAATTCTAACCTTGGGATGAAGGTAAGTACAGAACTATGAGGGCTGATGTGGGACCCTGAAAAATGGGAACTGACCAGATTAAGGTCACAGACCAGGAGGACAGGTTTTGGGGGAGGAGTAAGGATTCAGTCAAATGGCTAACTATATCATCATCTCAGCAAGAAATATATATCGTCTCACTTAATCCTTACAACAAATCTCCCACTTAGCTAAAGGTAACAGTGTGGTGATTACTCACCCTGCCTCTGGTGTCTGAATGCCTGGGTTCAAATTCTAGCCCTGCCATTTCCTAGCTCTGTAACTTTGGGCCACGAATTTTTCTCTTCATGCCTAAAATCCTCCTCTGCAAAATCTCAGCAAAGGATTAACAGTAGCTCAGCTGCCAAGTATGGGGTTAAACAAGATGGGGAGGGAAAGAGAGAACTAACTTTTGCTGAGTACTCTATTAGGATCCAAAGCATATGCACATGTTTTTACATCCCAGTACATTCTCAAACCCTGAGATAAACTATGAAATCTTAGGGGGATCACTCTGCCTTCATTCTTCCCAACTCTTTCAATTATTTTCATTGTCTATTCTGCAGCTCATGTGAATATTCTAATAGCATAAAACTGATCTCGCCTCTGCGTTATTAGGTTTGGTGGTTTCTCATCATCTACAAGATCAAATCCTTACACTTTAGTTAGGCACATATTATGCTTCCCAAACAGCCTCAACCTACTTCATAGCCTCTTCCTCACCCCCTCCACCCTGTCTTTTCTCAATGATTTTGCTCTTCCATACCTCTATTTGTTCAGTTTGTATGTTTTTGAACATACATTTGTCTTTGTCTTAATTGCCCACTTTCCCGTCTTTCCTCCCCAATTTGCAAAAGTTTATTGATCATTCAAGATCAAGGTCAAATACCTCTTTCAAATTCAAAATCTAGGTCAAATGTCCATGACTTCTTGGGGCTGTTAATTGCCCCCTCCTAATACTCCAAACGTATCTCCATTATAGCACTTTATCACATTCTATTAATTCATCCTTCTATCTGGCTCTTTCTCATTGCACACAAGGATCTAGAGGGCAGACCTTGGGGCTTCTTCCTCCCTACATCTCCAAGGTCTCCCACAGTTCCTGGTCTAGGGTAGGCTTGTAATCAGTGCTTGTTGAATGAATGTGATCCCTGAAGCTTTCACACTCACGGTTGGTCTTAACTGGTATTTTGCAAGAATTATATTCCACCCCCTAGTTGAGGCATGCTCATGTTTAGACACAGAAGAAGAAAATATGGAATATTGTTGCTGTGGAAACTAACTTGGAAAATGACTTTCTTTTCTCCTTTATATAAATGTACAAGTCATATCTCATGGCTAAGTGGTCTATGAGTACTTACATAATGACACTGAAAGCCTCAAGCCTGCTCCCAAGGCGTTCTGTGGCAGTCAGCAATGCAGACCATGGAACACGTTCCCTGTGCCATTCTAGCATATAATCTTTCTCACTTTGATGCCCAGTTGCTGGGTTAAATATTGTTTTCAGTCTATCCTACAATAAAATTATTGCACTTCAGTGGATTTCTGTTTGGAGATTTTAAATATTTTAAAACCACACAATATAACAATTTTCAAAAGAAAAAACACTTATCTATTATTTTTAAAAGCTCCTTTCAAAAGCCTGTATTCTGTCCTAGTACTTGGGATCAGCCCACATGGAAAGCTTCTCTAAAGATTCTATAGGAATATTTTACATTTCTTCCTATGTATTCCTACAAGAAAGGTGCTAAAATAATAGCACAATACCTTGCATTTGTGATATTTTCTTCTGACCAATTATCTTACTAGAAGAAACCTGTGGGAATTTTATTACTTTTCTCACCTTTGTGGACCAAAGACTATTTTCATGTATGAAGACTTCCACGTCCTGTCTGATCTCTGGGGTCCTATAACTTGACTTTTACCATGTTGATAACTTTCTTGGCTTTCAATCTAAACTGCAGTGTCAGCCCAAATATCCTTACCCAAAGATTGCAAAAATGGGAGGGAGGGTTCTAATTTTAACCTGTGTAGGATACTTCATACTAGCATTTTTAAGGAGGCTTCATGACAGTATTCAAGATTTCTTCATGTGCTTTACACACAGCAGGGATGCCTCGTGTAATAAATGTATAACCCACATGTAAGCTGATTTGGCAAAGGGTCCCAGATGTTACACAAATAGGCCTCCTGAGGCCGGGAACTGGGAAATGCCTATGGTTGTTTCATCATTCAGCTGTGGAGAAAACAGTGTGAAAGGAAAATTAAAATCTCAGGACCCTCAAACTCACTATGCCAAAGGGAAAGGTCAAACTTGGGGACTGAGTCAATCCAAACTTCCCCCCATTTTGTTCTTAAATAGATAGTTACAAAGATAAAAGGCTACATACCTCCCTCACAATTTGCTCACAAGGCAATTCCTTGTGGGCCCCAAGATCTTTACCCTAAATCAGTTCTGTTGAATTTCACCTTGACAATGTAAATTAACAGCTTATCTTCACGGATATAGAACCAAGGACAGAACCAGAAGTCATCTCTCCATTCACCTGAGATGAATGCATGTTTGACTGCTTCCTCTACTCTATGTTTACTTCATCTTATGTAACAATGCAGATTCACAGAGCATGAGATGAATGCATAACTGACTCTTCCTCGATCCCCTCCTTTTACATGTAAAACATGGATTCAGTGAAGGCTGATCAAAGACTCAAAACAATGACACTGCTTCCCCCTTTTATCTAACCTTCTCCTTCTTTTTTCACTTCTCTTTCCCCTACTGCCCACTCTTTCCCCTTTAAAAGCTGAAGTTCCCAAACCCTCTTTGGAAAAAGCACAGATCACAGATGTTCCTGTGGTTTTGTGTTCCTTTTTCTTAGGTATGTCCTCAACCTTGGCAAAATAAACCTCTGAAATGATTGTGACTCACTTCAGTCATTCTCATTGATTTGCATCAGAAAAGATAAAATTTAACTCATGGGGTTGTTAAAAAGATGAATTAGACGTGCATATGGATAATGTAGGGTTCCTTGGGGTTTTGTCTTTTTGTCTTTGCATGCTCTACACTAGCCCTGGATGACCTCATCTGCACATGTTTGGGATATGCACACACAACACATACACACGCACACACACTCTTTGTTTTGTGTGGGTGTGTGTATTGTGTGTGTATCCCAAATATGCACAGTTCAGATTTTACCCAGGGGTTTAAGATGCACACACTCAACTGTATAGTTTGGATTTTCCAGTCACCTTGAGCACAATATATGCAAAACTAAACTCACCCTCGGCCTTACCAAATCAGCTTCTCTTCCTTCATCTCCATTTTGGTAAGTGGCACTGCCATCTAAGCCAGAAACCTGGAACCCTCAATTCCCTTCACACTCTTTGCCCACCCTTTATTTCCAATCACTCCCTAAGCCCTGCTGATTCTAAATCCAAATATAACTGGAACCCACTTGCTTATCTCCATCTTTTCCCACTGCCTTGGTAAAAGCCTCCAGTCTTTTTCACCTGAGCTACTGAAGCAGCTTCTGGTCAGGCCTCTTGCCTACAGCCTTGCTCTTCAATTTAGTCTTCATGACTGATTGAGTCCTCTCGCTAAAGCACACATCTTCTCTCCTTTAAACCCTTTTATGGCCTCCTATTCTCACCTGAACAAAGTCCAAGCTAATTATGATCCTCTTGATCCATTTTCCCCCCACATTCCACATTCACCCACACTGAGTATCTTTTAGTGTCTCAAACACGCCATTACTTTTCATCTTCAGGTCTTTGCCCTGGAGCTGATAGGGTCAAGACCAGGAGTTATTAAATTACAAATAGAGAAAACCCTAGGATTTCTCCTCTGTTTTTTATAGTGAGATGTTTTCATTCACCTCTCTCTTAAACTCCAGACACGTATTTTCAACTGTTATGCAGACATCTTCATTTGGATGTTTAATAGACATCTCAAAATTTACCACATCTCATACCTTAAGGTAATAAAAGCCATCTGTGACAAGCCAACCTTATACTGAAAGAGGAAAAGTTGAAAGCATTCCCCCTGAGAACTGGAACAAGACAAAAGGGCTACTGTTGGCTAATGATATGATCGTATACCTAGAAAACCCTAAAGACTCAACCTAAAACCTCCTAGAACTGGTAAATGAATTCAGCAAAGCTTTCAGGATACAAAATCAATGTACGCACATCAATAGCTCTGCTATACACCAACTGAGACCAAGCTGAGAATCAAATCACGAACTGAACCCCTTTCACAATACTTGCAAGAAAAATAAAATACTTAGGAATACACCTAACCAAAGATGTGAAAGACCTCTACAAGGAAAACTACAAAACACTGCTGAGAGAAATCATAGATGACACAAATGGAAACACATTCCTGCTCATGAATGGGTAGAATCAATATTGTGAAAATGACCACACTGCCAAAAACGATCTACAAATTCAATCCAATTCCCATCAAAATACCACCATCAGTTTTCACAGAACTAGAAAAAACAATCCTAAAATTCATATGGAACCAAAAAAGAGCCCACATAGCCAAAGCAAGACTAAGCAAAAAGAACAAATCTAGAGGCATCACATTGCCCAATTTCAAACTATACTATAAGGCCATAGTCACCAGAACAGTCTGATACTGGTATAAAAATAGGCTCATAGACCAATGGAACAGAATAGAGAACATAGAAATAAAGCCAGATACTTACAGCCAACTGATCTTTGACAAAGCAAATAAAAACATACAGTGTGGAAAGGACACCCTTTTCAACAAATGGTGCTGAGATAATTGGCAAGCCACATGTAGAAGAATGAAACTGGATCCTCATCTCTCACTTTATACAAAAATCAACTCTAGATGGATGAAAAACTTAAATCTAAGACCTGAAACCATTAATATTCTAAAAGATAACATCAGAAAAATCCTTCCAGACATTGACTTAGGCAAAGACTTCATGACCAAGAACCCAAAAGCAAATGCAACAAAAACAAAGATAAGTAGATGGGACTTAATTAAACTAAAGAGCTTCTGCACAGCAAAATAAATAATCAGCAGAGTTAACAGACAACCCACAGAGTGGGAGAAAATCTTCACAAGCTATACATCTGACAAAGGACTAATATTCAGAATCTACAAAGAACTCAAACAAATCAGCAAGAAAAAAAAAACAAACAATCCCATCAAAAAGTGGGCTAAGGACATGAACAGACAATTCTCCAAAGAAGATACACAAAAGGCCAACAAGCATATGGAAAAATGCTCAACATCACTGATTATCAGGGAAATGTAAATCAAAACCACGGTGCATACCACCTCACTCCTGCAAGAATGGCCATAATCAAACAATTAAAAAAAAATAGAAGTTGGCATGGATGCAGTGAAAAGGGAACACTTTTACACTGTTGGTGGGAATGTAAACTAGTACAACAACTACTTAAAACAGTAAGGAGATTCCTTAAAGAACTAAAAGTCGACCTACTGTTTGATCCAGCAATCCCACTACTAGGTATCCACCCAGAGGAAAAGAAGTCATTATATGAAAAAGACAATTGTACACACGTTTATAGCAGCACAATTTGCAATTGTAAAAATATGGAACCAGCCCAAATGCCCATCAACAAATGAGTAGTTAAAAAATGTGATATGTATATGTATATATATATATATATATACATGTGTGTATATATATATATGTGTGTGTGTATATATATATATATACACACACACATATACACTCCATGGAATACTACTCAGTCATAAAAAGGAATGAAATAATGGCATTCACGGCAACCTGGAAGAAATTGGAGACTAATATGCTAAGTGAAGTAATTCAGGAATGGAAAATCAAGATTGTATGTTCTCACTCATATGTGGGAGCTCAGCTATGAGGATTCAAAGGCATAAGAATGATACATTTGACTTTAGGGACTTGGGGAAAAGGGTTGGGGGTGGTAAGAGATAAAAGACTACACATTGGGTACGGTGTACACCGCTCAGGTGATGGGTGCACCAAAATCTCAGAAATCACCACCAAAGAACTTATTCATGTAACCAAACACCATCTGTTCCCCAAAAACCTATTGAAATAAAAAAAATTTTTAAAAATTACCACATCTCAAACTGCTCTCCTCTGTCAATAAATCTTACCATTCTCCTTAACACATCACAGCTCACACACAAGGTGTTTTACTTTTTATTTTGTTTACTATCAGTCTTCTCCACTGTTTTTCTGTTTTGTTCAATAATGAATTCCCAGAGCCTAGTACAGTTCCTGACACACACGGGACATTCAATAAATGTTTGGTAAATGAATGTATGACCCTACAGCAACAGAATGAAGAGGGATTGAAACCTATCTGGAATTCCCCAGGTCTGGATAGCCACAGTGCAGTAGAAAGATCATAAGTTTCGTCAGGCACACTTGCCTAGTTGTATGACCTAGGATACCTCACTTAACCTCTTTGAGACATTTTTCTCATTTTGTGAGCTAGCTTACAAGACTGCTATGAGTGAATGGATATAATTGGCTTTAACCATACCATGGTTGGTGCTTAACACATATTCTTATATTCCTAACTCCAGGTTTGACAAAGACTCCTGGAAGCCTCAAAAACTTGTCAAGTTTAGCAAGCCTTATCCAGAGCAGACCTTAGATGAGGCAACTCAAGACTTAATCAAACCGTGTTCTATAAGGAGCTCATTTCATTTAAAGTGCTGTAGCTCTTACTGGGGGGACCAGGGTTTAGTGTGAGTGTCAAGTGAAAATCACATTCTTATAAACAGCTGCTCAAGGCCTGGTCTCCTTGAGAGAAATTGGGGGCATGATCTCTCCTTGCTACCTATTTCTCCTAACTCATTGGGAAGTGTTTATTGGCGACATTGTTTACTGATCTTGGAGTACTGTGACTTGCCCTCTCACATAATGCCTAATATCTGTGCACTTATTTATAAAGTTCCCTCTGGTGCAGTGTGGCCAACAGTCATTCAAGGGGGCTAAATTAGGAAGGGAGATACCAGATGCCCAAAGTTTCTGGTGAAATGAGATGGAAATCCAGATTTGCCTAATGCTTATGATTGTCAGGGCAAAAGAAAATCCAGTCCTTTTCTGATGTGAACTTGTTAAGGCATATTTGTGTGATGATATTTGCAGATACCCTGCAAAGGCACAGATGGTTGTTGACGTTTCAAAGGAACCAGTCAAGAAAAAATGTTGGACATGAAGAAAATGGGCATACCGAATAAGAATCATAGACTAATAAAGCTAAGTGAAGCCTTAGGAATCCTCGATTTTGAAGATGAGAAAAATGAAGCACAAAGACATGAAATGATCCACCTAGGGTCACATGTTAATAAAAAGGAGACAGACAACTCAAATCCTGTTGTTTGGAGTCTCAGGCTATATTAGTCCATTCTCACACTGCTATAAAGAAATGCCTGAGACTGGGTAATTTGTAAAGAAAAGAGGTTTAATGGGATCATGGTTTTGCAGTCTGTATAGGAACCATAGTGGCTTCTGCTTCTGGAGAGGCCTTAGGAAACTTACAATTATGGCAGAAGGTGAAGGGGAAGCAGGCATGTCTTACATGGCCAGAGCAGGAGAAAGGGAAGAGTGAGGAGGTGCTATACACTTAACCAGATCTCAGGATAACTCACTCACTCACTATCATGAGAACAGCACCGAGGGATGGTACTAACCCATTCATGAAGGGCCACCCCCATGATCAAATCACCTCCCACCAGGCCCCAACTCCAACACTGGGGATTACAATTCAACATGAGATTTGGTGGGGACATAGAGCCAAATCATATCACAGGCCTAAGTGATATGTGCTTTTTACCACAATATTCTTAAAGCAAGGAAAGAGAGGTCTAAAGAGGCAAGATGACCCTAGTGCTCAATGACATTTTTAAGATTTTCTCCATGGTCAGATTAAAAGGACCTAAAACAGGTCAGCATTTAACATATGAGAAAATGTATATGAAAGTGCACTGTAAATTATAAAATGTTGCCTAAATATTGGGTCATTTACTGATTAAATAAATGAGGTTAAAAAATAAAATGGTCTGAGCAGATGGATGTAATTGTACAGTATTACACATTACATTTTAATGGCTACCAAACATATCAAAGTGATTTCACCTGCTTTGTCAGCTGTTTCATTGATTCTTTGTTGCTGACTCTAGCAGAGGTAACACATCGACCACAAATTTGCACAAAGAAAATGTGCAGGAAAATTAACTTGCACACAGTGTTTCTTTATTAAGATTTTTTCAATTATAAAAAAGAATATATAAGTATATTATTGTATAGTATTTGGAAAATATAAAAGAAAATAATGAAAGTTACCTGAAAAACTGCCCTTGATAACAAATACTATTAAAATTTTGGTGTTTTTTTATCTAAAAAATTTAAACCTGTAAGTACATACTGTATATACAGTTTAAAATACCATATCTTCAAATGACATTACTTAGTGACTATTTTTTCATTAGTCTTTAAGAATAGTATAATTGGTTATATATTATTTCATTATACAGAACCATGATAATTTATTAACTATTGTTGGACAGTTACCTTGTTACCAAACTTTCACTATACTAAGATTTCTGAAATGAAAGGGATACCTGTTTGGCCACACTTTTGGTTTTCATCCTTCTTGGAGTAAATTCATAGAAGTTGAATTATTAGATCGAAGACTTTGATGATTTTTAATGTTCCTCATAAGGACTGATCATTTGCTTTTCAGAGAATGTGACTTATTTATATGACCCCCTAGCACTGTGTGTAAATATACATCTCACCACACCCTTGCTAGCATTGTCATTTAAAATAGTTGACAGTGGGTGAAAGTTTGATGAGAAACAGGATATTTCCATGGTGTCAAAATAAATTCCCACAAGACATTTAATAACCACAGGGAGAAAAATAATTTTATGCTAGAAAAATCTGGCAGACACCACGTTAACCAAGAGATCAAAGTTGCTAGAATTGATAATGACACTAATTAACATCATGTTCCTCATAATACAATGAACTGAGAAGGATACAACATGACTTCTGAGATATCCTTGCCAAAAATAGAAAACTTGAATCTAGTAATAGGGAAACATCAGACAAACCCAAACTGAGAGACACACAACAAAATAAATAATCTGTGTTCTTCAAAAATGTCTACATCACTGGCATTTAATATTTTCTGATATCTCTTGTGATTGAATTCCCTTCCCCATTATGTTATCTGAATGGTATTACTGCCATTGAGGAAAGCTACTGAATTTTGTACTTTTTTTTGGTGTGCCATCATTTTACTTATTATGAACTAATATTAAGAGCTTTCAGCTGGTTATCTTGCAGTTTTTAAAAGATATATAATCATATTGTCTGAAAATAACAATAATGTGTCTCTTCCTTTCTGATAATCTTACCTCTTATTTCTGCCTCATGTCTTATTGCATCAGATAGAATTTCCAGAACAGTGTTACGTGACAATGGAGACATCTAGCATCTCTGCCACTTCCTGGATTTAATGGGAATGATTCTGGTTTTTTAACATTAAAGATAATGCAGGCTGTCAATATGAAATATTATATATTAAAGGAAGTATCTTCCTATTCCTAGTTTTCTATGAGGATTTTTTTTCCAAATCAGGCATGAATGTTAAATTTTTCTGAATACCTTTTTGTCATCTATTGAGATTATCATACAATTTTTTATATTGGAGTTGTTGAACTAACGCCATTATATTAACAGATTTTTCTAACATAAAACTACCCTTGCTTCTCTGGAATAAACCATATTTAGCTGCAGTAGGTTATTCTCTTAATATTTTATTTTGTTATTATTATATTTTGTCATTATTATATTTTGTCCTTTTCCAACTCTGTGGTGGATTTGTATTGCATCAACTTAATTTAGCTGGAACTACATCTCCAGAATTCTCTACATAGTTCTGGGTTAGCTGGGCCACAACCAACAATTGTGTGAGATTAGGAAGGTGAACGTGAAGTAGGAGCCGTATTCACTTTACACTCACAAGGTTGGTGCAGCACACAAGGCATTGGTGCTTGGTACCTGCTGTTACTGTTCTGCTGGCTTGCCTGGTTAGGATGAGACAGCAGCTGGGTCTGTAGCTCCTCCAGATTCTGCTGGGCCAATGTCTTCTGCTTCACTGATTCCTGGGCTAGACACACTTCAGCTACATGAGGAAAAGTACCTATTTCTCCCACCAATGCCACTCTATGGAGGCTTGGGGACAGTGAGAAACTGGTGTAGGTTTTAACCTGTCTTTGCAGGTTCCAGTTTTGCTGCCCCCAGTTCATGTCCATCTTTCTTTCCTCATTGCCTGCCTTTCTGATTTCAGATTCCAGCCTGAAACACAGAAACAATAGCTGTACATAAACATTTAACCAGCTCCCACAATTGTATAAGGTCCAATCTGTATAATATATCCTCATTTTATATAAACCCTAATGTTTCTTCTGCTCTTATCAAATCTTTATCAAAACACCATTCATAAGATTGTTTTAAATATGTTCTGATTATTTTTTGTTGGCTCCATGAGATTCATTCTCTGAGCATCAGGAATGTGGTAGTAGCTTAGCTGGGTGATTCTGGCTCAGGGTATCTCATGCAATTGTAGTCAAGATGTCAGCTGGGACTGTGGTCATCTGAAGGCTTGACTGGGGCTGGAGGATGTGTTCCAAATGCACTCACATGACCACTGGCAGGAAGCCTCAAGGTCTTACCCTGTGGGCCTTTCCATAGGGTTGCTGGAGCCTCCTACAAAATAGCAGCTGGCCTTCCCCAGAACAAGAAATCCAAAAGAGAATGAGGAGGAAGTTACATGCCTTTGAGTCTCAAAAGTCATACACTATCACCTCTGCCATATTCTGTCCATTCAAAAGGAGTCACTAAGTCCAGCCCACACTCAAGCAGAGGAGAGATAAGCTCCACCTCTTCAAGAGAACAGTACCCCAAAATTTGTGAACATACCTTAAAACCACCATACTTCCTTTGCCCATTTCAGACCTGGGATGGTAATGACCTCCCACTGTGGCTAGTCTTGAATAAATCATTATATACAAATTTCCTAAACCTTTGACCACATCTCTACAAACAATCCCTTCATTAAATTATCTATAGTTAAACCCATTTGAATATAATTCTGTTTCCAGGATTTTAATACAATCCATTAGAACAGGAGTGTGTGCAGTTATATAGCATGGGAATTTCATGGGCTGACATATGTATGTTAATGGGCTTTTCATTTTTTTCCTAAATAAAATGAATAAATGTGCTACAAAGTTAGCTGGCACTCAGTAACCAGCTAATTCCTCTCTTCCCAGCCCTTCTATGTTATCTCTGCATTACAACGGGACTGAAAACCTGAGAACTACATTTCTCCCATTTCTTTGCCAGCAGATTTCTGATTTGTAGTCAATTAATGAGAGGTACTCACTGTGAGATTAGAAGGCAGAAGGAAAACGTACGCTATTATTTCTCCTCCTGCAATGCAGTGGCCTCAGGGCCTTTCCTCCCAGAGACATCCGCCTTGGCATTGCAGGCAACTGTGATCATTGTCAGTGGCTGATTTTTTGCAGTTGCTGACTTGGGAGAGAGTAACATTTTCTTGATTCTCTGAAAGCTAGCAGGAACCTGAGCACTGTCAACTATCTTCCCTGATCTATGCTTATTTGACTCAATAACTTAGAAAATAAACAGCAAGTTTTTTTTTAAAGGCAGAGACATGATGAAATTGCCACTCCAGTGGTTTTTGTGTGTTTTTTTCAAGTTTTTTAAGCATACGACTCCGTGTCCTAAATCAGGTTTTATCTAAGATCCCCAGAGTTTTCCTGACCAATATCTGACTAATATAGTAACTGGAAAGAAATAAAAAACCTAAATCACAATGATTTTTTTTTTCTAAAAAAAAGATCCATTTTGAAATCATTAATCTTATTAGGAGTATCTTCTCTTAAAATTTTAAAATTCTCTCTGTATTTATTATATACTGATCTAAATCTTAATTTTGTTTATTTGCTTTCCCACTCTTTTTAAAAATTAGATGTGCCCGAGGTTTTGTCTTTATTTTAAAAATCTATAAACTAGAATCATATATATTAGAAATATATTTAGCTGCATGGATCAGAAAATGAAACTACCAGTGCATTAAACAAGTAGGCATTATTTTTCTTACATAATAATAAGCTTAGAGGTGAATGGTTGCTAGCACAGTTTAACTACTCAACAGTGCCATCAGGCATCTAGACTCATTCTGCTTTTCGGACTGGCTTTTCTCTTTATGTTTGTGGCATTCCTAGCCCATTAGCTTTCCTCTTCATGTTTGTGGTGTCATGGTCCCAAGATGGTTATTACGATCTCAGACATCAAGGGACCATTCAAAACAGAAAATGTGGTTGGAGAAGGGGAAGTGGGCGCATGGAACCGGCTCTGTCTGTACCTCTTTTTTAACATTAAAGCAAGAGTGTTCCAAGACTCCTCAATCACTTTCCACTTATATCCCAGTGATAAGGTCTATTTTGCATGTCCACTTCTAACTACAAGACATTCTAGGGAATTAATTATTTAATTTTCCAGCTCCCATAGAAAAAAAAAGATTAGAGAAAATGAAGTTAGGAATTGGCATTAAAAAAATCATTCTGTAATCTATAGCCATACCACCCTGAAAGTGTCCTATCTCGTCTGATCTTGGAAGTTAAGCAGGGTCAGGCCTGGTTAGTACTTGGATGGGAGAAAATAATTCTACAGTCTCCACTATATATAACAATTCTTCTGTGTTTCTGCTTCTCTTATCTTGCTGTTTATTTTCTAAGTTATCAAGTCAAATAAGGAATATTATTTTATTTTGCTATTGCTGTTAAATAATGAGATCACTTAGTACTATGAATTTATCTATGATGACAGCTTTGACCACATCTCATGAATTTTGATATACTGTATTTTCACCGCAATTTTCTAAATAATATATAACGAAACCTTTGATTTCCTCTTTTAGTGATAGTTTTTTAGGAGAGTGTTTTTTATTTCCATGAGGTTGAGGGATTATCCTTAAACTTTTATTCTTGATTTCTAGATTCACTGCATTTTAGGCAGAAAGATAGTACGATCTCTACTTTTGGGGATTTATTAAACTTGTTTTTGTGGTCTAGTACAAGATCAGTTTTGTAAATGTTTCTCAACTATTTTGAAAGAAGATATATTTTTGTTTATAATACCATATGTTATGCCATATATGTATTGCTTGAATTCTCTATAATTCCAGGTTTCTGTTTTGGTTTGGTTTGGGTTGGGGTCCTAATTTATCTGCAGAAGTCATTCAAATAATTGTACAACTATCAGTTTCTTATATTTGTAACCCTTTTTTTTTTCTTTTTCAGGCTTGATGCTTTGCAATTTGGCACTAAAATTTTATGACAATACACTTTGTTATCACTGGACATTGTAGAGATATGGCTGCCTAGATTTCTGATAGGAAGACCTTGTCTTTCTGGACTGCAATTACGAAATGAAGGAGGAACTAAGTAAAGCGTACGGATTTTAATCTTGGTTCTATTACATACTATCTTTGGGACCCTTAGCAAGATACTTAGTCTCTCTGTGCCTCAGTTTCCTCATCTGTAAAGTGAGGGGAAATAATAGTTTCTACTTTATAGGGTTGTTGAGAGAATTAAATGAGAATTCATGTAAAATGCTTAGAGCAGTGTCTTGCACATAGTCAGCATTCAATAAGTGTTAATTACTACTATGGTTTGGATACAGTTTGTTTCCCTACCCTATCCCCAAAGCCTTATGTTGAAATTTGATCCCCATTGTTGAAGATGGGGCCTGGTGGGAGGCATTTGGATCATGGGGGCAGATCCTCATGAATGGCTTGGTGCCATTCTCATGGAACTGAGGGAGTTCTCACTCTTAGTTCCCAGAAGAACTGGTTGTGGAAAAGAGCCTGGCACCTCCTCCCCTCTCTCTTGCCTCCTGTCTCGTCACCATGTGATCTCTGCATGCTGGCTCCCCTTCCCCTTTCACCATGAGTGGAAGCAGCCTAAAGCCCTCACCAGAAGCAGATACTGGCACCCTGCTTCTTGTACAGCTTGCAGAACCATGAGCCAAAGAAACTTCTTTTCTTTACAGATTACCCAGTCTCAAGTATTCCTTTATAGCAACATAAGTGGACTAAGACAACTATTAATACTATTATTTCTATTATTGTTTTCAGCCTAGCAGACTTATTCTGTTTCTAATATCAGAGCAAGGGTAAGACAAAATCTGCATTCTCAGGCCAATTCTGTTGGCATTGAAGTTGTTAATTTGTCCCAGATTCTAGCAGTAGTTTGTCAGTCTTAGTTTGCAGTTTTTTAAAATGTGCATTTGTTATATTTTCTATCTTCATAGAATTGTATTGAGAGGTTTGAGGAGGTTGTGTTAGGGGTTACTAGCCAGCCACCTTTTAAACCAGAACACTTGTATCTAATTTTAAAAATAACCTGCTTCAATGTGGTCCAAGTTAGGTAGAGATTGATGTTATAATTCAATTGCTATGTAGAAATAACTATTAATGCACTTTTTAGTCCTGGCTGGGCACTTTCTTAATGGCCTCAAAAGACGTGGGTGAAATATTTCAGAGAACCTTTTTGTACATAGCAGGAGTACACTGGAGAATTTTGGTCCCTTTTTTTCACATGTAGTGAATTTCAACACTATCTTTCTGAATCATATCTGATTTATTCCCTAAAACTAATCACAGAATCATCTCTAAAATAGCATTTCTGCTCCAATCAGAGCTTCCTTTTAAAAATAATAAGTCAACAGGCATCACACATTTTAAATTGAATACAGACTGCAAAGCAGCCCTCATCCATTAGTTCAACTGACCTTTGAATAACCCAGACCAGAAAAGAATAGGGCCATAAATCGAAGAAGACTCTAAGCCTAGCTGGGGCTTGGTGGTGCTATCAGCCCAGGAGTGGAAACAGCAATCGTGTGTGATGTGGGAACACTTCTACAAGTTTTTGAGGCCACTTCTTCTGAGAAAGGTTGTCTTGAGTGGCTCTTTTCCTCCCAACAGATTTGGGAATATTTGTCATATGAAATTGGATTGTGTCTTTCCTGTTCTTTGTAAGCACTTTTACAAAGAACAAGGTCATAGAGAGGAGTTAATTAACACAGAAAATACATCATAGGTATTAAATTGTCTAATCAATGCTAATAAGTCTACTCTAATTTGAAGGGGAGTATATGTATAAGCCCAAAACCTCAGAAAAAAAGGAGGAATATTATACTTTTCAGATCCTGGGAGTCTCTCCATTTCTCTCTGCAGAATTTTTCTTAGTGGGTGCTTCTATTACCAGTTCTTTGACTATCTCTACTACATTCCTAGAGCATGCAGAATTGTGAACAATAAAGCATCTCTGTTACTTCATGGTGCCAGCCTCTCCTTCTGAAGCACATGGCCACCATCTTGTGTCTGCTCACAGCTACCATCTTGGTTTCCTTTATAATGTCAAAGGAAATTCCCTTTATAATTTTCTTGTTTTCCTAATAATTACTTTTCATTTGCCATTGCTCTATACAAATGAAAATCTCTGGTTAATTCTGGTATTATATCATCACTGTACTATTTCCCCCTACCAACACTGCAACTTTAAAAATTATTTCATGTCTATTTGCATGTACATTACAAAGGCATCAAGAATAGAGAGTAGTTTCGTTAGAACGGTGGGAGCAGGAGCCAGCAGACTGAAAAGAGAAAGAATTAATTGAAGGTAGATTCTCCTTTCCCGAAGTCTGCTTGTGCCACAGAGGACCATAGGATGTCAAGTTGAGGGGGGGATTCTGGGTTAATGGCTGAGTTTGGAGTAATGGGGGCCATGGGAGCCTGTCTTTTGGTGAAGGTAACAACAGTGGGAAGTGGTTGAAGATTTGATGGACTACTTTTGTTACTGTTGTCACATTATGGTGGGTCACTACTCACATGAGGGTGCTCACCTCACCTCCCTCATGGCCCTTTCCATGCCCACTACCAAAGACGACAATCAATAGTAGTACACGAGTGGCAAAACCTAAAGTCTGAAACCTGTACTATTTTATAATTATCTATCATCGGAGCTCATAATGCCCTGTGAAGGGATTTTGTTGGTATTTTAAAATTTCTTTACAATTAGACCTGACTGGCTCATTGGGCGTATGCCACTCTAGTAGTCACATTAAGCAATGCTTGGTGGGTAACAATGATAACAAGAATGATTAAGATAGCAAACATTTACATAGCATGGACTCAGTAGCTGCACCGTTATAAGTAGTGAAAGACACAGCCTTAACTACATGTGAAAATAGCTTACTACCACCTTCTTGGTGATAATAATGACAGTGGTAGTAGCCAACCGGAGCTGAATTCTAGGTATCAAGCACCATGCCAAGCATTTTATTTGCATGATGATAAAACGATACTTGATGGAGCAAGAGTGCTATGGGGATAGGAGGGAATTGAAAACACAGGTTGAAAGAAAAAAACAAGTAAAGAGGATTCGCTCCAGACAAGCGTTCCTTTGTACAGGTGAGTGAGGAAAAAGACAGAGCACAGATCCAGCACGATGTGTTCATAGAGAGGAGCGACACAGAGAGGGTTAAGCCAAGTAGCTTCATTTTCCCCGGGAAGAAGGAGGCTGCCTCACCTGCTATGAATGAGGATGCTCCCATGTTAGGTAAAATTAGTGTCTGAGACACTAATTTATCCTATGACAGAAATTACTGAATATAGCTGATGTGTTTTGCTCCTCTCGACTTTAGCTGTGAACAAGGAATAATCACGTAGGCTAAAGGAAGGATCTCTGGTTTTCGGTAACATATTGCAGGGCCCTGCACTCAGAGTCAGCGCCAGCTCTGCACTGACGTGTTCTGTCTCCTCCATGGTCAATGCCTGTGTCCTCTGGCCAGTCCTGGCCTCTTACCTGGTCTCATATCCCTTTGACCCATTCTTACCTCCTGAAAGTTGGGAGCTTAAGGTTGGACCCACTCAGTCTTGGAGTGGAGCAATACAAAAATGTTGCCACCAACCTCTGAAAGCCTTTCTTCTCCCCAAGGGGCCCCTTCCTCTCTCATGTACACTGTGGGTCAGCTTGAAACATGTGTGTTCAGTGGCAAGAGCAGCCCAGGGAGAGGCAGGCCCCACCTTTCCCTCGAAACAAACTGACGCTGCCGAAACCCATCTTTACATCGTGCTCTTTTTGTTGGGAACCTATAATTTCCTTCATAACTTTGGGAAGATAATGATACCATGCTAGAGAGCGACAACTTGATGAATAACTGTTTATTTTCAAAGGAGACGCGTTTCATGCACTGGCTGCATAATAGGGTCAGGAACACAGCAAGCTGTCACCATGTTTTCTTTGTTATTTAGCCTCCTGGCAGGGTTCTACACAGGAAACAGAAAATCTCTTTATAATGATAATATAATATCCTTGGCTTTGCTAGGAAGCCATATTTTGGAGGCAAGGTTTGTACATATCTTACTATTTACTAACGCTTGCCAAACCTCATCTTGTTTTTGCTCCACGTTCAGCCTCTGCCCCGTTCCAGGTCCCAGCACAGCCCAGCTGTGAGGCAGCTGCTAAGTGTCTCAGGCCAGCACCTGATGGGCCTCAAAGGATGTAGTATTGCTGTTGAGTGCCTGGGCTGATCCCCATGTTTTATAATACTAAAGATCAGATCCAAGACCTAGAATCAACCCCCTCATTGCTCAGGGGTTTTTCAGAAACTTAGGGCATTTTCTACAATGAAGACATATAGGTCAGGCACAGTGGCTCATGCCTGTAATCCCAGCGGGGAGGCCAAGGTGGGCAGATCACTTGAGCCCAGGAGTTTGAGACCAGCCTGGGCAACATAGTGAGAGCCCGTCTCTACAAAAACTACAAAAATTAGCCAGGTGTGGTGGCATGCACCTGTAGTCCCAGCTACTCAGGAGGCTGAGGTGGGAGGATTGTTTGAGCCTGGGAGTTTGAGGCTGCAGTGAGCTGTGATCATAGCACTGCACTCCAGCCTGAGTAACAGAGTGAGACCCTGTCTCAAAAAAAAATCTATGAATAATACATTAAAAGTTTGCACCAGGAAATACAGGAACTAGCATAATTTTAATAGCTAACATTTATTGAGTGTTTCCTATGTGTGTGCTACTGGTGTAAATGCTTTACATGGATTGACTCAATAAGTTGTTGCAAAAAAAACTTGAGCTAGACAAGATCATTATCACTATTTCATAAATGAAATTAAGGAACTTGCTGAAAAGTCATTCAGCCAACAAGCAGTTGAGCCAGAATTTAAACCCAGGAGCCAGAGTCTGCAGTGTAAGAGCTTTACCCTGAAATTAGGCTCCTCTCTGTAGTAGATGCTGTGGTGTGCTGCCCAGAACCAGCATGTCCAGGACTGAAACACTTATTCTCTCAGCTCAGGAGAGTGGCAGCTGCTGACAGTTCAGTCCCTTGCCTCAAAAGAATTACACTACCCATTCAATGATAGATCGATGTAGGGCCCAGCCCCCTACCCTATTCCAGAAAACTCTGAAGGGCCATCCAAGATTTGGAGCTCTCCAAGAATCAGCCCAGCCCTTTGACTGTGATTGCATTAGAGTTTACCTTCTAAATCTGCCCAATCCTGCTTCTTTTCCTCCCCCACAGGTCTTACCACTGACAGTACACTCCAGTGACTTTTCTGCACACAGATCTCTATCTCAGAGTCTGATGACCCGGAGAATCTGGTCTCCAACACTCCCTTAGACAGGATTCAGCTGAAAAATTAAAACACAGGTGTACAAGACCCAGGACTACTACATAATTACTAAAGGGGAGTTGGCAATTTAGCTCTGAGCTTCCTGACAGCCAAAGAAAAGATGGAAACATGAAGATAATAGAACCAGGGATTCAGGGACAATCTTGGAGGCAGTCTTTGTATCTCAACTTATATTTCTTTTTTCTCATCTTTTTTTGTTATCCACAATAACTATAGCTTTATTAATTTTTTGTTTATATAGATGACATGCTCATTGGAAAATTTTAAACAATATATAAATGTATAAGGTGGAAACTTAATCACCTCAAATCTCATTGCATATTAACCACGAATAACATGTTGTCTATCCTTTTATACAACTTTTTATGCATGTCCATGTAAATAATTTAACACAAATGGCTCTTCCTTTAGTGTAGAACATGGAAATCCACTCACTTCTCACCACTTCTACCAGTCCCATATCAATCACCCATAAAAATCACTAACCTTCTTTTTCCTTGACTGCTGCAGTAGCCTCCTGACTGGTATTCCTGCATCTATTCTCCATACAGGAGCCAGAATGCTCTTTAAAAAAACCCAAACACATCATGTTGCTGCTCTGATCAAAACTTTCTAATGGCTTTGCTTTGCTTTTAGCATGATGGTGAAGCCCCTTACCAGTGTCTGTAAGGCTGTTCCTGGTAGTGTGCGGACTGCCTCTCTGACTCATCTCCCACTATGCCCCTCAATCCGTGTCATTCTTGCTGTTTCTCAGGTTCTTACACCAAGCTTGTTTCCCTTCTAGGCTTTGGCATTGGTGCTTCCCTGTTTGGAGCTCTCATCCGCCAAATGCCTGTAGGGCTTATTTCTTTACTTCATTTAGGTCTCTGTTCAATTTCCTCCTCCCCTAAAAGCCAAACCACTCTCTCTAAAATAGCAGCCTACCCCCACTAGTTCTTCCCTCCCTATCCCCTTACCCTGGTTAGTTTTCCTCATTGAACTTATTTTTACTTTAAATCATATGTCTTTTTGTCTACCCATTTTTTGTCTCCCTCCACTAGAATGTACATCCCATGACAGCAGTTGTCTGCCTTGTTTGCCACCTAGTGCATAGAATTGTGCCTGGCTCTAGGTGCAAAATAGATACCTGTAAAATGAATAATTAATCCATTTAGATTCAACTATAGATTATAAGGGTCCTTGCTCATTTCTCTATCTTGAGATCCTTGCTGTGATTTTTGAATATTTTCCTCAGATGGAGGATGTGAGATATTCACTGAATCCTTGCATATCAGCAAGGATATATCTTGACTGAGTACAGGATTTTGGGGGTTCAATTCTTTTCTCTCAGTGACCTACAGATTGTTATTCACATCCGCTAGCTTCTGGTATTACAGACGAGAAGTCTGATGCCAAAATGATGCTTTCTTCCTTTGGAAGTAAGCTTCATAAAGGGAACAGAACTGTTGGACCCAGGCACAATCATGGGGCATTACTGTGGCCACAAGTAGATTTATTCTCAGTCTTTTTTCCCCCCATTAATTCACATTACTGGGATTCTATCCTGGTCCTTGAACCTGAGTCACAAAAGTTTCCTCTCTTGTTGTATTCTTTTGGACCAGGGGAATACAGGCCCCTTCCTGGAGCTGGAATGGAGATCTAGCAGAGTCATCAAAGGAATGAAGCCCCACCCAGCAAGGCAGCTGTGTCAGGAGTATTTCTTCTCAAACTTGAGGGAATCTGCTCTCATTCTCTCTCTCTCTCTCTCTCTCTCTCTCCTGATTTCCTCTCTTCCCAACCCTTCTAGTCCTTCCTTGTATTTTGGCTACTTCCCTTCTTGCCTTCACATGTTTGCCTTTCTCTCCTATCTAGCTAACAGTGAAAAGAGCTGGGCTGTCCTAGAGTGATTTGAAAAGGGGATTTGTGAGAACCCAGCTCCCCTAACTGCGATTGAGTGAAGGACTTTGATCATTATCAACAAGTCCAAGTAATTAGTAGATACCAAGATGAGATAGATGTGAAATTCCAAAGTGAGACCCTAAATCACCACAGGCACATTTTCAGCAGAAATAGTTGGCCACCATTCTCTATCTCCAGAACTTACTTGCTCTTTTCCAGGAGCAATTTTTGAGAAAGGGCTCTTTAGGGAAGTTTGGGTAGTGCTCTTTGTCCCCATCCTGCCCCCGTAGTAGGAGGTGAGTGCCTGGGTGTCTGTCTGCTCACCATACACATGGCAAGCAGGGGCTTCCCTGGGCTACCCAGAGAACTTAACGTGCCTCTCCTACACATGAACGTAGGCATGCATGCACGCACACACGAGGACACACCTGGGGAATCAGAGGACGGAAAGACCAAGAGGCTGACTACCCGCTTTCCCAGCAGAGTCATGGAGGTGCTGCTGCCTTTAGATTTCTTGCATGCCTAGAGATTGTCCAGGCAAGTATATGTATTTTCCCATGGAACACACTTTCCTATGGAACTCAAGAAAGACAGCTTGGGTTCCACCATCTGACTGGAGGGCAAGGGTTTACCACCCATAAAAAATGCATGTCTCTGTGTGAACAGAAATTCACATAAGGGGGGCCCTGTAGAAAACCCCAGAGAATCTAAGAGAGCACCCAGAAGAGAAAAAGTCAGCTCCAATATATGCCAGGCCCAGAGATGCTGATGCCAGATGAGACCCCACATTTTAGGTGAGGCCTTTCCTACATCCACCCAACTCCATCCTTTTCCCAATTGAGGAGGTTGGACAATGGAGGAGCCCAAGGGGCAGACATGGGGACACCAGGCACACCCCATCCCATTTCCCTTTGCAGTTTCCCATCCTAAAGTCAGCCCAAGCTGAGAATAGGGTAGATGGCACCAAGCTAAATCAAGATTAGAGTTTGGGACTGAACATTTTGATTGCTATTATAAATTAAGAGTGCATGTACAATTTAAAGAGTACCTAATACGAGAAAGTGAGCAGAGTAATTGTGAGCTTGCTAGCAATTTCATCCAGGGCAGGGGGAAATTTATCCCTACCGAATAATTTGCAAAAGGGGTGTGGGTGATAAAATCAAAATTGTATTTTTATTGCAATACAGGGGATGCTTGCTAGGTTTTTGTACATGACCCTGATCTGAGCTGGCTTCATGAGCCTGCTTAGGGGGAGGGACATTTGCTTGTTTCCCAGAGAACTTAGGAGGTGAGCAAAACTGGGGAATAGTGTCCTGAGGCGGGCAGGAGGGGACAGGAATCCAGTTTTCCTGGAGGGAAGGGCTTGAGAGATTAAGGGAAGTTGCTGCCTTCCACCTGCTTTGGCAAGGAGAGCCACCGGGGTCCATCTGAAGGCACCAGGGGTGAGCTCCTGCCAGCCAGGCCCTGCAAGGCGGC
The DNA here is from genome assembly GCF_000001405.40 of Homo sapiens. Classification (NCBI taxonomy): domain Eukaryota; kingdom Metazoa; phylum Chordata; class Mammalia; order Primates; family Hominidae; genus Homo; species Homo sapiens. The sequence goes on along the minus strand of NC_000011.10, from coordinate 13,898,102 downwards.
TAAGGGGGTGTTCCCTTTTGGTAGGGGGAAGGTCTGTGAGTGAGAGAAAGAGAACTGAGGAGCTGAGCTACTGCACCCCCTCCCTCTGCAGATAAACACACACACTGGCTTAATAGCCACAATAACCCTTGGCTCTCCTGCCCCTTTTAGCATCTCTCCTCATCTTGCTTCCCACAACTAATGACTTACAGAATAACTGAAAGGTGAAATAAAAAATTGTGTGTGAGTTTGGGGAGGGAACGTTCACATGCTGTTCCCTCTGCCTGAAACACCTGCAGAATCAGGCAGGGACTCGCCAGGAAACAGATGGTCCACTGAAAATAGAACAATTCAAGGGGGGTCTGTTCACAAAGGGTCATTACAAAGGTGTGGGTGTAAGGGATCGTTCTCTAGCCTGGGGTGCCCTGCTTCTGGGCCCAAAGGGAGGAGGGAGAGAGTGGTTACTGGAAGGCAAGCACATCCCACACATTTGTGGGGCCCAGAAAAACAGAACAATTGGAAATCCTCCAAACCATATGTCTAGATATTTAAAAGTTATCACTCAAACTAACGAACCACTCAACAAAATATATCCTAGCTGTTGACCTTGGAAAATATACCTTTATAAAAACCTGGAAGATGAAGTTGGAATTGGGAAGTCTCAGACTGCCCAGAACATGGCAGAAGGGAAATATCTGGGCCCTGGACTCCTAGCTCACCCCTTTCTCTTCCCACCCCTGTGTTTTCTGGCAACTTCAGGAGGCCTTACTGGTACAGGGGGGCATCCCAGGCCTCATGCCTGTGCTGCCCTCAGAACCTACCACACACAAAAAACACATACTCTTTGGTCAACCCCTCAGGCCTAGGGCAGAGGAGCCTGCAGGAGCAGTCCACATTCAGGAAGAGAGGTGCACACAAAATGCATGGCCATGCACGGCATGGGAGGAGGGTGCTCTTACACCGTGGGCAGTGATGTGGCCGGAGGACAGGAAGTCCAAGGCATGGTATCCATGGGGTCGTATGGGGTTGGGGCGGGGGGCTCTCTCTTCCAGGTGAAAGGGCAGCACTGCTGGAGAGGCAGCGGGAATAGCGACTTTTCCTTAAAAAAAAAAAAACCAGCAAATTGGAGGCAATGCCACAGGGAGGAAGACAGGGAATGCACACCCCTCACAGTCCTCCTTCCCTTTGAATATCTAGGGAGCTGGGGCTCCCCACTGAAGAGCCAGAGAGGGCAGGGAGCTAGTGATGCAATCCTAGGTGGCCAGCCTCCAAGCCCAGAGAGCAGGGCAGAGAAAAGCAGAGAGCAGGTCTGGAAATGTCCAGCCCTCTGTCCTCCTCACTTTCTCTAGTTAATTTTTACTTAAGCTTTAAATATCAACTCAAGTGTCACTCTCTCAAGAAAACCCTCCCTGCCCTCCAGCACTAGAGCAGGTTTCTTATTAAGCTGTTCCCTCTCCTTTTCCTTCACAGTACTTGTTGAAGTCTCTTACTGTAATCTATGTGGCTATTTTATGAACAGCAGTGTCCCCACCAGACTCTAGGCTCCAGGAGGACAGGGACCAGGTCTGTCTGGTTTGTTGCTGTATGTCTATTGCCTGGCACAGGCCGGGCATTTCATGGGCACTTGTTGTGCTCGCTCTTCTATTTTAGGTCCTCCTGACTTTCCTGGGGTCAGGAATAGCTGCATTCAAGGGAATGTAGACCACATACTTGACAGTAACCCTCCCCGATACACACACACACTCATGCACACACATGCTCATGCACACACACACACACTCATGCACACACACACACTCGTGCACACACACACAGGACTTGGAAGTGAGTTCTTTGGGGGTTAAAATTCCGATCCGTATATAATTGATCAGAACCACCATCATCTTAAAGACCCAGAATGGCTCCCAGAGCTGGACAATAATTGAAGAAAAATATGGTCACATCTATAGAGTGCATGCATGAGCATTGGTCAGCCTTAGAAGCACAAAGGAAAGAAGTGCTGCCTAAATCATCCCCAGAGGAGAAGTGCCCAGACAGGCTGTGTAATGTCCTATTTCTCTGGATAGGCCTTCCTTTACTGGGGAAATGGAAGCATCCATTTTTCAGGGCCCGATGTCATTCAGCTTTCAATTCCATAACTCCCTTGTTCTGCTTCTGTACTCACCAAGAACCCATCTGATAATGTGGCTCCTGTTGGGGCTGGCTGGGTAGGCCCATCCAATGACACATCTGCCAGATTTTTCAGTTGTGTTGCTCATTATAAATAAATTGTTGTTTGATTTCATTCACATTTATCAGAGATTTTTCAAGTATGCATGGGCATTCCTTAAGTGTGATCACCTCTGGAAAGCTGATGGGTTTAAGTTCCTCACCCTGCAAGGCTGAGGGTCAGATCCTAGGCTGCAGGGAACTCACAGGACAGTACCCGGCAGAGAACCACCCCATCCCCCAAATCCAGTCATTAAATGTTTTTTTCTTTTGTGAAACTGAAATAATGACATTCTCAAAGGGTCTAACATTTATCAAGAAAAAAGAGAGAGACATATTGAGTTGTGTGTGAAGAGGAATGTTTTTGATTTTCATTTTTCTTTTGACTTCTCTAGACTAAAATTGTCTTTTCAGTCAGAATGCATCCTAGTGGAGAAATTAATGATGACTCTTTTTTGACCAGAAGCCAGGGGAAGCTGGGGCGATGGTGCCCCCTGAGGAGGCAGCACAGGGTGAGAGGGTCCTGGGAATGGAATGGACATTACCCAAGGCCCTTGAGGCAGTACAGAGTGTATGAAGAATAAAGTCATTATCAATAGGTGTTCTGAGGTCATGGTGTGCATCACAGCTGAGGGCAAGGAGAAAATTCAGGAGGAATGAAAAAATCAGAGACCAGGAAAGCAGAGAGTGGGACAGAGGCAATGTAAGGAGCAATTTTTTGTCTCCCACTGCGATTCTATTTTTTTATTAAAAAATAGAGATGAGGCAATAAACTAGGTATTGATGGGATGTATCTCAAAATAATAAGAGCTACTTATGACAAACCCACAGCCAATATCATACTGAATGGGCAAAAACTGGAAGCATTCCCTTTGAAAACTGGCACAAGACAGGGATGCCCTCTCTCACTACTATTCAACATAGTGTTGGAAGTTCTGGCCAGGGCAATCAGGCAGGAGAAGGAAATAAAGGGCATTCAATTAGGAAAAGAGGAAGTCAGATTGTCCCTGTTTGCAGATGACATGATTGTATATTTAGAAAACCCCATCCTCTCAGCCCAAAATCTCCTTAAGCTGATAAGCAACTTTAGCAAAGTCTCAGGATACAAAATCAATGTGCAAAAATCACAAGCATTCTTATACACCAATAACAGACAAACAGAGAGCCAAATCATGAATGAACTCCCATTCACAATTGCTTCAAAGAAAATAAAATACCTAGGAATCCAACTTACGAGGGATGTGAAGGACCTCTTCAAGGAGAACTACAAATCACTGCTCAGTGAAATAAAAGAGGATACAAACAAATAGAAGAACATTCCATGCTCATGGATAGGAAGAATCAATATCGTGAAAATGGCCATACTGCCCAAGGTAATTTATAGATTCAATGCCATCCTCATCAAGCTACCAATGACTTTCAATGACTTTCTTCACAGAATTGGAAAAAAACTACTTTAAAGTTCATATGGAACCAAAAAAGAGCCCGCATCGCCAAGTCAATCCTAAGCCAAAAGAACAAAGCTGGAGGCATCACGCTACCTGACTTCAAACTATACTACAAGGCTACAGTAACCAAAGCAGCATAGTACTGCTACCAAAATAGAGATATAGATCAATGGAACAGAACAGAGCCCTCAGAAATAATACCACACATCTACAACCATCTGATCTTTGACAAACTTGACAAAAACAAGAAATGGGGAAAGGGTTCCCTATTTAATAAATGGTGTTGGGAAAACTGGCTAGCCATATGTAGAAAGCCCCGAAACTGGATCCCTTCCTTACACCTTATACAAAAATTAATTCAAGATGGATAAAAGACTTACATGTTAGACCTAAAACCATAAAAACCCTAGAAGAAAACCTAGGCAATTCCATTCAGGACATAGGCACGGGCAAGGACTTCATGACTAAAACACCAAAAGCAATGGCAACAAAAGCCAAAATAGACATATCGGATCTAATTAAACCAAAGAGCTTCTGCATGGCAAAAGAAACTACCATCAGAGTGAACAGGCAACCTACAGAATGGGAGAAAATTTTTGCAATCTACCCATCTGACAAAGGGCTAATATCCAGCATCTACAAAGAACTTAAACAAATGTACAAGAAAAAATCAAACAACCCCATCAAAAAGTGGGCAAGGGATATGAATAGACACATCTCAAAAGAAGACATTTATGCAGCCAACAAACACATGAAAAAATGCTCATCATCACTGGCCATCACAGAAATGCAAATCAAAACCACAATGAGATACGATCTCACACCAGTTAGAATGGTGGTCATTAAAAAATCAGGAAGCAACAGGTGCTGGAGAGGATGTGGAGAAATAGGAACACTTTTACACTGTTGGTGGGACTGTAAACTAGTTCAACCATTGTGGAAGTCAGTGTGGCAATTCCTCAAGGATCTAGAACTAGAAATACCATTTGACCCAGCCATCCCATTACTGGCTATATACCCAAAGTATTATAAATCATGCTACTATAAAGACACATGCACACGTATGTTTATTGCAGCACTATTCACAATGGAAAGACTTGGAACCAACCCAAATGTCCATCAATGATAGACTGGATTAAGAAAATGTGGCACATATACACTATGGAATACTGTGCAGCCGTAAAAAAGGATGAGTTCATGTCCTTCATAGGGACATGGATGAAGCTGGAAACCATCATTCTGAGCAAACTATTGCAAGAGCAGAAAACCAAACACCGCATGTTCTCACTTATAGGTGGGAATTGAACAATGAGAACACATGGACACAGGGCAGGGAACATCACACAGTGGGACCCGTCATGGGGTGGGGGTATTGGGGAGGGATAGCGTTAGGAGAAATACCTAATGTAAATGACAAGTTAATGGGTGCAGCACACAAACATGGCACATGTATACATATGTAACAAACCTGCACATTGTGCACATGTACCCTAGAACTTAAAGTATAATTTTAAAAAGTTGTGGTAGGAACAAATAAAAAAAAAATAGAGACAAGGGCTTGCTATGCTGCCCCAGCTGGTCTCAAACTCCTGGGCTCAAGCGATCCTCCCATCTCGGCCTCCTGAAGTGCTGGGATTACAGGCATGAGCCAGTGCGCCCAGCCTACAATTCTATTTTTACAAAAATATAAAGGCTAAATGCAACATGGTATCCTAGATCTCGTCCTGGAGCAGTAAAAGGACATTAGTGAAAAAACTGGTAAAATCGGAATAAAGTCTGTAGTTTAGTTAATTGTCGTGTATCAGTGCTAATTTCCTACCTTTGACAAATGCATTGTGGGTATGTAAACCATGAACAATAGAGGAAACTGGGTAAAGGGCATCCAGGAACTCTATTCTTGCAACTCTTCTGTAAATCTAAAATTATTCCAAAATAAAAAGTTTATTTTAAAAAAAAAAGGCCTATTTGATTTTTAGCTTAGGAAAGTTTCCAGTACATCTTTAATTATTACTTCTGTTCTAATTGTTTGGTTTTGATAAAAAACATCTCTAATTCTTAGGTTAGACCTCTTCTCTCTCTTTTAATGGCTATCATATTACTCTTATATTGTTTCTATCTCTTCATTATTTTTCCTCGGAATTCTAGGAGACCTTCTGCAATTTGTTCTCTACCTTATTGGTCTGATTTTCTGCAACACCTTTTCTGCTTGTAAATCTTCCAAAGATTTTAATCCATCTCCTGCATTTCTAGCTTCTTTGTAATTCATTCTTATCTCAGTTATCTTTGTTGACATCTGTTTCAACTGTATTTTAGTCAGATTATCCTCTCCTGTCACTTTATGCTACCATTTCACAGAGGCCATGACTATTACCTCATAGCAGATGTCCGTCTAGTGTGACTTTGCAAAACTAGGCAGGTGCTCTCTCTTATAGACCTTATTGGCTGATCCTTTGCTATTTGAGTTTACAAAGCACATGAAAATGTACACTTGCAGTATGAACAAATACAGAGCTCTTCCTGTCTGCACCACTGCTATAATATTTGCTTGCAGAGACTGCATTTTTAGGAATTTGCAATTCTTGATTAAAATCCCAGAAAACTTGCATCTTCTAAGTAATGTGCAAATCACAAATGAAGGATCCACCACTTTATTAGTTGACACTTTGTAATGTTACAACAAGGCCTATTGGAAAGGGGACTGGGAGCTTTTTGTTATATACCACCAGGAATTGAATCAGGAAAAAGTCTTTGCTATGCTCATGATTCCTCTATTTTAAAAAATAATATTTCTGTTATTGTGTGTCTAATAGAGGAGGTATTGTTTAGTGCTTGAGATATTATTCCATTGGAATCCAAACGGACAACGCCTACCTCTGTGAGTAGAAAGCAGAATTCTTATCTGAGGAATAAGTTTCTTTTGTGTGTGTCTATCAACCACTGGGGGCCTTTTCTTAGCTTAGGGGGAGAGCGGGGAGAGCATGGCCGTGCCCGAGACCACAGGCTAGAATGAAAGGGAATGCTGGAAGGGAAGTTGGTCATTTCCCTGAAGGGTCAGGAATGTCTAGGAGACAGGTTTTTGTGTGATACAAATAACCTGACAAGTGTGACGTGGGGAGGAAGGACCCATGATGTGAAACCACACTCTGGGGACAGAAGCCACTTATGGTGGAATAAAAGAAACAAATGTAAAACATTATTTAGAATGTCCTTTATGCTGCTTATACTTTCTAGAATTTCTCTCTAATTCTCATTATTTAGTAAAGTCTCTTTGGGAAGTCAGACTGTCTCAAAAGATATTTCCATTTCTGCAAGGCTAGTCTTCAAAGACAATGTGTAGCATCCTCAGGAGATTAGATAGCAGTGACAGCTGGATTCAAGTGGGAGGTCGCTGAAGGGAAGGAGAATTCAGGAGGGATGGAGAGGCACTCACTCACCAGAGAGCCACGCTGCTCCACCCTGGAAGGGGCTGTGCTTTGTTTTAACAAGGGGCCAGTTCTGAGATGATTCTTCTGTAGACTTCTCATTCTCTGCCATGGTTCACATCGGCCCTCACCTGCTGTTTCTGCCCTTTCACTGCAAAGGAGCCCACATGCCTGCCAAGAAGGCAACATCAGTGGAAATCACCAAGATACCTGAAACCCATAGACCTTCCTGCCCTTTGCTGGATAAAGAATTTGCTTAAAAGAAGAGTTCATAATTTCTAGAACCTGCTTTGCATTTTTAATAACTTAACCCAGTACATGCATTCTGTTTTAGCAAAGTTGAATCTCAATCTTTTATTTGGTATAAATGAGTTGGTTAAGATTGCATCCTTGGATTAAGGATTTCAGCCACAGGCTGGGAAATTTTCTTCACCCAGCCCCAACTTCTAGCCTATATTTTTTTGCCAACAAAGTTTAATTACTGCAGTTTAGGGTCAGATTGCATGCCTCCCCTCCTTCTCACAGTAAGCTCCCAGGAGGAATTGCTAATATTTATTGAGCACTTGCAATTTGCCAGACATTATTTTAAATACTTTATGTGTAGCAATGAACTGAAGGAGCGAAAGGGTTATAATAAAGAGAAAGACAAAAAATGAATTCTAGAGTTAGATAAACCTTGTTCAAATCCCCACTCTACCACTTATACTACCTATGTAATTTGGGCCATATTTCTTAGCCATTTTATGTCTCAGTGTTTTTGTCAAAAGAAACTAATGGTATTACCTACTCTCCAGGGTGTTTTGTGAAGATTAAGAGAAATAACCTGTGGAAAGTGTGCCTGGCACATAAGCAGAGTCCTTCCCCTTTACCCCTTCCTGATGGAAGCTTAAGTATAGCAGAATGTGTACAGTTTGACCCATGACACTACAAAATGGAGTGGTTAGTTTTCTTCCTTTCAATAAATGGTCTCATTAATTTTCTGGCAAAGAGGGAAGAGAAGGGCTGGCAGCTCGCCACGGCTAATGGACCGTGGCTTGTTGAAGAATGAAACTCTTACCCACCATTAATCTGCAGGGCAGCACAATCCAAATTGGATGCAGTTATGAGAGTCTGACACCCAGGGGTGTTGGGGAAGTATAGATGCTAAAACAGTGGTTCTTACCTGGAGAGTTTGGAAATAAATGGGTGCCTGGGCTATACTCCTAACCATCTGATTGAACTGGTTTGGAGTGAGGCCCGGACATCAGTATTTTTTATAATGGCATTGGCAATGGGGCATGCGCCCTTTGTGGTCAGAGGCCTGGTTCTGCAAACACTGCCTGCAGCTATGGATGCCAGCTGCCATAAGAGCAGCCTTTCTGCCCCGTTGCTATTGCTGCTGCTCCCGACACTAACTATATCACATTGCTGTTCCATCCCCTCTGCCTCCTTATGGCCAGAGATAGGTCATGTCCACCACCACCATTTCTTCAGACCTCCCTCAGCGTCTAGGCCCAACTGCACCAGGCTGGGGGTGCGCTCCCCTCTCCACTGGACCAAAGACCAATTTATAAACACTATCTAAGATGATTGGCTTTTGGGGCTTTTACCCTTTTCAGAGAAAAATCCCACCCCACCCACCAGATTGTGATTTATTTCTATGGTCTCCACAAGATGCCCACAGGACAGTCCCATGTTATGCATTTTCAAGGATGATATTCAGTCTCTTCCAGGATTACCTTGTACTCACACTCAAAAATAAGAATCACAAGCAGTTTATTGTGATCATACTCAACAGCCTCTAAGGACCCAGAGTCTCCAGTTCATCTTCACTAAGGAGCTGGGAATCACCGTATCCAGTGTGACTAAGGGAATAAATCTGGTCAAACTGGGGTTGTCCTCTGTGAGTTCCATGCTCTTGTGCTGTATTCATCTGCCAAGTTGGGATGTTAGTCTTGTTTTAAATCTTAGCCTCTGTTTACAGACTTGCTTAACACTAAGTCTCTGGGATTGCTTTTTACAGAAGGCTTATCTTTCCCCTAGGACATTGCTATTTTATCCTTTCATGCATCATACAGTCTATTTTTGAAAGTGATTGTCAAATGTTTTTATTATAAGATAACATAAGTTCTATGAAATATTCAAGCGACACAAAAGGGAATGTAGTACTATACCTTTCCCTCCCCCACAAATGCCACTCCCTAGTATTAACCAACTTAGATTTGGTCTAGATCATTCTAGATCTTTTCCTAAGGGCTATATTTTAATACTCATAAATAAAGAGTACACACCATGTGGCATTGGTGGTACAGTGGTGAGTATAGCTGCCTTTGCAAGAGTACACACATTTTTTTGCATAAAACATTCCATAATAATTTCCCAGTCTCCTTGATCATGGTTTTAAGCATTTTTATATATTCCAATAAGCAAAAGTGCCATAACCATTCACCAAGTGTCAGTGAATTGCCATTTCCGGTTTTTCGTGATTATAAACAATGCTATGATCAACATCTTCATGCTTTTTTTCCCATTTAAGATAATTTATTTTGGTTTAATTCCCTTAAATGGAATTACTTAGTGTAAGAGTATGAACAATCTAAAGAAGCAATTTACAGTTTAATGGGGTGATAAGAAAATAGGAAAGACACAACAAGCAATTTATTTGATTGAATAAATTATAGTTTGTCTGCATAATTGAATATTATGAAGCCATTAAAAATAATATTGTAGAAGAATATTTAATATTATGGAAAGATTTCCACTACATATTAAGTCATTTATAAAACAAGTTGCTAAAATTATGTGATTTGTAAAAAAAAATTTTATAATCAAAATATATCTGAATAGAATTTGTATGGAAATACAAAGACCCCAAACTAGCCCAGACAATCCTGAAGAACAATATTGAAAGGCTTGCTCTACCAAAAATCAAGATTGATTGTAAAGCTACAGCAATGAAGACAGTATAGCATCAGTGCAAGTATAATTTTTTAAAAAGAAAAAGGAACAGAATTCAAGGGTCATAAACCTTCTCTCAAAAAGGCCAGATACTGAATACTTTAGGTTTTGCAGGTCAACTGGTCTCTGTCACAAGAACTCAAGTGCTGCTGTGGCATGAAAGTACCCATACACAATACACAAATGAATGGGCATGGCTGTGTTTCAATAAAACTTAATTTATTAAACCAGGCAGCAGGATTTAGTTTGCCTATCCCTGTAACAGAGAATCCAGAAACAGACATCTATAGACATGGATATAGGTATAGATATATAGACATATAGATATGACTTGTGACACAGATGGCCATAAAGAGCAATGAGGGAAGAATGGTTCTTAAAATAGATAATACAGATTCAATTGCTCCAATTAGCTAGCCATATTGAAAAAGTGAAATCTGATTCCTACCTCACAGCATATATAAAAATAAACTCCAGCTTCTTTCTAGATATAAATGTAAAAAATCGAAATAATAAACCTTCTAGAAAATTACATAAGATAATATATTCATGGGTAGAAAAATATTTCTTAAATAAGAACACAAAAAGCACTAACCATAAAAGAAAAGATTAGTAGGTTGGGTTATATAAAAATTATGAGCTTTTTCTTCATCAAAAGGTGTTGGCAAGATATAGTCTGGGAGAAGATGTTAGCAACACATATAACTGAAAAGGGGTTCATATCTAGAAAATATTTAAAGTGCCTACAAATCAATTTTTCTAAAAGTCAGGAAATCTCACAGTAAAATACAAGACATTGAGAAACATGACAAAAAAAGAATTTCCAAATAGTCAATGTATGTCTAAAAAGGTGTTAATCTTTACTAGTTATCAGGGAAATGCAAATTTAAAACATAATGATATAACTGTTAGAGTATCAAGAATTGGTGAGGATGTTGTATTAGTCAGTTCTCACATGGCTGTAAAAAACTGCCTTAGACTGGATAATTTACGAAGAAAAGAGGTCTAATTGACTCACAGTTCCACAGGCAGTACAGGAAGCCTAGCTGGGAGACCTCAGGAAACTTACAGTCATAGCAGAAGGGCAAAGGGGAAGCAAGCACATCTTCACAGGCAGCAGGAGAGAGAGAGAGAGAGAGAGCTAAGTGGGAAGTGCCACACTTTTAAACATCAGATCTGGTGAGAACTCACTCACTATCATGATAACAGCAAGGGGGAAATCCACCCCATGATCCAATCACCTCCCACCAGGTCCCTCCCCCAACATTGGGAATTACAATTTGACATGAGATTTGGGTGGGGACAGAGAGCCAAACAATATCAGACAGCTGTAGAACAACTGCTGATACTGTCAGATGCTGCTGAGTGTGAAATGATACAATGGAAGCTCCACGAAAGCTAAGCATAGTCGGACTTGTGGCCCTGCAGTTCCACGCCTAGCTTCACACCCCACAGAAATGTGTACTCACATGTATCAAAATACATGTACAAGAATGTTCACAGCTACATTATTCATAACAGCTTCAAACTGGAAACAGCTCGAATGTCTAATTAGTGGAATAAACAAATATTAGTATTCTTACATTAGTATTCATACAGAAATATTAGTATTCTTAAATTACAAGAATTACATTACAACTGGTAATATTATTTCAGTAAATATACTCTCCTTCACACAAAAATATGGAGGAATCCCACATACATAATTTACATGAAAGAAGCCAGCTATGAAAGACTGCAAACAGGCAAAATTAATCCATGTTGATAGAAGATGAGATATTGGAGAAGGGTTAGGAATAAGAGGGAGTTTGGGTTCCTGGTAATGTTCCATTTATTTCTCTGGAGACAGTCACATGGATTATTTACTTTGTAATAAGTTATTAAGATTTATATATGTGACAAATATGCTTTTCTCTATGTATGTTATATTTTAATTTTTCTAAAAGTTTTAAAAGATATATCTGAATAGGAACAGAACGAAGGCAACTGATACTACCTAAAGATAAATAAATAAAGATAAAAGCATCTTTTTAGCTAAAGCAGTGATGTTTAATAGAATGTTCTGTGATGATAGAAATGTTCTATATCTGCTTTGTCTAACACATTAGCTTCTAGCCACATGAAGCTATTGAGTACTTCAACGCAGCCAGTGAAAATGAGAAATTGAATTTTAAGTTTTATTTAATTGTAATTAATTTTAATTTAAAGAACCACATGTGGCTAGAAAGCAGCATATTGGACAGCACAGATACCACCATGAGAAACAAAATCCACTGAAATATGTTCTCTCTGGAAAGTAGAATAGCATGAGGAGGTGACATGGAGACCAGGTGCTCTTATTAGAAAATCTTTGCACTACTTGATGTGCAACTGTATGTATACATAGATAGAAATTAACATTTAATTTTGCAAAAGAAAAAAACTTGAAGTAGATACTTAAAACTGTTCATAGTGGTCATCTTTAGGCAGGGGATTTATGGTGATTTTTCTTTTCTTTCCTTTTAAAACAAGTATTTATACGTTCTAAAAAGTTTACCATAAGCAACCATGAAAAATGAGCAAATTAATAAATCACAAGCTAAAACTAAATATGGACTCTATAACAGAAAATTCTTTAGGGGCCTATTTGTACTTCTACTATTAAGGCAATAGTGTGTGTAATGAGAATTTATGGCAGGTTCTATTTTTCTTTTCAACATTTAATATCTAAACTTGCGGGCTAAGCACAGATTCCACATATAGCATTCCAGGTTTCTGCCACTCTCTACTTCCTTCTAAGGTACACAGGCACTTGAGTTTGGGCTGAATCAACAATGCAGAATTTGGCAGGGCTCACCTTCAGGAAGGTTTGAGCAGGTAACCCTGGAGGAATGGACTCATTTCCTGCTGCATTGTCTGACAGCTCAGCATCAAGGCTCTCCAAGGGCTAGATTATTGGTGAACTTCAGAACAAGTTTTGGTGAAGATTATTATAGGTTCCTCATTATGTATCCAACTACCTACTAGACTTTCTCTCTCTGGATTGCTCTACAGGCCCCATCTTCCCTCCCAAACTTGTACTTCTTCTGGAAGTACAATCTCACTCAATGACACTTCTATCTACCCAAGCAGCCAAGCTGGAAACCTGGAAGTCGACATTCACCTACATTACCCTGTCTTCCCATCTAGGACCCTGTGCTCCAGACCTTCTAAACCACTCCCCATTGCTTGCCCATTCCTGTTTCATGCACCTTTGCTTTTGCACAGGATGTGCCTTGGCTAGAATGTCTTGTTTCCCTTTTTAAATTGCTGATTAATACTAATTCATCCTGCAAAACCCATATCAAATGTCATCTCCTCTTAGATCCTGCCATTAGAGATGTTAATCTCAGTGTCTGAGGGTCCATATTTCTATCTAAGTGAAGCTACGTAACCTTCAGCGCTTGCCCAAGGATAGTCATGATCTGTCCTCGGGTCGTAGCTATTGTACCAGGGGTAGGTACCTGACACAGGGATAGCACCTGACCAAGATGCTGACTCATAAGCTAGCCTAGATAGAGCTTTTAGCAAAATTTAAACTAGGAAGTGGGTGAATCTTATGGCATGTGCATTTTATACCTCAATAAAATTGTTTAAAAATTAAACCATGAACTTTAAAATACTGAGGCATTTGGTAATAGGTATTTGAAATTGTAATCCTGAAGGTAGATTCAGGTCCTTAGAAACCATGCTGAGCAGGCATGAGCCAACGTTCTGACCATATCGAATCTGTGACTAAGCAGAGGAAGGCATTCGGCAGTGAGAAGAGAAAGAATCAGACGGGGAGACAGAAAGGGAGGTAACTATGTCTACTGCATACTTACCTTAAAAATGATTCATCGTTGATCTGAAATTCAAACTTAACTAAACTTGCATTTCATTTGGCAACACTGCATCCTGACCATTAATTGACACAGTCTATTTATAGGTATCAGGCATTTGTTTCTACAAAACCTACCTTCTTTTCAGAAGAATAATGAATTAGGTGAGTGCCTTCTCTTAACTATGTGATTCCCATTAATGAATCCTAGGGATTGCAACTGTGTCTTTAAGAGCTTACTATGTGTGGAGGTCACACGAAGCAGTGAGCCCCGGAGAGTCCCGATTTGCCCTGTTGTCCTGGCGTGATTATGAACAGCTCTGTCTTTCACTCCACAAAGTGAGCCAATTTGAACCATCAATAGTATGGCCTCCTGTATGCCAAGCATGATGCCAGAACATCAGGCCACATTATTTGTGACGAGGGACTAGATGCTGCTCCCCAGGCATTGCACCAATGCCTCTCCCTGCCACACTTCCCAACTGTGTTACCCATGAGGAAACTGAGGCTCAGGGAGCTGACACAACTTGAACACAGTGACTGCCACCAGCCAGTTTTCCAGTGGCACCTGCCCCATGTTACAAGGCAGCGGCCCACTCTCCCGTTGTGCTTGTTTGACTCTATTTTTACTCTCTACTCGCCTCCCACTTTCTCTGCACTCCTATACTATATGAGTCCTTCTCTTGCTCCTTCTGGTCCCCTTAACATTCTCCTTGTGCTTTTGAGCCTTCTGTCTTTTTCTCAAGTCCCTCCCTTCCATTTCTTTATGAGCTCCCCATCACCACCCTGCTCCACTCTCCAACGCCTGCTGCCCCACCAGTGCCTGCCACTTACGGGGTATTCACTGTCTGCTAGGAACCAAGAAGAACACTTTATATGCATAAAGCAGAGGAAGCACCACCTTCTCTCCCCTCCCCACTGCACTGGATCACGTTCAGACCCAATCTCTTAACTGTAATAGCAGCATTGTCTCACGGGTCCAATGTAGCATTTTCCCCTGGTGTTGTGCTGACATTTTGTGCAAGCATGAATTCTGTGGGCGTGGCTCTGTGAGTGCACTCAGAAGGTGCCACAGTTGACTGTGCTCTCAGAACTGTCACATGGTCTCAAGCTCTCAGCCACCCCATGAGGTAAGCAGCATCCTGATACCTGCTTTATGACCAAGGGAATAAAGGCTCAGAGTTGGCACCAAGACCAAGTCCTTTTTCACCAAAGCCCATGTACTTCCTAATGTACTGCATGTGACTCCCCAAATTACATTGTTTCGGGGACCCACCCCCTAGGCAAGGGGGAAAGGTCACTGGCAGATGAAAATGGAAAAGATCCTGATAAGGACACTTAGAAATGCTCCTTCAAGACATGCTCTAGACCTGGAGAGACCCTCTTATGAGAGATACATATACAGCCCCACTCTTTCTTCCCAGGAGGCTGTTCCATTCAACCTAAGGCCTTCCCAAATCATCCACTTATTCACTGTTTTTTTTTCCAGCTTGGTAAATATTCATAACAGGTGGACCTAAATAAGGAACAAATGCCATCTAATTTGAACTTGAACTCCTGCCTCACAGACCAATGCTTCAGTCAGTCCATGAGGAAAAACAATTATTACACTCCAGCTAGCACAGTCACCAGCTTATGAAGCAGCCTCAGTGGCACAACGGTTTATTGGCAAACAGACGGGCAGTTAAAAAAATCAATTTTGTTAAAAATAAACAAACTATAATTCCACCTTCCTGACTAGAGAATATTTCCAAGGCAAATGAATAATGGCATGGCATTTCAGTGCCCAGAAACCCTTCCAGAAGAGTCTTTACAATGTTTAACCTAATATTAACCCCAAGTGTCTTGGTGCGACATTCAAGGCCCTCTGTGATCTTGGGATCCTGGGATCTTCCCCTGTCAACCTTTCCTCCCTCACTCCTTGATCTTCCCTGAGTGAACTTGGCTCCAGCCATGAGGGGCCATTTCCAGTTCCAGCAAACTCACTGTACACTTTCCTGATCATTCTTCAAGACTCGATGCAGATACCAGTGTCTCACAAAATACTCCTTTTTCAGTGCTCTCAGAGAAACTGGTACATCATTCCTTCAACACTGCATGTATCACAAAAAATGAATGGTTTTCTTTTTCTATATTAGCATTTACAGAGCATTTCAATGTGCAAAGCATCATTTTAAGAGCTTTTACATGTATTGCAACAGTTTTTACCATACTCTCATGATGTAGATGGAACTTTCACATTCCCATTTTATAAATAAGGAAATCAAGGCACAAAAAAGGGAGGCAAGTTGTTCAAGGTCAGCATAGTGTAAGTGCTAGAACCGGGACTTGAATCCAAGTGGTCTGAGTCCACAGTCTGCATACCTAATATGAGACTGGATTTTTCTGTCTCTTTTATGGAACAATGGGGCCCAGAACCTGATGCATAGAAAGTGCTTAATAAACACGAGTGAATGAACAAACAAATGAAACCTATTTCTTGGCTTGCAGTGACGCTGGGCTGCTGATATGTAACATCTGCTTTCCTGATGCAGCCACCATTATCCCAAGCCCTTGGACACGAGGCAGAGAGGAAAGTCAGCCTAGCCCTTGTGGTCTGTTCCACCAAATGAGCCCATGGGTGGTCCCTGGTTAGGCACAGATGCCCCCTGCTCTTTGAAAGAACATCCGCTTCCACTGAAACAGGTAAATTCCTTCAGGGAATGACAGGTTTCTCCTCTCTCTGAAGATAGAAACTGTTCCTTTGGCCCACAGTGAGTTCGTTGGAAAAAACTGATTTCACGCTTTGCTGAATCTGATTGTCCTTGAACACCAGAGCGCATTATCTGCCTGCCTGCACCGGCTAAGTGTAAGGGCTGCTGTGACTGTGGTGCGGGGTGCAGGACGCAGCTGGGCCCCTGTTGGGGAGAGATCTGCACTCTCAAGGCTTTGCTGGTCCCCAAGAGCTTGGGTACAGCCAAGCCATCCAGTACACAGCCTTTCTGGCCCTCACATTACTTTCTGTGCCCTTGGCTCCCCTCCCCCTCCCCATCTTCTCATGGGCTGCAGACCCATTTTCCCAGCTGCTTACCTGAAGGCCTTTTGCCCTGGGTTGCCCCATAGGTCCCTCAGCCTTAACAAGCATGAAAGGGAACTTTCCAACCTGCTTTTCTCATATTCCTGGTAATGTCACCTTCAAGCAGCCAGTCCCCAAGCCAAGATCCCCTCCATTCCACCTGCCCCATTATGGATTTCCTGGTCCTCCCTGTGTCCCATTAATGTTGACATCCTAACATTAGAGGGTAGTCCCAGGTTCTGTGGCTCCAGGCCCTGTGCACAGGATGAGACATGATTACTCACTGAACAAATGGCCTAGCTGCCTGAAATGGGGTGAGTAGATTACTGGGGACTTCCAAGGAAATGTCACGGACCCCCTCCAGGGGGCAAGTGTGTGACATAGGGCCCAGCTGGAGTGTGGGGTCTGGCCTAGGCAGCAGCGTGTGTGGTCAAGGGCAGTGAGGCAAGAAAATGAAATCAAATCCAGGCAGCCTAATGGTCAACCCAGAGACTAAGCAGTGCAAAAGAATCCAGCAAGGTAATGAGAGGGAAGCTGGGAAACTAGATGGAGAAAGAAAGACACAAAAATCCTACACCCTGGGGAAGGGGGAGTCTTCGAACAAAGGAGGGAGCTCTTTCTAATGAGTCTGTCATGTTAGAGGGAAAACTGTTCTTTCAGAGCTTCATTGGGTGCCTTGGAGGAAGTTCCTGAGATGGCAGATTTCAGTAGAGCCCCTTAATAAACTTTGAATATGCAAAGTAGTTTAGGGTTGTGGGTAGAGGGTGGGTAGGTGAGGTGTTTTTTTTATGAAGTTAATAGGATTTTGGTGGTAAGGTTGGGAAGTTGGCAGCTTGGGAGGGGAGAAGACCCTCAAGGCTGACATCAAAGATAACAGCAAGGCCTAATGAGGGGCCCGGCCAGTGAGAGATTTCCCAGGGCAGAAAATGCCCATTAGCTATCGAGACACCAACAAGTAAGAGATGGTTGTAGGTTGTAATCTCTAATGTGGTATGCTAAATCTACCTGTTACCCCAAAGCCTCAGGAATGTCTACTCTGTAAGAGGCCTTGTGTTTGTAGTAAACTAGAGAGAAATAAAGAAAATTGGGGTTATGCATGAAATGGATCAAGGAGGTGTCAGAGGAGAAGGAGGTACCAGGAGGATGCTGTGTTCCTCCCCGTACCTGGGCTGGAGTTTGAGTCATTTTTCTATATTTATTAAAGGAAGAAAATGCCCTTGTAGCTTGGAGGACTGGGGATACTCAGGTAGCTGACATCCGCATTAAATTACCAACCAGAACGAGAAGGTCTGAAGCCGAGAGCACTAGAAGGAAGTTAAACCTGCAAGAAATTTTTAAAATTAGGTATCTGTGGCTATTAGGGGGTGGGAGAGGAGCTGTTACTGGCACCAGCCTGAAAAGGCCTGAAACAAAATAGAGCAGAAAGGAGGTTCCAAGAAATCCAGCCAGAGAACCGACCCAGGCCTGCAAGTTTATAGACTCAGATCGAAGACAAGCAAAGGAGGACAGCTCTATGTTTGGTTGGGTTAAGAAAATGGGACAGAGAAGGTCCACCCAGGATAAACATGCCAGAGGTGCCAAAGGAGAGAGGGCTGGAGAGAGACATGGCAAGAATGCACAACCAACTTCTCTGCTTCTGTCTTTGGGGCTGAGCCAGCATGGATTTAACTTTGCTCCCATCGGCTGATGGAACAGACACTCAGTGAACTCTACCTGGCAGCATTCTGTGTTGTTGGAATCCCCAGACCCTTCAGTAGAGCTCTGTTCCTGGCAGAACTGCCGCCGGAAGCCCAGGTAACAACGTCCCTCATCCCCACTCCCAATTAGCCTTCGAGCTCTGCAAATTCTGCTCCCTGAGCAGCACACATTTCCTCCTTTTCCTCAGAGTGCACCTTTCTTCACCTCCTCCTCATAGGCCTGTTGTCATGGGGCCTGATGCTTTGTCCTCTCCTTGGGTTAGGGCTCAGACTTCCCTTCAAGGTTTAGGTACACACCAGCAGGTGCTCCATTACTGCTTATTGAGTGAAGCGTTTCCAGTTAACAGCCAAACCCTTATACTCTGTGCTGTTCTCCCTCTCCCTGACACACATTCTCTGGCTTCTAGGATAGTCCCTTTTCCTTAAAAAAGCATGTGCACTTCAGTTTCACACTCACATTTAAGTGTACAAGTAAAATTTGCCAACACGAGAGAACTGGGGTATCCTTCAATGTGTTTCTGAGAACTCATAAGTTTGATTATCTTGCTCTATAGCTTTGCATGGATTTGGAGACCAGGAAGCTACATTGCTTCACCACTGTGGATAACATGGCTGTTTTAAAGCTGCAAGCTTTGCTTCCAGGGGCTGCTTAGAAGTGGTCCTCTCTTTCTTCTTCTCTTCTCCATCTTCTTCCTCCCTCTCATCTCGCTCCATCGATTCATCACTTACTAGTATTTTCTACAATGTCAGGCACTGTAATAGGCTCTGTATATAATTTACTTCAATTAATCCTTACTGCCAACCTCCAAGATAGGTACCAGCATCCCCATTTTACATAAGTTAAGAGACTTGCTTGTATAAGTCCCCAGGGCTAGGGAGCAGCAGATCCCTTGGGTTCCAAAGCACTTTCTGCTGTACTTGGCTGCCTCTCACCTGGGCTGGGTTCACCAGCCAGTCCCTGATCCTCTCTCTCTCCGGTGTCTCTCTATAAGCCCTGCTAGTTGGCTGCCTCTACTGGTCTCCTCCTTGAATTCAGAACCTGTTAGATCAAGTTCCTTTCATATTCCTGGTTTTGCTTTTGGAAAACCTTGATTGCTTTCTACCAGAAGGTATATTTATTGTAAGGACCAAGCAATCACGGTCCTTAACAAATTACACTTTGATTCTCTATCTGCCTTCACTGCTACCTCATTACCTAGGAGAACAGGGACCACATCTGACTCATCTGTGTTACCTTCAGAATGCTTTACCCTGAGACTAGGCCACTACAGACATTTAGTTGCTGTTTTTTTGAGTAAAGGATGATGGCAGAGCATAGAGAATGGGCTCCACATCAAATACTCCTGGGTCCAATTTTCCATCACATCCAGCTCTATGACCTTGAGCAGAAGCTTGCCTTTCTGAACTTTAGCTTCTAAAATGAGGAAAACAATAGCAGTCACTCAGTATAGTGTGAGGATTATATGAGAAATGCACATAAAGGAATTAGCGTGCTGCCATAACAGAGTAAGTGCTCAATAGATGTTGGCCATTATTGTTGGTGGTGGTAGTGGTGAGTGATTGTACCCTTCCAGTCTCTGACCCTTTAAGACCATCCAACACAGCTACCCAAACCTCCCAGGCCTGTTAGTGGCAATTCCTGGGGACTTTCCCAATTGTTTCCACCCTGCTCACACTCTGACTCCATTCTCCCCATTGTGATCTCTGGTCTCTGCATTCAGCCTTTTGATTCCAATCTTGCCTCTGCTTTTTTTGTTTTGTTTTGTTTTGTTTTTTGTTTGTTTTTTAAGACAGGGTCTCACTCTGTCACCCAGGCTGGAGTGTAGTGGCACGATCTTGGCTCACTGCAACCTCCACCTCCCAGATTCAAGCAATTTCCTGCCTCAGCCTCCCTAGTAGCTGGGATTACAGGCACCCACCAGCACACCTGGCTAATTTTTGTATCTTTAGTAGAGATGGGGTTTCACCATGTTGGCCAGGCTGGTCTCGAACTCCTGACCGCCTTGGGCTCCCAAAGTGCTAGGGTTACAGGTGTGAGCTGGGGTTACATGTGTGAGCTGCACCCAGCTGCCTCTGCCTTTTGCATGTAGATTTTATGTTTGGTTTCCTGGTGTTGACTTGTGGATGCTCCCGTATGGTTTTGGGCCTTTTGGTTCCTCCCAAAGCCTGGGGTCTGACCCTGCCCTAGTTCCAACCAAAGGTCACTCAATCTGCCTTAACTCTTCCCATTTACTATTCATACTCCTTCCACTGAGAAAGGAAAAGAGGTGAGGAATAAGGGCAGGTGGCAGGGAAGGAGGAAGAAGAGAGAAAAGGAAAGATGAAAGGGTTTAAGTTAGGCTCTCTTAATGCTACTCTGCACTTTTTCACCAGTGCTTGAAATTGTATTGCTGCTTCTAACCACTATACGTGTGGTCACTGGAATAATAATAACTAGCATGTAGTAATCATGCATTATATGACAGGTGCAATTCAAAGCACATCACATACATTAATTTATTCAACCCTCAGTACCAACAAATGAGACAAACAATAATAGTAACCTCACTTTAGGGATAGAGAAGCCAACATGCACTTGCCCAAGTGTTTGAGCAACTTGCCGGAGGTCGCACAGCTGGTACAGTAGCACAGCTGAGATTCCCTCCAGAACAGCCACTCGAGATACAACCTGGTTGCTGTTTATGCATAACTCTAAGCAGATCCTTCAAGTGAGGTATAGGCAGCTTTTGAGGCAACCTATCAGGTTTGGCCACTACCTAGGACTAGTGGATTTTGGTTAGGATCAATATTTTTGCTAAAGTGCTATGCTAGTCCTCTGAACAAATTTTCCCCTGGAGGGCAGCCAAAATTTGGGAGGCCCTAAGAGCCTGGAGACAGGATCAAAAGGCCTTGCTGCCTTCCTTATCATCATTCACACACATAACAGTGAGCCGCCGCAGCTCAGGGACTCTCATTCAGCTCCACATACCCCTTACCCTCTCATCCTGAACTGTGCTCAACCCAGTACATGCTTTGAACACATGATGTTATTTATACTGATTTCCTTGGGTTATACTGAGAATTTAATAAAATAATATTTGTAACAGTGTCTCTTAAAGTGTAAGGTGCTTTTCAGATAAAATTCGTCGTTATTGTTATTGGTGTCTCAAAAAAAAATCCCAGCTATTTGAGGGACTGTTGCAGAATTTTGGTACCATTGGAACAGGTAAGTAGAAAGAAAAGCCACTCTAACTTCCTCTTTCTTGCTAGACAGGGTCACAGTCATGCAGTTTCTTTTCGAGGGGTCAAATTGTATTTGAAGACCTTTTTATAGTAGAAATTCTGCCTTGCTTGCTCAGACTGTGTGGAGAAAGAGCAAGCTAAGGGTACCACCCTTGCCCCTCACCCCTCTATTTGCATCAAAGCTCTGTCTGGAGCCTGGGTGCTCACGCCTTTGACTTTGGTCTATAAACAAACCCAGAAGATGGAGTAGCCAGTATGGGTGTTTGTACAGAGCAGTTGAGGAAACATTCCCAGCCCAGAGACACAGCTTGGGAGGTTGTCAGAACAATTCAGGCTTCTGAGAAAAGGCTAAGCTTAGCCCAGCAAACATGGCCCTGCCCTGAGCCTGACCTCTGGATGCCACGTGTCACCTTTGGTGGGAAAATAAATAGTCTCCTTGTCTGGAATGTACGCCCCTTTTCTTGTGGAACATGGGAAACAGCCAGCAATTGTGTGGGAAGAAAAGCCTGTCTGCAAGCTGTCCTCGGAGCACGCGGACAGGCCTGCTTCCCGTCAGCAGGTCAATACTGCCATTGTCTCCCTTGACGGGTAATGCTTGTCACTCAGCCTCCCAAGATTCGGGCTCTCAAGTTCAGGACGGGCCAGGACCAGTGTCCACATAATTTTGTAAAGGGGGAAGGACAAGAGGACACGCATTAATTGGGGGATCTTGGTGCTGTTTGGCTTGCATGAAGACTATGGACAGGTAGAGAATCTAGGTCAGGGGTGCAATGCTCACCTTTAGATCAAGGCTGCTAAGACTTGCCCCGAGGCCTCAGAGGTGAGAGAAAAGGCAGAGGCTTGAGGTGAGCATGGAAAGCTGGCCTGGGAGGGAATAAATTTGCCAAGCAGGCCTGAGCAAGGCCCAGCCTTCTTACCTGTAAGCTCTGCTTCTAAATCTCTAGGACGATAAAAGGAAGCAATCACCTTTCATCTTCAGAAGTACATTTCATTAATTGATAATGGCTACCAGGATTTATTATATTACAAAATGTTCTGACACTGGGTTCAAGCTCAGTGGGAAAGATTGGTACAATTGATTAGTAATATCTGTCCTAGGTCTGGTTGTGAAGGGTTGGGACTATCAGAACGTACGCCCCTCTCTGCCATCCCTGCCCTAACCCCCTTCCACATGCATCCTAATGGCTGTCAGGCTCTCTCCCTCCCCTAGACTCCTCTCAGGACCGACTACTCTCCGCCTCCATCTGCCCCATTCCCATGAGTAAAAACATATTCCATTGCTGAAGTGAGAAACCTAGATCTTATCATGAACTTCTTTTCCATTTCTCTCCAGACACAGGTACTTTACAAATCCATTCAGTTCCTTCTCAAGATCTTTTAAATCCACACTCCTCCCTTCATAGCCTTTGTCTCAGCTTGTGGTCACTTTGGTGAGTACAGCATCCTTCTAACAGGACTATCTGACTTTGGCTTCTTCTCATGCAGCTTGACATCCACCCACCACACCCACCACCAGAGTGATCCCAGGAATGCTATGTCACAAGTGAGAACACCAGTAATCCCAGCTACTTAGGAGGCAGAGGCAGGAGGATCACTTGGGCCCAGGAGATCAACCCAGCCTAGGCAACATAGTGAGACCCTATCTCTAAATAAATAAATAAATAATATTATTCTTAAAAGAATTTGAGGTTTTCATGGAGGTAGAGAGTAAAATAGTAATTACCAGAAGCTGGGAAGTGAAGGGAGGTAGGAGATAAAGAGAAGTTGGTTAATGGTTATAAAAATACAAATACAGTTAGATCAAAGGAATAAGTTCTAATATTTGATAATACAGTAGAAAAGTTCTAATTAACAATAATTTGTTGGATAGTTCAAAATAGCTAGAAAAAAAATTTGTAATGTTCCCAACACAAAGAAGAGATAAATGGCTGGGTAATGGATAGCCTAATGATCCTAATTTGATCACTACACATGTATCATGGTATACATGTATTACGTATATGCCCAAAATATGTACAACTACAATGTATCAATTTAAGAAACCCAAAAGTTTGAATTCTGGCTCATTTAGTTTCCACAAACTGGTTCTTCTAATGTGTTAAAAAAACAAAACAAACAAACAAAAAGAATAGAGGCTCCAAGAGCCTCAGCACAGAGAGGAAGAGCTCTTCAGATGGTGAAAGAGCTGTCTGGGAAGGCTCCAGGAAAATCATAACTCCTTGGTCTCCCAGTGGCTGAAATTCAAGACAGTTCTCCAGTTTCCTTGATCCCTGCACTGTTTCTCTCTCTCTCTCTCTCTCTCTCTCTCTCTCTCTCTCTCACACACACACACACATATGCACACACACACACACATTTGTTTACCTTGTTAACTGATCTAAATGCCTTCTAAAGGATCCTTATTCAAGAATGAGGAGTAAATGGTTCAAAGACCTTCTCTATTCTTTAAGGTCTGAATTCTAGGAAAGTTAATAATTTTATCTTGTTCTTCCAACAGCCTCTTTATCTGTTCTGGTCACTTTGCTCCTTGTTCAAAGGAGTCAGGTGCCCAGAGGGCTGCTAAAGGGAAGATACAGACCTATGGCCAATGAGTGGGAAGAAGGACGTAGCAGCTCAGAGGACTCAGGCGCTTCTTTTCTTGGAGAGCTGGACCTCAGCAGGGGTCTGCCCTGGGCCCCAGAGAGCAGTTATAATTCGTTCGGGCCAACGACAAGGGGATGATTTATTCCCTGGTGCAGTGGGATGGGCTTTACAGGCATAAAACAGGAACAATAGCACCGTGTAATAAACCCAGCATGTCCTTGCCAGAGAGGAAAGAAAACTGAGTGACTCAGACATTAAACTGTCAGATTGTGACCGGAGACAGGTCAGGTGAAGAGAGCTCTTGCATAGGGCCAGGTTCCCGGATTCTGGGGCAGGCTTGAGCCGCCTACTGGTGAAGGACAAATAGGACAGTCAGCCCCAGAAAGACATGGGGAGAGGGCCAGCGAGCCAATGCGCAGCTTTTAATAGCAACGTTCAAAGTGTTGACTTTTATTTTATTTAGCAAATGTGGAACATAATGTCTCTGTGTTGCACTTGGTAGGAAAAGTAACAATTGTTTCCAGGGTTTTCCATAAACTTATCTATTTTGATCATTTGGCTCTAGAAGCCTCAGAAGCACCCCGAGGCAGAAGGAGAGGCAGACAGAAAATACAGACAATGGGAAACGTCTAAGAAGCGATATGCCCAGGAGGGTACAGGAAAGAGCAGAGTATTGAGATCTTTAGAAATCATTGTTAGTGCTTCTCCTAGGTAAAAGTTGAGCAGATTTTTGAAATAATTAAAAATCAACATTTAAACTACAGAAATGCTTTTCCTTTTCTTTTTTTTCCCAAGGAGTTTCTTTTAATATTCTTCAGGGAAGACTTCTCCATCTCCTGAGACTGAATTAGATAAGCCTATTATGCAAACTCATTGCCTCCTGTACATTCCCTTCAAAGCTCTTCTCATAATTTTTAATCATACATCTATATGTTTCCTCACGTTTTTAATATCTATCCCCCCACTAGACTATAAATTCTGGGAGTGCATAGCCAGGTTGCCTTTTCTTCCCTGCCCGATTTTCAGGACCTGGCACTTGCCTGGGCTATCACTGAAACTGAAAGGGATCAATGATAATGATGAACTGTAAGGTGGATAGGGAGGAAGAGGAGGACATGAGGGGTAAAAAAGGACCTATAGATTGAAGGTCCAAGTGAGGATGAAGGATGGTTACAGCCTGGGCTTTAGGAGGTTGGCAGGAGGTGATGGGGGTGGGGCATGGAACTGAGATTTTAGAAGGAGGTGTACCTATTTGTGATGACACAATCTAGACAGAGGCATCTCATGGGAGTTGGAAACTGAAGCACGGTAGAGAAATTCATCATGGGAGGGAGGAGCTGAAAACCTGAGGTCAGTTGTTGGCTGCATCTTCTCCACAGATGTTGATATTAACAGAATTATTGCTAATGTCAGGAGTGGTGTGGAGAGCTTAAGCCCTCAGTGAATGATGAGGAGAAACAGAGATCAGTGGATGACAACAAGGTTAGGTAGCAGGTGACATATGTTTTCTCCATCCATTTTTCCCAACAAATATTTACTAAGTGCATACTATATATGAAGCCCAATGCATGCTATGAGTGCTACAAGTAAGAGCAGAATATTGTCCCTCTTCCAAGGAGCTTGTGATATACTACCTATAAATGTATGTAACATTGGATGGGCACAGTGGCTCATGCCTGTAATCCGAGCACTTTGGGAGGGTGAGGCAGGCAGATTTCTTGAGGCCAGAAGTTCAAGACCAGCTTGGCCAATATGGCAAAACCCTACCTCTACTAAAAATACAAAAATTAGCTCGGCATGGTGGCACATGCCTGTAATCTCAGCTTCTTGGGGGAGGCTGAGGCACAAGAATTACTTGAACCCGGAGGTGAAGTTTGCAGTGAGCCAAGAACAGGCCACTGCATTCCAGCCTGGGAAACACAGTGAGACTCCATCTCCAAAAACACACAAACAAAAAGAGTCTGCAACTTGAGAAAGAAGTCTGAACTGGAAATATGGATTCCAACACCTTCGGGTTATAGATGAAGATTGAATTCATGGGACTGGGGGAGGAATTGATAACCAAGGAAAGGTGTGTAAAGTAAGAAGGAAAGGGAGTCCAGGAAAGCGTTCTACCATCCCAAAATATAAGGGGCAGGCAAAGGAAAATGAACCAGCAGAGATGACTTGGAAGGAACTATCCAAGGGATGTGCTGTAAACAAAAATGGAGCATCATCACAGAGGGCAAGAGGGAGGCAGAAGTGCACGGAAGCAGCTGGGTGGAGGAGGGAGAGTGTCCACCTTCCACCTCATGCCCTTAGGAGAACAAATAGGTAACTCAAAGGAGGAACAAAGCCAGGAGGCACCCAAAAGGGAGGACAAGCTTCTAGTTAACACAAGAAGATGAAAACAGTAGATAGTGAAGATGTCGAGAAGAAAGGGGGGCAGTTACTCTAGAATGTGGGGTTCTAGGAGGCAGGGTGGAAACATTTTGAAAAAAAAGAATGGAATATGAGGAGACAAGGGCCCAGAAGAGGATGGTGATGCAGGCACTTGAGCTTGGAGGTTCAGCCAAGGTTGACGGGGATATGGGTGGGAATAGGTAGTGTCAAGTCTCAAAATAAAATGCTGCCAAAAGTCATTTCAGTGCTGGTGTAGACTGGTGATCTATAAATCAGATAATATCACTCCCCTGATACAACTCTCCAATGGCTTCCCATTGTCCCTGGAATAAACTGCAGCTCCTTACTCTGGCCTTCAAGACCTCACATGGTCTGGTCCCTGACCTCCTGTCTAACTCTGTCCCCAGGCTCTCGTCCCCCATGCCACATAGAAGTACACAGCATTCTTTCTAAACCTGGAAAATCCCGAGCTTGCTCCCACCTCAGGGCTTTGTCATTAGCTTCTCCTTCTGTCTGTGATCTTTTTCTCTCCCATGGCTGGCTCCTTCAATTCATTCAAATGTCACCTCTCCAGAGAGGCCCTTCTTCTCGTGCCTCCGTAAGTCACCCTCTTTCCCTTTACCCCACTTTCTTTCCTTCATAGCATTTATTATGCTCTGACATGCTCTCACTTATGTAAGCCCTGTTTCTTTCCAGCAGAGTGTAAGATCCAAGAGGTCATGGGCCTTTTTCTTTCTTTGTTTGCCATGTTATCTCCAACATCTGGAACAGAGTCTGGCACAAAGTAGGTGTCCCATAAGTATTTACCAACTAAATAACAGACTGCATAAATGAATATTTAAAGTTTGGACCTCCTCTGTAGGCTCTGAATAGAGCCAGGGTGATATGGTTTGGCTGTGTCCCCACCCAAATTTCATCTTGAACGGTAGCTCCCATAATCACCAAATGTTGCAGGAGGGACCTTGTGGGAGGTAATTGAATCATGGGGGCAAGTTTTTCCCTGCTGTTACCATGATAGTGAATAAGTCTCACAAGATCTGATGGTTTTATAAAGGGCAGTTCCTCTGTACATGCTCTCTTGCCTGCCACCATGTAAGATGTCACTTTGTTCCTCATTCACCTTCTGCCATGATTGTGAGGCCTCTCCAGCCATATGGAACTGTGAGTCCATTAAACCCCTTTTTCTTTATAAATTGCCTAGTCCTGGGTATTTCTTCATAGCAGTATGAAAATGGACTAATACACATGGTCAGATTCCTTTGAGCCTTTAAGAATAAACAACTTGATATATTTTGAAATGAGAAGTCACTCGAGGTTCTTCAAACAAGACATTTTTCCTGGATGTAAATTATTCTCAATATTATACAGCATTTCCAGAAGACCAAACTTAGTTTATGAAAGAGAGTATATTAAAAGGTAGTGTCCCAAACAACAAATTTATTTAAATAAAATATTGCAAACAATGGCCCACCTATAAGTAGGTTTCCATATAAGCTATTGCACAAAACAAAAAGACATCTGCTCTTACCCCAGATATTTTTTGGGTGTTTTAATGTTAAGTGAAAATTTTATAGTGCCACATTCTCAGGCCCTACTGAGGCACTACCTCTGAGGTTTAATGAGATGACTCTGTATTTGGCAAAGATCATCACAGTCCATATTCTGACTGTTTTTGTTATAACACTGTATTTCCTAAAATAGAAAATTTAGGGGAGTACAGTAGGGTAAGAGATCCTGGGCAGCTTTTCTTAGAAAACCAAGAATGTAGAAGAGATAGAGCCATGTACCAGACAGGGGACGTTCACATTTTCCAAATTGTGTTCCAAAGAAGGCTAGTGTCCCTTAACTAGAAAAAAAACAACAAATGCTGGGTGGGTGTGGAAGAGGGTGTATTCTGTCAAAATAAATCTGGTCATGTAGGCATTAAATTAACTTAAACAGGCTTTTTTACTGCAGGGCTTCCGTGAATTTGGAGATTTTTCTGAGCTGGGAGGTGACCAAACATATCTACTTCTTTGATCTCAACACTTCCTGAAAAACAGATACTAACGTGGGTCATGATGTCAATGGTAGTTGTATGATTCTTTGATTATAAACTTGGCTTTGATATATTAGAGCATCAGGGCTGAGTAGTGGGGTTGTGGAAGTGGTAAAAGATGAGTCAATACACACAGAGAAGAGAAAGTGAAGAGCAAAAACACAGCTTTGATGATCTGTTACCCTGAGGGCACAGGCTGCAATACTTGAGGTGGAAATGTGGGAAGTGTTGGGATTTTAGGCAGAATTCATGCTAGCTAAGCCAACCCACTTAGATAAGAATTTCCTTACCTAAGCTCTGGAGTTTTTGTGGTTTTTTTTCATTCTATTTGGTTTAAAGTTTGTTACTGCTTATACTGTTGACTAGCATAAATTTAGGTAGAAAAGATCCTCTTAGGTGTGTTGGCTCACTCCTGTAATCCCAGTGCTTTGGAAGGTTGAGGCAGGAGGATCACTTGAGCCCAGGAGTCTGAGGTTGCAGTGAGCTATAATCACACCACTGCACTTCAGCCTGGGTGACAAAGTGAGACCCTGTCTCTTAATAATAATAATAATAATACTTAGAATGATAAAATAAATTTTAAAAAAGATCCTCTCTTTCCTTTTATGCACTTCTAGAACCAAGATTTTCAGAGAGGCAAGGCTAAGCACCAGCCAGGTATTATAAAATATAAGTAACAGCATATATATAAAATATGACTTGTTTATTTTTTTTAACTAAAGGCTATAGTTTATTTAGCTTTGCTTAGTTTTTTCTTCGTATCCTTTCTCTGTTCCAGAATATCATCTAAGTTACCACATTACATGAAATAGTCATGTCTTCTTGGGCTTTTCTTGGCTATACTTTTCTCTGGCATTGTTTTTGATTACCTCAATAGTATTGAGTAATCTTCAAATGTTTTATAGAATATTACTCCATTAGCATGTGCCTGATGTTTTTCTCATAATTAGACTGATTTCATGGGTGTTTGAGAAGAACATCAAGCATGTAAACTGAGTTTTCTTTTCTTTTCTTACCTTAATGCACTAACTAGATACTCCAGCATAGTATTGACTAGGAGAAGTAAGAGAAGACATTATCGCACTATTGCTGATATTAGGAGAAATACATCCAGTTGCTCACCATAGGTATGATGGTAGCTATAGGGTATTTTATCAAGTTGAACAAGGTCCCCCTGGCCCTAGATTTCTGAGAGACTTTTTTTAAATTTTTGTTTGTTTTTTTAATCATAAATGGGTGCTAAATTTTGTCAGTGCTTTTCCTGTATATATTGATATGATCTTATGATTTCTGTTTCAGTTTGTTAATGTGCCAAATTCCATTGATTGATTAACTAATATTGGACCTGCCATGCATACTTTCATACCTGGAATAAAGCTCAATTAGCTGTGCAATATTGTTAAGTAAATTGTTGGGTTCCATTTGCTAATAGTGTGTTGAGAAATTTCGCAACTATGTTCATAAGAGTTACTAGTGTGTAGTTTTTTTCACCTTTATTTATTTATTTCTTATTTATTTTAAAAACTCTCAATAAATTAGGTATCGATGGGATGTATCTCAAAATAATAAGAGCTATTTATGACAAACCCACAGCCAATATCATACTGAATGGGCAAAAACTGGAAGCATTCCCTTTGAAAACTGGTGCAAGACAAGGATGCCCTCTCTCACCACTCCTATTCAACATAGTGTTGGAAGCTCTGGCCAGGGCAATCAGGCAGGAGAAGGAAATAAAGGGTATTCAATTAGGAAAAGAGGAAGTCAAATTGTCCCTGTTTGCAGACGACATGATTGTTTATCTAGAAAACCCCATCGTCTCAGCCCAAAATCTCCTTAAGCTGATAAGCAACTTCAGCAAAGTCTCAGGATACAAAATCAATGTACAAAAATCACAAGCATCCTTATACACCAACAACAGACAAACAGAGAGCCAAATCATGAGTGAACTCCCATTCACAATTGCTTCAAAGAGAATAAAATACCTAGGAATCCAACTTACAAGGGATGTGAAGGACCTCTTCAAGGAGAACTACAAACCACTGCTCAAGGAAATAAAAGAGGACACAAACAAATGGAAGAACATTCCATGCTCATGGGTAGGAAGAATCAATATCGTGAAAATGGCCATACTGCCCAAGGTAATTTACAGATTCAATGCCATCCCCATCAAGCTACCAATGACTTTCTTCACAGAATTGGAAAAAACTACTTTAAAGTTCATATGGAACCAAAAAAGAGCCCGCATCGCCAAGTCAATCCTAAGCCAAAAGAACAAAGCTGGAGGCATCACACTACCTGACTTCAAACTATACTACAAGGCTACAGTAACCAAAACAGCATGGTACTGGTACCACAACAGAGATATAGATCAATGGAACAGAACAGAGCCCTCAGAAATAACGCAGCATATCTACAACTATCTGATCTTTGACAAACCTGACAAAAACAAGCAATGGGGAAAGGATTCCCTATTTAATAAATGGTGCTGGGAAAAGTGGCTAGCCATATGTAGAAAGCTGAAACTGGATCCCTTCCTTACACCTTATACAAAAATTAATTCAAGATGGATTAAAGACTTACATGTTAGACCTAAAACCATAAAAACCCTAGAAGAAAACCTAGGCAATACCATTCAGGACATAGGCATGGGCAAGGACTTCATGTCTAAAACACCAAAAGCAATGGCAACAAAAGGCAAAATTGACAAATGGGATCTAATTAAACTCAAAAGCTTCTTCACAGCAAAAGAAACTACCATCAGAGTGAACAGGCAACCTACAAAATGGGAGAAAATTTTTGCAACCTACTCATCTGACAAAGGGCTAATATCCAGAATCTACAATGAACTCAAACAAATTTACAAGAAAACAACAAACAACCTCATCAAAAAGTGGGCGAAGGATATGAACAGACACTTCTCAAAAGAAGACATTTATGCAGCCAAAAAACACATGAAAAAATGCTCACCATCACTGGCCATCAGAGAAATGCAAATCAAAACCACAGTGAGATACCATCTCACACCAGTTAGAATGGCAATCATTAAAAAGTCAGGAAACAACAGGTGCTGGAGAGGTTGTGGAGAAATAGGAACACTTTTACACTGTTGGTGGGACTGTAAACTAGTTCAACCACTGTGGAAGTCAGTGTGGCGATTCCTCAGGGATCTAGAACTAGAAATACCATTTGACCCAGCCATCCCATTACTGGGTATATACCCACAGGACTATAAATCATGCTGCTATAAAGACACATGCACACATATGTTTATTGCAGCATTATACACAATAGCAAAGACTTGGAACCAACCCAAATGTCCAACAATGATAGACTGGATTAAGAAAATGTGGCACATATACACCATGGAATACTACGCAGCCATAAAAAATGATGAGTTCATGTCCTTTGTAGGGACATGGATGAAATTGGAAATCATCATTCTCAGTAAACTATCACAAGAACAAAAAACCAAACACCGCATATTCTCACTCATAGGTGGGAACTGAACAATGAGAACACATGGACACAGGAAGGGGAACATCACACTCTGGGGACTGTTGTGGGTTGGGGGAGGGGGGAGGGATAGCATTGGGGGATATACCTAATGCTAGATGATGAGTTAGTGGGTGCAGCGCACCAGCATGGCACATGTATACATATGTAACTAACCTGCACGTTGTGCACATGTACCCTAAAACTTAAAATATAATAATAAATGAAAAAAAATAAAAATAAAAATAAAAATAAAATAAAATAATTAAATAAATAACCAATAACATTCCAAAAGGAGTAGCATCCAGGACCAGAGGGTTTCACCCGTGGATTTTTCCAAACATTCAAGGAAGAAATGGTACCAATTATCTTCAATCTTTTCCAGGAAATAGAAGCATTCCATGAGGCCAGCATTAACCTAACATCGACACCAGATAAAGACATTTCAAGAAAGAAAAACCATTCTATCCACTACATCCATATCCATGAAAATAAATAAGAAATAAATAAATAAAGGAGACTTGTATTATTTTTTGTTACACCAAAAGATTTCTTTAAAAACAATGTTTTGAATGGCCCATAGATCTTCTGTCTATTGACTGGAGTATCAGAGGACTTTGAGTATACTGATTTACAAGCCATAGCCTCTGTGGAAGAATGAGGCTCAGGCGACTTGAATGCTATGCTGTCTGGGGAGAACTATCATGCTGCTGGTACTCTGTACAAAACCTTAAATGCTAGTCTCACAGTCTCCCACTAAGCTATGGAAAGAAAATAAGACAATTACATAATGTAAGATAGAATATAAGCTTCATAAGAGAGGATCAATAATATATATGATTGTAAAGAAGAAAGAAATAACAAATGACTGGGGGAAGGGTAAAATCAGAAAAGGTTTCAAGGGCTTTAAAGCAGCGGTGCCCAACCTTTTTGGCACCAGGGTCCAGTTTCATGGAAGATAATTTTTCCATGGACATGGGGGATGGGGGTGGATGGTTTGGGGATGAAACTGTTCCACCTCAGATCATCGGACATTAGACTGTCACAAGGAGCATGCAACCTAGATCCTTCATATGTGCAGTTCACAATAGGGTTCGAGCTACTCTGAGAATCTAATGCTGCTGCTGATCTGTCAGGACACAGAGCTCAGGCGGTAATGCTCACTAGCCCAAGGCTCACCCCCAGCTGTGTGGCCCCATTCCTAATAGGCCATAGACCAGTACCAGTCTGCACCTGGGGACTGGGGAGCCCTGCTTTAAAGGACAGAAACTATGCACCTGAGGCCAAAAAAGGGTGTAGGTTGTTTAAAATAATAGCCTCCAGGAGACTTGGGCAGGGTTGGGATTGGGGGCAGGAGAATCTCGATGAGAAATTACTTAATGGGTATGATGTACATTATTTGAGTGATGGACACACTAAAAGCCAAGACTTCACCACTGCCCAATATATTAATGTGACGAAATTGCACTTGTACCTTTTAAATTTATACCAAAAAAAAAAAGTGTAGGGAAGAAGCACTGGATTCCTGTGTCAGGGCACTGGACGAGATGAACTGACTAAAACAGCTAAGAGTAGATGGGGCCAAGGAATATAGAAAGGTGGTAAATGATGTGGTTCTAATGGTGAGAGTTCCCAGGTGCCCATTCTTCATTTGATTGCAGAGGAAGATAAGCACAGCTGGAGACTTCTTTGGATCTCATGGACTGCAGAATCAGTGAAATCCATGTTTGAACTCTATGTGACTTCAAACAAATTACATAACTTCTTGACCCTCCATTTCCCCAACTACAGAATACGTATAATAATAGCTTTCAGAATCATTGTAAAGAGTAAATAAAATTCGTGGTTAGAAGATGTCACCAAATCCCTGGCACACAGCAGGTGCACTGTAATTCCTTTCTGCTCTGGAATAAAGGGCACAGTAGAGTGGCTTGTAGAAATTAGATTTTTAATACCCTGCTTTGTGTTGAATAAAGAAAAATGCATGTGTTAAGCATCTCTTGGTGGTATCCCACATACACACCCAGGAAAGGGTTTTTCAGAAACTTCTCATACCATGAGGGTGCTTATTTTAAACTGTATACTTTGGCTACACAGTTTTTTTTTAATGATTTTTAAAAATTTAAAAGAAAAATGCTTTTTCATGCAGCTGGTTTATGTCTCTCTATTCAACAGTACCAGTTTAATTTCTAGTAATTGAGTAGGGGGGTGTGGCGAGGGGAATTACAGTTGCCAAATAGGAAATGCAGACAAGGGTTTTATTTAATACAACTCATAAATTACATTGCCAATATCCTAAAGGTAATAAAGAAGTCAAAAAGCACTATTTGTGAAAATCAGTATATCATATGATGGTAAGCATAGTTGCTATTCACCAAAAACATTCAGAAAACATTGGAATTCATTGTCTGAAAAAGCTTAGGCTCAAGACTTGAATTACTAAGAAAAGAAAGTAGTATATAATTATACAAAGATGAGTAATAATCAAAAACTGTTCTTTAACGCATGTTTGTTTTTCCTGAAAGCCATTTCTAAGTTAGTGGTATTGTGTAATGGGAGGTGTCTCAGAATCTAGGAAATGGGATTTTTCCAGTTTGAGTCCAAATCCCCATTCTTTGTCATTCCTACCTCTGTCATGTTCACTGATCCATGCAGATCCACACTGTTTCCATGACACTAGCCACATCCTAGTTTCAGAATCAGTCTACTTCTTTCTCTGCAATTTTCCAAAGTTCAGTCTTCAAAGAATAAAGTAGAGAGGAAGCTAAAGGTGTGTAGCCCAGTGACAGTGCAGCAAGGTTGTGTTAAGAGACTTGATGTGGGCCGGGCATGGTGGCTCATGCCTGTAATGTCAGTGCTTTGGGAGGCTGAAGTGGGAGGATTGCTTGAGGCCTGGAGTTTGAGACCAGCCTGGGCAACATAGTGAGACCTCGTCTTCAAAAAAAAATAAAAAACTTAGTTGGGTGTGGTGGTGCACACCTGTAGTCCCAGCTACTTGAGAGGCTGAGGTGAGAGGATGGCTTGAGCCCAGGAGTTTGAGGTTACAGTGAGCTGATCACGCCACTGCATTCCAGCCTGGGCAACAAAGTGAGACCCTGTCTCAAACTTAAAAAAAAAAAGAAAAGAAAGACTTGGTGTGGTCATGCCCTGTCTGCCTTCCATAGAGTTGCTCCTGTCCCTTCCAACCTCACCGCTTCCTGGAATCCCATCTGCTCTCCTTCAGCCTTGTGCCTGCTTCTCTCCTCTCTTATTTAAATTTTACACAGGTCATGATGCAGACTTGTGTCATGTCAGCACCCCCACCTGTATTTTGTTGACTTCCTCATCATTTTAGAACAGGAATGTTTCAAATAGAAATCCAGATTTTAGGCTTTTTTGAAAAAAATGGGAAGATGTAATCCTGGGCCTGCATTCCTTCATAGGCACAATCTACTGGATTCCAGGACGGTTGGTCTCTTTTAGACAGGGGCACTTGACTTCCAGTTTGACACAGTCCCCACCACTCCCTGTTGTTTTTTTGTTTTTATTTTAAGTTTTAGGGTACATGTGCACAATGTGTAGGTTAGTTACATATGTATACATGTGCCATGCTGGTGTGCTGCACCCATTAACTCGTCATTTAGCATTAGGTATATCTCCTAATGCTGTCCCTCCCCCCTCCCCCAACCCCACAACAGTCCCCATCAAAAAGTGGGCGAAGGATATGAACAGACACTTCTCAAAAGAAGACATTTATGCAGCCAAAAAACACATGAAAAAATGCTCACCATCACTGGCCATCAGAGAAATGCAAATCAAAACCGCAATGAGATACCATCTCACACCAGTTAGAATGGCAATCATTAAAAAGTCAGGAAACAACAGGTGCTGGAGAGGATGTGGAGAAATAGGAACACTTTTACACTGTTAGTGGGACTGTAAACTAGTTCACTCCCTATTGTTTTACATCCAACCCTCCACCCTCATTTCAGTTACCAGCTAAATCTTTGCAGGCATTTCACTGTGTAACCTCGCTCTGTAAGTCTACCAAGGCCAACACCTACCTTCCCCTTCTGACAGCTCCCTGACTTCCATTCTTCCCTTGGATAATTTATTTCTGCCATTGGCCCTGGCATGATTGTCCCTGCCTGCCTCAACCTGGGCCAGCTCCTGGCTTCCAGCCATCCTAGGCCTTGCCCTCAGACTCAGTCTTGCTGGCTCAGTCCTGCTTAGACTTCCTGTCTTGAAGCACCTGCGCTGGAGGGTCACTGGGGAGATCTGCCACATGGAGCCCCAGATTTCCTGTTTGAGCACAAAAAATAAAAGTGAAGAAGACAGGTGTTCAGCTTTCCTCTAATAGATGCACCTTTCATCCCCTCGTCTTTTAAATCTGCATAAGGATGAAAGTTTGCTACACTCTGTTCTCATTGCTTCTCCCAGAGCTCTACACAGGATTTCGTTGGTTCCAAAGGAAACATTGCAGAAAAGGCAGGTTTTCTATATTTCCTTTCTTCATAATTAAAGTGTCCTTTTGCCAATAGCGAATCTATGAGAACTGAATGACTCATCAAAGCAAGGTTGTTTCTGAAGTGGAAGCCCTGGCTCTTTCATTTATTTTACTCTTACCTAATTAGACTTTTTACAGTAAGCCAAAAGGAAGGATAGAAAAAGGAAAGAAGGGAGAGAGGGAGAGAGCAGACGGTCAACCTTCATCTTTAATTCTCTGAGTTCTTCCTCTGTGACCCCCAGAGATCTGAGATAGACAAACCTCAGGTGCAAGGAGGAGATGATAATGGTCTCTCCCCAACTCCCATTCCACTCATCCTCTCCCTCATCCTTAAGGTGCAGTGCCCATGGCCAGGCTTGGGTCTGGGGATGCCTAGTGCATGGGAGGTCCCTTTGGCTCTGGAGAGCTGAGGAAGTCAAGCAAGGCCCAAGGAAGTAGAGAAGGAGCTGGCTTCTTGGATTGAAAGCAGCCCTAGACCTTAATAGGGGTGCAAAGGGCCCTGACCATTTTGGTGATGCATAGTCACACTTAACAGGTGAAAAGCAAGGCGGCAGCAGTGGGTGGACTTGAGGCCAACTCCGAGTTAGGAATAAAGAGAGAGAATTTGGTTTTGTGTCCCCTAATTTGGACTGTCCAGGTATCTAAGAGGATAAAAAGGTGACTGGGGATGGAGGGAGGAAATCTTAACGTTATAAAATTCTGATGATTACCAGTTTCTGGACCTCTGTTGATTGAATAATAGGCTAATCCTCTGGTGACCCATTCAATAGCTAAAAGACAGCCCAGGAGGCTTTATCTGTGATGGCCTTTTAAAAATTGCTTCAATCACAAGTCATTATAAAGCCCGTAATGCTCACTGGATATCCCTGACTGGATAGAATTGGCCTTATTTAAAGAAGCAAAGACAAAGAAACCTTTTCTTTTTTGATTTGTGAGCCCTGGGTTGCTCAAATGCTTCTCTTCAAAGATTATTTTTCCCATTTCATGCCCATCATTTTATTTTCTGATACCTGCTTAGAAATAACCTTGTCTTTCTGGTACTTAGTTATACCACATAAATCCTTTTGCCATTTCTAAGAAACCACAGAACTCTGCTCTGACAGTCTTCCTCGAGAGCCTGAGCCCAACCAGCCCAGCCCAGCAGTGCCACCTAGTCCGCTTAGTGTGACAAAAATTAATGAGTGTTCTGTTGAGGAGTACGATGGAATTTGTAAAATGGGATTTAATTGGGGCTGAATAAACTCCACTTTAAAATTCCTCACACATCAGTCTCTGCTCATGGGTGACAACAGTCTGCATTTTCTATGAGTTGTAACAGAATCCTCGTCCTGCAGCCTGGAGCCCTAGAGAGAGGGCAGCGATGGGGACCCCCACATTGCCTTTCAGAGCCATCAGTCATTCGGCTGCTCGGCTCTGCGCCGCCCTGGGAGAAGCTCCAAGCCAAGAGGCCTGGCCTAACAAAGAAAGCTGAAATTACATGGGAGCCCAGACAGAACTTTTGGGCGAATCAGATTTCATCTAATGGCAGGTTTTTCTGGTTAATGGCTGCATAATGCCCATCGAGTTATGCTGCCTTGATGCAACTTTAGAAAATGGGTACCACCATGTGGTATTGACAGAGGGAGCAAAACTAGACCCCTGATTAGTGAAAGTCTGAGTTTCACTAATAATTTATTGTGTGTATTAGTTTTAGCAGTAAAGCTGTCTCTGACCCATTGCATAGGGACTCTGCAAAAGCCACAGATGCTGTTGCTCTAGGGAGCGAGTGGGGAGGTTCATTCTTTGGGGTAAGACTGAGGAATGGGAGAGGGAGCTTATGACTATCCCTTGGAGCATTATTTGTTTATAGATCCCTGGAGCAGGGGAGGGAAGTGAGGAAGAAAAATCCATTGAGATTACCTGGATGACAAGTTTTTCCTCCACTTATCCAAATGGAGGGCATGCCTAGAATCAGGATGGCAAATAGATTTCATCTCAAGTGCCAATCCAGCCCATTGGTAGTGGCTGCCTGAAAGACTGTGTTGAGAAGAATTTCAGTTCCTTGTGTAAGCTCTGGGGAAGAAAAGTTTCTGCTATTGATTAGTAATTATGTAGCATGATCCAGATTTGAGAGAACATTTACCTTCACCCTGCAGAGGGTGAGTGATATGGTTTGGATCTGTGTCCCTGCCAAATCTCATGATGAATTGTAATCCCCAGTGTTGGAGGTGGGGCCTGGTGGGAGTGATTGGATCACGTGGGCAGATCCCTCGAGGCTTGGTGCTGTCCTTGTGATAGTGAGTTCTCACAAGATCTGGTTAAGTGTGTAGCATCCCCACCCCCTTCCTTGCTTCTGCTCTGGCCATGTTACATGCCTGCTCCCACTTGGCCTTCTATCAGGAGTAAAAGCTCCCTGAGGCCTCCCCAGAAGCGGAGCAGATGCTGGCACCATGCTTCCTGTACAGCCTGCAGAACTGTGAGCTAATTAAACCTCTTTTATTTATAAATGACCCAGTCTCAGGTATTCTTTTATAGCAATGCAAGAATGGCCTAATATAGTGAATTAGGAAATTTGGAGGTGATAGCCAATGAGCTAGTTGCCTTCAGAGGTCGTATGAATAACACGTTACATAAGATTCTTGACAACGTGGTCCCAGTAGCTTCTCTAGCACTGTGTTCCACCTAACCCCTGTTTCCAACTTTACACATCATTCATGATTTCCTGAACACAGTCTTGGGCAGGCAGGAAGTCTGTGGCAGAGACCCTTGGAGCTCTGTTCCTTTTGGGCCCGGACAGAGGCCTGGGCAGCACACCGTAGATGCTGGAGGCCTAGGTGTTTGGCGCTGCAGAGCCCACCAGAAGGAGCAACACAGTGCCGGCGGTGGTAGCCCAGTGGTGGCAACGTGCTGTGAGCCATGTTCAGCCAGGGCTCTGCAAGGCCTCTAGACCAGAAAAAAAACATCAGGAGAGAAGAGCTACTGGGCAAAGATGAGACCCAGCCCTGATTGTCATTTAAGAAATGCCATTTATCAGGAAGGGAAGGGGCCAAATTGAAGTTTCCTTGATAAAGGAAGAAGTCAGGTATTTCCCTGAGCGATGTCCCCTATAGAGAGGTATGGGATCCATAGACTTACAGTATAGAAGGGGAAGGAAGACTTAGTCCTCAATCCCACCATTCATAGTGTTCAGCCAAGAACAAACAAATGTGGGGCGAGGCTCTGCGGCCCACATACTAGCTGTGTGAACCAAGGCACATCATTTAAATGGTATTTCAATTTCCTCCTCTATAAAATGAGATCAGACCAATGCCACAGAGTAATTATTTGTTCACTGGACATTTATTATGTGTGTGCCAAGTGCCAAACACTGTGATCACTGCCGGATAAACAGACATAGTCCATACCCTCCAGGGTCTCACCATCTACCAGGAAGCTAGGCACAGAAACACAAGGTCACAGAGCAAAGAGGAGATGCTTGACAGCTTTTCCTGCTTTGTATGTGTGTTTTCTAATACCTGATTATCTGTGGAGGATGATCAGAAAGGAGACTAATGCAGAGCCTGAAACAGAGCAGGCATTTTGGAAATAGCGGATGAATCTGCATCTGACAGGGTCAACCTGAGGAAGGCACAGAAGTTAGTGAGGTGGAGGCAGAAAGGAAGGGAGACGTTTGCCCATGCTGCCTGAGGGTGGAGGCTTTTGGAGCCCTGCTTGTCTGTAAGCCCCCAGCCACATTGGCATCAGCTGTGAGCCATCTTCCATACCCCCAGCTATCTCCCAAGGACCCCAGCAGCACAGGTCCCTGGGGCCATCTCCCTGGCTCACCCACAAAAAGGGCAGCTCAAGTATTTCCCCACAACCTGCGAATTTGGCAGTCTGTATCTGTTTTTCTCTTCCCTCTCCTCTGACAATGTTTTCCAGGTAGATTCCTGCTAGGTGTAAGCTCAGTTATGAGACCTGATATAATACAATGCTATCATTACTGACCCAAGATGCAAAATAACCAAATGACTTGGAAATAGCAGGGAAAGCATGCAAATTATCAATTCAGAAATTCAGGCAGATAATTCAACCTTTTCACTGGTAGGAAGAACAATACTCAGTGTCTTTAACGCCTACTAATGCATATGAAACAACTTTGCCAATAGGTGGATAATCTAATTGTTCTGAACAATCCAATCCAGTATTTTCCTGCTTCTTCTTCATGCTAATTTATTCTGACATGGCTTTTCAATAATGAAAATCTGTTCTTGCAGAATCCATTTCATCGAGATTTTCCATATTAAAATGGAGATGGAAGTGTCGTGGAGAATTAGATTACTCGTCCTCATTCCCGTGCGTGGCGTTCCTGGGGAGGGGCCTTTGTCTCGAAGTGGGTAACCAGATGGCATTAATTTGAGAGGAGCGAGTGTACCTTGCTTGGCAGACCAGGCGATTGTTTTTATAGTGTTGTTTCCATCTAATCGAAGCCCCTTGCCGGCACAGACTTAATTTGCTCCTTTCCTCATGAAATTTGTTTATTTTCTAAGTGTTTTCAGTCCTAATCATTACCACCAGGGTGAAAAACTGGTGTAAACAAATGCCTCAGTGACTAGAACATGTGTTGTTGTCTCATTCTGGAGAAATACTTTCTGGGCACACAAAATCTTTAGCATCAGAAACAAAAGGACGGACTGATAAATAAATACACATTCAGGATGTGCCTACTGAGTACAGGTCTCGTCCTAGAGGATGGTGATGTTGTAGTGAACAAGGCACAAATACCTTCTACTAGGAGCCCAGGTCTACTGTGGGGGTTCTGGCACCTTAGTGTGCCTAAGAGCCACCTGGGGAATGCATTAGAAGTGTGGATTTCTGGGGTCCACTCTTACAGAGTCTGAATCAGTTGACATTCAAAAGATAGCTTATCTCATGTAATAGGGTCCAGCTGGCATCAACCTCCTTTCCTGGGAATATCTTATTCCCAGCACTCTTGGGAATATTTTAAATATGGGATGGACCTGCTTTTAGAAATAGTGAATGAATCTGAATCTGACAAGGGCAACCTGAGCAAGGCAGGGAAGTTAGTGGGGAGTGGGAGAAAGGAAAGGGAGATGTTTGCCCACGCTACCTCAGGGTAGAGGCTTTTGGAGCCCTGCTTGTGTGTGAGCCCCCAGAGACCCTGAAGTTAAATAAACAGTGTCTAATTCACGTCAAATGATATTAGTTTGGTTATTGCTATAGAGAGTAGGCATCTCAATGGGCCCAGAGTTATTGATCTTACTCATTTTATCTAGTGTAACATTAGATTTCACTGAATCTACAACACCATAGACTCTTGTACAGTGTTATACGAATTCACCTCTTCTAGGATGTTTTGAAATAATAAAATAACAACAACAACGATGACAATAAGACATGTTTACTCGTGACTTAATGACATGCCAGTAAGCACTTTGCATGTTCTGTCTCATTTAATTCTCACAACCACTCTATGTGGCACACATCTCTTATCCCTCATCTGATAGATGAGATGCTGCATCAATGGATGGGGCTTCCCTAGCTGCATGTTGGGGAGAGGGGATTAACTTGGCCATCTAGGCATTCTGGGGAACTCCTACCTACAGTGACCAACCATCTCGTTTGTACAGGACTGAGGTGGTCTCCTGAGACTCAGGACTTTCAGTTTTAAAACTGGGGAAATCAGGATGAGTTGGTCACCCTCTGGCCACATGAGATTTGCTGAGGACATCAAGATTCTAAGAAAGAACAGATTCAAATGCTGAGTGGAAAGATGAGTCCTACAAGCCAAAGAAGGCGTCCAAATTGTTCATCTAAACTAAATCAAGCAGCAGCCAGAAGCCACAGCACAGAGGCAGGATGCTCAGGTCAGGAGAGTGAATGTGAGAACACAGGGTTGAAATACTTCAGTGTGGTCTGGCACAATTACTTAGGACAAGTGGACTTTACTTGTGAGCTGCAGTTTGATACATGGTGGATCAGCTGTAAGACAGCAGTGTGTTTAAAGAGTCAGGTAAGTTAGGGGGGCAGATATGGGGCAGACATCTCTGTTTTGCTCCTGTCCATTTCCCATAGATGGGTAGTCCTGATGTTTCTCCAGAAATGCCTGTGGCACCTTACCACATTGTGTTCCAGGGCAGTCTGGTGTTCTCTCCAGTCCCACCACTTAACCCCACCTCTCCAGGTCTCTCAGGAAAAGCAGTGGCAGGAGTGGTCACTTACTTTATGTCACCAGGGCGTACAGGGCAACAGCTGCATGCTCTTTTCTCCAATGGAGTGGGGAGAATTGTTGTCTTAGTTCCTTTGGGCTGCTATAACAAAATGCCATAGATTGGGTGTCTTATAAACAACAGAAGTTTATTTCTCACAGTATTGGATGCTGGGAAGTCCAAGATCAAAGTGCTGGCAGATTTGGTGTCTGGTGAGGGCTGTTTTTTGGTTCACAGATGACTGTCGTTTCACTGTAACATCACATGGTGGAAGAGAGAGGAAATCTCTTTGGGGCCTCCTTTAAAAGGGCACTAATCTCATTCATGAGGGCTCTTCCCTCATCATCTAATTGCCTCCCAAAGATCGCACCCCCAGATACCCTTACATTTGGAATTGGGATTTCAACATGTGACTTTGGGGACGATACAGTCTATAGTAGTTGTCATAGAGCCCCATGGTTTGCACCAGTGCTCTGCAATCTCCAGTGGCAGGGGTAGGAGAGCTTCCCCCATCACATTCTGCCCAGGGTGGCAGGAGGCCTTCATGGGTTCCAAACAAGATGACTGAAGTCTTTACCCCTGGCCAGAGGATTTCCTCTAGAAGCAGGCTTAAACTGCTGGGAATCCAGAAACCAAGAAGCAAACAAAGCTTAGAATAGACTGTTGAGGCCAAAAAGCTAAGGAAGAGAGTCCCTGATGTTTGCATAACCAAAAGGACCAGAAGTAGCAAAGAGCAAAGTATAATTATGTACTCTGAGGGTCAAAGGGTCAAAATCTGAAGTTTGAGAGCCAAAGCAGCTAGGAGGGGTCTGGGGAACATTACTGTCTGCAGCTGGCTTGTGTGGCCAAGTACCATGGGAATGGGGTAAGAGGACAGTGTGTTTAAAGAATCAGGTAAATGTTGTAGAAGAGAAAAGATTCCCTAACAGGGAGGAGAGTGAGTTTTGCTTCTCTGCTTGCTGCCCATGTTTCTCTCCTGCCTTCCTTCTACCTCTTGTTCTGCCATCAGCTGGAATCATCCTTTACACTTCCAGCCTCCAGGGCATGCTTTCCTCCTCAGCCAATCTGCAGATACCTTTGCGTCTGCTCATTCTATATGTATGGACTGCCTACTGTTTCAGTTATCCATTGCTCTGGAACAAACTACCCCAAAATTAGTGGTTTGAGGCGACCAACATTGTATTGGCTCATGATTCAGTGAGTCAGCTGGACAATTCTTCTGGTCTGTTAAGGGTTTTGGGGGACCGTGGGGGATGGAATCTCTGTGGTCAGCTGATGGCATGGCTGAGACCGTGTGGTCTAGCATGGGCTCATTCACACGTCCAGCAGTTGGCAGCGTGACTGTTCTAGAGGACCTTCACTGGGACGCCTCATCTGTGCTCCACTGGGTCTCTCATCCTCCAGTAGGCCAACCTGGGATTCCTCACATGGTCATGGGAGGGTTTCCAGCTGCACATGAGGGTAAGCTTCAGTGCTCAGGGCTTTCAAAGCCTTACTTGCATCATGTTTGCTAATGTTGCTTTGGCCAAATCAAGTCATGTGGCCAAGCTCAGATTCAAGGGGAGAAGAAACAGATTTGACCCTTTGATGGGAGGAACTACAAAGGATTTGTACCCATTTCCTGCAATTACCACACCTACTGGATGCCAGGCATTGTTCTAGGCACTGAAGATATTACCATGTAGAAACAGACACACATACATCCTTGCTATTTTTTTTTTCTTTTTCAGAGACAGGGTCTTTCTCTGTCACTCAGGCTGGAGTGCAGTGGTCCAATCATAGCTCACTGCAGCCTCAACCTCCTGGGCTCAAGCAATCCTCACACCTCAGTTTCCCAAATAGCTGGT
This sequence comes from Homo sapiens, assembly GCF_000001405.40. Classification (NCBI taxonomy): domain Eukaryota; kingdom Metazoa; phylum Chordata; class Mammalia; order Primates; family Hominidae; genus Homo; species Homo sapiens. Next base: position 13,853,280 of record NC_000011.10, on the reverse strand, counting down.
ATTGTAGGTGCATGCCACCACACCCAGCTAATTAAAAAAAAATTTTTTAGAGACGAAGTCTTTCCATGTTCCCCAGGCTGGTCTCAAACTCCTGACCTCAAGCAATCCTCCCACTCAACCTCCCGAGTAACTGGGATTGAGGACCTAGCCACCATGCCAAGCTAATTTAAATTTTGTTTTGTTCTGTTTGTAGAGACAGGGTCTTTCTATGTTGACCAGGCTGATCTCAAACTCTTGACCTCAAGTAATACTCCAGCCACACCCTCTCAAAGTGTTGAGATAACAGGCATGAGCCACTGCACCCAGACCCCTGCTTTTTCTATTCATCATAGTTACAGCAACATATGAAAACTATGTAGATATTCTGTTATTATTGTATAGTAGCTGTAAATATAGGGAAAAGCAATATAGAGTGAGCTTTCTGTTTATTCTGTGTTGTAAGGATATCCTTTTTTGGATATTTTTCTTTAAATCTTTGTGTAAACCACTTCGTTGAAATATAATTCGCATACCACACAATTTACCCACTTAAAGTGTAAAAGCCAGTGCTTTTTAGTGTGTCCATAGAGTCGTGCAGTCATTACCACAATCTAATTTTAGAACATTTTCTTCCCCTCTACTAGAAACCCTGTACCCATTAGCAGTCGTTCCCTATTTTCCTCCTCCCCCGACCCTCTAAGTCTTGATTGGAGATTAAGGGAGGAAAAGATCTGTTAAAAAAATCACTGGAGAACAAAGGCAAACAGGGCTAGAATTAAAAACTAAGTAGGAAGATGTACAAAGGGAAACTTTGTCCCAGATCTGTTCTGATTGCTCCCCCATCCCTCACAGTGAACTTGACCACTTTAGATTGGAGGAGGAACAGCAGGTTGTATTCATTCATCTATTTAGTAAGTGATCACCAAGGAGGCCAGGCCCTGGGGATACAGATGAAGGTGCAGACTTTAATCTGAAGGAGCTCAGAGACAGGAGATTGGAGGGTGGGAGAAGGGGCCACAGTGTAGCAAATGTCAGGAGGACAGTGTGAGCCTAGAGAGAACGGTGGCCACTTGGCCACCAAGTAGAGGCACCCTATGTTATGATAAAGCCAGCACAGCAGAGAGCAAAGCCCAGAGAGAGAATGACACCAGGCTGATGCATTGTTGGAGCGTGATATCTAAACACTCAACAAATGTGTCTAGGATTTTCTAGGTACATGATTCAATTCTCCCTTTTTCCTCTATTTTAAGTTGGGTATTTGTTGCTTGCAATAAAAATCAATCATGTTCAAACTAATACACGTTCTCAGCCCCCTTCTGCCTCCTTTGCCAAGTATTACCAGTGAATATTACAGTTTGGGGGACCTCTCCCTCTTACTATCTGCAGAAGCCAGCTCACGCTCTGCTTCCTCAAATGCCAACTGTTAATAAACTCCCTTGGCTATTAGAGAATTAGAAGAGATAAAGATGGAAAAGCAGGTGGGAAGTCAGATAGCAAATGCAGGGAAAAGTGCACGAGCTTCGGAATTAGACAAATCTGGACCAATTACTGTTCTGTATGCATAAAATGGAAATAACATTACCTACCTCACAGGCTTGGGTGGGGATTACATGAGATAATATATTAGAAAGTGCTTATCACAGGGCTTAAAAAATGGTTTAGTGCTTAATTTAAATGAGTCTCTTTCCCTTCCCCTTGATTCAGATTAATGGGGAAGAGGACTAAATTTGGGGGGACTCAAGTTAAACAGTTTTATTCTGTTTATTCATTTCGATCATTTGTCCAGCTCATTATTGCCACAAATATGAACAAAGTGTGGCTCTTATCTTTGAGGGGCTCAAAATCATTACCCTAGAAGTTTTCTGCAAGAATTGGAGGTTGAGAGGATAGGAGTGAGTTGTAATCCCAGGGGCAGTGAAAGAGCTTCAGGCCAGTCCCTGAGGGATGTAGATGTGATGGAAAATCGCTTGGAGATGACTCAGAGCACTGCCCACCAATGTCAAGAGCCCTGCTAAAGCTTCACTATGACAGTTATGGCACCATTTGGCCTGGTTGTGTGAATTTTTTCTCCAGCAAGGCTTAAATGCCGATGGGCAGTGTCTAGAAAACTGATTGGCAAGGTGGGCACAGTGAACACACAAGGGGCTGAGGACACAGGAGATTTGAGGGAGACCATAGAGGAGGATAAGCCCAGCCGTGGGTGTCGGGCTGTGGATGGAGATAAGAATGTTGTTCATGGTACTACACTTTCTTCAGTCTTCAGGGTGTCACAAGGTGGGGACTGCTGGAGCAGTAGGTGTCCCGACATCCTAGCCCCTCTGTGATGGGCCAGGAAAACAGTTTCAGTTTTGGTTGTTTACAAAAAGCACATCTTGATTTCAGAAAAAGCTCAAGATTTTTCCCGGCCATGAAAGATGTGAGTACCAACTGAAGCTGCTGCTTAAACAGCCATGACAGCTGGGAGGAAGACAGCTGGGAGGAGGAACTGCTCTCTGGTTTTTTCCTGTAAGCACCCACCAGTGCCACGGGTCCAAGCAGAGAGCAGGAAAGAGCTCACAAGGCCACAGTTCATGACATCAGTTGTCAGCCAAGGAGACTGCAATTTGACTTTCTGCAAAGAGTAGAGAGAGTGGGTTTTTGCTTAAAAGACATTGATTCTGACTTTGATAATTATTTGGAGGTTAGGAAGGGGGACCTACTGCCAGATGTCTAGGGAACAACTATGCCATGCAGGCAGGAATGAATTGCTTCAGAACACATTGAGGTGGGAGCATTCCATACCCTCGTGAGGGCTGTGTGGGGGCACATGACATGAGTCACTCATGGCAGCTTCCCACTCACAACTAAAGCAATCACACACAGAGAGTGAACAGCACGCTGTGACTTCTGGGTGAATTGTGAGCAGAGTGAAGGAGCTGTTAAGAACTGGAGATGGGCAGAATGCTCCATTCTCCTCTCTGCAGACACTTGAAGGGCTCTTGTTGCTTGAGGCATGCATTTTCTTACTTCCTTTTATTGCTTTGTGAGGGATGTCATGGAGGAATCCAAGAAGTGTTTGGAGTTTGACTGAGCGGGATTCACCCCAGCTCATACTTACTAGCTGTGTCAGCTCGCCAGAGTTTCATAGGCTCTCTGAGCTGTATTTTTCTCCACAGCAATGTAGGAATAATAATAATAATAATAAACTTCTCAGAATGCGGGGAGAATTCAGCATGGTCCACAGCAGGCTCATAAGAAACATCGATTCCCTCTTTCTGTTTTGGGCTTCCTGAGCACCTACTTCTTTAAGGGAAAAGCAACAATACCTCCTGTATCCCAGGCAAAGACAAGAACAGTCTTAAACAACACAGTAAACAGAAGGAGGGGATTGATTTGCTCCCCTTCTCACACAAAGCTGAGCACACGACAGGTTATGGTTTTGAATATTAATGCATTTGAAGTGCAGAAGAACCACTTATAACAAAACTGTCTTGCTTGCAAGGATTTATTCCCCATGTAGTTTTTCATGACTCGTAAAAGATGATGGATGAACATAATTTTTAGTTTAATTTCTTGCTGTGCAGTTCAGTAATTTTTGAGATAAACTCAAATTACTAAGGATCTGGAACTGTTCAAAGCAATGAGGAGTCATGCACATCTGGTTGTACACAGGACACGCATGTTTAATTTTTCAAGCCAGCCAAAGAAGGGGTGAGTGGAAATCCCAGCACACATGTAAACCATGTTATCCTCAGAATTCACTTCTGCTACCCACAAATACAAACCAAACCTTCCTGTAGGAGAAATTATGTTTGCTTTTCTGGGGAGGAAAGGGGGCAGGGACGTGGATGGCTGGAGGGGCATACAGGTTCTTTTTTTCTTAAATATTTTTGTATCTTTTTTATCAAAGTAGACATTTGATTGTTTCCTAAAAAAGAAAAGTAGCACTTGAGATCATTTTTTTAAATCTGGGTTTTAAAATTTATCTTCTTTTGATTTTTTTCTATAGGTTTTAAGGCAATTTTCTATAGGTTCTTAAGGCAATTGAAAGCCTAAGTCCTTTAAGAAATTAGCAATGTGGTATAGTGGGAAACACTGGAGTTTTAGAATTAGAGCCAAGACTGCCTAAGACCAGTGATCGTGATGCAAACTGGAGCTAGAAGTGGGAGTCAGATCATTAGAGACTGTTGAAGGGTCAATGGGCAGAGCTTTACAGACCAGTTTTCTCTGCAAATAGTAATAAATAAATAATGAAATAAAAAACCTGGGCATGGTGGCACATGCCTGTAATCCCAGCTACTCAGGAGGCTTAGGCAGGAGAATCGCTTGAACCTGGGAGGCAGAGGTTACAGTGAGCCAAGATTGCGCCACTGCACTCCAGCCTGGGTGACAGAACCAGACTCTGTCTCAAAAAAAAAAAAAGAAATAAATAAATAAAAACAAAAGTGTAGTTAAGTACTAGCCAAGGGCAATTACCATTATGACAATGCTTGATAATTTTAGTAAAGATTTATGTTTTTTTGAAACATTCTTCTGCTAAGTTTTGTTGTGAACCTAAACTGCTCTTAAAAAAAAATATCTATATCAAAAAAAAAAACAAGAAATCTTCTTCTATGTTGTATCTTCCCTTAAATGTGTTTCTATTTATTAAACAGTGTTAGGTTAAATAGAATATGCTACTATCCTAATGAAGATCTTTTCATTCTTATAATCTTCCTGAAAACAAAGGGAAAAAGATAAATGTTCAAACAACCACATGCTTTGCTCTCTATCACTGACAATAACCTGAACAGAATTCTTCTATATCAGCAATTTAACCGCAGTGACATTGTACACACCCAGAATTACAATTTTAGTCTGGATGACGATATGGTATTTGCAGCATGCCAAGCACAGCCAAGGTGTTGAAAATAGAGAGAAAAAAAATCTATACTGTCATAACTGGTTCTGTAGCTAACAGTTTTCAGAGGTCAGATAATTATGCCTGCAAAGAAAATTTAAAGGATATAGAAGATAAAGATGGAAGAGAAACTACTGTTGCAGTTTAAAGTATCTGTGTATCCCAAGTATAGGATCACTTTTGCTGTTGGATGCCCTCCAAAGCTTCTATTAATAGGGGAAAAATGCCTATAGCCTGTAAACTCACCAAAGGGTAGCATAAACAAGAGGATATGATATGAAATAAAATGAGCTACAGTCTTACCAATCTCCATGTACTTATCACTTGTATACTACTGGTTTAGGAAAAGGATTTGAAGTGGCTTTTAATGAAAGATTCAAAGACATTAATTGCCCTAAAATAAAGTCACAGAGCCAAAAGTCATGTCATGAAGGGACAGGTATTTGGCCCTTCGTAGGCACTTTAATCTCTCAGGTCTGCACTCACATTGAGCCGCAGTGCCACCTCAAAACAGGTCTCCAACACCTTCACAGTGTTCAGGGTCTTTGCCCTGAACCCCAGCGCTTGACCTGCTTCTGATTCTCCAGGCTTCTGAACTCGCTGTTTTCCTTCGTGTTCATATTATACTCATCGCACCTCGGGCCCTTCTGTTCGGCACCACTGCGTTGATTTTGACCTTCAGTTTCTCTCTCAGACTATCCCTCTGGTTTATCAAGCTGGAGGAAATTGATCCAAGATCAAGGAGAGAGTTTTAATACAAATTGCTACTGACATGGAATACCAATTTAAACACTTATTGACTCTAACAAACTATGTTCAGCCATGCCAAGGCTGAGCACTTGTTTAAACTGTTCCCTATTTTCTGCATGCTCGGGCAGCTCCACCTCACTCAGAATCAGTGACCCCACTACCATTGGCTTTAGCTTCATAAAGCGCTCTTTCCTTGGCAATATCTAGTTTTTGCCTATCTTGTGGTCTTACTGGGTTTTGGTCTCTACAGGGTGCAGGTCTATCCCTGTCTTCACAGTCCCCACTGGCTCTAGATTCATGGTGTTCTTTTTTCCCCCCAGAGCCCACAATAAGAACACATTCTGGATCACAACCCAGGACACACACACACACACACACACACACAGAGAAAAAAAAAGTGTCATTAAAAAAAAAAAATTACTTTGGGAGGCCAAGGTGGGAGGATCACTTGAGCCCAGGACTTCGAGACCAGCCTGGGCAGCATAGGGAGATCCCGTCTCTACAATAAAAGTTTTTTCAAAATTAGCTGGGCATGGCAGTGTGTGCCTGCAGTCCGAGGTCTTTGGGAGGCTGAGGTGGGAGAATCACTTGAGCCTGGGAGGTCGAGGCTAGAGTGAGCTGTGTTTGTGCCACTGTACTCCAGCCTGGACAACAGAGTAAGACCCCATCTCTAAAAACCAAAACAAAAGAAACAAACGAAAAAACCAAACCTACATTTATGACATGGAATGCATTCAAGGTGTTTTCTATTCCATTTTATTTTTGTAAACTGTGGTCAAAATGCTATAATTCAATTTCACAATCCACTAAAAATGTGTGGCCCACAGTTTCAAAAACTGATGTGTGATAAACAGTTCTGATCTTATCTTGAGGGGAACCAGGCTCTTATCTACATCATTTTCTACATTGAGACTGTCCAACTATTGTTGAATGATTCTGAAGGTGTTGCTGGATTTTGCTAGTTATATGACTAGTTATATGGTTTTAGGGTCATCCTCAGTAAAACAGGCAAAAACAAACACACATTCCCCTATACACACATTCCCTCCCTCCCTCCCTCTATACTTTTGCTCTCATAGCATTTTTTTTTTTTTTTTTTTTTTTTTGAGACGGAGTTTCGCTCTGTCGCCCAGGCTGGAGTGCAGTGGCGCGATCTCGACTCACTGCAAGCTCCGCCTCCCGGGTTCACGCCATTCTCCTGCCTCAGCCTCCCGTGTAGCTGGGACTACAGGCGCGCGCCACCATGCCCGGCTAATTTTTGTATTTTTAGTAGAGACGGGGTTTCACCGTGTTAGCCAGGATGGTCTCGATCTCCTGACCTCGTGATCTGCCCGTCTCGGCCTCCCAAAGTGCTGGGATTACAGGCGTGAGCCACCGCGCCCGGCCCTCATAGCATTTTTGATGGGTCTTTTCCAGCTACAAAATATCCCAAATTGTCTTGGCCACAGTAAGAGAAGCTTTGGTGCTTTCAGCCACCCGGGCCGTCTAAGTTGTCCAGATCTTCCAACACAGACCCCATGCCTAATGCATCCCTGCTTTACAAGCTGATCCCCAGAGGAAGAACTGTACCAAACCATCCAGGTAAAGGATCAATTTTTCACTTGAACACAGCTCGGAAGGCCCTGGCAGTCAAGACAAAGAGGAGAGCAAGGAACAAGGGTTTCTAGGGATGCTGACATAATTCTCATAAATAAAAGGAAATGTAGTTTATCAGGAGAAATGAATATTTTTCCTAGTAGTAGACATAGAAGAATTCATTGTGTGATACTCTTATATCTTTAGTACACATTAAGATGCATAAAAGCTGCTGGAATCTTAGTCTATATAATAAAGAATTCTGCTGTGACTGTCCTGGTTTTGCCATTATTTATGCAGTTAATCTTTCTAAGTTTATTTTAAAAGTGTTCTAGAATTATCCCTAGATTCTCCCCAAGAGCATTTATGTAACTAATTGGCAGAACTGGGTTCTCATAGCCCCTAAATAAACTTGAAAGAAATTCGATGCTTGCTACTTACACTTCCTCACTACACTTCCACTCTTTAACCTCCTGAGCTACGACCTGGCTACTCTTCATTCCTTGGGATCTGACGTCAGTGTCTCTCAGTTGGATCTCTTTTCTAAATGACTGTATCAGTCAGGCTGGGCTAAGTTATGCTATAGTAACAAGTAACTCTAAAATCTTAGTGGCTTAAAACAGCAAGGTTTATATCTCATGGACTCTGCATGTGTCCATCTGGCATTGGCTGGGAGCTAAGGGAGTGCTGTCCTGTGTCATCATCACTCGGGGACTCTGGCTGATAGAGCCTCCATATCTAGAATGCCACCAGTCTCTGTGATGAGGACAAAGAGACATAGAAAATTGAGTACCAGCTCTTAAAGTCTTCTACCTCACAGAGACACATGTCACTTCTGCACTGTTTCATTCACTAAGACAAATCACATGGTCAGGCCTAACATCAAAGCAATGGAAGAAGTACTGTTTTACCATGTGCCCAGGAGAGGGATGCAGAAATTTTGTGAACAGGCTTCTTTTCCTGCTCCTTTGCCTCTCTGCAGCAGTTAACTAGGTTGACTACCTCTTTTCCTTTAAACGCTCTCCTCCTTTGGTGCTGACCACTTCTTCACTGACTCCTATTATCCTTCTTATTTCCCTCAAAATGTATAGGTCCTCCATCTTCCAACCCCAAAATTCATCCAGAATGTACCAGGATGGGGCCTAGAAGTCAACTTCAAACTTTGATCTTCAATCCTACAAAGAATGATCATCTCAGAAAACTTAGGGCAAAAGTAAATATGCATGGATTTACAAAAATCTCACTCTTTCACCCAAGTTCTTTTTTAGTAGGCATTACAAAAAACTGGCCAGAAATCCCACCCTGGGAAATCTAATAGAAATAAAAGCTCTTATACGTAAGGATATATGTATGGTATCATTGTTTATAAAACCAAAAACCTGGGAAAAACCTCAATGTCCAGCAAGAAGAAATGTTCTTGACTCAATTGTGATGGCTCCATACTGTAAACTATTATACAACTGTGAAGATATGGAAATAGAGCTATCTTTATTGCCCATGATATATTTTTATATGAGAAAAGTAGAGTTACCATTATAGTACAATTCAATTTCTATGAAAACAAACACTAACACCAGCTAAAAAATGTCCTAAATATATGTGTGTGTTTGAGCATAAAGGAAATTGTGGCAAGATACGTGGCAGGTTGTCAATGTAAATAATCTCAGGAGGATTGGAAAGGAGAGCACTTGGATGAGGTTTTTAAACCTCTAAAAACATATTTTAGGCTGATTTCATTGCTCATAATCATTGATACTATCAATTTTAATGTAATAAAAGAAAGGCAACACAAAAACAAAACTTTAGAATATTTTAAAGAAAAATAGTAACAAAAATCCTGTAATCTCACCACCCTCACCCTGCCACATGACCCCTCACCTGTCCACAGATGTGTTTTACAGCCGCAATCCCAATGAACTTATCAGCTTTTCACTTACCTTCACATCTTAAATGCTTTTGCTCATCACCCAGTCCTTAAAAAGATTATTTCCTTTATCTTCATCACCTTCCAGAGGGCCAATAAACTTTAATTTATCAAACCACTATTTCAATGTTGATAGCATGATGATCATTACAATACTAGTTGTGTCATCCTAGTTTATGCTTTTAAACATTATTTCTCCTTGAGGCCCCTTTTCTATTATGGCTTTTTGATATATGAACAACATTAGTTTCCTTTTTTATTCTAGTATGATTTAAAAGGTAAATACTTGGTTTTCATATTACTCATTATTAACTTCAGAACTTGCATAAATAGCCCATGTCCTATAACCATCAATTTATATTTGTCTATTGTTGCATAACCTAGAGGTCCTTTTATGGCAGATAAGGAGTTGGACCTTTTTGGATTTTCTTTCTTCCTTTGTGCTTTCTCATTAATCATTAGCTTAATCAGAGAGCTAATCTACCTATTTTATGCCTTTTGTATTCTGCTTTCGTTCCAACCAAATTAAAATAATTATCTTCACTTTTTCCCCTCCTGTTTTATAAGGATGGGGAATAGTAATATATATTAATGTTTACTTGTTGACACATAAGAAACTTCTTCCAATGGTTGTATCTACTAGCTATACAGAATAATAATTATTACCTGTGGTGAGAGGGAGGTGGGAACCAGGAAGATGGTGAGTAGGACTGGGGGATATGCATGTTTCATAGATCTACCTCCCACCCCTCTAGCCATGCATTAATCTCTTCACGATGTATTATCTAGAAAAAATTCCAATGGGCCCATATCAGATAGTTTCGCCTTTCTCTACTTTAACTTACAGTGTCAGAAGACAATGAATTTTATTTTCAAAATTTTTAAAGAAAAAGAGTGATAGGAAATGGCCATGTCCATTCAAGCTACTATTTTTTTCATGAATGTAATGAGATGTGAAATTCTTCAGAAACTTTACAACCCAAATAGTTATTTCATTCAAGTCATTGGAGGGCATTATCTAGAATGACAAAGAATGTTAAAAGGAGAAATTTTGGCTACAGAAATGCATAAATAATGAGCAGTGAAACTATTCTGCATGAAATATAACTACTATTTCAACTACTTATTTTGAAGATAAAAATAACCTAAGTGTGGAAAAGAGTGGTTGCTAAGAGAACAGAGAATAAGTAATACATGAGTAGAAGGGTAAGAAGAGATTTAACACTATAGAAGCTTGTTTCTTATTTACATTAAGTCCAGCAGGCAATGGTGGGGGCAGGAAGCATTCCTGCCATCTCTTAGGTACACCTTGTTTGCAAGTATTATATATATTTTGATTGTATGTGTCTTTTGTTTCACCATTATAATCTACAGTACCCTTTTTACTTTTTTACAGTTTGCTATGATTCTAATCATTGTAGAGCAGGATTTTAAACTATTCTGTTTGTATATTCATAACTGTCAATTCCTTGAGACTGGCCTGCGAGTTTTTTCATTTTCATGCAGGTCATGGGATACAAAGAGAAGCAGGAAAATGGTCTTAGGAAAGAAAGTCATCTCTGTCACTAAAGGATTCACAATCTACAAAAGGAGACAGGCATTTAAACAGATAATTGCAGCAATATAAAAAGCAGCACCAGAGAGAGGTGTATACAATTATGTGGGAATGAAAAGAGGGAGCAATTCACTCCAGCTGGGACTGGGGAAGATGACATTTGACCTTAGCTAAAGATGACCTTACACCCCATAAGGACATGGGATGGGAAACATCCCAAGGAGAAGAAGTGGCATCTGCAAAGATAAGGTGCCTTGATTGGCGAGGGTCTGCTGGAAACGTAGCAAAAATAATGTGTGAGCAAAGAGACTGTGTGTTTTCCTACAAACTCAACTCGAAATGATCTCTAGTTGATTGTTTAGTCCTTCCAGAAACGTGTAATTTTGTGAGTGAATCGATTCAAACTAAGTATGCTTTAAATTCTAAAAAGACTGAAAATCCTTGGGTCTCTAAGTGTAGCTTCAGGATGCTCCCAGAACACACCAACACAATATCAACACCCCAGTGTGCTGATAAGTGGGAGATGGTTTTTCAACTGTCAGAATTGGGATGCAACTGTCAGAGTACATGAAATCAGCCACATAAATATCAGAGGCCCACCCACTCTATGACAGCATAAAACCTCAAACTTTTTATCAAATTAGGAAATAAAAATAAAGGAAGGCTCTGTGTGTGCCATCTCATGGAGGAGCCAACTATGGTCATATCCAGATTTTCTGTACCTCCTTTCCCTAAACATTTGTTTTAATGCCAAAGGTATGACTTCTTTCACTAAACGATATCTGTCCTCTGGGACTGCACTTAGTGTTAGAGTTTTACTTTTTTAAAACAACTAAAAATGTGAAAAAATAATATATTTGAAGCTGGCATTGTATTAAAAGACCAATATTCCCATCAGAGCTTCTATGAGAGAGAACTGCAAGGACTCTGGTTCTGTGATTGGCAATGCCAAGCTAACCTCACTGGGCCTGGGGTGAGCTAATGGAGAGAGAGATCAGATCTTCTGTCCACACCACTGACCTGCCTCCTCCTCTAATGGTAGACCAGGAAACAAGAACGTTGAGGGTGATTCTCTCATGAATAATGCATGATAGCCTGGCTCTTAAGACTGATATTTCTCAGAATGACAATGGGATCAGGTTGTTTTCGACATTTCAATTACATTCAACAAATGCTTATTAAACACTTTGAGCACAGCTGCAAGTCACTGTGCCAGTTCCGTAGCACCTTCTGTGGAGGCTGCTAAGATAAAGACAATTTAGGCTTTGCCTTCAAGAGCTTAAAATCTGAACAGGGAGATAGAACAAGGGAAATGAAACTCTTAATAAAATGCAGAAAATGCAAATGCCATTAGAGAGAGGTACCAACAACTATATGTGGGTGTTGAGGAGAGCCAAGATCACATATGGTTGAGGGGTGCCTGAAAGAGATGTCAGCTAAGTTTGAAGAATGGGACACCAATAGTTTTGAGTGCCAACTGTGTGCCAGACATTAGCACGCAACATCACAATTAATCCTCCCAGCAACCCTACCAAACAGATATTGTCTTTCCCAGTTAACTGATGTATAAAGCAAGGCTCTGCAAGGTTAGGCAAGATGCCCCCAAACCAGCATACATATATCCACACACAGACACTCATGCTCTGGTTTCAGTCCTAAACCTCGAGTCCCCCACATATCTACCTTCCTTCCATTATCTCATTGATCCCAACACCTGTCAGAAAACCCTCTGGTTCCCTCTTGTACAGCAGCACATGGTTACACTACCTGCCTGGACCATGATCTCTGGGCACTGGACTCCATCTTCCAATCTGGTTCCTCATACTTCCTCTCACTTGAATTGGGGTTTATCACCAGGGCCTGCTCCATCTTGTGTGCCTGCCTGTTCACCGCGGTCAAATCCGTCTCATTATCTTCTGCACCCACTTTATGCAGAAGCAAGTGATATGGACAGGAAGAGGCATCTGAAATGAGTGAGGAAGAACCAACTGGGACTTAGAAATAAGCTGAAAAAATGAAATTAAGAAGAATAAGCCAAAGACGATGACTTATTCATTCATTCAACAAAATCCCACACACTTGTCTATGCTCCCGGTTCAAGGTTAGGAGCTATGTTGTGATTTTAAAAAGTATGCATGAGTTTGTTGAGTTTACAGATTAGTTGTAGAGAGGGATGTAAAAACAAATAAACAAGTGAAAATTAGGACCATGTTGGGCCCTTCAGGGACTTTAGGGGAGATAGTGGGTGGATGTAGTGAGGGGAAAGAGTGCTCAGAAAGGTGTCAGAGATGGCAGCAGCCAGATGATGCAAGACCACTCACGTAGACCAGACAAGGAGTTTGGTGCTACATATAATGGGAGGAACCACAGTTAACTCCTATGTCAATTGCAACCCAAATGCAGTTTGTCTCTTGCCCTGAACCCTACAAGTACCACTCCTTTTACTGTGTACTGCCCCGGGGTAGAACTCTGCATTTTTTTCATCTCCTCCTATCTCATGCTCCCCTATGACATTAGTGAGCAAGGTGAACTTGAATGAAGACCCCCCCAAAATGAATGAGGGTGTCCCCATATCTCACATGCCCATTGCCCATTCTAGCCATAAGTTTAATTTTTTGACTGGTATAGTTTGGTTATATTATTTCTTTCCCTCCCCCTTTCTTAGCGGGACTCAGTTCTTATATCCTTTCATCTTAAATTTTCCTTTGAGAATCTCAATTTTCTATCTCCCCTGTTAAGTAACTCAACCCCTGTTCCCACTCTCAAGTTTACATATCGACTCTATTACCCTCTTCTGTAAATAAAGGGTCCTCCACAGGCTTCGCTATCTGCAGAACACACTATAGTGACCATCTTTTGTTATATTAAAATGTCATAAAGGACTCACTTCCCTATCGCCCATCCCACCCCTCTCGTTCCTCCACATCCCATATTGCCTTATTTCTTCCAAAGAAATACGGGCTCTTTCCATGAAGAATTACAACAAAAATATCTCCATCTTATTATAAATTATTTATACATGTGCTCAGAACAAACCACTCTTTTTTTTTCTTTTGAGACTGAGTCTCACTCTATCACCCAGGCTGGAGTGCAGTGGCATGATCTTGGCTCACTGCAACCTCCACCTCCTGGGTTCAAGCAATTCTCCCTGCCTCACCCTCCCGAGTAGCTGGGATTATAGGTGCCTGCCACCGCACCCAGCTAATTTTTGTACGTTTTAGTAGAGATCAGGTTTTGCCATGTTGGCCAGGCTGGTCTCAAACTCCTGACCTCAGGTGATCTGCCCACCTCAGACTCCCAGACTGCTAGGATTACAGGCGTGTGCCACTGTGTCCAGCCCAAACCACTCTTTTAAAGTTATTTTAAAGTTTAAAATGTTTTTCCTATTTCTCAAGTAGTAAAAGAGAACTCATCTGTGGTAGGCAGAATAATTTCCCCCACAAATACAGGAGGTCCAAGTCCTAATTCCCCAAATCTGTGAATATGCTACCTTACATAGCAAAAGCAACTTTGCAGACATTCTCAAAATCTTGAGATGGGGAGAGCAGCCTGAATTTTCCAGGTGGATCCAATATCATCACAAGAGTCTTTATGAGGGAAAGAGAGAGGCAGGAAAGTCAGACTCAGAAGTGAGAGAGCCTCAACTGGCCGCTGCTGGTTTTGAAGACACAAGGAGACTAAGGAACGCAGGAGGCCTTTAGAAGCTGCAAAAGGCAAGGAAACAATTTCCCTCTTCAAGCCTCCAAAAGGAACAACTTAATTTTACTCCAGTGAAGTGCATTTAAGACTTGTGACCTCTAGAATTGTTAAGTGATAAGCTTTTGTTATCCAAGTTTGTCACCAAGTTTGTGACCATTTGTTACAGAACCGTAGGAAACTAATACATCATCTTTGAAGCAAGACTAATTTTTTCTTTGGGAGAGGGAAACATTTCAAGGCAGCAGTTTGGTTCGGAAAAGATAAAGCCTCTTCTGCTGTGTTTGAATGTGGACACATGGAGGAGGCAAGCTATTGTTTATCTGGGCAATAGCTGTCCCAGTGAGGAGTGGGGGTGGTGATGAGGACAGGGAGGAAATGTAGGTGAGGCAGGTAAAGGCTTTCCCACTCCCTCTCCTGGTGGGCCTCAAAGGATGTTGGAGGCCTGAATTTGGACAGAGGGGATGCCTGTGGGAATTCTTGTTTATGTGGGAAGGTAGCCAGAAGGGCCTGCAACGGGCAGCAACAGGAAGCCAAGGGTGAGGGGCTGGCCTCTGCAGGAGCCAGGTCTTATGGTGCTAGAGGTTGAGATGCCCAGGTCCTCATTTAAGATGGACTTCCTATATGTTGAAGCTATTACCCCTAAACCTTTCATTAAGTTTTGTTGAAATTGATAACTTGATCTTAGGAAAGGACCTGTCCCAAGGAGAAGAGAGAGAACCTGGAGAAAAGTTAGAAGGTAGCAAATGATGACCCAGAGGTCAGAAGGCAGCCTTTTGGAGTAAGATGGCACAATAGTCAGGACCCATTTGTGGCTAACAAAAATCATCTTGGGGAAATCGCAAAAATGTTTCTGAAGAAAACCCCCATGATAGGCCAGAATTTCTGCAATCAGCAAGGAGGGAATCTTAAATCATCTCGGTTGGGAATTTAAAGAAAGGGTAACTATAGGGTAGAGAGATTGGGGAAACCCGGGTTATATATATTTTTAGTGTCTTGTTTTAAAAAATAAGCATGGGCTTTTACCCAGAGTTATTTGAATAACTCTGCATCTCAGTTCAGTGTACTAAGGTAGCTCCTAGGCCAGATATGCATTTGTTAATTCATTCAGCACATTTACTCAATGTTGTAAGATAATTAAAACTGACATGATTGAGGCCCCCAGGTATTTTTCATTAACCCTTGTCTCCTCTCTCCTTTTCCCCCTTCTCTCCCTTTTTTCTTTTTGTTGCCTTCTCTTTCTCTGTAACTTTACTAGCAGAAAAGCTGCAAAGTTAAAAAGAAAGAAAAAGGCTCTTGAAAGAACTGTTCTGGGGTTGCACGAATGATCCTGAACAAGAGGCACAGTTCCAAGCTCAAGTTTACTGCAGTTAGTGAAGAAACAGCTACCTGAGCCAAACCACAAGGACACGTACCCCTCTCTTCTCTTCACCCCATAAAACTACAATTGTGCTTTGATTCAGGTGCTGCCTGACTCACATCAGGCTCATAAAGCATTTGACCTCTGTTGAGTCACTTAAACTATTTTTTCCTTGACTGCATCTTCTGTAAGTTAGGCAGTTCAGTGGGTGCCTTATATATACTATCTCATTTAACCTTTACAAAGAACCCTAAAGTAGAAATATAATCCCATTCTTCACATATCAATACTGAGGATTGGGTAGATTGGATAACCTGCCTACAGTCAAATAGTCATTATGTGGGACAGCGCTGGCTTAAACCCTTATCTTCCTGATTCCAATCACAGGTGCAAACAGAGAGGTGGAAGCCAGGAGAAAGTGCACAGTGGTATCAGAAAGCTGAGAGAGAAGGAAAGCGTGACTGCCCCTTTGTACACCAGGCCCTACGTTATCTGCTTTTACACACTGCATTTCATTTAATCCTTACAAGCCAATGAGATGGGCACTGTGATCGCCAGTTTACAAATGAAGGCATGGAGGTTCCAGAGGACAAGTAACTTGTCTGAGTTCACACAGCCAGGTAGGGCTCTTGGTTCCCTCCCTGTCCACTTCCCAGGGATGCTGTGTCACCAACTGCCCTTCCCACATGTACTTTCAATGACTCCTTCTCAACTTGTGGGCAGCTTCCTCTCTTCCCTCAAACTTATGAATTCTCAAAGGAAACGCTTTCTAAACTGTATTCCCTCCCCACCCCCCAAGCTACTTCCTTACCTCCATTCTAGAAAAAAATAAGTTCATATTAACTACCTTCACTTCCTCACCTCCCTCACCACATTTAAGCTGGTTCTGCCCCCAGCCTTTTTCTGAAACCAAGCAAAGGCCACTAGAGATTCCCCAGTGGTCAAATCGAATGATCACTTCTCAGCCTCCATCCTTCCTGAGACTTAGATGGATTTGATAGTGTTTATGTAGCATTAATATATAAAACAAATGGAAGTGGAGCTACTTTGTAGCAGGGAGAAGGCCTGACCCAGCCTGCTCAGCCTCCTGTCTCCTTCTTTCTCCTCCCTCCCTGCAGGACTCCCCGAAGCTCCTCAGAGAAGCCCTGGAGTTCTGAGGAGCAGAGATTGAATGCCACTTTTCTTAGACAGGTTTTTCAGAGAAATCAAACGAAAGAGAGAGAGAAAGATTATTTTTAAGGAATTGGCTCATGAAGTCATGGAGGCTTGCCAAATATCTGGGTACTATGGCCTAGCCAAAATGACACATAAAATTAACTAGCACACCACTCTAGAGACTAAACAGCCCAGGGTTTGACAATAGTCTGACAAGGATTAGATACTTGATGTCCCCAGGTCCATCTCTGTACCCCGAGGAGCGGTAATGGAAGCCAGTGGTTAGATTGAGCCAGGGCTGGGCTCCAGCTGGAAGGGAAGATGAGTAGTTCAAGGGAGTTGACTGATGAACAGAGGAAAAAGATTTAAGGGGCTGACACCACCATGACCTTGGTACTAGGAGCATGGGTGAGAAAATTCTATAGGCAGAATGAACAAAGCTGGTTAGGATTTACCTTCAACCCCAAACCCTTAAAAGAAATGCCAACACATCAAAGTAATTTGCATCCCCTAAGGACTGTGAGCTTGTGGAGGACAGAGACAAGATCAGACTTTTCTTGTCCCCCCAAACCCAGTTCTGAGGTGGAGGTGGACCATTAGGAGAAGCTCCATGAACACATGGTGGGTGGCACAAAATTGAAATCCACCATATATCATGCACATTTTCCTTTCTCAGTGAAGTCACACTCAGCTCTGAGCCCACTGCTCTCACCAGTCCAGGGAGCAGCTAGAGTCGATATTTCTATATTTATATTAGGCATTTCCAACCAGTTGCCATGGATATCTAGAAGGTAAAGCAAAGTATCAACATGGAGTGAAATTCCACTTTGAAAAATCTTATACAACCTGAGGAAACTTTGCTTGTTTGTTGCATAGTTGTTAAAATGTTTAAGTTTTTCACAGCAGATTGTCTGTTTTGTTGTCAGAAGGATAAATAAAGGAAGGAAACTTGTCCTTGGCCTGGGAATTCAGAAAAAAACTGCTGTGTGGTTCTTGCTTTTTTCCTTTTGCAGGTCTCAGCACCTGTCAACTTAACTCACACAAATTCAGAGTGAGGCACTTTTTCTCCATTTTGCAAATTTTATTACAATACAATCTATTTCCTGCCAAATTAGTGCAGTTCTCTTTTTATTAGCTTTTTGTTATGTAGATCTATAGATAATTCTATCGTCCTTGTCTTTATTAAACCGATACCCTCTGCTGGTTTAAATTGGGTCATAAAAATTGTATCACTTTATTTTATGTAGCATAAATATAATGTTGGGTGTTCAGTGTACTGTCAAGTCTTGGTGGTAATGAATAACTGGCTTTCATAGCCTGCTGAGAATGCTGACTCTCCCTCCTACTCTATGGCTGTGGCTGATGCCGAATGATTTTCAAGCTACACCATCTCTGCTTTCCCCTAAGAATCACCTGGTGAGACAATGACCTATTCCATTTTAACCTAATTGTATCAGCTCTCCTCTGGGGGAAAAAAAAATAGAAAGAAAAAGGAAAAATAAATCCACAGCAGTCTCCCTCTTGATTCATAACTCAAATTCCCTTATGGAATTTTTCTTAAGCAGTCAGAAATTGAATGCTTTAAATCTCGAGGAGATGTTTGTCTGTTGGTAAGTGCTCCAGCTGATGGGACCTACTTCAAGTTGCAGTATCCTGTTATGCCTTCTGAGGCCAGCAACCTAATCAGCCGGGGGCAGCTGCCCATTCCCTTAGCCAGGGTCCTGGTGGTCTGAAAGGACTGGGGCCAAGTCATGAGACAGTGCCTCCAGAGGACAAGGTGGGAATGGCAGAAGCCAGGAAATTTAGTGACTCCCAATCTGGAAGACTCCATAGAGGCAAACTGCCCAGGTGAGGCCAGAAATTACAAGAGCTTCGCTCAGCTGGAGTCTTTGGGCAGGGAGCAGACTTTCTCAGGAAGAGAAGCATCCTCATGTTCATCCCTAAGCTGGGGACAGTGGGGACAGAGGGCAGGTGTAGTAGCTCCACCTTCTGAAATAAAAATGGATGTTTGATGGTTACCAGGGCTTTCCTCAGCTACGTATGAGGTGGTCAGAGACTCTAGACCCAAGACCAGAATGATAAAGACCTGCAGGGCTTTTGCTTCTGTCCTCTCACCCTCCCCCTGGTCCCTAGAGACACCTGCAGTGAAATCCTTAAAACACAAAACGTGTGAGTTCTTGTTTGAGAGCAGAGGGGAAGAAGGGAATTGGGAAAACTGTGACCCATAATGCATCCAAGACTAGTGGGGAGAAGACCAGAGCTAGAGGGGGTGATGGAATCTTCATAGGAAAGAAAAGTGGGTAAGTCACTGGGTTTGTGTCAGGAGAAGGAAAAGGAGAGGGTAGAGGCTGGCCAGGCCTGAGAAAGCATCCTGGGGCAGAGCAGTGGAAAGGCCCAGAGCTCCTGGCATGTTACCCGACTGGCAGGATCTAACCAGGGAAGGGGAGCTACCTAGGGCAAGGAGTCCTGCATTCAGATCTCTGTTATTGTTGGCTGTGTAACATAAGCCAGTGTCTTCATCTCCCTGTGCTTTGTAAAATGGATGTGATAGGAATTCTGACCTCTTAATTTGTGGTGATTCCTTGTTCATGGCCACACTATTCACAATAGCAAAGACATGGAATCAGCCTAAATGCCTATCAATGGTAGACTGGTTAAAGAAAATGTAATACATCTATACCATAGAATACTATGCAGCCATGAAAAAAGAATGAGATAATGTCCTTTGCAGGAACATAGTTGGAGCTGGAGGCTGTTATCCTTAACAAACTAACACAGGAACAGAAAACCAAATACTGCATGTTCTCACTTATAATTGGGTGCTAAATGATGAGAACTCATGAACACAAAGAAGTGAACAATAGACACTTGGGCCTACATGAGGGTAGAGGATGGGAGGAGGCAGAAGAGCAAAAAAATAAATAAATAATAACTATTGGGTACTAGGCTTAGTACTGGGGTGATAAAATAATGTGTACAACAAACCCCCATGACACAAGTTTACCTATATAACAAACCTGCATGTGTACCCCTGAATCTAAAATAAAAGTTTAAAAATTGTGATTTTTTTTTCTTTTTTCTCCTTGCCTTGATATAAAAAAATGTTCAGAAAGTTTTAGTTCTCAAAATATATTTGGGGGGGGGGAAAAAACAAAGCATTTGGACTCCCTAGATATAAAGAGTCTACTTGGTCCTGTCTCTTCTCTGAACAGCCTATTCCAAGAACAACGGCAATGTCCTGCCCAGCTGAGACCCCTAAGAGGAAGGTGTCCTGTGGGGTTCATAGCCTATGCTGTTAATTTCTGAGTTAACCTCTGTTTCATGAAGGGCAACTAACTGTGCTATTCCATTTGTCTTTAGACTAGATAAGGTGGCATCTGGATTCTGGAACAACAATGCGTTCCCAGATACTTCGCTGACTTAGAAGGGATTGATTCAGATGGTGATAATGAGGGCAGGCAGCTCCCAGGTGGAGGATCACTCAGGCAGAGCATAAGTGCTCCGGAAAAGTGCAGGGATCTGGCAGGATAGGAAAACAAGGCCTCTTCTCCAGGTTATTGAAATGTTTGTCATTGACTGGGGTGTGTCACACAGGGAAACAAATAAATTCCGGGAATGTGGAGAGGCCAATTGTGGATCAGGCTCACCAAAAGAGGGCATAGTATGGACAATAGACTCCTGATCACATCTCAAATAGCTACTCTCCACGTCCTATCTTTATGCCAGAAGTGAGCCATTCTTGGTTCTCTGGGCAGCGGGGGTGAGGAGTGGTAAAACTTGGTGGGGAAGGAAAGTCCTTATTCATAACCAAAAGATTAAGTGAGTGTTTTAGTGTGGGCTGCTATAACAAAGTGCCATAGACTAGGTGGCTTATAAACAGCAGCAACTTATTTCTCACAGTTCTGGGGAATGGAGAGGCCAGCATGGTGAGGTTCTGGTGAGGTTCTTCTGGGTTGCTGACTGCTAACTTCTTCCATGTCTTCACATGTGGGAAAGGGGTGAGATAACTTTCTGGGGTTCCTTTCATAGGGGTACTAATCCCAGGCATAAAGCCTGTACCCTCACAACCCAATTACTTCCCAAAGGCCACATGTCCTAATACCATCACAGTGCAGTTTAGGATTTCAATATAAGAATGTTGGGGGAAAATAAACATTCAGTACATTATGGTGAGTTCATGCTTGGACAGTTTTTTCCTTGGCCAATTCAGTCACTTCTCTATGAGGTTTTCCCTAACTTTTCTTCCTGTGGTACTCTCCAAAGATGTCTGCCATGAATTACCTCCACATACACCCATGACACTCCACTCATCAAGAAGTGAAATCTATGTCTCCTCTCCTGAATCTAGTGTGGACTTATGACCTGCTTTGACAATAGGATGTGGTTAAAGTGATACTCTGAGATTTCCAAGCCCAGGCCTTAGGAGAACTAGCAGCTCTTAGAAGCCACCTGCCAAAAGAAGTCTGACAACCCCAAGACAGCTGTACTATGAGGAAAGCCAAGTAAGCCAGGTGGAGATACCACATGGAGGGTGAGAGCTGCCTGGCCACTGTCCAGCTCTTCCAGTGAAATCAATAGAAAAATCAACAGCTGTGCAACTAAAGAAGCTATCTTGGATTTTCTGCTTCAGCAGGCAACACACAAAGTAGGAGAGTCTCCCAGCTAAGTCAAGCTCAGGTTACAGAATCCTAAAAAATCATGAATTATTGTTGTCTTAAGCCATGAAGTTTTGGGGTGGCTTGTTACATAGGAACAGACAACTGAAGCACCACCCTATGCCACAGTAAGTCATCACCTCCTCTGTGCTATTTAGGTGCTTTTGTACATACTTTTACAATTGTTGGTTTGCTTGTTAGTCAGCCTTATTCCAACATTCTTAAAAGCAAGGGCAGTGTCTTAAACATCTCTGATTCCCCAAAATAGGAGGTGCTCACTAATTAATTGTTGGGGGAATGACTGGCAAGATGGATGAATGCATGCATGGTGATGAATATAGGAATCCTTTTCCCACAAGGGGACAAAAGGAACAGCTTAGCTTAAAAGAAGAATGACTTCCTACAACCTCTTCCTCTGAAATCTAAGGGAAAATGAAAGAATTTAACACAGAGATAAAGAGAATTTGGAACCTGAGGGCGAATGTGGGAACTGCCTCATATAAATCAGCTTTTATCTCATCTGAGATGAAAGATGTGTAATCATTTATTGAGGATGATGATGGGGCAGCTTGAAGATAGAGACCCAGATAGCAAAGGGTGCTGGGAAAAACATTACAAGGAAGGTCTAAGAATATCTGCAAAGGAGAGAGCTTTTCTGGGAATGTCAGTCTTAACCAAAGGTTACTGAAAGATGCTTCTATAAAGGAGGATCACCTTCCTACCCACAAAGTGTTGTGGGAAGTCAGGGATCCCAAACAGAGGGACCGGCTGAAGCCATGGCAGAAGAACGTGGATTGTGAAGATTTCATGGACATTTATTAGTTCCCCAAGTTAATACTTGTATAATTTCTTATGCCTGTCTTTACTGCAATCTCTAAACATAAATTGTAAAGATTTCATGGACACTTATCACTTCCCCAATCAATACCCTTGTGATTTCCTATGCCTGTCTTTACTTTAATCTCTTAATCCTGTCAGCCGAGGAGGATGTATGTCGCCTCAGGACCATGTGATAATTGTGTTAACTGCACAAATTGTACAGCATGTGTGTTTGAGCAATATGAAATCTGGGCACCTTGAAAACAGAACAGGATAACAGCAATTGTTCAGGGAATAAGAGAGAGAACCTTAAACTCTGACCGCTGGTGAGCCGGATGGAACAGAGCCATATTTCTCTTCTCTCAAAAGCAAATGGGAGAAATATTGCTGAATTCTTTTTCTCAGCAAGGAACATCCCTAAAAAAGAGAATATGCACCTGGAGGTATAGACCTATGAACAGCCCCCCGAGGTGTGCCTGTCTTTTATGGTCGAGACTGCAGGGGTGAAATGGACCCCAGTCTCCTATAGCACTCCCAGGCTTATTAGGAAGAGGAAATTCCCACCTAATAATTTTGGTCAGACTGGTTGCTCTCAAAACCCTGTCTCCTGATAAGATGTTATCAATGACAATGGTGCCCGAAACTTCATTAGCAATTTTAATTTCGCCTCGGTCCTGTGGTCCTGTGATCTCGCCCTGCCTCCACTTGCCTTGTGATATTCTATTACCTTGCAAGGTACTTGATATCTGTGACCCACACCTATTTGCACACTCCCTCCCCTTTTGAAAATCCCTAATAAAAACTTGCTGGTTTTTGTGGCTTGTGGGACATCACGGAACCTACGGACATGTGATGTCTCCCCCAGATGCCCAGCTTTAAAATTTATCTCTTTTGTACTCTGTCCCTTTATTTCTCAAGCTGGCCAATGCTTAAGGAAAATAGAAAAGAACCTACGTGAATATCGGGGCAGGTTCCCCGATAACAAAGAAAGAAATAAATCCAAATAAGTAAATGAAAACTTTTCACCTATTAGATAGACATGGTGTAAATTCAGATTTTAGAGAAACCAGTAGGTTGCCAGAAGGGTGAAACTGGAATAACCAGTTAAGTGAATTCATGATTAAATTTACAAAAATAGTTGTGTGATTTTTTTTTAAGTAGTAAGACTCAACATGCTTGGCAAATTTTGTAGATGAGGTGAGGCATGTACCATCTGTGTAAAATAAATTGTCAGCAAATGCTTTCACACATCCCAGTGTTTAAATGTGTCATGAGATCAAAGGGGGAGATGGTAAGGGCTAGAGATGATTAAAAATAAATCTTTGCAAGTTACTTCAAAAATTTAAAGCAGCAAATGAATAGGAATAACTACTTATTTGGATTATCACAGATTCCTCAAAAACCAAAACTTACATGTAGATGGTAGTAGTTTGTAATCACCACACTCAGAAAAAGAAGCATCATGTTATTTTATTTCTTAAATTTATACTAAGTCTGACTCTTTCTCCACAAGCCAGCCCCTCTTTCCCTTACTCTAGGGTCTTATATAGTTCAGAACATTCTGGAAGGAACAATACTGGTCACAGCTGATATGCCACTTGTGGTTATATGCATGGTCCCTTGAAAGTGGGAAGTTCCATGGATTGTGTGCCTGACTTAAAATCTATTTTATTAATAGAAAATTTGAGGTATAAGAAGGCCAACAGATGAGGAGATGATTACCATAGAAAATACAGTTTATGACATACTGTTTCTAAGAGGAGGGAGCACACCATGTCACAGGGTCACCTGGGATGCACTGAGGATGGTGGGGAGACAGAGGGAGAAGGGAAATTCTGGGCAAGAGCCTCTACTGTTATTTCTGCAGGGAGGAATGGGTAAAGCAGGATAAGCAGACTTAGGATTGGCTAATTCGAATAACGTGGGCTCTGGGGCATAAGGGCTGTCCCTAGTTGTTTGGCACCTGCCCTGGAGTGATTAGGGCAAGAGGAGGGAGAGTGGCCCAGAGTGTGAAGCCCAACAAAGGAAGTGCTGAATGAAATAAATGAAATAATAAATGAAATAAATGAAAGCCTCTTATCTACTAGATAAACCTACTAGATAGACATGGTATAAATTAAGGTTTTAGAGAAATCAGTAGGTTGGCAGAAAGGTAAAATAGAAATAACCAATGAAGTGAAATCATGATTAAAACTTATAAAAATATCTGTATAATTTTTTTGAGTTATAAGACTCAAAGTGTTGGGGTCTGGGCTCTGGACTGGTTGGCTTGTATTTGAAAAGCTCTCTTGTGAATGAGATGTTTAGTATCTCTAGAAATTGACTAAGCATGGGAGGTATGGTCCCTCCAGAGTCAGCAAAGCCCCAGATGTCAGAGCATCAGAATATAAATAATAAAAGCTTTGGTTAATACAGTGCTGGGGTTGGGCCACAGATCTTTGGGGAGGCTGGGGGCCCCACTATAGAAGGTCTAGTCTCCCTAGGAGTTGCCATTTCCTCTTTCCTCTTTCAGAGCTTATCATTTTCCAAGAAACCATCACCTTCCCAGCTTTAGGGACTTTTTCCCTCTCTCAGATCAGCTACTTCAACTTATACCTGTCTGTAGCAATTAGAATGCTTTCCACTACAAGTAGCAAAAGAAACAAAAAACTCAAATTGGCTTTAAAAATAAAAGAAAGCTCTTGCGATAGTTTACTGAGAATGATGGTTTCCAATTTCATCCATGTCCCTACAAAGGACATGAACTCATCATTTTTTATGGCTGCATAGTATTCCATGGTGTGTATGTGCCACATTTTCTTAATCCAGTCTATCATTGTTGGACATTTGGGTTGGTTCCAAGTCTTTGCTATTGTGAATAGTGCCGCAATAAACATACGTGTGCATGTGTCTTTATAGCAGCATGATTTATAGTCCTTTGGGTATATACCCAGTAATGGGATGGCTGGGTCAAATGGTATTTCTAGTTCTAGATCCCTGAGGAATCGCCACACTGACTTCCACAATGGTTGAACTAGTTTACAGTCCCACCAACAGTGTAAAAATGTTCCTATTTCTCCACATCCTCTCCAGCACCAGAACAAAAAACCAAACACCGCATATTCTCACTCATAGGTGGGAATTGAACAATGAGATCACATGGACACAGGAAGGGGAATATCACACTCTGGGGACTGTGGTGGGGTCGGGGGAGGGGGGAGGGATAGCATTGGGAGATATACCTAACGCTAGATGACACGTTAGTGGGTGCAGCGCACCAGCATGGCACATGTATACATATGTAACTAACCTGCACAATGTGCACATGTACCCTAAAACTTAGAGTATAATAAAAAAAAAAATTTTAAAAAAATAAATAAATAAATAAATAAAAGTGCAAAAAATAAAAAATAAAAATAAAAGAAAGCTATTGGCTCGCCTCCCGGCAGGAAAGGTTTTGGACATGGTTATATAAGCACTCTAATCTCTTGAAAGATGGTTTTAGAAAACTTCTGTTTTCTAAAAGGAAAGCCCAATTTCCTCCTTTCTACCCTTGATTATGGGACGGACTTAGTGGCTTGCTTCTAATGAACAGAATGTGAAGAAGTTATAGTGTGTGACTTTGGAGACTAGAACATAAAAGGCATTGAAGTTTCTTTCTTCCTCTCTTTCAGATCATTTACTCTGGGGGATGCAAGTTACCATGCCTTGTCACAAAGACTAAGGCAGCCCTACGGAGAAGACTCCAGGCCTCCCACCGATACCCATCAGAGACCTGCCATCTCTGAATGTGCCACCTTCACACAAGACCCTCCAGCTGCAGGCAAGCCTTCCAGATAACTGCAGCCCCATCTGACATCTGGCCTGAACCTCTGAGAAAGCATGAGTCAGAACCACACCCAAGTTCCTCATCCAAAGATACTGTGGGAAATAAGACCTGTCTGTTGTTTTAAACTACTTAATGTTGGGATAATATATACTTAGCAATAGATCATGAATAAGCCCCGTTTCTGCTGTCATTTTCTGTTATGCCCCATTTCATATCGGCTTAGTCTTCAAGCATACTTCCCTCATTGGGGTGAAATGGTTGTATTAGTTTCAGGTCCAACAAACATACACCACACTGTCCATGAGGTGAGAATGCACAGATATATCAGAATTCCCAGCAAATGTCTTGAGCTTCTGACAAATTGAGCCACCCCTGACCCAATCTCTGAGGTTAGGGGAAGGTTATATGCTGACTGAGAAAGCCCTGGGTTACCTGAACTATGACAAGGAGGATGAGTTTAATGCAAACCACCTGACTATTACACATACCTCCCTGGGGGTCCTTTCCAGGAAGCTTAGGCTTTAGAAGACAAAAGCAATAAAAAGGATTTGCCATCAAGTGATGGATACTTTCCATTGCCAACTCTTCCTGAGGCAAAAGGAAAAAAAGACCTGGCTTCTTTTTTTGTCATGGTGGGTGGAGAATAAATAAAATAGAAATAACTATCTCAATAAATTAACTTGCTATGTATTTTAGTGAGTCTCTGGTGACTCCTAAATTTATATCTTTATCCTAGAACATCTCTCAACCTCCAGAGTCATGTATACAATTGCCTCTTGACGTTTCTACTTTGGTATCTGTAGACATCTCAAACTAGACATAGCCATTGGAGACCCTGATTCTTTCCCACAAACATGCTGACACTCCATATCCAATCCAAAGGGAAATCATGCTAGCCCTGCCTTCAGAATATGTCTAGAATCCCTCCATTTCTCACAGCTTCCTGTCATCTATGGGTCACCATCATCTCTCACCTCTATTACTGCCTCCTAGCTAGTTTCCTTTGCTTACTAACAGGGAAAGGTGATCCTCTGAAAAACCCACCCTCACCACTCACATAACCTCTCCTACCTCTGTTCTAGAAGCACTGCCTTCTTTACCTTCAAATGTGCCAGGACCCTTCCTACCTGGTCATTATTTTACCTTCTTCAAGTCTTGGCCTAAATCTCACATTCTCAACAAAGGCATTCCTGCACTGCCGGATTTAACATTGGGACCTGCATGGCTCCATCCTGCCCTTCGTCCTGCCCTCTCAAGTTCCCCTTACCCTATCATATTAATATTTTCATTTTTTCATGGCATTTCTCATCTTCTATATAATTTACTTATTAATTATACTTACTGTCTACCGCCATCCCCTGCACCATGCATGTTCCATAAGAGCAGGGATCCATGCTTATCTTTTCCACTGCTGCCAAGAACAGTGCCTGAGGACTTGGAACCCTAGAGGGGATGCTTGATAAGGATTTGTTGAGTGAATGACTGGCTGGTTGGCTAGCTGATGCTCACACCAACCCCATGATGTAGGGATCCCTTCTGCCTCCATTTGCTGAGGGGTTCAGTAACTTGTTGGAAATCACAAAGCAAGAGGATGAGGAGCTGAGATGAAAGCCCAGCCCACGTGCTTTGCCACAGGCCCTTCCTGCAGCAGCTCTTATAGAATTTCTAATAATTAGACCCCTTCTTTCCTCTCAACCTTAACTTGGAATATAATTATGGAAATTTTTTTATCACAGCAGATTTCATTAAGTTAAAGAAAATGTAAAAATTATGAAGATGGCCTGAAGTCAGGAATGCCATCAGGGAAATGAAGCTCTTAACCTATGTGATTTGACTTTTGGGAAATATATTTAGTAATCACTTTTATCTTAAAATATCTAACAATGTCTTAAGAAAATGTCTTTCTCCTAATTGTTTTTGTCTTTATCTAGGCTTATTGAATCTGTGCCCCCAACCCCTGCTCCAAAAAAGAAATTGATGAATCCCTGTATTTATTTTTGAAATATTTGTGCTCAAAGCTTCTGAACTTGTTCCTTTATTGACTAACCAATAAACAAAAAATGTCTGTTTTCTCAGCAGAAGCCCAGGAACTTGTGTCACTCTGAGAAATAACAGTGAATTTCCTCATTAGGAAAAAGACCGCTGAGTCTGGCATTTGATAGCAATCAAAAGTGCCCAGGGCTAAGACCTACCTCTTCACCCCTCCACTCCTGCCAGCCTTTATTTCCCTCTCTGACTGCCCAATACTGGGTTTGCCCACTCAGGAGGAACCTACCCATACACTTCACCACTAGGGATGGTCTGTAAATGAGTGACTAATGAAAATGTAGGACCTACCCAAATTTATCTAAGGTGAGTTGAAGATCAAATGAATGAAATGAAGTGAAAAGAAAAGTTTAGAGAAAAAAGAATAAAAAGAAATGAACAAACCCTCCAAGAAATATGGGACTATGTGAAAAGACCAAATCTACATCTGATTGGTGTACCTGAAAGTGACGGGGAGAATGGAACCAAGTTGGAAAACACTCTGCAGGATATTATCCAGGAAAACTTCCCCAATCTAGCAAGGCAGGCCAACATTCACATTCAGGAAATACAGAGAACGCCACAAAGATACTCCTCGAGAAGAGCAACTCCAAGACACATAATTGTCAGATTCACCAAAGTTGAAATGAAGGAAAAAATGTTAAGGGCAGCCAGAGAGAAAGGTCGGGTTACCCACAAAGGGAAGCCCATCAGACTAACAGCTGATCTCTCGGCAGAAACTCTACAAGCCAGAAGGGAGTGGGGTCCAATATTCAACATTCTTAAAGGAAAGAATTTTCAACCCAGAATTTCAATCCAGCCAAACTAAGCTTCATAACTGAAGGAGAAATAAAATCCTTTACAGACAAGCAAAGGCGGAGAGATTTTGTCACCACCAGGCCTGCCATAAAACAGCTCCTGAAGGAAGCACTAAACAAGGAAAGGAACAACCGGTACCAGCCACTGCAAAAACATGCCAAATTGTAAAGACCATCGAGGATAGGAAGAAACTGCATCAACTAACAAGCAAAATAACCAGCTAACATCATAATGACAGGACCAAATTCACATATAACAATATTAGCCTTAAATGTAAATGGGCTAAATGCTCCAATTAAAAGACACAGACTGGCAAACTGAATAAGAGTCAAGACCCATCAGTGTGCTGTATTCAGGAAACCCATCTCACGTGCAGAGACACACATAGGCTCAAAATAAAGGGATGGAGGAAGATCTACCAAGCAAATGGAAAACAAAAAAAAGGCAGGAGTTGCAATCCTAGTCTCTGATAAAACAGACTTTAAACCAACAAAGATCAAAAGAGACAAAGAAGGCCATTACATAATGGTAAAGGGATCAATTCAACAAGAATAGCTAACTGTCTTAAATATATATGCACCCAATACAGGAGCACCCAGATTCATAAAGCAAGTCCTTAGAGACCTACAAAGAGACTTAGACTCCCACACAATAATAACAGGAGACTTTAACAGCCCACTGTCAACATTAGACAGATCAATGAGACAGAAAGTTAACAAGGATATCCAGGAATTGAACTCAGCTCAGCACCAAGCAGAACTAATAGACATCTACAGAACTCTCCACCCCAAATCAACAGAATATATATTCTTTACAGCACCACACCACACCTATTCCAAAATTGACCACATAGTTGGAAGTAAAGCACTCCTCAGCAAATGTAAAAGAACAGAAATTATAACAAACTGTCTCTCAGACCACAGTGCAATCCAACTAGAACTCAGGATTATGAAACTCACTCAAAACCACTCAACTACATGGAAACTGAACAACCTGCTCCTGAATGACTACTGGGTACAAAACGAAATGAAGGCAGAAATAAAAATGTTCTTTGAAACCAACGAGAACAAAGACAAAACATACCAGAATCTCTGGGACACATTCAAAGCAGTGTGTAGAGGGAAATTTATAGCACTAAATGCCCACAAGAGAAAGCAGGAAAGATCTAAAATTGACACCCTGACATCACAATTAAAAGAACTAGAGAAGCAAGAGCAAACACACTCAAAAGCTAGCAGAAGGCAAGAAATAACTAAGATCAGAGCAGAACTGAAGGAGATAGAGACACAAAAAACCCTTCAAAAAATCAATGAATCCAGGAGCTGGTTTTTTGAAGAGATCAACAAAATTGATAGACCACTAGCAAGACTAATAAAAAAGAAAAGAGAGAAGAATCAAATAGATGCAATAATAAATGATAAAGGGGATATCACCACTGATCCCACAGAAATACAAACTAGCATCAGAGAATACTATAAACACCTCTACGCAAACAAACTAGAAAGTCTAGAAGAAATGGAAAAATTTCTGGACACATACACCCTCTGAAGACTAAACCAGGAAGAAGTTGAATCTCCAAATAGACCAATAACAGGCTCTGAAATTGAGGCAATAATTAATAGCTTACCAACCAAAAAAAGTCCAGGACCAGACGGATTCACAGCCGAATTCTACCAGAGGTACAAGGAGGAGCTGGTACCATTCCTTCTGAAACTATTCCAATCAATAGAAAAAGAGGGAATACTCCCTAACTCATTTTATGAGGTCAGCATCATCCTGATACCAAAGGCTGGCAGAGACACAACCAGAAAAGAGAATTTTAGACCAATATCCTTGATGAACATTGATGCAAAAATCCTCAATAAAATACTGGCAAACCGAATCCAGCAGCACATCAAGAAGCTTATCCATCATGATCAAGTGGGCTCCATCCCTGGGATGCAAGGCTGGTTCAACATATGCAAATCAATCAACGGAATCCAGCATATAAACAGAACCAAAGACAAAAACCACATGATTATCTCAATAGATGCAGAAAAGGCCTTTGACAAAATTCAACAACCTTTCATGCTAAAAACTCTCAATAAATTAGGTATTGATTGGACGTATCTCAAAATAATAAGAGCTATCTATGACAAACCCACAGCCAATAACATACTGAATGGGCAAAAACTGGAAGCATTCCCTTTGAAAACTGGCACAAGACAAGGATGCCCTCTCTCACCACTCCTATTCAACATAGTGTTGGAAGTTCTGGCCAGGGGAATCAGGCAGAAGAAGGAAATAAAGGGTATTCAATTAGGAAAAGAGGAAGTCAAATTGTCCCTGTTTGCAGATGACATGATTATATATCTAGAAAACCCCATTGTCTCAGCCTATAATCTCCTTAAGCTGATAGGCAACTTCAGTAAAGTCTCAGGATACAAAATCAATGTGCAAAAATCACAAGCATTCTTATACACCAATAACAGACAAACAGCCAAATCATGAATGAACTCCCATTCACAACTGCTTCAAAGAGAATAAAATACCTAGGAATCCAACTTACAAGGGATGTGAAGGACCTCTTCAAGGAGAACTACAAACCACTGCTCAAGGAAATAAAAGAGGATACAAACAAATGGAAGAACATTCCATGCTCATGGGTAGGAAGAATCAATATCGTGAAAATGGCCATACTGCCCAAGGTAATTTATAGATTCAATGCCATTCCCATCAAGCTACCAATGCCTTTCTTCACAGAATTGGAAAAAACTACTTTAAAATTCATACGAAACCAAAAAAGAGCCCGCATTGCCAAGTCAATCCTAAGCCAAAAGAACAAAGCTGGAGGCATCACGCTACCTGACTTCAAACTATACTACAAGGCTACAGTAACCAAAACAGCATGGTACTTGTACCAAAACAGAGATATAGACCAATGGAACAGAACAGAGCCCTCAGAAATAATGCCACATATCTACAACTATCTGATCTTTGACAAACCTGACAAAAACAAGAAATGGGGAAAGGATTCCCTATTTAGTAAATGGTGCTGGGAAAACCGGCTAGCCATATGTAGAAAGCTGAAACTGGATCCCTTCCTCACACCTTATGCAAAAATCAATTCAAGATGGATTAAAGACTTACATGTTAGACCCAAACCCATAAAAACCCTAGAAGAAAACCTAGGCAATACCATTCAGGAGATAGGCATGGGCAAGGACTTCATGTCTAAAACACCAAAAGCAATGGCAACCAAAGCCAAAATTGACAAATGGGATCTAATTAAACTAAAGAGCTTCTGCACAGCAAGAGAAACTACCATCAGAGTAAACAGGCAACCTACAGAATGGGAGAAAATTTTTTCAGTCTACTCATCTGACAAAGGGCTAATATCCAGAATCTACAAAGAACTCAAACAAATTTACAAGAAGAAAACAAACAACCCCATCAAAAAGTGGGCGAAGGATATGAACAGACACTTCTCAAAAGAAGACATTTATGCAGCCAGAAGACACATGAAAAAATGCTCATCATCACTGGCCATCAGAGAAATGCAAATCAAAACCACAATGAGATACCATCTCACACCAGTTAGAATGGCAATCATTACAAAGTCAGGAAACAACAGGTGCTGGAGAGCTTGTGGAGAAATAGGAACACTTTTACACTGTTGGTGGGACTGTAAACTAGTTCAACCATTGTAGAAGTCAGTGTGGCGATTCCTCAGAGATCTAGAACTAGAAATACCATTTGACCCAGCCATCCCATTACTTGGTATATGCCCAAAGGATTATAAAACATGCTGCTATAAAGACACCTGCACACATATGTTTATTGTGGCATTATTCACAATAGCAAAGACTTGGAACCAACCCAAATGTCCATCAATGATAGACTGGATTAAGAAAATGTGGCACATATACACCATGGAATACTATGCAGCCATAAAAAATGATGAATTCATGTCCTTTGTAGGGACATGGATGAAGCTGGAAACCATCATTCTCAGCAATCTATCGCAAGGACAAAAAACCAAACACCACATGTTCTCACTCATAGGTGGGAATTGAGCAATGAGAACACATGGACACAGGAAGGGGAACATCACACACTGGGGCCTGTTGTGGGGTGGGGGGAGGAAGGAGGGATAGCATTAGGAGATACACCTAATGTTAAATGACGAGTTAATGGGTGCAGCACACCAACATGGCACATGTATACATATGTAACAAACCTGCACATTGTGCACATGTACCCTAAAACTTAAAGTATAATAAAAAAAAAAGTGAAACCTTCTCTGGTTTTTACCAATGTAACCGCTGTGCGTGACACATGGTAGATACTTCATAATTTCCTGAATGTTTGTTTTATTGGATGAAAGAATGAACTAATTAATAATGTAAATGAAGGGCATTTTAAAATAATGCATACAGAAAGAAAGTTTATTATAAGACTGCAGTAGGGCTGAATCAAGCTGTTTCCAAAAGAGAGACTGAATTCTGGTCACCAGAGAGATATCTTATGGCACATAATTGGTGGCCACTGATCTTGTTAAACTGATTATAGAATCTTGGCAGAAATGCTGCTAAAGAAGATATGGGGATTTCAGCTCAATGAACCTGAACATTCTATTCATCAAAAAGAACCAAAATGAAATGGACTGCCTCTGGGGTAGTAAATATTATGTCACTGTGAAGCAAAATGCCATTTTCTGAAGGGCCTCACACATCGGGCAGAGAAGTAGACTAAAAATGTTTTAAGGTCCCTTTGATATGTCACTTTATGAGTGTGGCCTTCAGGGCTCTACACTTTAACCAGGAAGCAGAATATGGTTTCTTCAAGGAGCTGCAGCAGGGCTATGCACCTGGAGCAAGGCTAGAACAGAAGCCAAGAAGCACTCCCAGGGCTATCTCCCATGTGCAGAGACTCCTGGCTGCCATTGCAAAGAGACACCCAGCAATGCTGGGTGATCCCACGGGGCAGCTCATTAAGGACAAATGAAATAACAAGTCTCTCCCTCTCACTAGGGACTTTCCACCAGAATATACCAAAGAAAGGCAAATGCCTAGCTATAGCCAATCAAGTAATTTCTTTACTTACTTCCTCATTCAGCCTATAAAAGCTGGCTGCTCATGTAGCTGGGGTACAGCTCTCTGAATCTCTTTGGGCTCTGAGTGCTGCCCAATTCATAAATTGTTCTGTGCTCAAATAAACTCTGTTAAATATAGTTGTCTAAAGTTTATTTTTTAAAAAAGAAAATACCTATTACCCTTGCTCCTTGTCCCCCAGTGCTTTCACTTCAAATTGATATTGAAAATTCATAATATTCCTTTTGTCCACCCCACCAGCCTACTACCAATATAGTTGGTTCTTTACCTCTGACTTTTCTTCCTTTCTTCTTCTATAATTGCCTGTTTTATGTTCTATGCAATCAGGATCTTTAAATTATTAGACATAGAAAATGACAATTTGGGGATTTGTAAGGATTTTCTTCATCGTAGGGTAGAGGCTGGAACTTGCCCTTAGGGCAGACTCCACCTTTTGCTTTGTTATTCTTTTAATTATACAGAAGTCTGGCAGATGTCTACCCAAGAAGTCATTCTAATACAGATGCATCAGACTGCAAATGTTAAGTATTCAGTTTAGTGAAGGGAATTCCTTCATTCACATATTCATTCAACAAATATTTAAGTGTCTGTGTATCAGACACCATGTTGATGGCTCGGTAGGACTTTTGAGGCAGCTAAGGCAGCCTTAACAGAGCAGTTTTTATGCTGACATTGAAAATATATTCATTTGGTGTAATACTGCCCTCTCCACCCTCCAGAGCTCCATCTTTGGAGTCAAAACAGTGCCCTACATGCTCAGTGAACAACTGATCCTCCAGAGGTCTCCACACCTCCAGGAGGAGTCTTGAGGGAGCACCAGAGGTCAGAATCTTCCTTGACAACGTTCCAACAACTCTCTTCCCCCTCAATACCCACAACTTCACCCTAGCTGTCTTTGTCCACCAATGAAATACCCTGGGAATATACTCAATTCTCCAAGGCTGAATTGAACATCCCCTTTGTCTCCATTTTGGTCATTCATTGCAAGAAGCCTTGGTTCCTCAGTCCACCTTCCATCCCCCAGATCCAATCCCCAGAATGTCCTGTACATTTTGAGCCCATATCATAATGCTCTTCAATTTACAAAAACTTCTACCATCTGGAATTCATGGTCATAGTAAACAATATTCCCTAAACCCTTGAAGCATCTCTAAAAGCTCCCTCCATGTCCTGGATCTAATAAAATCTGACCCTTCCTTAAGGACACTGCTTCCCCTGCAGCCCTCTCCAGGGGCAGCTGTTTAATCTCTCACATCCCTCCTGTCACTGGAGCCAATGGTGGTGTAGGTCTTTCTTATTTCTCATTGTTGCTTCCCAGCCATTCTCCTTTCACCTCCCTTAAAAGCCATAGTTTTGACTCTCATATCATTACTTTATCACCTGCTGTCCATCATTGTTGCCATCGTGCACTGAACCCTGGGTGAGTCCCACTTGCTTCTTCAATATTTGGAGATCTTCTCTCAATATCCTTCCCTCCAACTGTCCTCTTTTATAATCCTAAGTGACTTTAATATCCATATATTTGATCTTACCAATATTCTGACCTCCAGTTATTGACCTTCTCTCCTCTGGTGATCTTGTCTTTATGGAAATAAATGAAGAGCTTGCCCTTTAGCAAGGGAGTCAGCAACCAAGTCAGTGAATGCATCTCTGTGTTTGTGGGAGTCTCAAAGGCAGAAAATTTTATAAAGAAAATTAAAGGGAGGGCTTCAGGTCTGGTCTGATTGGAAGTGATTGACATGGTTAAGCTGGAGGCAGGCTCACTACAAGTGGGGCATCTTTTTTTGTTTGTTTGTTTGTTTTTTGAGATGGAGTCTCACTCTGTCACCCAGGCTGGAGTGCAATGGCACGGTCTCTGTTCAGTGCAACCTCTGCCTCCCAGGTTCAAGCAATTCTTCTGCCTCAGCCTCCTGAGTAGCTGGGACTACAGGTGCGCACCACCACACCCAGCTAATTTTTGTATTTTTAGTAGAGACAGAGTTTCACCATATTGGCCAGGCTGATCTCGAACTCCTGACCTCGTGATCAGCCCGCCTTGGCCTCCCAAAGTGCTGGGATTGCAGGCATGAGCCACCGCGCTTGTCCCAATTGGGGCATCTTATATGATTGGTTTGGGGAGCACATTTGGCTTCTTTTTGGTTGGTCCTGAGTTGGAAATCGGGCAAGAAATAGGGAAGCTGCAGTCCTTGACCAAGTCCTGACTGTTATAGGCTGATTGCTGCAGAGGTTGTGGTTTGGCGTCCCAGCTGGTTGCTGCAAAGGTTGAGTGTCACAGTTTTACTGTCATTTAGGGTCTGGCCATGTCCATTTGTATATTCAGTGTCTCAGCCTCCACCCTTTCTCAGCCACTCCCTTCCATGGTCATGACCTGAACCTCATCATTACTAAGAACTCACACAATTTCAGGCTTCCTCTCTCCATCCTCCACCTCCTATTTTTCTAGTTCACTTTCTCTGACTCTCTGACCCCAATGATCCATCCCAAGGCCTATAATCCTTTTACTGTTCAAAACTACCACTCCCTCATCCATATGTCCTCATTCCTCTCTTTACCCCATTGAAATACTATCATCATTTGTTGTAATCACTCC
The DNA here is from genome assembly GCF_000001405.40 of Homo sapiens. Classification (NCBI taxonomy): domain Eukaryota; kingdom Metazoa; phylum Chordata; class Mammalia; order Primates; family Hominidae; genus Homo; species Homo sapiens. The sequence continues at coordinate 13,816,598 of NC_000011.10, read as the reverse complement.
CTTACATGCTCCCTCAATGCCTTTGTCCTTCACACAACTCATTTTTTTCACCTGGCAAAACCATAACCGAGTTTAAATCCAACACCTTACCAACTCTACACCTGTGCCCTCACAGCTACCTGCAGCTACCAAAAGCACACACCACCATGCTGGCTGGCAGGAAGAAATTCAGGGTCTGTGGTCCTGCAGCTTACATCTTTGGGGGCTCTTTTAAAAAAATAATGCAAATTTTTAAATGCAAAATGGCTAAAACCTTCCCAGCCAGGCCTTTGAAAGGATCCATGCAAGCAAATGAGAAGCCCTGAGGCTTAAGTTTCATCAGCTACATGACATGTTTGCACCTGCTGACTGGCCTCTCACCTCAAGTGGACTTTTAATGCTGCCCATCAATTACACTCTATCTCCACTACCAGGTTCCTAAATGGCTATTTCAAAGAGAAAATGGAAGCAATAAAAAAAGTGCTTCCACAAGCTCCCGTGCCCCATCTGCATCTATGCCTGTGTCCTCTTCCTTTCCCATCACTACTGACAAACAGCCCGTGCTGTTAGCAAAGGCCAACCCTAGATCCCACCTCCCTCCCTACTCAAGGACATGACTCAGGAAACCCTCCACCCCCATTCATTCTGTCTCTCTCTCTCTACCGGATCCTTCCTATCACAAACAAACACCCACACTGTAATATTTCTCACCTTAAAAATTAAAGAAAACTTTCCTGATTTCACTTTCCCTTCAGCTCCTCACTTCTCTCCCTTTTATAGCAAAACCCCTTAAAACAGTTTTCTCAGTGCCTCCCTTGGACCCGATCAAGATGGTTTTTGCCTCCGTCACTCCATCAGAACTCCTTTTAAGACACCAAGGACCTCCACACTGATGAGCCAGATGACCCTTTCTCAGGGCTTTCCCCTCACTCATCTGTGGTGTTGGACACAAATGAATCACCTCATTCTCTCAAAGCCTTCCTCACTCCGTTTCCAGGACACTGTGCTCTCATGGTTTTTCTCCTATGTCACTGGTGGCTACTTCTGTTCCTTTGCTTATTTGTAAGGTGTGGGCTTCTAAAAATAGTAAATGGCTTGTCTTATATAGGGTGTAGGGGCCACAAAGCCCAGGAGCTGGTGGACTGAGCAGTGGAAGCGTTTAGGGTCTCTTTGCTGACCTTCAGTTATAGACGTGATTCCTGGAGTGTGGATGTGACTTGCTTTCAGAAGGGGGATGTCACTTATGGATTGGGGTGGGTTTAAAACAGGTTCTGGTGGTCACTAATTTGTATGACCAATGAAAAATGACCTACTGAGTTTATAGTGTAAAACCTTTTTATTCTCACACTCTGCACTTTCCTGATCTCTAAATGTTGGAGTGCTCCAGGACTCAGTCATTGAATCTTTTTTTTCTACCCACACACATTCTCTTGGTAATTTTCTCTAGCTTTATGGCCAGTTTATCCATTAGGCATGGTGGGCACAGTTTCTAAGGCCCATGATACTTTTAAGGGCCCATGAAAATGTTTCAGTTTCTTTTTAAGTTAGAGGAAAAAAATGAGTATAATAATAGTGAAATCAGCCTAGATTGTTATCATCTTTATACATACATATATTTGTGTGTGTGTATGTGTGTGTGTGTGTGTATGTACAGTTGCTCCTTGACTTATGATGGGGTTATATCCCAATAAACAGTAAGTCAAAACTATGTCAAAAATGCATTTAATACCCAGATCAACCCATTGTAATGTCAAAAACTGTAAGTCAAACCATTATAAGTTCAGATGCTCCTTGACTTAAATGTTTGCTAGACTGTAAACACCATAATGCTAGCACCAGCTCTATTTTCTTAATCACTGCCCTCAGGGCATAGTACAGTACCTGATGTGTAATGGGTGTTTAATAAATATATGTGGAATAAATGAATAAATTTTAAAAATGCATTAAATACACCTAACCTACTGAACATTGTAGCTTAGCCAAGCCTACATTAAGTATACTCAGAACACTTACATTAGCCTATGGTTGGGCAAAAGCACCTAACACAAAGCCTTTTTTATAATAAAGTATTGAATATCTCATGTAATTTATTGAATACTGCACACTATAGAGTACAGTATCTACTGTTTACCCTCATGGTTGCATGGCTGCCTGGGCTGGCACTGTCCAGCATTGCAAGAGATGATTATAACATGTACAGTTAACCCAGGAAAATATCAAAATTGAAAATTCAAAGTACAGTTTCTACTGAATGCATATCACTTTTGCACCATTGTAATGTTGAAAAATCTTAAGTTGAATCACCAGAAGTTGGGGACTGTGTGTGTATTCTTTAATGAAGAAAGAGGCCCACGAAGGGAAAAATTGCCTAGGGCCCATGATAGTCATAATGTGACCCTGAGGCTTCTGGTTTTAAATACCTTCTAGATACATTTACAATGCTACTCACAAATTTCTTTCTCCAGTTTGGACCTTGATATGGTTTGGCTGTGTCCCCACCCAAATCTGAACTTGAATTGTATGTCCCAGAATTCCCACTTGTTGTGGGAGGGACCCAGGGGGAGGTGATTGAATCATGGGGGCTGGTCTTTCCCATGTTATTCGCGTGACAGTGAATAAGTCTCATGAAATTGATGGTTTTAGCAGGGGTTTCTGCTTTTGTTTATTCCTCATTTCCTCTTGCCATTGCCATGTAAGAAGTGCCTTTCACCTCCCATCATGATTCTGAGGCCTCCAGCTATGTGGAACTGTAAGTCCAATTAAACCTCTTTTTCTTCCCAGTCTCAGGTATGTATTTATCAGCAGCGTGAAAATGGACTAATAGAGAAAATTGGTACCAGTAAAGTGGGGCATTGCTGAAAAGATATCCAAAAATGTGGAAGCAACTTTGGAACTGGGTAACAGGCAGAGGTTGGAACAGTTTGGAAAGAAGAGAGGAAAATGTGGGAAAGTTTGGAACATCCTAGAGACTTGTAGAATGGCTTTGACAAAAATGCTGATAGTGATGTGAACAATAAGGTCCAGGCTGAGGTGGTCTCAGCTGGAGATGAGGGACTTGTTGGGAACTAGAGCAAAGGTGACTCTTATTAAGTTTTAGCAAAAAGACTGGCAGCATTTTGCCCCTGCCCTAGAGATTTGTGGAACTTTGAACTTGAGAGAGATGATGGAGGGTAGCTGGCAGAAGAAATTTCTAAGCAGCAAAGCATTCAAAAGGTGACTTGAATGCTGTTAAAAGTATACCATTTTAAAAGGGAAACAGATCATAAAAGTTCAGAAAATCTGCAGCCTGACAATACAGTAGAAAAGAAAAACCCATTTTTTAAGGAGAAATTCAAGCCAGCTGCAGAAATGTGCATAAGTGGCAAGGAACCTAATGTTAATCCCCAACACTATGGGGAAAATGTCTCCAGGCCATGTCAGAGACCTTCATGGCAGCCCCTCCCATCACAGGCCCAGAGGCCCAGGAGGAAAAAGTGGTTTCCTGTGCTGGGCCCAGGGTCCTTGTGCTGTGTGCAGCTTAGGGATTTGGTGCCCCGTGTCCCAGCAGCTCCAGCCATGGCTGAAAGGGGCCAATGTAGAGCTTGGGCTGTGCCTTCAGAGGGTGGAAGCCCCAAGCCTTGGCAGCTTCCAAGTGATGTTGAGACTTCAGGTGCACAGAAGTCAAGAATTGAGGTTTGGGAACCTCCGCCTAGATTTCAGATGATGTATGGAAACACCTGGATGTCCAGGAAAAAGTTTGCTGCAGGGGCGAGGCCCTCATGGAGAACCTCTTGCCAGGGCAGTGTGGAAGGGAAATGTGGGGTTGGAGCCCCCACACAGAGTCCATACTGGGGCACTGCCTAGTGGAGCCATGAGAAGAGTGCCACCATCCTCCAGACCCCAGAATGGCAGATCCACTGACAGCTTGCACTGTTTGCCTGAAAAAGCTGCACTCAATGCCAGCCTGTGAAAGCAGCTGGGAGGGAGTCTGTACCCTGCAAAACCACAGGGGTGGAGCTGCCGAAGACCATGGGAACCCACGTCTTCCATCAGCATGACCTGAATGTGAGACCTGGAGTCAAAGATGATAATTTTGGAAGTTTAAAATGTGACTGCCCCGCTGGATTTCAGACTTGCATGGACTCTGTAACCTCTTTGTTTTGGCCAGTTTCTCCAATTTGGAACAGCTGTATTTAACCAATACGTGTACCCCCATTGTATCTAGGAAGTAACTAGCTTGCTTTTGCTTTTACAGGCTCACAGGCAGAAGGGACTTGCCTTGTGTCAGATGAAACTTTGGACTGTGGACTTTTGGGTTAATGCTGAAATGAGTTAAGACTTTGAGGGACTGTTGGAAAGGCATGATTAGTTTTGAAATATGAGGACACTAGATTTGATGGGGTCAGGGGTGGAATGATATGGTTTGACTGTGTCCCTACTCAAATCTCAACTTGAATTGTATCTCCCAGAACTCCCATGTGTGAGGCACTCAGGGGGAGGTAATTGAATCAGAGTAGCTGGTCTTTCCCCTGCTATTCTGGTTATAGTGAATAAGTCTCACAAGATCTGATGGGTTTATCAGGGGTTTCCGCTTTTGCTTCTTCCCCATTTTTCTCTTGCTGCCATCATGTAAGAAGTGCCTTTCACCTCCTGCCATGACTCTGAGGCCCCCACAGCCATGTGGAACTGTAAGTCCAATTAAACTTCTTTTTCTCCCCAGTCTTGGGTATGTCTTTATCAGCAGTGTGAAAATGGACTAACACAGACCTCTAACCTGAACTCCAGATTTGTATATGTAATTGCCTCTCCATATCTTCATAGAATACACAAATTGACCTGTGGATCAAGTGAATCCAGGTTTGGGATACCTGAAGCTTATACAATTCAGGGGTCCCTCTTTAAAGAGAGAAAAAAAAAAACAAAAAATTAGGCACAAAAGTAAATATTTGAGGAGGAGAAAAAGAATCACACTAAACCTGAATTTTAAAAAGCCAACAAGAGGCTGGCCATGGTGGCTCATGCCTATAATCCCAGCACTTTTGGAGGCTGAGATGGGAAGATTGCTTGAGCCCAGGAGTATGAGACCAGACTGGGCAACAACATAATGAGATCCTGCCTCTACAAAAAAAAATTTGTTTTAATTAGCCAGGTGTGGTTTTGTGCACCTATAGTCCCAATTACGCAGGAGGCTGAGGCTGGAGGATCACATGAGCCCAGGAGGTCAAGGCTGCAGTGAACCATTATCATACCACTGCAGCCCAGCCTGGATGACAAAGTGAGACCCTGTCTCAAAAAAATAAAATAAAAATATAAAGCCAATAAGAACTGCGAATATCACAACATCGAGAAAAATAACATTTTCATTAATTAACTATAAGCTTTGTAATATATTTTCTTACCATTTAGGGGGTACATACTCTTTGACTCTTCATTTTCTATGTCAAGAATAAAAAGGCAAATGGATCCTTCCTTTAACATGGTTAATGAAAAGTAAAATTTCAATATTGATAGTTTTTGAAAGTTTCTTTCCAGTTCACAACTTGTTATTAGTAATGTCATATTTTTAGGATTGTTTTCAAATTTGGGAAAACATCTATTGAATTTCTTTCCTATATGAGCTGTAAGATTTCAAAACATTTTGAGCTTTTCTATTCAGTAATTGAATCTAAGTACATTTTTGAATTGATAATACTCATTAACCAGGTTTTGTCAATATCTTATTGTGTTGGCACATTTTGAGCTTTATATTAGCTTCATTAATATAAATATTTTTGTAAAGTTAGCCATGTGTGTATTTAATTAATTCATTTCATTAATTGGATTGTCAAATGTATTGAATTATCAAGTTTATAACATTTATTTTAAATTTATCTCAACGAATTACTGCTGTCAGTATAATCCGAAAAATTTGTTACAATTGACTTCTCAATATCAGCATAATTTCTATTGATTTTACCATTCATCTTTATTGTTTTTGTTTCATATTTCATTAATTGTTATCTAAATCTTCTCTCAGTTCTTCAAGAAATACATTTAAAGATGACAAATGGTACTCTTCAAAAACATTCAAAACAGTAGTCTATAATTTCTCACTCATTTCATTTAAACATTTCAAAACATCTTTCCAAATTGCATTTACAGTAACATATTCATGCATTACCAAATATATACTTTCATCGAGAAGATATTTATTGTGTAATTATAGTTATATCTACTCTATCATCCAATATATTCCTAAAAGGAGAGAGCTACCATTTTGACTTGGCCTCAGTGCAAACTGAATGCTCTGCTTACAATTTTATATATCTGATGATTAGCAGAATATTCCATAGACTAGTTCTGCCTCCATATGTTTCTGCTCTTGGTCTTTCTATTTCCAACACAAGCATCAAAGTGATCCTGTTAAAAAACAAATCCTTCACATAAATGTTTTGCTGAAAACCATTCAATGGATTCTTACCCCACCGTTAGTAGGAACCAATGTCTTATAGAGCCCTACCCATCCAGACCAGTTACCTCTCTGACCTCACCTCCTACTGCTCTCTCCTTTCAGTTTGCTCAGCTCTTTGCTCTTCCTTAAAATCTCTTGGATTCTCTGCCTTGCGGACATTGTACATGTTATTCTCTTGCTTAAAATGCT